>NC_000013.11:54658106-55908106 GCF_000001405.40 Homo sapiens
TCAGTTCTAGGGAATATCTCTGGCTCAGAAGTTGAAAAACACTGAAGAAATTACAAATGTCTGTTGACCAATGTCCCTGTATTGCCTGTATTTTCCTGGAATTAGAGGTGCAAATGATAACAGGACTTATATTTCATAAAATTGCATAATACTTTGGAATGAGTATTATTTATATTTGTAAGATGCTTTTCTTCATGTAATTGACAACATTGTGATTAGGATGAACCTTTTTCTTTGAATAAGTAGAGCCTAACATATTTATTAGAAAAAATATCTCTTTTCTGTTTTTCCTGTTCACAAGTTTAAACTAAGCAAATTTATGTTTACATTTTCTGTATCTTTCTACTATCTAAAGATATACTATTACCTCCAAAATTTTACATACAGTTGTATAAAATTGCTTTGCATATCATACTAATTGTTATTAATTTAATTATAGGGTTTATTTACCAAATTAGATCATCACTATTTTTTGCAAGGTCTTCACTGTTCCTCACTTACATAATATTTTCTCCTTTCTTATTTTCAATGCATTGTTCAAAGGGTATAAATGTATCATACAATGGTAGTGTCGTGGGATCCCTGGGGTGTCCCTCTTCCAGCCAGAAGCCTCTGCAGCTGATGGCGCCTTTGCCCAAGTTTTGCTCTGGCCTGCTGGTCTTGTTCTGCCTACTCGGCCTGACAGGCTGTGCTCCGCTCGTTCTATCAACCTGGATCCCAGGCCTGCCAAGGGCGTGGAGTGGCAGGGGTGCATGAGTGAATAAGTGTGGGGTTCGGCCACTGCACATAGCCAGGTACTCCAGATGCTGCAGTGGGGCGGGCAGCTCCAGGCGTCAGCGCAGGCACCAGCTCGGTGTGAGGCTGTGGCTGGACCAGGCATACCGCAAGCAGCTTCCACTGTGGGCTCCAGGGAACACGGTGGCACCCAGAAGCTTGGAGACAGCGGGAACCGCAGCGCTTCAAAGAGGGTGTCACCGCCCTGGCTCGGGGAGCCCTTAAGTCTGGGCTCTCTGAAGGGCTGCAGCTCTTCTCTCCTTTTCATCGCTTGCAATATGGCAAGCTGGAAGGCGTGTTTCAGCCCTGTGTGTGTTACAGCTGGTTCAGTTCCTCCATTCAGCAGGTCCCAAATTCTTGCCCAGGAAGAACGAGGTACACAGACAACTAGAGAGTGAGCAAGACGAAGAGGTGCCTTACTGAACAACAGTATAGCTCTCAGGAAATTCGGAGTGGGTAGCTATCTGCAGGCAGGTCGTCCCACCGAGTGTGCAGCCAGCCCTCAGCAGAGAGGAGATCTGGAGTAAGTAGCTCCTATCTGCAGGCAGGTCGTGCTGTCCACCCAAGTCTGGCTGAGTCCAGGGTTTTTGTTTTGTTTTACTTTAAGTTCTGCGATACATGTGCAGATTTGTTACATAGGTATACATGTGCCATGGTGGCTTGCTGCACCTATCAACCTGTCATCTAGGTTTTAAGCCCCGCATGCGTTAGGTGTTTGTCCTAATGCACTCCCTCTGCTTGTCTCCCACCCCCTGACAAGACCCAGCGTGTGTTGTTCCACTCCCTGTGTCCATGTGTTCTCATTGTTCAACTCCCACTTATGAGTGAGAACATGCGGCGTTTGGTTTTCTGTTCCAGTGTTAGTTTGCTGAGGATGATGGCTTCCAACTTCATCCATGTCCCTGCAAAGGAGATGATCTTATTCTCTTTTATGGCTGCATAGTATTCCATGGGAGCCCATGGATTTCATGTGCTTCAGAAGGGAGGAAGTGTGTGCTGATTGATCCATGAGCAGCCATGGCAGCCCAGAAAAAGTACCATAAGTTCTCTCCCTGGGCCGCAAACTCCACCCATAACTGACAGCCAGCCCCTGTGCTTCAGGTGATCCCCAGCTTGAAGGCGGGATTTCATGGGGGACCTACCTTTTTCTGCCCAAGGGCCTGTCTGCCTCTTGCTGCCATCAATCTGCCATCCACAGTGCCCACACCACCCAGGCTGTTCATGCTGAGGGGCGTCTGCAGGCCCATGCTGAGCCACCCTCAGCCCTCCCTCAGTCTCCCTCACATGCTCATCGGCACCCAAAGTTCAGAGGGGGCTGAGGCGGCAGGGTGCTGGCATGTCAGCGCTGCCCTGAGCGTGTGCACACCTGGTCCAGTGGCAACAGTGCTTGGACTCAATCTCAACTTTGCTCCAAAATAGAAGTGGAAGCTGGGAGCAGGGGAATGTCAGGCAGCAGGAGCAGGCACTTCTGAGACTGCAGGGGCAAGGGTCTTCCGGAGCCCCTGAGAGTTCAGGATGCCTGGGTCTGCAGCCATGGCTGGGTGACTGCAGCCGCGACCAGAAGTGCAGGGTTCCTGCCCTACCAACTCGGAAGGGGGCGGGGCTCCCACTTGTTCCCATCTCCCACCCGCTTGGTTCCCTGGAGTGCACAGCCCCGGCCACGCCTCTCCCACTGCAGGGGCGTCTTCTCAGTGGCTGCTCCAGATGGGCCTGCGCTGGCGTCAGTAGGTAGCAAGTTCAAATTATTTTATTAAAATACGTAATTTACATCCCCAGTAGGCCATGCCACTGAAGAGAAGTTATGGAGATGGAAGTAATGTTACTGGAGCCTCTGGTAGAGACTAAAAAAATAGCCTTACCTTCCTATACATCCCCTCATCAGTATGTGTTAGTCCCTGCAAAGAGTAAAAAACACCTCAGGCATCTGGGCAAATGTGCTGAAATAGTCCAACTCGAAGATATATCATAATTTTACCTCACTGTTTCCTCGATAAATAAGTGTGCGTTGTCTTTAAGACTGCTCACTGCTAGATTTTCAGAATCTTTGACTCCCTCTGATGAATTATATGACAGCAACCTGCAAAGATACTGTGAGTGTTTTCATTGACTTGTTTTTAACAGTGTGTTTCTTAAAATACCGCGGACTTTGGAAATCCACAAGATGTATAGTGAATTCCCAACTGTATCAAGTACTAATGTTGAGACTCTGAACAAATTATTTAATCCATTTGAGCTTCGGAGTTCTCATCTTTTAAAAATGGAAAATAATTTCTACCATATACTAATATAAGAGGGATTAAGTGAAAGGATGTATTAATATAAAGAAGTCTTAGCACAGACTTTAACACAAAATAAGTGCAAACATGATATGTAGTATTATTGTGAACTTCTCTGGGTATGATTCTAGATACTGATAGAAAGCTAAATTATTTATTTTCTATTAAATACACATCATTGAAAAAAGGTTAGAATAAATTAAAATGTAAGACTATTTTCTCAAATACAAATATGTTTTATTCTACTTTACATGGATCTACTCCAACTTGAAACTTTACATTTTGTATAAAACTTTTTTGTTAAATCATATAACTTCAATATTAACAAATTTATGTTATACTAGATGACAATAACATTTTCTTTGAACTTACATAATGCTTAGCCTCTAAAAATTATTAGCTAAAATGTTTGCCTACTTTGATTATAAACATATAGATTTTTCTCTATTGATTGTAACATGTGTATTCCTTTTATTTCATCCTTTGGAAAAAACGACCTCAACTAGAGGCCTCAGGTTTACAGACCAACCCCCACACTTGACAGGAAGGACTTAAGAAACTACAGGTCAGCTTTCATGGACTCAACATCAAATCACTCCTGCTGCTGTTAGATCCCAACTACCCACTGTCCCCAAACAGGACATACATCTTGTACTAAAAACATCTATACTTTTGATTGAGAGTTTGATAAGTGGATTTTGGCCTTAATTCACAATGCCTGGGTTCCTGTCTTGGCCGCATGCTAAGTACACTAGTCCTGAGGCTTGGTGCTCTATTTGGTTCTCACACTCTCCTTTCTAAAGACTAAAATATATTCCTGAATATCAGCCCTGGGCCTGGAGACTCACTTCTGGCACATATCCTCAATGTTACTTGCTATTTGGAAACTAAATAGATTTGTCTCTTTGTATCCTGGGATTATTATGGCTACTCTTAGGACCATCCTATCACTGATGTTATATCCTGACGAATCTAAATACAAGCCTTCTTCTTTGAAAACATGCTGGTAGTAATGGAGACTCCTGTTATCTGGCTCTTTCCTCTACCTTTCTCCAACTGCACATGCTAGTTGCCTTGTGCCCTGTGGGGGTCCATCTTTCTCCTATTTTACTCTCTATCCTCATAGCATGCTCATCTAGGTCCAAACATGTGAACTGTTTTTATTTTTTTTTAATTTGTTTTATACAAGTCAGACAGGTTAAACAATTTGTTTTCTGTTTCACAGACTGTCTTAAATTAGACACTTGTTTTCATTTACCATAGTGCCTAGTATGTAAAATGCACTGCAGGGAATATAGGGTTGGATAACTGTCACAAAAAAGATGCCTGTACTAACTTTGAGAACAGAAAGGAGAGCGAGTTTCTTCCAAATGTGATTGAGAGTAAGAAAAGAACTAGACTATGCCTTTTATAAGAAGAGGGGACTGCTGTATTTTTATTTGAATTATCTTCCAAGCACCTTACAAAGGCTTGGAAATATTTTAGCTGAATAGTGAAAGAACAAAATCTTTGTGGAAATGGTGGCTTTAGTCTAGTGCTGAAGGCCAGGTTAGATTTATTCACATGGGCTTATTCTACTAGGTGGAAAAAATACTGTAAACGAAAATAGAAAATTCAGCAAACATGTTCAGAACACTGAGAGGTCTCATGTGGTCCACCTAACTTTCAGTTACCTGAAGAGTTTCAGAGGCACAGCAGGTTGAAGGGTTTCAGTTAAGAAAGAATGTAGTTAAGCATTAAACCTAGAGATACCAATTTAGGAGATTCCATGGAGGTAAGTTTTAAAGCAGAAGTTGCCTATTTGCTCAGAGCAGAGGAGAGAAAATTCAGGAATAAACTTTGGGAAATAGATATGTTTAGAAAATGATATTGCTACAGGAAAGTGGTCCTGATCCCGACCCCAAGAGAGAGTTCTAGGATGTCGTGCAAGAAAGAATTCAGGGTGAGTCCACAGAGTAAAGTGAACGTAAGTTTATTAAGAAAGTAGAGGAATAAAAGAATGGCTACTCCACAGACAGAGCAGCCCTAGGGCTGCCGGTTGCCTATTTTTATGATTATTTCTTGATTTTATGCTAAACAAGGGGTGGATTATTTACATCTCCACTTTTTAGACCACATAAGGTAACTTCCTGACATTGCCATGGCATTTGTAAACTGCCAAGGCACTGGTGGGAGTGTAGCAGCGAGGACGACCAGAAGTCACTCTCAGAGTCATCTTGGTTTTGGTGGGTTTTAGCCGGCTTCTTTACTGCAACTTGTTTTATCAGCAAGGTCTTCATGACCTATATCTTGTGTTGACCTCTTATCTCATCCTGGGACTTAGAATACTTTAACCATCTGGGAATGCAGCCTAGTAGGTTTTAGCCTCATTTACCTCAGCTCCTGTTTAAGATGGAGTTGCTCTGGTTCACATGCCTCTGACAATATAAGAAATATAATTCTTAAAAAATAGAATTATAGACTCTTGGATAGGGTAGGTTTCTCAAAGTATCCTTCCTACGTTAGGATATTAAGAAGAGACTAAGGGAGTGCCGACAGAATATGAACTCACAATGAAGAAGAAAAAGGAAGGAATTAGAAATTTAGGAGAGAGAATGAGATATTGTAATAACACAGGAGTGAATGCAAAAGGGGGTTTCAATGAGAGCTTTGAAACATCATTAAATAAAATAGAAAAATGTGAAATCCTTTGGGCCCTGATACTCACATGGGCATTTGTTGTCTTTAAAAAACCACTTTCATCAGGGTGACACGCTGGAAGGTGTATTGGAAATTTTGTTATAAGTGAATGATGAGTAGAGAAATTGGGCAACATACTTCTTTCAAGAAGTTTGGTGATAAAGGAAAGCAGATAATTCCAACTTTGTTTCTTTTTTAAGTATTCTGTATGATAGTAAAATGTCAATAATCTATGTTTTGAACTTGAAATCTCCTTAAATAAAATTAAAACAATAAATATTTTAATTGTAAAGCAGTAGATTTTCAGTCAAATACTACCTATGCATAATACCTACAACCTTGATCTTCAATATTTCAAATAGTCAAACTGTTATAAATAAATCAATAAGTAGTTAGAAATTATTGATTATTGAAGAATGGAAATTTAGCAGAAAATTTAGTTACTAGAAAAAAAGAATCAGAAACCTGTCTTTGCTTAGAAATACTATGTTCCATTGTAAACTTATGTAATTAGAGAACTTTCCAAGGCAAATTTTAGGTTATTTATTTTCTAATTTTAAATTTTGTTTTAGATTCATTTGGTGGGTACATGTGAATTTTTGTTACAAGAGTATATTGTGTAATGCTGAGGTTTGAGGTATGATTGAATCCATTGCCCAGGTAGTGAGCATAGTACCCAATAAGCAGTTATTTAACCCTTGCACTCTTCCTTTTTACTTCCTTTTATAGTCCCCAGTGTCAATTGTTATAATATTTATGTTCATGTCCGCCCAATGTTAAGCTCCCACTTATGAGTGAAAACGTGGTATTTGGTTTTGTGTTTCTGCATTATCCCACGTAGGATAATGGTCTTTAGCTGCATCTATGTTGCTGTAAAGGACATAATTTTATTCTTTTTTCTGGCTGCGTAGTATTCTATGGTATATATATATATATACCACATTTTCTTTATAGTATGGCAAATTTTTAAAAAAACTTATAAGATAAAAATGACCCTGTAAGATGCAGCTTACAGCATTTTCTAAACATATTAATAAAAATAATAGCTGGGCACAGTGGCATGTGCCTGTAATCCTAGCTTCTTGGGAAGCTGAGGCAGGAAGATTGCTTGAGTCCAAGAGTTCAGGACCAGCCTGGGCAACAGAGCAAGACACTGTCTCAATTGTTATAACAATAATATTATTTTTTCAAATTTGTGAGTATTAGTCACATTAGGTATTGCATACACATAAAAAATGCCAACTTGCTCCTTTTAAAGGCAAATGAACCCACAAACAAATTTTGAATTTTTAAACCCATGCCAGGAAAGGAATGGATTTCTTATGGTTATGAATGACAGAGTCATCATTCATCAGAATGTGTGTCTAGTACTTATTATGTACCAGACATACCACTAGGGACTTTCACAGGCATAATCTTATTAAAAATTCATAACCACTTAGTAATACAAGTATTGTTTTAATATTCCACATGAGGGAACCTTTGTAAGTAATTTAAGCTAGGTCATAACCAACAAAGTAACAGGAAAGACTCAATACAGAGATAATGTCTCCTGATTGGTTTCTTCTCTGACTAACATGTGCATTTATCTATCTATCATCTATCTATCTATCTATCTATCTATCTATCTATCTATCTATCTACCTACCTATCTACCTATTTACTCATTCAATAATTTATACATCATATAATAAATTCTTATTAAGCATCCAATTATGTGTCAGTTGGCATATCACGGCAGATTCACATGAAGTTTAAAAGATATACAGGCATACTTTGCATATACTTTGAGTTTGATTTCTGACCATGTCAATAAAGTTAATATCATAATAAAGTGAGCCAAACACATTTTTTCGTGTCCCAGTGGATATAAAAGTTATGTTTACACTATACTGTAGTCTATTAAGTATGCAACATCAATATGTCTTTAAAAAGTACACACTTTAATTTAAAAATACTTTATTGTTTAAAACTACCAAGTATCATGTGAACCTTCAGCAAGTAATAATTTTTTGCTAGTGAAAGGTCTTGCCTCAATGTTGATGGCTGCTGACTGATCAGGATGGTGATTGCTGAAGGTTGGGCTGGATGTGGCAATTTCTTAAAATAAGACAACAATGATGTTTGCTGCACAGGTTGGTGCTTTTGTGAATGATTTCTTTGTAGAATGTGATACTATCTAATAGCATTTAATCCACAGTAGAGCTTCTTTCAAAAGTGGACTCAACCCTCTCAAACCCTACTGCAGTTTTAGCAACTAAGTTTATGTAATATTCTAAATCCTTTGTCATTTCAACAATATTCATAGAATCCTCACCAGGTGTAGATTCCATCTCAAGATACCACTCTCTTTGCTCATCCATAAGAAGCAACTCCTTATCTGCTCAAATTTTATCATGTGATTACAACGATTCAGTCACATTTTCAGGTTCTACTTTTCATTCTAGTTCTCTTACTATTTCCACCACATCTGTAGCTACTTCCTCCACCAAAGTCTTAAATCCCTCAAAGTCATCCATGAGGGATATAATCAACTTCTTCAAAGCTCCTATAAATACTGACATTTTAACATCATTCCATGAATCATAAATGTTCTTAATGACATCTGTATTAGTCTGTTTTTGCATTGCTCTAAAGAAATACCTGAGACCGGGTAATTTATAAGGAAAAGAGAATTAATTGGTTCATGGTTCTGCAGACTGTACAGGAAGCAGAATGACATCTGCTCCTGGGGAGACTTCAGGGAGCTTTAACTCATAGCGGAAGACAAAGCAGGAACAGACATCTAACATGGCAGGAGCAGGAAAAACAGAAAGCTGGAAGAGGTGCTATACACTTTTAAATAACCAGAACTCATGAGCGCTCACTATCATGAGAGCAGCACAGGGAGATGGTGCTAACTCATTCATGGGAAATTGCCCCCATGATCCAATCACCTCCCACCAGGCCCCACATCCAGCGTTGACGATTACATTTCAATGTGAGATTTAGATGGAGACACAGATGTAAACCATATCAGCATCTATAATGGTAAATTGCTTCTAGAAGGCTTTCAATTTACTTTGTCCATATCCATCAGAGGAATTACTATGTTAGCTATAGGTTTATGAAATGTTTTTGTTGTTGTTGTTGTTGTTTGTTTTGTTTTGAGATGGAGTCTCGCTCGGTCACCCAGGCTGAGATGCAGTGGCACAATCTTGGTCACTGCAACCTCTGCCTCCTGGGTTTAAGCAATTCTCCTGTCTCAGTCTCCTGAGTAGCTGGGACTACAGGCATGTGCAACCACACCCAGCTCAATTTTATATTTTTAGTAGAGACGGGGTTTCACCATGTTGCCCAGGCTGGTCTCAAACTCCTGACCTCAGGCAATCCACCTGCCTTGGCCTCCCAAAAAGTGCTGGGATTACAGGCATGAGCCACCGTGCCCAGCTATAAAATGAATTTCTTAAATATTAAGACTTGAAAGTTGAAAATACTCCTTAATCCTCAGGCACAATGAGCAGTAATATTTTGAAAGGAAATGTTATTCCTGAGGAGTAGGTCTCAACAGTAGGATTAAAAGATTCAGTAAACCATTCTGTAAAAAGATGTGCTGCCATACAACATTTGTTCCATTTACAGAGCATAGGCAGAGTGAATTTAGCATAATTTGTTAGGGCTCTAGGATTTTTGGAATGGTAAGTGAGCATGGGCTTCAATTTAAAGTCACCAGCTGCATTAGCAGCTGCATTATAGTCAGACTCCAGCAATGCAATCAACCTGTCTTTTGAAGTCAGTCAATGCTTTAAATCCAGGCATTGACTTCTCCTCTCAAGTTTTCAAAGACCAAAATAACACCTTCTTCCAATATAAAGCTATTTAGACTACAATGAAAATCTGTTGTTTAGTGTAGCCATCTTCATCAGTTATCTAGATCTTCTGGATAAATTTCTGCAGCTACTACATTGGCACTTTCTGCTTCACCTTGCACTTTTATGTTATATAGATGTCTATTTTTCTTAAAGCTTACGAGTCAGCCTCTGCCAGCTTCAGATTTTACTTCTGCATCTTCCTCACCGGTCTTAGCCTTCATAGAATTGAAGTGAGTTAAGGCCTTGCTCCAGATTAGGTTTTGGCTCAAGGAAATATGGTGGCTGGTTTGATCTTTTATCCAGACCACTAGAAAACTTTCTCCATGTCAAAAATACAGCTGTTTTGTTTTCTTATTATTCATATATTTGCTAGAGTCACATTCTTATTTTTATTTTTTTCAAGATCATTTCCTTTGCATTCAAAACTTAGCTGTTTGGTGCAGGAAGCCTAGATTTTGGCCTGTCTGAGCATTCAATATGCCTTCCTCACTATTCTTATTTATTTCCAGCTTTTGATTTAAAGCACAAGTGTCCAAACTTTTGGCTTCCCTGGGCCACATTGGAAACAGAATTATCTTGCACCACACATAAAATACACTAACACTAACGATAGCTAATGAGCGTAACTTTTATGATATCTCTTTAGCTATGTGTGGCTAATAGCCAGATATAGGTAGGCAAAAGCATCCTCACATTCAAAGGGCTGGACACCTGTGATAAAGTGAGAGATGCAACTCTTTCTTTCCCTTGAATGCTTAGAGGCCATTGTAGGGTTAGCAATTGGCTGAATTTCACTACTATGGTGTCTCAGAGAAAAGAGAGGGCAGAAAGGAAATTCAGTCAGTGGAGCAGTCAGAACACACACAACATTTATAGTTAGGTTTGCAGGGTTATATGGGCATACTTTGTGGTACCCCAAAACAATTACAATAGTAATATCAAAGATCACTGATCACAGATCATCATTACAGATATAAGAATAATAAAGAAGTTTGGAATATTGAAATTACCAAAATGAGACAAAGAGACATGAAGTGAGCACATGCATTAAAAAAAAAAATCAAAATGGTGCCAATAGACTCACTCAACAAAGGGTTGACACAAACCTGCAATTTGTAAAAAGGACAATATCTGCAAAGCACAATAAGGCAAACCACAGTAAAAAGGTGTATGCTTGTATACTGGTAAATATGTAAAGTGTACTATCTATACCTCCTGATTTTCCAGTTTTACATGATTACTTTTTCTTGGCTAGGAAGTACAGATCAAGAAGATTAAGCGCAGTACCCAAGGGTGGCAGTGTTATGGTCAAACATTTATGTGTCAAGCAGATTTTTAGGTGCAATGCATACAAAGGTGAGAAAACTCAATATTGTCTCTGATTTCTTGTAATTACTGTCTAGTGGGGACACAGGTAATCAATGAATAATTAGAAATGTGTTGAGCATTATGAAGGAAGAATTACAGCATGCAATGGAAGTATCTGATCAGTTTCAAAGACATACATCTAGGAAACTAGATAAAAGGAGGACAGTAAAAAGAATAAAAAAATAGAAATAACTGGTTTAATTTTCAGAAGCGATATCTCTTGACTACTCTTCTAAGACAGGAGTCCCCAGCCCTGGTCTGTGGACCACTACCAGTCTGTGGACTCTTAGAAACTGGGCTGCAACACACAGGAAGTGAGCAGCAGGCAAGTGAGCATTACAGCCTGAGCTCTATCTCCTGTCAGGTTAGTTACTGCCTGAGTTCTATCTCCTGTCAGATCAGTGGCAGTATTGGATTGCCATAGGAGCGCAAACCCTATTGTGGACTGAGCATGTGAGGGATCTAGTTTGTGTACTCCTTATGAGAATCTAAAGCCTGATGATCTGAGGTGGAACAGTTTCATTCCAAAACCATTCCCTCCCCACACCCCACCATCCATCCATGGAAAAATTGTCTTCCACAAAAGTGGTCCTTGGTGCCAAAAAGGTTGGGGATTGCTGTTCTAAGACCTTAAATTAAAAAGCAATAATTTGCTTTAGCCCTTGCAACTACTAACATTTATTTTCTTGGTAATTTTTGTAACCGAATAAAGAAATACAGGGCAAATTATGTATATGAGCTAGCAGGGCATTTAGCAACTCAGAGTGCATCCTTTTCTAAATTATACACTAACATATATACTTTTTAGTTAATATTTAAGGCTTAGAAAAGTTGAAATGTGTTCAGTACAAAGTAAACACACAAAAAATAAGCAATTTAAAAACACAATGAGAGTAAATTCAGTGACATATATAGGAAGAATTGAAATTAACTTCTAGGCCTGTGGAGAAATATTGATGCAACAGTCAGGCTGAGATTGATAGAACAGGTCTGTACTCTGAAAATAATTTTTAAAAGTTCATCTCTCGACCATACAATCTGCTTTTCAAAAGCTATTAGCCTTCCACTGAAACATTCATAAAGAAGGTTTTTAGTAGCTAGAATAAGTACTGAAAGTTTAGTTAATGTGGCACCATTTAATAAGGGAAAAAACAAGGCAGGACTCATGATCAGCTGGTTAAACAGAAAGAGAGGCATGTATTAGATAGATACCTAGTCCTCAAAGAAGCCACAGAAAAGTTTAAGAACTCAGTTTTAGACATGCGCAAGAGCCAGGGAAGGGCAGGAGCAGGGATGTCTCCTAGGGAACAGCAGAGTGACACATGCCTCTTCCTGAAGCCTTATTCCTATCCCTTCATGGCTCAATCTGGCATTTAATTAATCTGATCATGGAGGTCTTTCTTGACCTCCCTACTGAGAATGCCACCCCTCCTGCCTCCTAGGATGTTTCTCCAGCATTATGTTTGAGCTGTGATTTCCTCTTGTTTTGTTTTCTATATATATAATCCTATTTTCTTTGAGAAATTATCCAACATTTTCTAACCTGTATAAAGTAATTTTATTTGTTTTCCACACCAAGTTGAATATATCCATTTTCAAAGTCCTTCAAACTTTTTTTAAAGAGTCCAACATTTAATGACCAATAAAATAAGTTTTAGAATATTTTGAAATGATTAGGAGCTACGTTATGTATAATTTCCACAATCTCATTAAAAAATATTTTTTTCCATTAAGGGGGTATATAAAAATAAGGACAGATGATTTAAAACAAGACAATTCAAATGACCAGTGAATAATGAAAAGGTTCTCTAAGTAAAAATCAGTAGATTGTAAATTAAACAAACAATAAGATATCCTTTTTCACCCAATATTTTAATAAAATTAAACAGATGATACATCAAGTGTTTTAGAGAATGAAAAGTAAAAGAAATTTTTTATACCATATTGATGAAATTAAAGTGAATATTGATTGGTAAAACCATTTTAAAAGGACATTTGTCAGTATCTATCTAAAATTAAATGTATAACTTTGACCAAGTAATAGTATCTTATCCATATGTTTGCATAAATACATACGCATGGACATAAAGATGAGGTATTTAATGTATTATGTTTGTAAAAATTTAAAACAAAATGTCCACCAGCAGGTAAAAGTTAAATAACTTATGTTGTCTCAGTTTTATGTAAAATTCTGTAGCTGCTACAAACATGCTGTGGACATTTTATTTATTTTTTATTTTCTATTATTTTTTTTTGAGACGGAGTTTCGCTCTTGTCACCCAGGCTGGAATGTGGTGGTGTGATCAGGGCTCACTGCAACCTCTGCCTCCCGGGTTCAAGTGATTCTTGTGCCTCAGTCACCCAAGTAGCTGGGACTATAGGTGTGCACCACTACACCTGAATAATTTTGTATTTTTAGTAGAGCAGGGGTTTTACCATGTTGGCCAGGCTGGTCTTGAACTCTTGACCTCAAGTGATCCACCTGCCTCGGCCTCCCAAAGTGCTCGTATTACAGGCATGAGCCATCATGCCTGGACTGCTGTGGACGTTTATAGAGTGTCTTCAAATAACTTTAAGACACATTGACATATATATATGTGTGTATATATATATGTCATATATAGGAGTGGATATGACTTTATATATATATATATATATATATATATATATATATATATATATATATATATAAAATACATATATGTGTTCACTCAATGATTCACTTGCTTACCTGAATTCACAAATGATAACTGATTACCCACTACATGCCAGAAATGATAACTGATTACCCACTACATGCCAGGTGGTGCTCAGACATGTGCTACAAATATAACAAAAGGGATTTGGGTTATGCCTTTACAAAATTTGGAGTTTGTGGGTGAGACAGACATTTATATAAACCACTATAGTAGTGAATAAAAATTATAACCATGAAAAACACAATTATGAGATCAAATGTATGTTAAAATATGCTGTGTGTTTATATCATGTACATCTACATAAAATGAAATGAAAAAAGGCACAAAACTATTAACTATCTTTACCTCTGGAGGGAGAAAAAGTGGATAAATCGATCGATCATATATGCCTTACAGTGTTTTGAATTGTCTAAATTAACAACAATGAAAGTTCATATGTATATAATTTCTATAATTAGAAGCTACTTACATGCACAAGATTAGAAGCAAAACATTTTCTTTCTGTGTACATACATGTATGTTAAAAAGACAAAAATAAAGAACAAAACATATATTATCTCTGAAAGGATCATCGTGACATGTAGTTTTCCTTTATTTTCTACATGTTTCCAAACCATAGCGATAAATACACAGTATATTTGTAATAAATTTTATCAAGAAAACATTAAAGTAATAGTTACATTAGGGAATTTAGTGAAAGATGTTTTGCATCTGTTAAGCCATAATAGCATAATTTGTTAAAAGAAAAGACTTCTTTTTGTTGACTACTGTCATAAAAAGCAAGAGCAGCACTGTTAATTTTTTTTAATCTGGAGTCTTGGTATGTCTTTTTTAAAAAACTCTCAATAAAGATATAGTTACTACATTATAAATAAAATAATACTTTAATATGGCTAATGCAATTCTTTTTTTTCTTGTGTGGTTTTTTTTTTTTTTTTTTTTTTTTTGAGACGGAGTCTTGCTCTGTCGCCCAGGCTGGAGTGCAGTGGCGCGATCTCGGCTCACTGCAAGCTCCGCCTCCCAGGTTCACGCCATTCTCCTGCCTCAGCCTCCTGAGTAGCTGGGACTACAGGCGCCCACCACCACGCCCAGCTAATTTCTTTTTGTATTTTTAGTAGAGACGGGGTTTCACCGTGTTAGCCAGGATGGGTAAGGTCTCCTGGCCTCGTGATCCACCCGCCTTGGCCTCCCAAAGTGCTGGGATTACAGGCGTGAGCCACTGCGCCTAGCCGGCTAATGCAATTCTTAATGTACTATAGTTGTGGTAAATTTTCCTTTTATCTATGTTCATTTTACCATTTTACTTACTTAATCCCTAAAACCTTTTGTTCTCAAGGAAGTACTGTCAGATACACAAAATTCTGACATACCTTTTTTCAATATGAAAAATAATTCTATTAACATATTTCAAAATCTAAAATAAACTTTTAAAATGGAATAGTAAACTATAAATTAGACAATGAATATATAAAAAGAAATAATTTTTATTGTAAAATATTATATATATTTAAAGCAAGGACAAAAACTTTATTACTCATTTTCATTTCCTGACAATGAGGTTCCTATCCTCTTTGCCAAATCCCACATACTTACATATTTGTCACTGTCTACATAATACTTATAAATAACATTGACCAACACATACTGTATGAGAGGCTCTAATAATTCTAGTTTTACCTTTCTGTAATTAAAAATGTAAGAATATTTGTTACATGTCTAGAGGACAGATATTATACATGTAACATTGCTGACACTTATTTTTTTTCTTTGACAGAAAGATGCTACATGTAGCTAACAGGAAGTTCTGCTTAGCATGTATAAAGACATCCTAAATTTTATATTGACTCATATGATAGCAACAACATTAAAATATGTAGGATTAAAGTCAGTTAACCAATTACAACTATTTTTAATTTAGAAAAGTCTAGGAGGAAAAGTTATAAAAGATGCAAATGTTGCATATGCTTGTTTTGCTTGTTGAACTAAATTAAATAAAGTTGTATTCATTTTCAAGTGTTTCATTGGGATTTTTAAACAATGTGATCACTCTACTATGCAGAAAGCAGCTCTCAAAGCATCAAATTGAGAATCCAACTTGATTTTTGTGTTTGAATATATATTTACAGATAACAATAGCACTATGCTTGCAGAATTTTATATCTATAGTGGATCTTAGAAACTATTACAAGTCTTCAGTTGAGAGAGACATAGAATTGGAAATGCTAAGTATTACTTAAGATCCATGCTGAATACCCATATGTGATGCTTCCTAATTGAATAACAATAGAATATGTTTTTGCTAAATTGTACGTATATTTAAAGGCACTGAGAGTACATGATATCAAATTTATTTGAGCAAAGAAATAAATTTCCCACCTTGTTTCTATTTTTTCCCTGGCCAAAAACAATAGTAATCAGATTTTTTAAACCATTTTGTCAAATCTTCAAAATACAAAATAGCATTTTATAAAATTTTAGATACCATAAATAGCTGTTTTTCTATGAATTATATTCTTTTCAAATCATATGATTTCTATTTTGCATATGCAAATTTATTTTCTGTTTAAATTTATTTTGAGTAGTGTCTTCATAGTTCCTTTTACCCACTCTGCCGCATTCATTTTAATTTACCAAAAATTGATCCTCATTTAGCTTAGGCAATTGGTGGATGGTCAATTGCTAATGGATAACTTAAATAATTTGAATATTTTGAATACTTTTGAGGTCTAATTAACATTGTGTTTAATAATTTTTTTAAAAAAAATTCATATTTCACATAACCAAAATTAAGGACAAGCTATAATGCTTAGAAAAAGTGATTGAAGTGAAATTTAAGAATCAGTTTGACTAAGCATAAGCTGTTTAGCTAAAATTCCTGTACTGCTTTATTATGGTATAAGTTAATTTCATGGTTAAGCTGACTTAAGTCTGGTTCTACCTTTTCTATTTGACTTAACATAATAAGAAATAATGTTTTTTGCCTGGTATTTTTAAGTTGTGAGGATTGGAAAATATCAGTGAACTTTCATGGGAAAGAATCAATGGGCAAAGCAGATCAGGACTCTCGAGAGAAAGACTGGAGCCACTATCATTTGCCTGGAGACTAAACAGAAAGTAAAATATTGTCTTTCTTCTGTTCAAATGGGCCTCACTATAGGTTGAAGGAGCATCTCATAGATGTACTTGTATTTAGCAAGTCTTGCACCTGTGTGGTCTATTGCCAGGCATAACAATAAACGGTAGCTCATTAAACACAGTGCCATCTCATTATACAAGGAGCTACTCTAGCATATTACAAACAAAATACTGAAAGCCTAAAAGACAGCATGACTGAAATTAAATGCAAACAACGGTGCCTTTTATTTTAGAAATATTGATCCCCTACAAAAGAGTGGCATGTTTAATGAATATCCTTAATGATTTTACAGTAGGGCAAATCATCTATGAAAGCAACATGGTTAAAAAAGAATGGTATGATCTGCCACTCAATGAAAGCCAATATCTCTGTAAGCAACAATACTCACTATGTCAAAATTCTCTAGGAGCAACAACAGTACAAAATCAGGAAGAGAAATAAAGGTAATTTATTTTTGCTTTAGTTTCAAAGTCAACTAAAATGCTTACAAGGGTGCCATGAAAATATTTCCCAAACTAATCTAATCCTGTTTATAGTAATTGCTTTCTTCCTTTCAGGCAAAACACAGTTGACAGAAAACAGCAAATGGGTTTTAGGGGATTTAATAGGAATGAGGTATCATATTTAAAGAAAATTTTTATTACTTTAAGCTTCAAAAACCTTCCAAATACTATAGACAAAATCTTAAAAAATAGGATATGAGTGGGCTATAAAAGATTAAGTTAGAAAAAATTAAACTGGTTAAAGGTTTTTAAGATTGGGGCTAATGTGATGATATACAGAGGTTCAAATAATTTAAAAGTGGGCAGAAAAAAGTCATATATAAAGAAATATATGATGCGTTCTTAAAGAAAAAGATATTAACTTTGACTAAAACAATCTAAGCAAGGTTTTGAGCATTATAGATAAAAATTAAATAATTTATCTTATATAACACAAGAATTTAGTGTATTCTTGTATACAACAGACTATAAGCTAGAAGTGATATGTATCCTTCCAAAGATAAAGCTAATCAAATATTTTTCCACACAGACAAAAAAATCTGAAAACGCAAAAATAGATTAATGAATGGTTCAGAATTATGTTGATTCTATTTACAAAATGAAAAAGGCTATCAATATACTCCTGAAAGCCCCAATCTCTATTTTGGCATTTCCCAGTTTCCATGAAAATACACTCAGAACACTTGACATTGTCAAAGAAATTTTGGAAGACCTTTATCAATCTCAGGAGAGATCCTGGGTATCAATCTTTATTCCTATAGAAGTATGAAAAATTGAAGCTGCAAAAAAATTTAGTAGTAGTGCAGTTCAGTCTTTCTCATATACACATGAAGAAAAAATATACATACAAGGAAAAAATAATAAAGCAACCACTTCAATAGTGGAACATTTAATCTTAAAAGCAACTTTATGGAATGTACATTACTGCCCCATTTTATTGACAGAAATAGAAGCTTAAAACAAGTAAAAGACTTGTAAGAGGTCCCTCAGCCTGATGGCAGTAGATTTCAAATTCACAACTTATAACAGTGAGAGGTGACAACATGCTAGCAGCCCTTGCTCACTCTCGGCGCCGAGGGCATCCACTCTGGCCATGCTTGAGGAGCCCTTCAGCCTGCTGCTGCACTGTGGGAACCCCTCTCTGGGCTGGCCAAGGCCAGAGTAGGCTCCCTCTGCTTGCAGGGAGGTGTGGAGGGAGAGGCACCGGCAGGAACCTGGGCTGCCAGCGCGAGTTCCAGGTGGGCATGGGCTTGGTGGGCCCCACACTTGGAGCGGCCCACCGGCGCCACTGGCCCCAGGCAGTGAGGGGCTTAGCACCTGGGCCCGGCAGCTGTGGAGGGTGCGCTGGGTCCCCCAGCACTGCTGGCCCGCCCACGCCATGCTTGAATTCTTGCCAGGCCTCAGCCGCCTCCCCATGGGGCAGGGCTCGGGAGCTGCAGCCTGCCATGCCCTAGCCCCCCACCCCCAGTGGGCTCCTGCACAGCCCAAGCCTCCCTGACGGGCACCACCTCCTGCTTCGTGGTGCCCGGTCCCATCGACCACCCAAGGGCTGAGGAATGTGGGTATGCGGCACGGGACTGGCAGGCAGCTCTGCCCGTGGCCCTGGCACGGGATCCACTACGCAAAGCCAGCTGGGCTCCTGAGTCGGGTGGGTACTTGGAGAACTTTTATGTGTAGCTGGAGGATTGTATATGCACCAATCAGCACTCTGTGTCTAGCTCCGTGTTCGTGGATGCACCAATCAACACTCTGTATCTAGCTAATCTGGTGGGGATTTGAAGAACTTTTATGTCTAGCTGGAGGATTGTAAATGCACCAATCAGCAGTTTGTGTCTAGCTCAAGGTTTGTAAATGACCAGTCAGCACTCTGTGCCTAGCTCAAGGTTTGTAAATGCACCAATCAGCCCCCTGTATCTAGCTCAAGGTTTGTAAAAGCACTGATCAGTGCTCTGTGTCTAGCTAATCTAGTGGGGACTTGGAGAACTTTTGTATCTAGTTAAAGGATTGTAAACGGACCAATCAGCTCTCTGTAAAATGGACCAATCAGCTCTCTGTAAAATGGACCAATCAGCAGGATGTGGGTGGGGTCAGATAAGGGAATAAAAGCAGTCTGCCCGAGCAGGCAGCGGCAAACTGCTACCCGCTTGGGTCCCTTTCCATGCTGTGGAAGCTTTGTTCTTTTACTCTTCGCAATAAATTTTGCCGCTGCTCGCTCTTTGGGTCCCCACTGCCTTTATGAGCTGTAACACTCACCATGAGGGTCTGCAGCTTCACTCCTGAAACCAGGGAGACCACGAACCCTCTGGGAGGGACGACCAACTCTGGATAGAGGAACAAACAACTCCAAGCACGCTGCCTTTAAGAGCTGTAACACTCATCGCGAAGGTCTGCAGCTTCACTCCTGAAGCCAGCGAGACCACAAACCCACCAGAAGGAATAAATTCCAGACAAATCTGAACATCTGAAGGAACAAACTCCAGACACACCATCTTTAAGAACTGTAACACCGCGAGGGTCTACGGCTTCATTCTTGAAGTCAGTGAGATCAAGAACCCCCCAATTCCGGACACAATGGGGCATCTCATTTTCAATACTATAGGAATATGAGAAAATATAGTGAAAAGAAGGCCAACACTCTCCTAATTCAATTTCAGTGATTTTCAGTGCCCGTTTACTGTTTACTGAAGTAGATTAAGAAATACAACCTGAACCTAATTTATTTCATTTGTTTTAATTTTTCTCCTACTGTTAGTCAATACCCCCAAAATTGGCACTTTGACATGCCAAGGTGGCTTAGAAGCTGCCTCAGATCCAAGGTCTCTCTATCCTTACTTTATCCCTCCCTCTCTCCAACCCCTCAGCAAGCACAGGGAGGGACTTGGGACTCTCTCTGGGAATTTTTTATCTGACAAGGAAAGCTTCTTTTCAAAAGAAGTGCAATTGTCTTAAACCCCCTTCCTAGAGAATCTCATCAAATAACCAGGAAAGATCAACCATCAGAACACCCGAGAAGAGACTGAGAGTCCTCACTACACCGAGACTTTTCCTCTGTTCTTCCAAGGGCAGCTCCAAGAGCTTACCTGGGGGACTTTATTTACTTAATAAGACAATCTTTGTTCCTGTGCAGCTCTGCCCCTCACCCTCCTGTATGATCTGTCTCCCATGTTCCGGGACCATATATGTCTCCCCCTGTGAGGGGAGTATTTCAGCATCAACCATCTGTCCTCTGTTTGAGTTCATGTTTTGTATGACTCCTGGGCACATATATGCACCTTGATACATTTTGTATGCCTTTTCTCCTATTAATCTGCCCTTTGTCGGTTGATTTTCAGTTAACCTTCAGAAGGCAGAGGAAGTTTTCCTTTAGCCTCATCACCTTCATGTGAAACCACTTTTGAAAAATTATGACACTAAGAGAAATCTGACATGGCTGCCTCCATCTTCTAGCCTCACAGGCTGGCCGTCTTTGCTCATTCCTGGGCGTGGGACAACTAACTTTGGAGGAAATTTAGTTTATAGTTTAAATGATAATAACCCTTCCAAAAAACTCAACTGCCCTTGCAAAACTAAGGAAAGCCCACCAAATTAGGAGGATGAGAGGGGCCTAAATTTTACTAAGATGTAGGCATAATTCCAGCCATTATTCCAGAGGTCACAAGATTTGCAACTTTCTCAATTATTCTTTTGTAAAATTATTCCATTGCAAAACCTAAGGCTGGACTTTTGAGATGTCTTCTTTTCAGGTTTTTGCATTTCTGACGACCAGATGACCCTACCCAGACTTGCCAATGGGTCCGGTGGCCCTCACCCAGGAACCAACTCAGTGCAAGAGGACAGCATCAACTCCCTATTATTTCATCTCCCACCTAAAAAATCAGCACTCCCCACTCCTTGGCCCCCTACCCACCAAACTATCTTTGGAAAAACCCCTAACCTCTGAGCCTTTGGTGAGATTGATTTGAGTAATAAGCCTCTCCCACAAGGCGTGGCCAGCCTCCTGTCTATTAAACTATTTCCTTACTGCAATGACATGGTCTCCATGAATTGATTTTGTTTGTGCAGCAGGCAGGAAGAACTCATTGGGTGGTTATGATACAAACAGGAGACAAGGAAATACTGAGAAGAAGAGGGTGGTTCCCCCGCAAAGGCCCCACCCTCAAGCCTGGATAACGGCGGCCCAAAATGAGGACAGCCATTCTTGTTTTTGTGCCCAAAAGTTGCCTTTTGGCCGGCCATGCACCCTATCTTGTACCCATATAAACCCCAAACCCCAAGCTTCAGAAGCAGACGAGGAGACAAGCAGATGAGCAGACAAATAGCAGAATGCTGCAGCAGAAAAAGAGAGAAGAGAAGGAGCGTCTGAAAGTCGGGAGGATTTTGGCTAAGGCTGGTCGGAGAATTGGGCACTGGGTGGCCAAACTCCAGGGGAAGGTCGGAGAATCGGGCACTGGGTGGCCAAACTCCCAAACTCCAGGGGAAGATCATTTTTCCACTCCATCCCCTGTCCAGCTCCACATCCTTCTCACTGAGAGCCACCTCTACCACCCAATAAAACCCCACATTCAGCATCCTACAAATTCATGTGTAACCCAATTCTTCCGTGATACTGGACAAGAGCTTGGGGTACAGAAAGCTGTCACACTGGCCCTCTGTCCTTGCAGAGGGTCTGCTGAGCCAGTTAACACTTAAACTGTCTGAGGACAGCAAGGATAAAAGAACACAGTGTAACACATGCCCACTTGGGCTCCAGGAGTCACAGGCTCCCACCCCTGAATGCCGCTATGGGGTTAGAGCCCAGTGCCCAACTCCTGCACCTGTCCAACTGCATGCTCTCCCTTCTGTATGGGGTTTGAGCAGTGGCGGTGACCCTACAGACTAGCCACACCCCATCACATGTCCTGGGAGGGGGGTCAGGAAACTCTCCCATTTCAGTTTTACATGTAATCCTGTCCCCTTGTGTGTGGAGGGAATCTGTGACTTGCTTCTAATTAATAGTATTTGACAAAGGTGATGGGATGTTACTCATGTGATTGTCTTAAAATATGTGCTACTCACTTCTAACAAACTGGAGCCAGAGATCAACATGCAGCTTAATAAAGCAAATGGCCATGTTTGAGAATCCCATGTGACAGAGAACGGCAGGCAGCCCCTAGGAATAGCAAAAAGCCAGTGTCTTAGAAACAGAGCTTTAAGGAAATGAATTCTACCAATAATTTGAATGAGCTTGGAAACTGTCTCCCCAGTGTAGCTTCCAGTGGGAATACAACTTCACTAACACCTTGGTTTCAGACTTGGGAGACCTTGAACAGAGCACCAAGCTATGGTGTGTCTGAATTTGAGGCTGCAGAAATTGTGAGATTTTATATATATAGTTTTCAAGTAATGTTTGTGGCAATTTATTATGCAGCAATAGAAAAATAACATAATAATTTACCTTCAATTTGGGTAAGTCTGGGTTATTTCACTTAAATATATCTTTGATAATTAGAAAAGTTAAAAAAATTAAATACCTCTTTGATAATTAAAAAAAATTTTCTGAAGATTATTTTGGCTGTAAGCATCTGGGATTTGAAGATTGTAACCTGTGAAGGGGAAGCCGATGTTCTCATGTAAGCCAGAAATTTGTGAATATGAAATATAAACCCAAGAAGAAATATAAACCCAGGGAGTAAGGACTATAACAAAGGGCTGAAGTTGAACTCTGCATCACCTTTCTTACAGGTGTCCTGGTTCAGTGACTTCTTTAAAGAAGCCCGGAAATTTCCTTTGAGCCAACATGCAGATTTCCTAAGTGACATGCTGCCATTCATTAATTCTTGCACTTGGAGAAAGTGTCCCACACACCCCTAAATGTCACACTGCTCTAGCAGATGACTTACTTAAAACTAACAGAAGACTGGATCCTTAAGTTTGCAGTTAAAAGCATTTAATCTTCCTTAACCAGAGTAATTCCTCTATCTGTTAAATTCAGTCTTCAACGTCTAGAATAAGCAGCGTGTTGTCAGATTTGTTCAGTTTTCCTCAATGCTATGAGCCAAAAATAACCATTATTATACAACCAAAAGCATAATAGGACACTATATTTTGCCTTTGTTATGACTTCACCCTACCAGATTCACAAAGCTGAATTATATATTTTTTTCAGATTTAAACAATATACCCAATCCAGAACATGACAATTTTATTTTTTTAAAAATTCACTCCATGTTTACTATTTGGTCTACTGTTTAAAAATATAAGAATAGAAGATTTATCACTCCCTACTATTAGGAATGACTCCTTTGCAAAAGCAGGGACTCACAAAATATCATTTTGGTACTTTATGGCTACTATTTTGTATCTCTGTTATTGCATGTTAATACTATACCTTGTTTGTATTCTGATAACCTGGAACACTTAGGTTGCCTCATTATTTTCCCAGGAAAAAGCCAAGAAAAAGCAAAATATTTTGGAGTTGAGAAATGTGAGCTATGATATAAAAATCTCTGTTAAATGTGTATGAAAAGTAAGCACTCGCTTTGCTCATGTTTTGTGTGTCTTTATTTGAAAATAAATATTACTTTAATAAGGATTTATCACAGCATTATTAAAAATTGCATAATTGCCTTTCTGCATGTTTGTCTTTTCCACAACTCCTCTTTTTTCTTACCTTTCTGCCCTCAGATACATTGGACCAGAGATCCTATAAAATGCAAGTAATTTAAATCTTGCTTCTCTTTAACAGCTCTTAGGGGATGTTGGAAAAAAACCAAAGTTTTAAATATATTAAAACAAAAATGTGAACTATCGGATAGGAATATAGACGAGAGTTGGTAGAGTTATGTGAGGGTAGAAAATGGGTTTCCTTCCTGAGATTTTAATTTGGTGGTATTTTCTGTAGATGCCTGGAGCACTTGTTAACATTCATATCATGGTGACAAGATTTATTTTTTGTAGAGAATATAAATTGGGCAGGAGAAAGCTTTGGGAATGAGCAATGGGCTTGTATGGAGAAATAACAGGAAATGTGGTTCTTTCCCTCCTTATTGCAAACACACATGCACACCATTAAACTTGGGAACCTCTTTCACTGTCTCTATTTGCTGTTTTTATTTCTCTCTTTATCTTCCCTGCAGCCTCCATGTTTACTTACTTTCTACCAAAGCTTTTTACTACATATTGCAACATTGTATGTCTCAGTCTATCCTAATAGCCCTAGTGGAATCTTTTCTTTTTTAATCAAAGCATGTAAATAATTAACACGTGTAGTTCTTTAAGACATGAATTCAGAGTGTCTCTATCAGTTAGAATTATACTTTAAGCACAGATGTGTAACCAAAGTGTCTTTGTAATCTTATTTTCAGATGTTTTATTATATGAAGTTGTGTGTGTTTGTGTGTGTGTGTGTGTATGGTAAATTTTAAATCATCCATCTGATTACCATTACATGGTATTTCAATTTTGAATTTTCTAACTACACAATATCTAACCATTAAATGTCAAATGTGTGTATAAAACATGTACTATGTTTATGTTATTGTATTTTTACAAACATACAGTAAAATTTGTTCTTTGAGAGAAAACGAATGGCAAAATGCTAATCACTGATCACAGATAATCAACTCAACAAATATCCTGATATTCGAGAATTTGTCTTAAAACCAGAAAGGTGAATTTAGGTACATCTAAATTTCATTTCTATTTCCAGCCTTACATTATTATTTTCTAAAATTAGATGAGAAAAGGGAATTTCATGAAGGATAATTTACAGAACCAGGTGGACTCAAACATTATTGATAGATTTGTATACTGCTTATCATCACGGGAACATACCAGCTTGCTCCAAAATTATCATTTTATAGTGCGTTCTTCATGGACATATTTCATTTTTAGCTTCTCAGGAAACAAAGCCATGTTGAAGATTCCGATTCTTTATAACTAATACACTTCTTGAAGTTTACACTCCAAAACATAGCCACAGAAAATAAAGCACGATTCATATTCACTAACCACTTTTGAAATTGTGAATTCATTTTCTGGCAAGAGCTGTGCGATTCCTTAAAATCTATTATTTCTTCTAACTCAGGGCATTTTAGCAAAGAGAAATAAGAATAGTTTTACACGACCATCTGTTCAATACACATTTTCAGTTTGAATCTAAATATCTGGAGTTTTATGAACTGAGAAAGGTTTCCCTTTATTTACTGAAAATAGTTTGTGTTACTGTTGATCTCTAATTTCAAAATAATACATGTCCATTGAAAAAGTGATGACTTTCACAAAATTATAAAAAGCAATGTTTATATTAATTTACATTTCATAAAGTCCAGATCATGAAACCTGAGGCAGGCTGCTTGAATTACAGTCCTACTCCAGTCCTTACAAAATATCTAAACTTAGAAAAGTTACTACACTAGCCTCAGTTTTCTTATCTGTAAAATTGAGTTGATAATAGTATATAAATTTCAATGTAATTCTGAGGTTGAAGTAGGCTCATTCGTTCACTGTGAGTAGCACACTTCCTAGTATACCAAAAGAAATTAGGTTTGGCACAGTGGCTCACGCCTGCACTCTCAGCACTTTGGGAGGCTGAGGCAGGCAGATCACCTGAAGTTAGGAGTCTGAAACCAGCCTGGCCAACATGGTGAAACCCCATCTCTACTAAAAATACAAAAACTAGCCAGGCGTGGTGGTGGGCACCTGTAATTCCAGCTACTCGGGAGGTGGAGGCAGGATAATGACTTGGAACTGGGAGGCAGAGGTTGCAGTGAGCTGATATCGAGCCATTGCACTCCAGTCTGGGTGACAGAGAAAGACTCTGTCTCAAAAAAAAAAAAAATTCACAAGTGTTATTAATATTCTTATTAAAATCAAATTTTTCTTTCAAAATGAATTGTTCTGCAGTTTCTGTCAATTTGAAATATGCCATTTTCATTTTTATGTGAAAAAATAAAATACATTACAATATTTAGGTTATGGATAAATATGATAGTGATAAAATATCTATATATACTTATAAATTTAGGATAAAGCAAAAATCACTAAATATTGGCATTGCTTGTTTTTCTTTAATCCACATAATATTAAGAGAGCAGCTTAAAGGCCCAAGCCCATGTATCTCATAGCCAAGTAAGAGGCACTTGTATCTTTTCATATTTTATCCCACTAAAGATAGCAAGTAAATACATATAAATGTAATTATTAGTAAAAATGTAAATGTAATTATAAATATTCATCAATCTGTCCTAGATTTTAGTATTACTTTTCCTCTGCATGTATCCATACAGAAAAATCACAACAAACCCATTTGTTCAGTTGTGCTAACATTGCATTTCCAGAGAATCCCAAAATATGTTTACAAGGAAAATTGCAAGAATTCATTGGCTACATATATATATATCAACTACCAAATATCAACCATTTAATAAGTGAAAATAAATTATTGGACAAGATCATGCTTAATGCCTTTTCCAATTCCAAATTTATAAATCAACATTCTATTTTAAAATTGTAAAAGTTGTCTGTTTATAATATTTGATATCATAGTCTTTCTAAAATTTAAGAAACTTAATATTTTTACTCTAAAGAAGAGAAAATGCATGGTGATTTTCTGGATATTTACTCTGTAGGGGATATTGCCATATTTGTAATTCTCATCTTAATAGGTCATCATGAGAGGTGAAGCCAGCTGGGCTTCTAGGTCTGGTGGAGACTTGGAGAACTTCTGTGTCTAGCTAAAGGATTGTAAATGTACCAAGCATCCCTCTGTGTCTAGCTAAAGGATTGTAAACGTGCAAATCAGCACTCTGTAAAATGGACCAATCAGCACTCTGTAAAATGGACCAATCAACAGGATGTGGGCGGGGCCAAATAAGGGAATAAAAGCTGGCCACTGCGCCAGCAGCGGCAACTTGGTTGGGTCCCCTTCCACGCTGTGGAAGGTTTGTTCTTTTGCTCTTCACAATAAATCTTGCTGCTGCTCACTCTTTGGGTCCGCACCACCTTTAAGAGCTGTAACACTCGCTGCAAAGGTCAGCAGCTTCATTCTTGAAGTCAGTGAGACCACGAACTCACCAGAAGGAAGAAACTCTGGACACATGTGAAGGGACAAGCACCGGACACACCATCTTTAAGAGCTATAACACCCACCATGAAGGTCCATGGCTTCATTTTTGAAGTCAGTGAGACCAAGAACCCACCAGAAGGAATAAATTCTGGACACAATCATTGTGAGCAGCCTAGAGAGAAAGCATGCAGTATGTGTTCATTATTCACCATAGAGTCCTGTAGGGTATAATTGTCTAAATTGACCTGTGGTAAATCCTTAAAATATATTTAGTGGTGAAATCATCCATATTTATTCCAAAATTAATAACTCTTTTTGGATAAGAAAGCTTTGGAAAAACCTTTTTTAGAGTGCATTTGGAAAAAACTTCAACAAATTTCCCTGATTAAATTAAATTTGAGTTATTCAGATCTTTCCCTCTGATTTGAAATCATAAAGTTTAATGATGCATTTGAAAGAATTAAGTTAAAAATATCTACAAGAAATTGAACAGTCCTGAAGACTACAGTGCCAAGCAGACTAGGTATCTTTTCTGTTCTGTTGGAAGCTCAAAATAAATATGAAAGAGGCCAAAAGAAAAGAAGTGGAGGATTTTCTTCAGGCTTGGGTAACAACATTTGTCAGTAGGTTCTGAAGTATCAGAATCTCTTTGAAACTGGCCCAGTACTCCCATAGACTGTTCTTTTTGATAAACATAGAAATTGAACCTTCTGTTGTTAAAGTTTAAAACCTGTATTTGTTTTATCTGAGTTCCTTCCTCAGGGAAAGACCTTCAGGCCTCTCAAAAAAAGTATCAAAGAACTGAAACTCACCAGATCACTGCACCAGATGCCTCCTTGCCTCTCCCTAGTTCCTGTTTTCTTACACATTGTTACATTTCTTCTCTGCTACATAAACCCCTAGTTTTAGTCATTCAGGGAGATGAATTTGAGACTGAGCTCCCATCTCCTTGGTTGCAACACCTGATTAAAGAAAGCCTTCTTCCTTGGCAATACTTACTGTCTCAGTGATTGGCTTTCTGTGCTACGAGCAGCAGGACTAGACCAAAGCCCCTGTGTTTTGGTAACAGATTTTGGTTCTTTGATTGGGAAGACATTGCTTGTGGCTTGGTTGCTGTGGGCCAGAAGTCCCAGAAGTGCTCCTAAGCAGTTGCCCACCCAATTTCGGCTGGAGGTGAGTTTCTGTCTCTCTCTGGCCCCACAAGCGCTGACCCTAACCACGTTCCTGATTGCCTTGGATGAACTGACTTTGAAATTTGACATCTGCATCCCAATAGGTGAGTGTCTTTTGTGGGTCCGGACAGCAGGATATACTCCTCCCTATTAATTTTTAAAGGAATTTCCATTTGCAAAACAAGCCCAACTAATTGAGAGAGGAGAACAACCTGTTTTAGTGTGGACAGTCTTGGGGGTTTTCTGTAATTGTGTGTTGTGTCTGGGCAAGTGAGTTTCTTTTATGGGTACCAGACAACAGGGTCAGCTCTTCTCAATATAGGAAATTCCTAAGGAATTTTTGTTTGCACTTGATCAAGCCCAGCTGATAGAGAGAGGAAGCACCCTGTTTCAGTTTGGACACTCTTGGGGCTTCTTTGTTGCTGCAGCAGTAGGATTGTGTTTTGGTGATTGTGTGTGTGTTTGCTATATTATAGTCATGAGGAATTAGAATTCAGTAAACTTGATATTCTTTTGCAACACTGTTTGCCCCAATATTGCTTGGAATCTGGAGTTTGCTGTTTAATAGGAAAGTGGGATGGAGTTGCATGTATTCAGGCTTTTGCACTGCTTTTTAAAGCAGGGTTGGGCCTGGGTTGTATGTGATGTTCTCCTTTGGTACTGTTTGGCCTCACTGTTCTATGGAATCTGGGGAAGTTTGGCCTTTAAAAATGAAACTGCCATGAAAACTGCTTTACACAAAGTTTTGATTCACAGTGTTCATTGGATTACCTAATCCAGTGAATCATTTGGCAAACAAAGTGTAACCATGTTAAACCGTGAGTTTGTATTGCTATCTCATGGATAAAGTTCCAAGGTAAAAGCTATTGAATTTTTGTTTGTGTGTTTATATATGTCTAGATGTGTTTATTTGTATTCACATTTATTGTTATATGTTGTGTCTACCAAACTGGCTTGTAAATAAAATTGTACTCATAAATTAAGTAAATGAGTCCAAGCAATTTTTAAGTTTATGTGACTTGAGTAAATCTTTTTTAAACAAACTGACTTTAAAATTATTGGTAAAATAAAAAATAGAAATGTTTTCAGAATTGTCAGCATACACTTTGATCTGGGTTTTATATTTATCTTTGCTAGATATTTTAAAATATCAGGGTTTGGCACAGAAGATTATAAAACTGTAAACCCAGCCAAAACTAAATGATCTTTGTGAATTTTTTGGTAAGTAAGACAAATTTAACGTTGTTGGTTTAATGAAAACCGCCGAATCTTCTGTGTCATTGGTAAAAATACCCGTGTAGTTAACATTAAGGCTCTTATTTAGGTTATTTAGGTGAACATCTGAAATTCACAGTCTATAAAATACTTAGTAAGGAAATAAATAATGCATAAATAATCCAACTTCTTAAAATAAATATAATGTAAATGGGTAAACACTATAGATGAACTTTTTGTGTAATTTAAAATCTTAAAATTATTTTTGATGCTCACTGGATATCTGGGTTATTTCCAGTTAAGGAAGGGTTATGATATGGGGCAATGTATTTCTTAAAATTGTGGAATTGTTCTCATTTATGAAATGCTAATATCTGGTAGGAAGCTCAGGGTTTTTGCTTCCTAGGATTTCACTTTAATTTAAGTCTACTAAGGATAAGAATTATAGTTAACATATAATTCTGTATATAAACTGGGCCAAAAAACATATGTTACTAGTGAGAATAAATAGTTTTGTCTAATTTAGAAGTTATCTAAAAGTTAAATTATGGACTTGAAAAAGGTGATTTATGAAACAAGGTAGTTAGAAGGGGAGAGAAATATGAAGAAAGTTATAGATATGAAAATATGATTTTGGTAAGGAAGGTTGTAAAAAAAGAGTAATTTTGTATGAAAAAAGACCTTGTGTGGTAAATTTTTCATCCTGGGTAAAATGACTGATTATTTAAAGAAAAAAGAAGAAAAAATTCCGGGACTGAACAGAAAGCCCAGACATGTCTGTGGACAGTCTGTGTAAGTCATATGAAGTTTTTCATATTTCTCTGTGTCCATCTTCATGGATATACAGAGAAAATAGAAAGTTGAAAAAGTTTAGATAATGAAATAGTCTTTAAAACCTAATAAAGAATTGGAGAAAATTGGCTAATTAACATTTTTGTAGTTAAAGCTCTTAGCCTTGATGAAGGTAAAATAAAAAATATTGTAAAGAAATGCATTGGCAATTTGGCATTCTTTTTTAATAGAGTTAAGCATGAAGCCAGATTTAGTGTGAAGGCAAATTTCACATACATGCTTGCATTGCTTCACACTACTTTTGGATTTTTATGGATGGTGCTGGCACTGGAGTAGTTAGTGGTCATGTGTCTAGAGTGAATTTATTGATTTCACAGGATATCTGGTGATATTGATGGACTTAGGATATTGAATTATGCATCAGGAATAAAATATTCATCATGTGTTTTGGCAGGGGGGTGCTCTGGGTAACACTGTAGCCTCCAGGATAGACTGAGTGTGGGAAAGTTGGGGATTGGTTTCCTGTTTCATTTGTTTTTCCTTCTAGTTTTCAGTTGTTTGCTGTTTGCTCTTTTTTGGGTTTTGCTTGTATATGCATTTATATAAAATCATTGATGTTATTTAGTTTCTAGTGGAAGGTTTTTATTTGGTTCTGTGAATAGTTATTTTGTTTCCTGTGCATTTTTAGCAAGTCATCATTTGTTCTATTTATCTGAAATTCTAGGCTACCTTTGTCAGGCCTGTAGGAATTGAAGGAGTACCCCCACACATTTGGAATTTGGCTGGTTTTTCTTGCCTCTGATGTTCTAGGAAGCTAAAAAATATCAAAGAAGTACTTATATTTATAAATTCTGAACAAAAATAGTACATTATATATTTCATTGTTTGGAGAGGTGGATGAGAGTGGAAATGTTTGAGTTGTGTTTGTTTCTAGGGTGAGTCAATCTAATCAATAGTTTGGGTTGATTTCAGATTGTTTCCTTTGATGAGGAAAAACTGTGATATGGGTACAATGTTTTAATGTTCAGGAAAGATTGGCCTTGTCCTTAAGGAAATTATATTGATTAGAATTTCTCTCAAGGTAATTTAGTTGTGTTTACTACTATTAAATTAAAGTGACATTCACTTGGACTGAGTAGCAATTAAAAAAAGGTAAAACCTTCTTGTGATTTTTGATCTTAAGCTGTTTATCATAGATGGGCCTTCATTGTGTACTTAAAAACAAAATATGTGCAGGTTCTGCACTGGTTTGAAGATTTTGGGGTGAAAATTCCCTAATCAGTTGTCTGTATTGTATCTAGAAACAAATCTTGGAAATGTGTAATGAAATGCTTTTAAAATAGCTGAAAAGAAATTGTTACACTATTTAAGTGAATGGAGATTATTTCTCATATTGAATTTCCTAAACTGCATTTGCATTTATCATTTTTTAATAGTGGAGAAAAAAGTTAATTGTCTTTGATAAGTTTGGCACAGGACTTAGCACATTTTTTATGCTTTTGGTCATAGTTCTGTCACTAGAACACTAACAATTAGAAATATGCAATGAGTAACCTAACTACTTTAATACAGTGGTTTGAAGTTCTGCAGGCAGTAACTCCTGAACACCCAATTACACTTTTAATTGTAACATGTTAGAGAAAATGATAAGACTTTCTATAGTGTAAATATCCTATTAACCAATCCTTGTGGTGTTAAATTACAGGGCTTGGACTCTTGGGTCTGAAGGAGGCACAAACCCCAGCTAAATTTTGAACATTGACACAAGTTGAAGCCTCATCTTCAGACTTGGGAGAAGGTGACACTCAAAATGAACTGGTTTTGTGAGACAGAAGGCTAGAAATCAAAACAATTCAATCTCTCTAGGCCTGGGGACTATTGCAGAAGAGGTGGGCATGTGAGATTGTAAGGGCTAATTTTGAAGGACAAGATTATTTCAGAGAATTTGTGTAAGTTAAACATTAATATAAAAAGCCCACTGATTCAAGGCCAGTGTCTGGGCCCAAGTGTTGGAATAACTGGGTTTTCTTGGAGCCTAGATCTACCCATAAATAGAAAATTAGAAAAGATTATTAAAGAAATTATGGAAATCTTACTTTATGATCAAACTGATTAAAAGTAGACAGATTTGTTTATAAGATTTTATTAAAATTAGCTTTAACATTAGTAATACACCATAGAAAGGTAAAATTGTAACATATTAGAGAAAATGGTAAGACTTTCTGTAGTATAAATATCCTATTAACCAAACTAAGAAAGGTTTTCCCTTTTGAACAAAATATTTGTGTTTTATGAAGAGATAAAATATTTTGTTTATCTTCTGAGTAAACTGCAGGGAGAAAATGGAAGCAGGGCACAGGCAGTTTTAGTTGGGCCTCATACTGTCTTTTTTAGATCTTGTTGTTTGGGACACTGAGTTTTCTCTCTATCAAAAGATAAATGCTTTTGTTTTATCACTTCTGCTTAATGAATGACTATTTTTATAGTGAGCTATGATACTATTTTGTGCTGAAAAATGTTGATATTTGGCCAACTTTTGAAAAGGAAAATTTCAAGTTCTAAATTCAATATTTTTGACATCAAACTAATTTTTTTGATATTAGGTTTCTTGAAGTCCGAGAGATATATTAGGCTTATTTAACTTATTTGTTATGTTAGAATTATACAGGAAGTGTTGTCAAATGTGAGGCAGTATTTTACTTTCTTTGTGTTATATTTATATACATATGTTGTTAATATCATCACAGAATCCTTTGGGTGTCATTTCATCAGCCAGAATCCTCTTTGGCTGGTGGGGCCTCTACTTGAGTTTCATTTACACTCACTGGGCTCATTCCACCCACTTGGCCAGGCAGGCTGTGCTTGGCCCACACTACCAGTATCCCATGCCCACTGAGGATGAGCTCTGGCTCAGTGAATCCTAATGTCTGGGCTCCCAGAAGGGTTACAGAGCATGTCACCACTCGTAGCTTGGCAAGCCAGCCAGGAACATGTTACATCCTTTTAATGCCCACTGTTCAGCAGGTCCTGAGTTATTGTTCCATGTCCAGGAAGAATGAGGCTACATGGACAACTGGAGGGTGAGCAAGACAGAGAAGAATTTTATTGAGTGAAAGAACAGCTGTCAGTGAAGAGGAGACCCAAAGTGGGTAGCTCCTATTCTCAGGCATGTAGTCCTGACATGTGTCTGAGTCTAGCTGAGTCTGGGGTTTTTATGGACTCAGAATGGAGGAAGTGCATGCTGATTGATCCATGGGTGGGCCAGAAAAAGGCACCATATGATTGGCCTAAAGGCATCAAGAAAGTTCTCACTCTGGGTCATGGACTCCACCCAGAACTGGTAGCTCGATTTTCAGGCTTCAGGCTGGCTCCATCCTGAAGGTTGGGTTTCACTGGGGACCCAACCTTATCTGCCCAGGAATTTGCCTGCTTCCTGATGCTATCAATCCCCCCTCTGAAGAGGTACATCTTACTGCCATTAGGATAGGAATAGTGACTGCTCCCAACTGCTTCATGCTGATAGGGGGCCTTGTTTTGGGGAAAACAGCAGTCAGATCTCTCTCAGAGGCTTATCTAAGGTTTCCAAGTAAAAAAGGAGCTATTGTCCAAGGCTCCACTTGCATACCATTTGGAGTTTCATGACCTCTAGGTGAGTAGAAACAAATTTTACAAAGAGGTTAAGTATGTATGGACCAAATATGAGTATTATACAAAGAGGAGCTAAAAGAAAAAATCTAGTGCCAAAGATAACAGAAATAAGAAGTAAAATAGACTAATCATTCTGAAAACAATGTTGTGGCTAGAACTGTTTTACCCTAGTGAAAAAAATTAAATCTTGTATAGAGAGCAGTTAAACTTTAGAATAGAAATAACTGTTTAGGGGAGTAGATAATACCTTGGAAGTTCAACCTCAAGGGGTCCTTGATAAAGACACCTTATGGTGAGGACTCGAAAAAAGGCAAGAATAGCAAGCATAGGTGAGACTACCAAGAGGATATCCATGGGAGGTTAATTATTGGCACTAATCTTTTGTGGTTTTTAGCTTGGGATCTTTGATTTCATCACACTGGAACTTTGGGTGCTCTTCTGGGTCAAAAGAGGTAATTCGGTCAGTTCCCTAGGCCTTTACTCAAGTATAATTAATGCAAGAATCTATTCCAGTGACTTTTACTGCCGTAGGAGTAGGCAGAAGTACAGTGTAACATCCCTTCAACTTCAAGCCTAGAGTGGAAGAAAGGGAAAGAAGTGCCTTTATCAATACTAAGTCCCCTGGATCGAATAGAGGAGGCCTTGGTTCATGGGATTGGGCCTCTAACAGTTGTTTTAGTTCCTGTTGGCAAATGGGCCAAAGAAGTTACATGTTTAATCAAATCAGAGGTTTATTGGTCTAGCAAGCAATCATTGGTGAGAAAAGGTCATCTATACACCATTTCAAAGAGACTTAAGAGATTTAAACCCAGCTTCAAAGGGGTGTGTCTAACACATAGTAAGGCTACATGAAGAATAATCTGAGGAAGATGAGTCTCCTGAGACAGTTTTCTGATAATATCACTTGTCTTTTCTACCTTTTCTGAAAACTGTGGTCTCCAAGCAGAGAAGACGGTCTTATATGTCTTTGAGCTCCTCGCACCCCCTGCTCCTGCCTGGTTGACAACTGCCTTGAAACAGGAGCCATAATCGGTCTGGAGGTACCAAGGAAGTCCAAAGTGAGGGATTTTCTCAGTAATTAATACTTTTCTCACCTCAGAGGCATTCTCTGTGCAACATGGAAATGCTTCTACCCAGTTAGTGAAGGTATCTACCCATACTAGGAGGAACTGAAGTCCCCTTATCATTGGTATATGGGTGAAATCCATTTGCCAGTCTTTCTATGTGTAGCCTCACAGTCTTTGGGCTCCAAGGGGAAGAAACCATCAATTGAGGGGATTATTTTTAAGGCAAGTCTTGAGAGCATTAGCAACCTGTTTGGCCATTTTTAGCAAATTTTTACCTGTGAACAACCTTTGGGCCAATAGATAGGTTTTATCTTGACCTAGGGGGAAGGCTTGGTGAAGGGTTTTATGAACTTTTCATTGTCTGGAAGCTGGTAGATGAAGTTTGCCATCCTCTCATTGCAGCCATCCTGAGGACTGAAGGGTATATTTCCAAGAAGTGGCCCATCCCATCTCCACAGAGGAATACTGAGGTTTTATTTCTTTTATGGAGCCTCTCAGATCAGAGGGGGCTCAAGTGGATCAGAAATCTCTGGCCCTTTCACTGACAATTTAGCTGCTTGTTCTGCCAACTTATTTCCCTCAGCTATTTTATACGTCCCCTTTTGCTGACCTTTACAATGTATTATTGCCACTTCCCATGGAAGGAAAATCAAGGATAATAGTCTTGTTAATATCCTGATGGTATTTAATGGGAGACCCATTGGCTGTGAGGAAGTCCCTCTCTTTTCAGATAGTGGCATGGGCACTGGGGACTAGGAAAGCATACTTAGTATCAGTAGAAATATTAACTGCTTTCCCCTTGCTTAATTCAAGTCGCCTCTTGAGGGCAATTAGCTCAGCTATCTGAGAACTTGTGCCCAAGAGAGAAGAGTGCTCTCAATAATGTTATTCAGGATGATTGCTGCATACCCTGCCTTTTGGATCCTTTGCTCTACAAAGGAACTTCTATCCATAAAGAGTCCAGTGTGGTTTCTCTAAGGGGGTTTCTTTCAGGTCCTCTCTGGCTGTGTAGGTTTGCACTAGTGTTAGCAGTTATGTTCAAGCTCCCCAGCTTTCGCTGGGAAGAAGGTGGCTGGGTTTAGGGAGGGACAGTTTCTTAACTGGACTGCAGATCCCTCTAATAGCAGAGCTTATTATTTGAGGAAGCAGTTGTCCATAATCCAGAGACTCCCCTTAGAAGACAGCAGCTCTGCCACATTATGTGGGGTATGAATGGCTATGTTATTTCCCTTGGTTAACTTAGTAGCCTCTGGTACCAGCAAGGCTACCAGTGCAACTGCCTGGCGGCAGGCTGACCATCTTTTAGCTACCAAATTAAACTCCTTGCTTGGGTAGCCTATAGGCTGCTGGGCTGGACCTTGGGCCTAGGTTAGAACTCCCAGGGCCATTCTCTTCCTTTCTAATACATAAAGATTGAACAACTCCCTTATAGGAAGACTAAAGGCTGGTGCCTTTAGCAAGGCTTGTTTTCACTGGTCTGTAAAAGGAAAATCAATCTTGGGGCCCCAAAATCACTAAGCTAAAGGTAAAAGTCAAGCTGGAAACTACTCAGGGCAAACTACCTCCCATTCTATTCAAAATCAACCCACTGCTCGCTAAGATAAATGCATATCTGATTGCCTCATTTGGAGAGGCTAATCAGAAACTCAAAGGAATCATCCGTTTGTCTCTTATCTACCTATGACCTGAAAGCCCCCTCCTTACTTTTAGCTTTTCTGCCTTTGCTTCAAGTTGTCCCACCTCTCCAGACTGAACCAATGTTCATCTTACATATGTTGATTGGTGTCTCATATCTCCCTAAAATGTATAAAACCAAACTGCTCTGACCACCTTGGGAACATGTCATCAGGATCTCCTGAGGCTGTGTCATGGGTGCATGTTTTCAACCTTGGCAAAATAAACTTTCTAAATTAACTGAGACCTGTCTCACATATTCAGGGTTCACAAGTCAAAGGTTCTTTTAGCCGCTTCTTTGCAAATTAGGGAGTGGCTCTTAGCTGCCTTAGTTTCCTTTATTAGGTGATAGAAGTGCTAAACTGTTACACCATACCCAGGTGTATGTAGTCTGCAGAATCCTGTAATGCCTAGCAATCTCCTCAGCTGATTGAGGGTTTGGGGGAGGGGTAGGAAGGAGATGGGCTTAATCCTTTCTTCACCTAGCATCCTAGTCCCGTCTGACAAGACTAGACCTCAGTACTTCACTGAAGTCTGACAGAGCTAAGACTTAGATTTTGAGACCTTATATCTTCTGTTAGCCAGGTAATTAAGAAGAGCCTTACGGCCCTCCTGAGAGATTTTCTCACTTGGAAAACCAAGTGGAATATCATCTACATATTGTAAAACTTTAACCTGAGGATAAAGGAACTCAGAGAGGCCTTTGGACAACACCTTCCCAAACAGGTGGGGGCTATCTCAAAATCCCTGAGGTAACACCATCAAGGTTAGCTGGGTTGTTCTGTTGGAAGGATCCTCTAATGCAAACAAATACTGAGAGCTGGGCTATAATGGTATGCAGAAAAAAGGCATCCTTTAGGTCCAGGACTGTGAACCATTTAGTTCCCTCAGGATATAGGGATTAGGAACCACCAGATGAATTGAAACCACAGCCTTATTAATGAGGTGTGGAGGTCCTGAACCAGTCTCCATTCAATTCCTTGTTGGGTTTCTGTACCCCTAATGTCAGGGTATTACAAGGGCTGTTGCAGAGTTTGAGGAGGCCCTGCATCCTCAAGTTATCAATGATGGCTTCTAGACCTTTCCTAACTTCTGGTTTTAGGGGATATTGTTTCTGGTTAGGGAAGGAGGTAAGATCCTTAAGGTGGATCCAGATCAGTGTGGAAGTTCTGGCTTGGCCAATTTCCCCTTGAGTTGCCCAAACTTCTGGGTTAATATTGGTCTCCACAAAGAGGAGACAAAAAGTCTGTCCTGGAGCAATAAGATTGGTAGTTCCCATATGAGCAAAAATATCCCTGCCCAACAGAAGAGTTGGGCTGTCAGGCATGAATAAAAATGCATGAGTAAACCAGAGGTCTCCCCAACTACAACTAAGGGGTTGGGGAAAGATACCAGGTTAAAGGCTTTCCTGAGATGCCCCTCTCAGTCATACTAAGGGGGTTCGGGGCCCATATTGAAGAGGAGGACTGAAAGTTCCACTCTAGTGTTAAGGAGGAAGTCCACCTTCCTCCCTTTGACTTCCAGAATCACCTAGGGCTCCTGGATGATAATGGTTGTCTGAGCCACTGGAGCCAGGAAGAATAGCCCTGGGACCCATCAGTCCTTCTAGACTACTTGGAATACTGGCTCTGGACACATTGACTTGTGTCTCTATCGACAGTCTACCCTACAGTGGATGCTATCCCAAATTGGAGAGGGTCAAAATGGCTTCTTCATGTTGCCCAGGCAGTCCTTTCTAAAGTGACTTGCTTGCCACATTTGTAGCAGTTAACAGATGCATCTTGTGGATTCTGGGGTCTGTGAGACTGTAAGGTGGTCCTCTGAGCCTCCCCCTTTTTCTTGTGTCTTCTTTCTCTCTTGGACTTCCTCCCAATCCCTATTGTAAAAGACCTAGGTGACCACTTTCAGGAGGTTGTCTAAAGTAATATCTGGTCCCATAGGCTGTTTCTGCAGCTTCCTCCTGACATCAGGGTCCACCTGAGTAATGAACTTATCTTTTAGAATTAGTTGTCTCTTGACTGAATCAGGAGATAGAAAGGTATGCTTTACCAAGGCCCCTCTTAACCTTTCCAGGAAGGCGATGGGATTCTCATCCAGTCCCTGGTCTATCATGGATAGTTTGGAGTAACTGAGAGGCTTAGTTCTAGCCCTTCATAAGCCCTCCAATATGCACGCTTGAAAGTGTTTTTTCTCTTTCATTCTCCCATTTCATCATTGGGGTCTCATTTAGAGTTTTCCAATGATACTGCTATTCTCCCAAATAGAAAAGGCTCATCCCCTTCCCTGGCCTTATATGAAATACAAAGCTCATCCCAAAATTCTCAGCCACTTTCAGGGCAGCCTGCTTTTCAGCGGTAGGGTTTGATTCAAAAGTAACATAAAATTCTTCCAGGAGAGTTCAGATACTTGGGTTAAATTCTGGAAAGCCTCTATATGCCTGGCAGGATCGTCTGAAAGCTTGCCAAGATGACCCTTAATTTCCTCTAAGTCCTGTAAAGAAAAGAGATCTTGGACCCTGATGGGGCCATATTTACCAGGCATCTGTTGTAGGGGCAGGAGTGAGACTGAGACCTGTGTAAAATGAGGATTTCTAGGATGGGGCAAGCTTGAGAGAAAACCTGGATAGGGAGGATGGGGTGGACCAGGAGGAGCAGGACCAGAGGGAGCTGACTCCCTGGCTGGAGGTACCTGTGGAGTTTGCTTTCCTACTCCCTTGGAATTGCCTTTTGCAGCCTCTCCTGAGATAGCTGCTAGGATGGCTGAATCGATTCAATGTTGGCAAAGGTCCAGATTACCCTGCAAGGCATAGAAAACCTGCATGTAGGGGATTTCAGACCATTTGCCCTCATGTTTACAGAAATGGTCCAGCTGCAGGATGGTATTAAAATTAATGTTTTCTTCCTGAGGCCAAGCTTCTCCTTCCTGCAAAACATAACCTGACCACAACTTTGTACAAGGAAATATGAGGTGATTTTTCTCCAGAGTCTGAGGGTTGTAGAAGTCCCAGTGATTCAGGATGCACTCAAGAGGAGTGCAAGCTGAAGATGATGATTACCCATCTGGAAGAGGGGAAAAGCATCCCTTAGTTTGTCTCTCTTCCAGCAAAAACCAGGGGTATGTGACTGAGAGTGAATAGGCAGCCCCTTTTTTCTTCCTTTCTTTTTTTCCCGAATCCTGGCAGCCCCTAGCAGTGCCACCCATGGGTGTGAATGTGACCTCCACCCATGTAGTGGGAAGACCTAGTGAGTAGGGATATTCACACTTACCTACATTTCCCTATCTTCCTGCTGTCAGTAACCTGTGGATTCCCTAGATCTCACCTATGCCATGGATGTGAGCAAGTTCTCTGCCTAGGATCAGGAAGGTCTAATCAGCAGGGATAGTCTTGCTTACCTTCACTGTGTCCTGGCTTTCTGCTGTAACTGCGTCTGGGTCCCTCAGGTATAGTTTGTCTTTTCAGGGCTTCAGCCAGAAGCTTGGAATTGATTTTGAGACAAAAAGCTGCCTCAGGAGGGTATATGGACCCTTTAGATTAGTCCCAGGTGGCCCTTGCATAATTGAAGCCTGCAACCAGTGGGGCAGTTTCTTCATTGCTTCTCTATCATAAGCAGAATGCTAAGGTAAAGCTGTGGAATCAGGTTCTTCTCAAACTAAGGAGAGAAAGGGAGTCCTAGGAATTGGGGACCTGTCCTAAGAAGATGCCTCCCAAAAGGAAAAGTAAATCTCTCACATAGAAAGTATCCCTGTATTGACTGGGCATGGTTGCTCATGCCTGTAATCCCAGCACTTTGGGAGGCCAAGGTGGGTGGATCACGAGGTCAGGAGATCAAGACCACCCTGGCTAACATGGTGAAACCTCGCCTCTACTGAAAATACAAAAAAAAAAAAAAAAAATAGCCAGATTTGGTGGCAGGCGCCGGTAGTCCCAGCTACTTGGGAGGCTGAAGCAGGAGAATGGCGTGAACCTGGGAGGCAGAGGTTGCAGTGAGCTGAGATCGCACCTCTGCACTCCAGCCTGGGTGACAGAGTGAGACTCTGTCTCAAAAAACAAACAAACAAAATGAAAAAATAAAAGAAAAAAGAAAGTCTCCCTGTATTTACAGGACTGTGTTGACTCCTGACATGGTGGAAAAAGAAACAACTTAAGTGCAATGGAGGAGAAGGTGCCTGGAGGAGGTGGCCTCTTGCCCTATGATAATAGGCTTCCTCAATGGGGGAAAGAAGGCTTCAATCATTACATCCTCCTCACTTCTAAGAATAGAAATAAACCACATTGTTCTAAATTACACTCCTGATGACTATATTATCTCAGTGGTTTGCAGCAACACCCTTGACATTGTATGTGAAGAAGAGATAGGAGCCATGACAGCCAGAAAGGAAACAAGAAAATATTATAGGAAAGACTGGAGGGCCTAGTGCTGACACCATAATGGGCTGTCAGGGACTGGAGCCAGTCTAGGGGCCTACAGGCAACATGGAGTTGTGGCCTCACCAGATGTCTTCAGTTGCTCCAAGACCTTATTTCGATCCCCTGTGATGACAAGACCTCCATGAAGGGAAACTGGATTGGAACAAAGCCAACATTCCCAACACTCAAGGATGAGGGGGAATTGACAGTGTCCTCCTCAGCAAGCCTGACCTCCATGTCTTAAGTCCGGCAGACACACTAGTTGCTTTTACGTGGCCAACAGATGCCCAGTGTTTTTCTTTCATTTTGGCTATTGTAGAGTTTAAGGACTCTAAACAAAAGGACAGAAATCACCAAGTCCATTTTTACTCACCCTTCCACAGATCCCAGATGAGCCCTCAGAAATATCATGGGATCTTTTGGGTGTCATTTTGCAACCCAGAACCCTGTGGCTGTCAGTGCCTCTGCTTGAGTTTCATTCATGCCCACTGGGCTCGTTCTGCCCACTTGTCCCAGTAGGCTGTGCTCAGCTAGCATTACCGGGCCAGATCCCATGCCCAAGGGCAAGGCAGGCATGGAGTGGTGAGGGGTTTGTGAGTGAGCAAGCACAGGGTCCAGCCACTGCACAGCCAGATGCATTGCTGCTGTGGTGGGCCAGGCAGCTCCAGGTGCCAGCACAGGTGCTGTCTCCATGCATGGCCACAGCTGGACCAGGTGTACCACAAGTGGCTTCCACTGCAGGCGATGGCACCTAGAGAAAGGGAACACAGTGGTGCCCAAAAACTCAGAGATGCCAGAAACCACAGAGCCCCAAGGTGTGTGTGTGTGTGGAGGGGGGATACAGCTCTCATTTCTGCTGCCCACAGCCAGCGAGTGAGGGGGGTTGTGTTTCAGCTTGTTTAATCCTCACTCCAGCCCATGGTTTCTGGGCTGACCCAGCCCCACCACCACTTCCTGTTGAAAGGCAAAGCCATCTGGACTACCTGGGTTGAGTGGGGACTTGGAGAACTTTTCTGTCTTACAAGAGGTTTGTAAAAAGCACTCTGTAAAAACGCACCAATTACAAACCTCTAGCTAGCTAGAGAGCTCTAAAATTCACCAATCAGTGCTCTGTAAAAATGCACCAATCAGTGCTCTGTAGGTAGCTAGAAGTTTGTAAAATGCACCAATCAGCACTCTGTAAAATGGACCAATCAGCAGGACATGGGCGGGGACAAATAATGGAACAAAAACTGGCCACCCCAGCCAGCAGTGGCAACCCGCTCATGTCCCCTTCCGTGATGTGGAAGCTTTGATTTTTGCTCTTCAGAATAAATCTTGATGCTGCTCACTGTTTGGGTCCATGCCACCTTTAAGAGCTGTAACACTCATTGCAAAGGTCCATGGCTTCATTCTTGAAGTCAGTGAGACCACAAACCCACCAGAAGGAACAATCTCTGGACACATCTTGGTGACCACGAAGGTACTATCGCCAAGTGGTGAATACCATTGGGCCCCTTTCGCTTGACATTCTGTCCTATTTTTCCTTAGAATTTGGGGGCTAAACACCAGGCACCTGTTGGCCAATTAAAAGCGACTAACGCAGTCACCAGACTAAAGACACAGGTGTCAGGCTTTTTGGGAAAGTGCTCTCTAACAACCCCTGACTCTTTGGAATTGGGAGTGGTGGTTTGCCTGGATCCATCTTCCACTTTTCCTGTACTTCTGGGCTGAGCTGAGGGTCAACAGAGAGGAAAGCCATTCAGCTCCGGGGTCCCAACAAAAAGTTGGTTGGCCCTGCAGCCATGAGCAGAACTCTCAAGGTCCCGTCACCCAAACGAGACTCGCCCATCTATTCTATCTATCCTGACGCTTGCCTCCTGGGTCCTAACACCTGTCAGACAAACTTCCTCCTGCCTCTCTTCTCCAAGGCTAGTCCCGCTTCTAAAAAAAAAACCACTCCCTGTCTCTGGTGCTTTTCTAGTTTCTCCTATAAGAATGATTTCTAGTATGAATTTCAGGACTCTGTTCCTTTCTTTAGGCACCCAGGCTCACCAGTCAGAAAGACATAATTTTTTCCCAAAGCCCCATTGGTGGGGGAAGCTATCTGGAATTTTAGGATTTCTCCTCAGACTAGCAGGCCTAACAAAGGCTATTCCCAAAGCTAGGATATGGGGAGCCTCAGAAATGATATCCTTCCTATCCATATGATGAGAAGTGAGGACAAAAGGCATCACTCTTCCAACCCTGGAGATCCCTTCCCTCCCTCAGTGTATGGCCCTCCACTCCGTTTTGAGGCATATCATTTTTATAAGACAGGGGTAAAGTCCCAATACTAACAGGAGAAAATGCTTAGGACTCTAACAGGTTTTCAAGAATGCGTTGGTAAGGGCCACTATATCTGACCCTTCTCGATCCTCCTTGTGGTCTAAGAGGAAAGGCAAGGGTGCAGGTTTTCAAGAATGCATCAGTAAGGGCCACTAAATCTGACCTTCCTCAGTCCTCTTTGTGGTCTAGGAGGAAAACTAGTGTTCCTGCTGCTGCATTGGTGAGTGCAACTATGCCAATCAGCAGGGTCCAGGGAACCGTTGCAAGTTCTTGGGCAAGAGGGGGATCTGCTGCTGTGCATTTGTGAACACAACTATTCCAATCAGCAGGGTCTGGGGACCATTGCGGGTTCTTGGGTGGGGGATGGGGGGGCAAACAAACAAACCAGAACTGCGGGCATTTTTTCTTTCAGATGGGAAACACATAGGCATCAACAGGATCACCCTTGAAATGCATCCTAAGTCATTGGGACCAATTTGACCTGCAAACTCTGAAAAAGAGGTGGCTCATTTTTTTTTTGCATTATGGCCTGGCCTTGCAATTTATATTCCACAAGAGGACTTCTCAGCTTACCTCCATATCCTAGCCTCCCTATAGCTCCCCTTCCTATTAATTATAAACTTCCTCTAATCTCCCCTGCCCAGAAGGAAACAAGCAAAGAAATCTCCAAAGGACCATGAAACCCCCCGGGCTATCGGTTATGTTCCCTTCAAGCTGTAGAGGGAGGGGAATTTGGCCCAACCTGGGTACATATCCCCTTCTCCCTCTCTGATTTAAAGTAGATCAAGGTAAGATCTGGGGAAGTTTTCAGATGATCCTGGTAGGTACATAGATGTCCTACAGGGTCTAGGGCAAAACTTTGACCTCACTTGGAGAGATGTCATGCTATTGTTACATCAAATCTTGGCCTTTAATGAAAAGAATGCAGCTTTAGCTGCAGCCCAAGAGTTTGGAGATACCTGGTATCTTAGTCAAGTAAATGATAGAATGACAGTCAAAGAAAGGGACAAATTTCCTACCAGTCAGCAAGCCATCCCCAGTATGGATCCCCACTAGAACCTCGACTCAGATCATGGGGACTGGAGTCATAAACATCTGTTGACCTGTGTTTTAGGAGGACTAAGGAGAATTAGGAAAAAGCCCATGAATTTTTCAATGATGTTCACCATAACTCAGGGAAAGGAAGAAAATCGTTCTGCCTTCATTGAATGGCTATGGGAGGCCTTAAGAATATATACTCCCCTGTCACCTGACTCCCTCGAGGGTCAATGGATCCTAAAAGATACGTTTATTACCCAATCAGTCACAGATATCAGGAGAAAGCTCCAAAAGCGAGCCCTGGGCCCTGAACAAAATCTGGAGGCACTATTAAACCTGGCAACCTCAGTGTTCTATAATAGGGACCAAGAGGAACAGGCTGAAAGGAAAAGTGAGATCAGAGAAAGGTCTCAGCCTTAGTCATGGCCCTCAGACAAACAAACCTTGGTGGTTCAAAGAGGACAGAAAATGGAGCAGGCCAACCACCTGGTGGGGCTTGTTATCAGTGTGGTTTGCATGGACACTTTAAAAAAGATTGTCCAATGAGAAACAAGCCACCCACTCGCTCATGTCCACCATGCCAAGGCAATTACTGGATGGCACACCGCCTCAGAGGACAAAGGTTCTCTGGGCCAGAAGCCCCCAACCAGATAATCCAACAACAAGACTGAGGGTGCCTGGGGCAAGTGCCAGCTTATGTCATTACCCTCCCTGAGCCCCAGGTACGTTTGACCATTGAGGGACAGGAAATTGACTTCCACCTGGACACTGGTGTGGCCTTCTCAGTGTTAATTTCCTGTCCTGGACAGCTGTCCTCAAGGTCTGTTACCATCCGAGGAATCCTGGGACAGCCTATAACCAGGTATTTCTCCCACCTCCTCAGTTGTAATTGTGAAACTTTGCTCTTTCACATGCCTTTCTTGTTATGCCTGAAAGTCCCACACCCTTATTAGGGAGGGACATATTAGCCAAAGCTGGAGCTATTATCTACATGAATATGGGGGACAAGTTACCCATTTGTTGTCCCCTACTTGAGGAGGGAATCAACCCTGAAATCTGGGCATTGGAAGGACAATTCAGAAGGGCAAAAAATGCCCACCCAGTTCAAATCAGGCTAAAAGACCCCCACCACTTTTCCTTATCAAATGCAATATCCCTTAAGGCCTGAAGCTCATAAAGGATTACAGAATATTGTTAGACATTTAAATGCACAAGGCTTAATAAGAAAATGCAGCAGTCCCTGCAACACCCCAATTCTAGGAGTGCAAAAACCAAACAGTCAGTGGAGACTAGTGCAAGGTCTTAGACTCATCAATGAAGCAGTAATTTCTCTACATCCAGTTTTACCCAACCCCTATACCCTGCTCTCTCAAATACCAGAGGAAGCAGAATGGTTCACTATTCTGGACCTAAAGGATGCCTTCTTCTGATTTTCCCTGCACTCTGACTCCCAGTTTCCCTTTGCCTTTGAGGATCCCACAGACCACACATCCCAACTTACGTGGACGTTCTTGCCCCAAGGGTTTAGGGATAGCCCTCATCTGTTTGGCCAGGCACTGACTCAAGATCTAGGCCACTTCTCAAGTCCAGGAACTCTGGTCCTTCAGTATGTGGATGATTTACTTCTGGCTACCAGTTCAGAAGCCTCATGCCAGCAGGCTACTCTAGATCACTTAAACTTTCTAGCTAATCAAGGGTACAAGGTGTCTAAATCGAAGGCCCAGCTCTGCCTATAAGTCAAATGTCTAGGCCTAATCTTAGCCAGGGCCCTCAGCAAGGAATGAATACAGCCTATACTGACTTATCCTCACCCTAAGACATTAAAACAGTTGTGGGGTTCCTTGGAATCACCGGCTTTTGCCGACTATGGATCCCCAGATACAGCGAGATAGCCAGGACCCTCTATATTCTAATCAAGGAGACCCAGAGGACAAATACTCATCTAGTAGAATGGGAACCAGAGGGAGAAACAGCCTTCAAAACCTTAAAACAGGCCCTAGTACAAGCTCCAGTCTTAAGCCTTCCCATAGGACAAAACTTCTCTTTATATGTCACAGAGGGAGGAGGAATAGCTCTTGGAGTCCTTACTCAGACTTGTGGGCCAACCCCACAACCAGTGGCATACCTAAGTAAGGAAATTGATATAGTAGCAAAAGTCTAGCATCACTGTTTACAGGTAGTTGCAGTGGTGGCCATCTTAGTATCAGAGGCTATCAAAATAATACTAGGAAAGGATCTCACTGTCTGGACTACTCATTATGTAAATGGCATACTAGGTGGCAAAGGAAGTTTATGGCTATTAGCCAACTGCCTGCTCAGATACCAAGCACTACTCCTTGAGGGACCAGTGCTTCAAATACACATGTGTGTGGCCCTCAACCCTGCCAATTTTCTCCCAGAGGATGGAGAACAAATGGAGCATGACTGCCAACAAATTATAGTCCAGACTTATGCTACCTGAGATGATCTTTTAAAAGTCACTTTAGCTAGTCCTGACCTTAACCTATATACTGATGGAAGTTCATTTGTGGAGAATGGGATACGAAGGGCAGGTTATGCCATAGTTAGTGATGTAACAGTACTTGAAACTAAGCCTCTTCCCCCAGGGACCAGACCCCAGTTAGCAGAACTAGTGGCACTTACTCAAGCCTTAGAACTGGGAAAGGGTAAAAGAATAAATGTGTATACAGAAAGCAAGTATGCTTATCTAATCCTACATGCCCATGCTGCAATATGGAAAGAAAGGGAGCTCCTAACCTCTGGGGGAACCCCCATTAAATACCACAAGGAAATCATGGAGTTATTGCACACAGTGCAAGAACCCAAGGAGGCGGCAGTCTTACACTACTGAAGCCATCAAAAAGGGGAAGGAAAGGGGAGAACAGCAGCATAAGTGGCTGGCAGAGGTAGGGAAAGACCAGCAGAGAGGAAAGAGAAAGACAGGAAGTCAGAGAGAAAGAGAAAGAAAGTCAAAGAGAGAAGGAAAGAGAGAGATGGAAGTAGTGAAGTAAAGAAAAAACAGTGTATCCTATTCCTTTAAAATCCAGGGTAAATTTAAGACCCATAATTGATAATTGAAGGTCTTCTCCATGACCTTATAACACTGCAATACCACCTTGTTGTCAGTGTAAACAAGGGCTCACACACAGCTCAATGAGCCAGGCTGAAAACACTGAGGTCACTGACAACCTGTAGCCTTCCTATCAAAAATCCGTAACCCAGCAAGTTTCCTAACAGGGGATCTAAATCTTAATTAGTTACCATACAAAGGTCCTACCAGACCTGGGAGGAACTCCCGCCAGGACAGGATGATAGATAGTTCCTCCTGGGCTATTCAGGGAAAAAGACACAATGGGTATTCAGTAAGTGATAAGGAAACTCTTGGAGAAGCAGAGTTAGGAAAATTGCCTAATAATTGGTCTGCTCAAACGTGAGAGCTGTGTGCACTCAGCCAAACCTTAAATTACTTACAGAATAAGGACAGAGCCATCTATACCAATTCTAAGTTAATATGGACTGAACGAGGTCTTATTAATAGCAAAGAATAATTGAAATCCCAAACTTACAAGGTTTCAACAAAAGTAAAGTTTGCTAAAAGTTAACAGTGTAACATGTATTATTCTAACTCCTAATCTTGTGGAAATCAGACCTTATCGGTGCCCCTCAAAGCTCATGTCTATCAGCTCAGGGCCATACCAATAATACCCCTACTTATAGGGTTAGGAATGGCCACTGCTACAGGAACTGGAATAGCAGGTTTGTCCACTTCACTCTTACTACCACACACTCTCAAAGGATTTCTCAAACAGTTTGCGAGAAATAATAAAATCTATCCTTACTCTACAATCCCAAATAGACTCTTTGGCAGGAGTGACTCTCCAAAACCACCAAGGCCTAGACCTCCTCACTGCTGAGAAAGGAGAACTTTGCACCTTCTTAGGGGAAGATTGTTGCTTTTATACTCACCAGTCAGCGTTAGTATGAGACACCACCCGGCGTGTACAGGAAAAGGTTTCTGAAATCAGACAACACCTTTCAAACTCTTCTACCAACCTTTGGAGTTGGGTGACATGGCTTCTCCCCTTTCTAGTTGCCATGACAGCCATCTTGCTATTACTCGCCTTCAGGCCCTGTATTTTTAACCTCCTTGTCAAATTTGTTTCCTCCAGGATCAAGGCCATCAAGCTACAGATGGTCTTAGAAATGGAACCCCAAATGAGGTCAACTAACAACTTCTGCCGAGGACCCCTGAACCGACCCACTGGCCCTTTGGGTAGCCTAGAGTGTTCCCCTCTGGAGGACACTACCACTGCAGGGCCCCTTCTTTACCCCTATCCAGCAGGGAGTAGCTAGAGTTGTCATTGCTCAATTCCCAACAGCAGAGAATGTTGGGATGTCCTGTTTAGAGGGGAAATTGAGAGATGAAGCCAGCTGGACTTCCTGGTTCAAGTGGGGACTTGGAGAACTTTTCTGTCTTACAAGAGGTTTGTAAAATGCACCAATCAGTGCTCTGTAAAAAAGCACCAAATAGTGCTCTGTAGCTAGCCAGAGGTTTGTAAAATGGATGAATCACACTGTAAAATGGACCCATCAGCACTCTGTAAAATGCACCAATCAGCAGGACATGGGTGGGGACAAATAAGAGGATAAAAGCTAGCCACCCCAGCCAACAGTAGCAACCTGCTCAGGTCCCCTTCCAAGCTGTGGAAGCTTTGTTCTTTTGCTCCTCACTATAAATCTTGATGCTGCTCAGGCTTTTGGTCCGTGCCACCTTTATGAGCTGTAACACTCACTGTGAAGGTCCATGGCTTCATTCTTGAAGTCAGTGAGACCAGGAACCCACCAGAAGGGACAAACTCCAGACACATTGTCATGTTGGGCGGCTGCCTGACGCTGTTGGAAGGCGAGAGGGCTATAGTGTTAGAGCTCTGCTTCAGGGAATCCTGAGGTCTGGGCACCTGTAAGTGTCACCATTCTTTACTCCCTCAGTCTAGTGAATGGGAGTGTGTCAATACCCACAGCTCAGTAAGCCAGCCAGGAACTTTTTACAGCCCCTTTTTGTCCCACCAACAGCTTGGTGAACCAGCCAGGAAGTGTTACCACCCCCTTTGCACCTGCCCACAGCTTGGTGATCTGGCCAGGAAAGTGTTACATACGGCCCTTTTTCACTCCCACCCACAGCTCAGTGAGGCAGCTAGGAAAGTGTTACAGACCTTTTCATGCCCACAGTTCAGCGGGGCCTGAGTTCTTGTCCTGTGTCCAGGAAGAATGAGGTTACACAGACAACTAGAGAGTGAGCAAGGTGGAGACAAGTTTTATTGAGTGACAGAACAGCTCTCACCAGAGAGGAGACCTGAGGTGGGTACTTTCTACTCACAGGCATGTAGTCCTGACATGTATCTGAGTTCAGCTGAGCCTAGGGTTTTTATGGTCTCAGAGTGGAAGAAGTGCATGCTGATTGGTCCATGGGTGGACATGGAAAAAGCATCATCTGATTGGCCTGAAGGCATCAAGGAAGTTCCTACTCTGGGTTGTGGACTCTACTCAGAACTGGCAGCCTGGTTTTCAGGCTTCAGGCTGTCTCTGACTTAAAGGTTGGGTTTCACTGCAGACCTGCCCCTCTCTGCCCAGGAATTTGCCTGCCTCCTGCAGCTATCAATATGTGTTCCATGACTGTATGGCATTCCTGAATATCTGATGTGTCCTAATATATGTTGTTGGTAATTATTACATTAAATTGTTGTATGCCACAGAATAGTCAAATTTCCTTGTCAGCTCTGTCTTTAACTATAGCTGTCTTAAGAATTTGTCATTCAAAAATAATATTTTGCTTTGATCCTCCTCAAAAAAAGTGACTTATAATCAGCACACTCCAAGGCTTGCTTCTTTGGATGAGTTCATGAAAAGGACTCTTGAATGCAGATTTTGATAACTTTGGAGATTGTGCCATTGGATTGGAGAGAAAACATTCAGGGCACTAACTGAAAAACTGATGTGTTTGTAAATATTGCTAACCCAATATGAAGCAGAGCAGGAGTTGATTGCATGGATTGAACTAATGGAGAAAGGAAAAAACGTTTTATTGTGTTTGTTGTTTGAAATATTACTGATTCTTTTTGTTTTGTTTTTCAGAGTCTTGGGGATCTTTTTCTTTTGATCTATTTATTGCCTTGAAATATAGTTAAGTATATTGAGTATACTTTTGTAAACAGAATTTGAGTCACATTTCTCTCTCTGCCTAAAGTCTTGTAAACTATTTGTGAATATTCTTAATTCATGGCAATGTGTTTGTCAGTTATGAAATGAGGCAAACATGTATTAAGTATTCAATGAAAAAACACAACTATTCAATGAAAGAAAAAAACAATTCTGACATATATGTCTCATCAACAACCAGCAATTACTTCAAGATGCAAACTGTTATTACATCTAAATACTTTTAAAATAAGGACCTTACCTGACTTCATCTAAAATTAATATAATTACTGTGAACTTCAGTCATTTATCCTTTTAGCAGGTTATTAAATACCTACATTGTCTATTTTATAGCAAGGAAACTACGAGAAAAAGATATCTCAATCTTAGAGAAGCCATTAGCAGTGACATATTATATTATGTCATAACTTGATAAATAGGTAAATTACATAATTTATAAATTTTAAATTTTAACAAATTAAAAATTTAAGTTTAAATTGAATTAAACTTAAATTTTAACTTTAAGTAAATTAAAAATATAAATTTATAAATAAATTACATGCAAACATGAAAAGATAAATTACACAATACTACAACACAAAGACTCAGCATCAAAACATGGTTCTAGTGTTTTTTTAAATTCTGGAAACATATTATTGTACTCTGTTTGTCTTTACCTGTGAAGCAAAATTGTTTAAAGTTGGAGTAATCTGGGAATGATTAAGGCTGACTCTCAGGTAAACAAACATGACTGTGGGATTGACCAGCCTTCTTGGAGACAGCCAGGTCCACTTTCCAGATCATAGTTTTCAAGGGGCATGACAGCATTTGATGAGAGTTACATAGAAATAGATGAGTCACAAATGTAGTATAAACAGTCAACTGTTGGATAGCTAAAAATAAACCAGTTTTCAGCACAAGTAACATTCAACCAATTCCCAAAAATGTTTGGAAATTCTTGTTCCCTGACAGAACCTGAAAAGGCAGAAAGTGTAAAGACTGCATGAATGGGCTACAGCATACAAATCAGAAGTTAAGAAAATTTCTGTGCAATGAGAAATAAGCACATAAAGTGTTGTAAGAATAAAAGAACAATGCTGTGAGGCCCACACAGGCACACAGGCACATCAGAGAGAGGTCTCTGGCAAAATCCTTGGTGTTAAGTGAGATTTGCTTCATGATGAAGATAAAGTTTCTAATTCTGATACTATTAGTACAAATCAAAAAGCATTAGCAAGTGTTTCTAAGAAAGGTGATTACTCAAATGATGCTCTACTACAGAAGTCCCCAAACATTTTGGCTGATTTCATGGAAGACAATTTTTTCACAGTTGGGGGGTTGGGGGGGTGGCAGGGGGTTGGGTGGAGCAGGAGGGATGGTGGTGGGATGAAACTGTTCCACCTCAGATCATCAGGCTTTAGATTCTCATAAAGAGTGTGAAACATAGATTGCTTGCATGCACAGTTCACAATAGTGCTTCTATGAGAATCTAATGCTGCTTCTGATCTGACAGGAGGTGGAGCTCAGGTGGTGATGCTGTCTTGCCCACCACTCCCCTCTTGCTGTGAGGCCCAGTTCCTAGCAGGGCATGGACTGACACTGGTCTGTAGCCTGGGGGTTGGGAACACCTGCCTTACTATATTCCACATCTCAATAAAATCCAAAACATGCTAGAACCAATGAATGAATACAAAAAGAAAACAGAAAAATAATGTATGATTTTATTTTTTTAACAGGTTAACAATATGAAAATATTACTCAGCAAAAAAGACTCTTCTAAAGGGGAAAAGTGTAAGACTGTTTTTTTTTTTTTTGAAACAAAATGAAATCTATTTTTCCATATTCTAATAAGAGGATTCTGGCCATTGGTTTTTCTATTTTTCAAGACTGTTTTCAAGTGGAGGCAATATTTTGTTTTTGTTCATTACTTTGTTTTTAGTTTATCATGATATGTTTACTGTATGAGTAAAATTCATATGTGTGTATTTCCAAATACAGTTCAAACCATAATCTTTCATAACTTTATGTAGACCAGGCATGGTGGCTCACACCTGTAATCCCAGCATTCTGGGAGGCTGAGACGGGAAAATTGCTTGAGCCCAGGAGTTTGAGACCAGCCTGGGCAACATAGTGAAACCCCTTCTCTACTAAAAAGACAAAAAATTAGCCAGTCATGGTACTGTGCACCTGTTATCCCAGGTACTTCGTCCCTGAGCCTGGGAGGTCAAGGTTGCAGTGAGTGAAGATCATGCCACTGCAATCCAGCCTGGGCAACCAGAGTGAGACTGTCTTAAAAAAAATCTTTACATAAAACTTACCCCTTTCATTTGATTTTTACTTTATTAACAGTTTCTAAATGCAAAGATCGAATTAAAATATATCAGCAATCAGACAAACGTTCTGTTAATTTGTTCTAATACGTGGTCTTCTGTTGGGTTTCTAAGACTTTCTTATGATTAGCTTTTATAAAATAAAATCTTTTAAGGTTTTAAGATTGTTTATATGCCCTATGGTGTACATAACATATTCTCAAAATGTATTGATTTTGTAATAATGCAAAAGCGATATATTACATGTATGCTCACACTCAGATACTTTAAATTCACAGGATTTTCCTTGACACTTAAAGTTACAGTAGTGGTCTTTTGAATCTGACATTTGTATGATTGGTGGATTGTGCTCCAGTTATATTGACCTTTTTTTTTTTTAAATTTCAGTGCTCACTAGCTCATCAGATGCCATGCTGCCCAAAAAAAAAAAAAAAAGCGCTCACAATTTCCCTTCTCCTCTGTCAATTAGTGTATCTTCTTCAAGAGCACTGATAATCATCCATGAATAGTTCTTACCTTGGCTGTCTACAACTCTCTATAACCTTTATAACCTTCAAGGAGCTATTTGTCTTTGCATTACCTAATCTTGTAGATTTATATACTTGTAAGCCCAAGAGCTACTTCTTAGCCCCAGGGTAGCAATACATACTCTATTTATTTCTTTGCCAAAGCTGCCTTTTCCCCCCTTTAAAGCAACCATCATTTTATATTTTCTTAGATAATTCTTTTTTCAATACTTCTCTTTTTTATTGTTATTGTCTCTAAAGACAATATTTTACTAACCTACTAATAAGTCCTACTAGTATAAATTCTTATTACAAAGGAGTGGTTAGGGCATGACACATTTTTTAAATTTCTTTTTAAAAAAGTCTATTCAACACAATATTGTGCATATTTATAGAATATATGGTGATGTTGCAATACATCTAATGCACAGTGAGCAGATTAGGGTAATTAGCATACCCATCATCTCAAACATTGATCATTTCTTTGTGTTGGGAACAGTCAATATCCTCCCTCTAGCTATGTGAAACTATGTATTATTGTTAACTATAGTCATTCTACAATGCTATAGAATACTAGAACTTATTTCTCCTAACTAGCTGCAATTTTGTAGTTGTTGACAAATCTCTCCCTATTTTGTCGTTTCTCCTACCCTTCCCAGCCTCTAGTAGCCTCTATTCTACTTCTTAGTTCTGTGAGAGCAACTTTTTTTTTTACCTTCATCATATAAGTGAGAATGTGGTGTTTAACTTTTCTGTTCCCGACTTATTTCACTGAACATCCTCCAGTTTCATCCATGTTGCCACAAATACCAGAATTTCATTCTTTTTTATGATAAACTAGTATTCCATTGTGCCCATTGTGTATATATACCACACTGTCTTTATCATTAATCTGTTGTTGGACACCTAGGCTGATCTATGTCTTGGCTATGTGAATAGTGCTGCAATAAACATGGGGCTGCACATGTCTCTTTGATATACTGATTTTGTTTTCTTTGAATAAATGCCTAGTAGTGGGATTGTGGAACCATATGGTAGTACTATTTTCAGATTTTTGAAAAATCTCCATACTGTTTTTCATAGTAGCTATACTAGTTTACATTTACCAACTGTAGCAGAGGTCTATTTTCTCTACATCCTTGCCTGTATTTGTTATTTTTGTCTTTCAAATTTTTCTGTATCTTTGATAATAAACAATTTAACTATGATACCTCATTGTGATTTTAATTTACATTTCCCTGATGATTAGTGATGTTGAGCATTATTCATATATTTTTCAGCCATTTGCACATCTTCTTTTGAGAAATGACTGCTCAGATCATTTGCAAATTTTTAAATTTTATTATTTGGCTATGGTTTTTTGTTGGTTTGTTTGTTGTTTGTTTTGCTATTGAGATGTTTGAGTTCCTTATATATTCTGGATATTAATCCCCTTTCAGATAAATACTTTAAAATATTTTTTTTCTTCTTGTATGTTGTCTTTTCTTTCTGTTGATTGTTTCCTTTGCAAAAAAATTTTAGTATGATATGTCATTTTTTTAATTGCTTTTGTTTCCTGTGCTTTTGAGGTCTTATTCATAAAATCTTTCCTCAGACAAATACCCTGAAGTATTTCCCCTGTGTTTTCCTTTAGTAGTTTTGTAGTTTCAGGTATTACGTTTAGGCCTTTGATTCATGTTGAGTTTATTTTGTATAAAATGAGAGGTGGAGGTCTAGTTACATACTTCTGCCTATGAATATCCAGTTTCTCAGAATGAGTTATTGAAAAGGATATGCTTGCCACAGTGTGTTCTTGGCACCTTTGTCAAAAATCAGCTGGCTATAAATGCTGGGATTTATTTCTGTTCCATTGGTCTATGTTTCTTTTTTACGCCAGTATCATGCTGCTTCAGTTACTATAGCTTTGCAGTGTATTTTGAAGTATGGTAGTGTGATGATTCCAGCTTTGTTCTTTTTGTTCAGCATTGCTTTGACTATTTGGGAGCTTTCACAGCTCTATATGAATTTTAGGATATTTTTCCTATTCTGTAAAGAATTCCATTGGTATTTTCATAACAATTGTATTGAATCTGCAGATTGTTTGGAGGTAGTTTGGTTATTTTAGCAATGTTGGTTCTTTTGGTCCATGAGCATTTGATGTTTTTCTATTTGTTTTTCCCTGCTTCAGTTTTTTAATCAATGTTCTGTAGTTTTCATTGCAGAGATCATTCACCTCCTGGTTAAATTGATTCCTAAGTATTCTATTTTTTGTAGTGATTATAACTAGGATTGCCTTATTGGTTTCTTTTTTTATTATTATACTTTAAGTATTGGGACTCATGTGCAGATTGTGCAGGTTTGTTACATAGGTATACATGTGCCATGGTGGTTTGCTGCACCCATCAACCCATCATCTACATTAGGTATTTCTCCTAATGTTATCCCTCCCCTTTCCCCCCAACCCTGACAGGCCCCAATGTGTGATGTTCCCCTCCCTGTGCCCATATGTTCTCACTGTTAAACTCCCACTTATGAGTGAGAACATGCAGTGTTTGGTTTTCTGTTCCTGTGTTACTTTGCTGAGAATGATGGTTTCCAGCTTCATCCATGTCCCTGCAAAGGACATAAGCTCATTGATTTTCATGGCTGCATAGTATTCCATGGCGTATATGTGCCACATTTTCTTTATCCAGTCTAACATTGATGGGTATTTTGGTTGGTTCCAAGTCTTTGCTATTGTGAATAGTGCTGCAATAAGCATACATGTGCATGTGTCTTTATAGTAGAATGAGTTATAATCATTTGGGTATATACCAAGTAATGGGATTGCTTTATCAAATGGTATTTCTATTTCTAGATACTTGAGGAATTGCCATACTGTCTTCCACAATAGTTGAAGTAATTTACATTCCCACCAACAGTGTAAAAGCATTCCTATTTCTGCACATCTTCTCCAGCATCTGTTGTTTCCTGACTTTTTAATGATTGCCATTCTAACTGGAATGAGATGGTACCTCATCATTGTTTTGATTTGCATTTATATAATGATCAGTGATGATGAGCTTTTTTATGTTTTTTGTCCACATAAATGTCTTTTTTTGAGAAGCGTCTGTTGATATCCTTCACCCACTTTTTGATGGGGTTGTTTATTTTCTTATAAATTTGTTCAAGTTCCTTGTAGCTTCTGGATATTGGCCCTTTGTCAGATGGATAGATTGCAAAACTTTTCTCACAATCTCTAGGTTGCCTGTTCACTCTGATGATAGTTTCTTTTGCTGTGCAAAAGCTCTTTAGTTTAATTAGATCCCATTTGTCAATTTTGGCTTTTGTTGCTAATGCTTTTGGTGTTTTAGTCACGAAGTCTTTGCCGATGTGTATGCCCTGAATGGTATTGCCTAGGTTTTCTTCTAGGGTTTTTATAATTTTAGTTTTAAATCTTAAGTCCATCTTGAGTTAATTTTTGTGTAATATATAAGGAAAAGGTCCAGTATCAGTTTTCTGCATATGGCTAGACAGTTTTCCCAACACCATTTATTAAACAGGGAATCATTTCCCCATTGCCTGTTTTTGTCAAGTTTGTCAAAGATCAGATGGTTGTTGACGTGTGGTGTTATTTCAGAGGTCTCTGTTCTGTCCCTTTGGTCCATATATCTGTTTTGGTACCAGTACTATGCTGTTTTGGTTACTGTAGGCTTGTAGTATAGTTTGAAGTCAGGTAGCACGATGCCTCCAGCTTTGTTCTTTTTGCTTAGGATTGTCTTGGCTATATGGGCTCCTTTTTGGTTCCTTATGAAATGTATAGTAGTTTTTTTTAATTCTGTGAAGAAAGTCAATGATAGCTTGATGGGAATAGCATTGAATGCACAAATTACTTTGGGCAGTATGGCCATTTTCACGATATTGATTCTTTCTATCCGTGAGAATGGAATGTTTTTCTGTTTGTTTGTGTCTTTTCTTATTTCCTTGAGCAGTGGTTTGTAGTTCTCCTTGAAGAGGCCCTTCACATTCCAGGTAACTTGTATTCCTAGATATTTTATTTTCTTTGTAGCAATTGTGAATGGAAGTTTGCTCAGGATTTGGCTTTTTGTTTGTCTATTATTGGTGTATAGGAATGCCTGTAATTTTTGCACATTGATTTTGTATCCTGAGACTTTGCTGAAGTTGCTTATCAGCTTAAGGAGTTTTTGGGCTGAGACTATGGGATTTTCTAAATATACAATCATGTCATCTGCAAACAGAGATAATTTGACTTCCTCTTTTCCTATTTGAATACCCTTTATTTCTTTCTCTTTCCTGATTGCCCTGGCCAGGACTTCCAATTCTGTGTTGAATTGGAGTGGTGAGAGAGGACATCCTTATTTTGTGCATGTTTTCAAAGGGAATGCTTCCAGCTTTTGCCCATTCAGTATGATATCGGCTGTGGGTTTGTCATAGATAGCTCTTATTATTTTGAGAGACGTCCCATCAATACCTAATTTATTGAGAGCTTTTAGCATGAAGTGTTGTTGAATTTTATCAAAGGTCTTTCCTGCATCTATTGAGATAATCATGTGTTTTTTGTCTTTGGTTCTGTTTATGTGATGGGTTACATTTATTGATTTGCGTATGTTGAACCAGCCTTGCATCTCAAGGATGAAGCCTACTTGATCTTGGTGGATAAGCTTTTTAATGTGCTCTGGATTCGTTTTGTCAGTATTTTATTGAGAATTTTCGCATCGATGTTCATCAGGGATATTGGCCTGAAATTTTCTTTTTTTGTTGTGTCTCTGCCAGGTTTTGGTATCAGGATAATGCTGGCCTCATATAATGAGCTAGGGAGGAGTCCCTCTTTTTCTATTTTTTGGAATAGTTTCAGAAGGATAGGTACCAGCTCCTATTTGTACCTCTGGTAGAATTCTGCTGTGAATCCATCTGGTCCTTGGCTTTTTTTGGTTGGTAGGATTTTAATTACTGCTGCAATTTCAGAACCTGTTATTGGTCTATTCAGGGATTCAACTTCTTCCTGGCTTAGACTTGGGAGGGTGTGTGTGTTCAGGAATTTATCCATTTCTTCTAGATTTTCTAGTTTCTTTGCATAGAGGTGTTTATAGCATTCTCTGATGGTAGTTTGTATTTCTGTGGGGTCAGTGTGATCCCCCCTTTATCATTTTTTATTGTGCCTATTTGATTCTTTTTTCTTCTTTATTAGTCTGGCTAGCTGTCTATCTGTTTTGCTAATCTTTTCAAAAAACTAGCTCCTGGGTTCATTGTTTTTGAAGTGTTTTTCATGTCTCTATCTCCTTCAGTTCTGCACTGATCTTAGTTATTTCTCATCTTCTGCTAGCTTTTGAATTTGTTTGCTCTTGCTTCTCTAGTTCTTTTAATTCTGATGTTAGGGTGTCGATTTTTGATATTTCCCACTTTCTCCTGTGGGCATTTAGTGCTATAAATTTCCCTCTAAACACTGCTTTATCTGTGTCCCAGAGATTCTGGTATGTTGTCTCTTTGTTCTCATTGGTTTCAAAGAATTTATGTATTTCTGCCTTAATTTTGTTATTTACCCAGTAGTCATTCAGGATCAGGTTGTTCTGTTTCCATGTAGTTGTGCGGTTTTGAGATAGTTTCTTAATCCTGAGTTCTAATTTGATTCCACTGTTATCTGAGAGACTGTTATGAAATCTGTTTTTTTTTTGCATTTGCTGAGGAATGTCTTACTACCAGTTAAGTGGTCAATTTTAGAATAAGTGCAGTGTGGTGCTAAGAAGAATGTATATTCTGTTGATTTGTGGTGGAGAGTTCTGTAAATGTCAATTACATCCACCTGGTCCAGAGCTGAGTTCAAGTCCTGAATATCCTTTTTAATTTTCTGTCTTGTTGATCTGTCTAATATTGACAGTGGGATGTTAAAGTCTCTCACTATTATTGTGTGGGAGTCTAAGTCTCTTTATAGGTCTCTAAGTACTTGCTTTATGAATCTGGGTGCTCCTGTACTGGGTGTATATATATTTAGGAAAGTTAGCTCTTCTTATTGCACTGATCCCTTTTCCATTATGTAATGCCTTTAATCTTTGTTGGTTTAAAGTCTGTTTTATCAGAGACTAGGATTGCAACCCCCCTTTTTTTTTTGCTTTCCATTTGCTTGGTAAATCTTCCTCCATCCCTTTATTTTGTCTCATGCTGTGTTTTTCAGCTCCATCACGTCATTTATGTTCTTATTTCTAAACTGGTTATTCTAGTTAGCAATTCCTCTAACCTTTTATCAAGGTTCATAGCTTCCTTCCATTGGGTTAGAACATGCTCCTTTCCCTCAGAGGAGTTTATTATTACCCACCTTCTGAAGCCTACTTCTGTCATTTCATTAAACTCATTCTCTGTCCAGTTTTGTTTCCTTGCTGGCGAGGAGTTGTGATCCCTTTGAAGAGAACGGGCATTCTGGTTTTGGGAATTTTCAGCCTTTTTGTGCTGGTTTTTCTTCATCTTCTTTGATTTATCTACCTTTGATCTTTGCTGTAAGTGAACTTTGGATGGAGTTTTTGTGTGGTCATCCTTTTTGTTGATGTTGGTGCTATTGCTTTCTGTTTGTTAGTTTTCCTTCTAACAGGCCCCTCTTCTGCAGGTCTGCTGGTATTTGCTGGGTGTCCACTCCAGACCCTATTTGCCTGGGTATCACCAGCGGAAGCTGCAGAACAGCAACGATTGCTGCCTGCTCCTTCCTCTGGAAGTTTTGTCCCAGAGGGTCACCTGTCAGATGCCAACCGGAGCTCTCCTGTATGAGTGTCTGTCAACCCCTGATTGGAGGGAATCTCCTGGTCTGTGGGTTGCAAAAACGGTGGGAAAAGTGTAGTATCTGGGCCCTGTCCTTTACGGCGCTGTCTTTCATGGCACTGTCCCTCACAGCTTCCCTTGGCTAGCGGAGGGACTTCCCCGACCCCTTATGCTTCCTGGGTTAGGCTACACCCCACCCTGCTTCTGCTCGTCCTCTGTGGGCTGCACTCACTGTCTAACAGGTCCCAACCAGATGAACTGGGTACCTCACTTGGGAATGCAGAAATCACCTGCCTTCTGCATTGGTCTTGCTGGGAGCTGCAGACAGGAGCTGTTCCTATTTGGCCATCCTGCCTGGGAATCCCTGCCTTATTGGTTTATTTTTCAGCTAGTTTGTTGTTTATGTACAGAAACAGCACAGATATTTGTATGTTGGTTTTGTATTCTGAAACATTACTGAATTTATCAGTTTTGAGAGTTTTTTGGAAGAATATTTCCATTTTACTTTATAAAAGATCATGACATCTGTAAACAGGGATGATTTGACTTCCTACTTTCCAATTTGGGTATATTTTATTTCTTTCTTTTACCTAATTGGTCCGGCGAGGACTTCCAGCACTAAGTTGAATGAGAGCGGTGAGAGTGGGCATCCTTGTCTTCTAGTTTGAAGAAGCTTTCAGGTTTCTCTATTCAGTATGATGTTAGCTGTGGGTTTGTCATGTATGGCCTTTATTGCGTTGAGATACTTTCTTTCTATCCCTAATTTATTGAGAGTTTGTTCATCATGCAGCAATGTTGAGTTTTATCAAATGCTTTTTCTGCATCTATTGAAATGATCATATGATCTTTGTCTTTCATTCTGTTGATATGATATAACATGCTTGTTGATCCGTACATGTTGAACCATCCTTTCATTTCTAGGATAAATACAACTTGGTCATGGTGTATTAACTTTTTGTTTTGTTGTTGGATTTGGTTTGCCAGTATTTTGCTAAGGATATTTGTATCTATATTCATTAGGGATATTGGCTTGTAGTTCTCTATTTTGTTGTGGCCTTTTCTGGTTTTGGTATTAGGATTATGCTAGCCTTGTAAAACAAGTTAAGAAAAATTCTTTCCACTTCAATTTATTAGGAATAGTTTTAAAAGTATTGTTATTAATTCCTTTTCAAAGGTTCAATAGAAATTGGAGGGGAATCCCTCCAGTCATGGACTTGGCTTTGTTGAGAGATTTTTATTACTGATTCAATCTTGTAATATTTTATTGGTCTTTTCAGGTTTTCTCTTTCTCCTGGGTTCAATTACAGCAGGTTGTATGTGTGGGAATGTACTCATTTAAACTCTAGGTTTAAAATTTATTGTCATATAGTTCTTCATAGTAGTCTCTAATTATTCTTTGTACTTTTTTTTTTTTTTTTGGTGGAGTCTCGCTCTGTCGCCCAGGCTAGAGTGCAGTGGCACAATCTCGGCTCACTGAAAGCTCTGCCTCCTGGGTTCAAGCCATTCTCCTGCCTCAGCCTCCTGAGTAGCTGGGATTCTAGGTGACTGCCACCACCCCCAGCTAATTTTTTGTGTGTGTTTTTAGTAGAGACGGGGTTTCACCGTGTTAGCCAGGATGGTCTCCATCTCCTGACCTTGTGATCTGCCTGCCTTGGCCTCCCAAAGTGCTGGGATTATAGACTTGAGCCACTGCGCCTGGCCTATTTTTTGTATTTTTAAGGTATCTGTTGTGATATATCTTTTTTGTTTCTGATTTTATTTATTTGTGTCTTCTCCCTTTTTTTTTCTTAGTTCATCTAGCTAATGTCTTGTCAAGTTTCAAACATCAAACATCTTTTCAAAAAACTACATGTTGTTTGATCTTTTGTACCTGTTTGGTCTCAATTCGATTTATTTCTGCTCAGATCTTTGTTATTTTTTTTTCTTCTACTAATTTTTGGCTTTGGCTTATTCTTGCATTTTTTGTTCCTTGAGGTACATCATTGGGTTGTTTATTTGAAATATCTCTAGGTTTTTTTTTTAATATAGGCATTTATTGCTATAAACATTCCCCTTAATACTGCTTTTCCTGTATTTGTCCCATAGGTTTTAGTACCTGTTCTTTCATTTGCATTTTTTTCAAGCAATTTTTTTGTTGTTTTTAAAACTGTTTGTAGAGACAAGGTCTCACTATGTTGTTCAGGTTGGTCTTAAACTCCTGGCCTCAAATGATTCTCCCACCTTGGCCTCCCAAATCACCAAGCAATTTTAAAATTGTATTCTTAATTTCTTTCTTCACTTATAGCATATGTTACAAATAATCTGGATTCCTGAGAATCCATACAAGCTCAGCCCCTGGTATCTACCTCTTGTTTTCTCTTGTATTTAAGGTTTTTTATTTAAGAGAATTTAGCTTAGAAATTTTACTCTTGGTTTCTTTTTTCTTTTCTTTTTTTTTTTTTTTTTTGACGGAGTCTCACCCTGTCACCCAGGCTGGAGTGCAGTGGTGCAATCTCGGCTCACTGCAACCTCTGCCTCCTGGTTTCAAGTGATTCTCCTGCCTCAGACTCCCAAGTAGCTGGGATTACAGGTGTGCGTCACTGGGTCTGGCTAATTTTTGTATTTTTAGTAGAGATGGGGTTTCACCATGTTGGCCAGGCTGGACTCAAACTCCTGACCTCTGGTGATCCACTCTCCTTGGACTCCCAAAGTGTTGGAATTACAGGTGTGAGCCACTGCGCTCGGCCTACTCTTGCTTTCTGTGTTTAAATGTAAATACAAAGTTTACACTTTTCTTAAATATTTTCTTACCCCTTGCCTTGAACTAAGGTTTTATCTCTGTTTTCTATTAAGGTCTTTTATCTATAAATTTTCTTGCACCAAACCATTGCACGCCACCCAAAAAATAAATATATCATTCTAGAACAATAAAGACCTCTAGGCTCAAGTGGGTAACGTGAATTTCGAAGAATCTTAAAATGAGTTTACTTCAATTTATTGGCCATTGACTTTGCCATAGGCAGTATATCAGTTAGGACATACTTGTCTTCAAGTAAAATAAAACTTGAATTATATTAAGTCACAATGATATTTAATTTTTGCCTCTCAAAACTGGAAGAGTGTAGCACCAGAATTTATTTAGTTGCTTTATGGCATTAGAATTTTGTGTTGGCATCTCTGCAATTCATTTTGCTCTTTCTTCATTGTTAAAAGTTGTATGCAAATATCTAAATAGCACATGTTCATGTCATAGCATCCCAAATGGGGACAAAGAGAAAGCAACTCTCCCTGCAAGACAATTTTATCATAGGAGAATATTCCCCAAAATTCATGAAGAGACTTTGAAATTTTTTTGTTTGGCCAAAATTAGGTCACTCAGATACCCCTATCCAGTCATTGGAAAATAGTTTTATTACTATTGCTTTTAACAAGCATGATTTATACTCAAGACCTAGTATGTGAGTTCAGTGCTGTTTTGGGTCCACTCTTAAATATCAGAATTTAAATGAAGTTGGGTTTTCAATACTTCAGAAAAAAGGGGAATAGCTGTTATATGGATAGCCAGTATTAGTCACTATAGACAACTCGTCCTACCTTTGGAAACTATCCACTTGAGGGCCTTTGCCGACTTCTCTAGAATAGTGTTTATTTATAAATATTGTATGTATTTGAGGTTTACAACATAATGCCTTGATAATCTTGATGTACATATACACTGTGAAATGATTACTACAGTAAAGCTAGTTAACATTCGTCTCCTTACACAGTTGCTTTTTTTTATAGTGATAACATTTAGGATCTCCTCTCTTAGCAAATGTCAAGTATTACAATACAATATTATTAACTATAGTAACCTTGCTGTAAATTAGATCTCTAGAATTTACTCATCCTACATAACTGAAACTTTGTACCTTTTAACTAATATCTCCCCATTCTCCTCCCACTCCTGCATGCGTGCTTGATAACCACCATTCTACTGTGTGCTTCTATCATTTAGATATTTTTTTATATTCCAAATTTAAGTGAGTTTATGCAGTACTTTTCTTTTCTGTGTCTGACTTATTTCATTTAGCATAGTGTTTTCCAGGTTAGCACATGTTGTGGCAAATAGCGAGATTTCATTCTTTTCTTTCTTTCTTTTCTTTTCTTTTCTTTCTTTTTTTTTTTTTTTTTTTTTTTTTTGAGACGGAGTCTCACTCTTTCACCCAGGCCGGACTGCAGTGGCGCTATCTTCCACCTCCAGGGTTCACGCCATTCTCCTGCCTCAGCCTCCCGAGTAGCTGGGACTACAGGCGCCCGCCACTGCGCCCGGCTAATTTTTTGTATTTTAGTAGAGACGGGGTTTCACCGTGTTAGCCAAGATGGTCTCCATCTCCTGAACTCGTGATCCGCCCGCCTTGGCCTCCCAAGATTTCATTCTTTTTCAAGGCTGAATGATGGTGTATGTATATTTTTCCCCTAAAATTTCTTTATACACTTATCTGTTGACAGACACTGGGGCATTTCGGTTGTTTCCATATCATAGCTATTGTGAATAATGCTGCAATGAACATGAATGTTCATAAATCTCTTTGATATACTGATTTTATTTTACTTTTTTAGCTATGTAACTAGAAGTGGGATTTCTGCATCATGTATAGTTTTTATGTTTAATTTTTTCAGGCACTTCTATACTCTTTTTATAATGGCTGTAGCAATTTACAGAACCACCAACAGTCTACAAAGGTTGCCTTTTACCCACATCCTTGCCAGCACTTGTTTGCTTTTGTCCTTTTGATAATAGCCAACCTAACAGATGTGAGGGAATCTTTCATTGTAGTTTTGATTTGCATCTCCCTGATGAACAGGGATGCTGCACAGTTTTTCATATATCTGTTGGCTACTGTATGTCTTCTTAGGAAAATGTCCACTCAAGTCCTTTACCCATTTTTAATTAGATTTTTTTTTTCGCTATTGAGTTGTATGAGTTCCTCATAAATTTTGGACATTAACCCCTTATCAGGGGTTTGAAAATATCTTCTGCCAATCCATATGCTGCCTCTCTATTTTTATTTTTAACTCTGCAGAAGCTTTTTACTTTCATATGGCCACTTTTATTTTTGCTTTTGTCACCCATGCCTTAGGTGTCATATCTAAAAATTCATGGCCAAGAGCTTTTCACCTATGTATTTGTTTAGGAGTTTTATGGTTTCAGATCTTACTTAGTTGTTTTTTTTTAATCCATTTTGAGTTAAAGTTTATGTATGATTAAGGTAACTAGTCCCATGGGATATCTAGTTTTCCCATCACTATTTGTTGAAGAGATTATCCTTTACCATTATAGATTCCAGGAACCTTGGTTGAAGATTAGTTGGCCATATATACATGGATTTATTTCTGGGCTCTCTATTCTCTTCCATTTGTCCATTTGTCTGTTTTTATTTCAGTGCCGTGCTATTTTGATTACTATAGATTTGTAACATAATTTGAATTCAGGAAGTGTAACACCTCTAATTTCATTCTTCTTTCTCAAGATTCCTTTGGCTATTTTAGGTCTTCGTGATTTCATATGAATTTTGGGGTTTTATTTTCTGTTTCCATAAAAATATCCCATTGGAATTCTGATAGGAATTACATTGAATCTATAGATTGTTTTGAGCAGTATGGACATTTTAACAATATTTGTTCTTCTAGTCCGTGAATATGTGATAACTTTCCACTTAGTTGTGTTGTTTTAAATTTCTTTCATCAATGTTTTAATAGTTTTCTGTGTACTTTTTTTTATTATTTTGGTTACATTTGTTTCTATGTATTTTACTCCTTTTGATGCCATGTAAATGGTATTATTTTATTTCCTTTTTGGAAAGTTCACTATTGGTGTAAAGAAACACTACTGATTTTGTAGGTGAGTTTTGTGTTATCATAAAATCATTTAGTAGTTCTAACCATTTTTTAAAAATTGAGTCTTTGGGGTTTTATTCATGTAGGATCATGTCATCTGTACATAGATAATTTTGCTTCATTCTTTCCAACTTAGATGCTTTTTATTTATTTTTCTCATCTAATCACTCTGGTAAGAACTTCCACTATTATGCTAAATAGAAGTGATGTGAAAATGGACATTCTTGCCTTTACTGGATCTCTGATGAAAATCTAAAAGCCACATTGATTATGTTACTTTTTTTTTCACAAATGGCTTTTATATGTTGAGGTAAATTCCTTCCATACTAATTATGTTTGTAACTTTTGATCACCTATAAATGTTGAACTTTGTCAAATACTTTTGTTTTTGCATCTACTAAGATAATCATGTAATGTTTAGCTTACATTCTGTTAATGCAGTGTATTATATTGATGAATTTGCACATGTTGCGCCAACAGTGCATTCAGGGATATATCTCACTTGGTCATGGTGTATAATCTTTTAAATGTACTGTTGAAATTGGTTTGCTAGTATTTTACTGATGATTTTTGCATCTATATTCACCACAGATATTACCCTGTAGTTTCTCTTTTCTTTTTGTTTTTCCTTGTGGTGTTTTTGTTTGCTTTGGTATCAGGATAATGCTGGCTTTATAAAATGAATTTGAAGTGCTTCCTCTTATTCTGTTTTTCAGAAGAGTTTAAGATAGATTAGTATTAATTACTGCTTGAATGATTTGTAGAATATCCATGAAGACATTTTATAAAGTCATTTAGTCCTAGGCTTGTCTTTATTGAGTGGTTTTGATTACTACTTTAATTTCATTGTTATTAGTGTGTTTACACTTTCTATTTCCTTTTTATTCAGTCTTGATATGTTGTATGTTTCCAGAAATGTACTTAATTCTTTTCAATTTGTTGGTATATAATTTTTCCTTATGATTATTTTTATTTCTGAGTCATTCATTGTAATGTCTCATTTTTCATTTCTGATTTCATTGGAGCCTTCTTTCTTTTTAGTCCAGCTAATAATTTGTTAATTTTGTTTTTCTCTTCAAATAAAAAAAACTATTACTTTATTCATATTTTTTCTATTCTCTGCTTGTTTCTGCTCTGATAGTCATTACTTCTTCCCTTCTACTAAGTTTGGGCTTTGTTTGTTCTTTTTTTAGTTCCTTAGGGCATAAAGCTAGGTTGTTTATTTGAGATACTTTTTCTTTTTTAATGTAGAGTTTTATTGCTATGAACTTCCCTTTTAGTACAGCATTTGCTGTACCTTGCACATTTTAGTGTCTTGTGTTTTGGTTTTCATTTGTCTCAAGATAATTTTTAATTTCCTTTTGATTTTTTCTTTGGTCCAACACTCATTCAAGAGTGTGTTCTTTATACATAGTTCTGAATTTTCCCATTTTCTTATTGTTATTGATTTTTAGTTTCATTTCATTGGTAAAAGTGCAGAGTTTTTATATGCAAGTGAAGTTAAATCATTATGAGGTTAAAATAGTATGTTATAACTATAAGATTTAATTTAATCCTTATGTTAACCACAAAAAGCCCTATAGGATACCTATAGAATGTCTTTTACCCCAAAGAAAAAGAGAATGGAATCAAAACTTACCAATAACAGTAATAAAAAAGAAAGATGAAGAAAGATAGCAAGAGAGTAAAAGAGGGACAAAAAAAGACAAAATGCCAATAGTAAGCCTTTTCTTATCGATAATGACTTTAAACATAAATGTATTAATTCCTCAATAAAAAGACATGTAGGACCCAAATGGATTTTTTTTAATATTGCTCTATGCTGTCTACAGGAAACTCACTTTATATTCAAGGACACACATAAGCTGTAAGTGAAGGGATGGAATAAGATATTCTGTGTAAATGGTAACCAAAATTAAAAAAAGATAAGTGTCTATATGTATACTAGACAAAATAGACTTTAGGTCAAAAACTGTCTCTAGTGACAAAGAGGTCATTTGTCATTTAAGATTAAAAAATGACATTTTTAAAATATAAATATGTCAATTCAACAGGAATAAAAATTATAAATATATATGCATTGATATTTAGAGCATGTAAGTATATAAAGCAAATATTGACAGAACTGAAAGAAATTGAACCTGACAGTTAATACAATACTAGTAGACTTCAATACCCCATTTTAAATAATGACTAGAACATCTTGACAGAAATAAGAAAAAAAATGCATGTGAATAGTACGATAGATCAAATAGACCTAACAGATATATACAAAACTTTTCACCCAGCAGCAGAAAAACTTATATTCGCTTAAAGACACATGAAACGTTTTCTGAGATCAATTATGTATTTCATCATAAAACAAGTCTTAACAAATTTAAGAAGATTGAAATCATACCAAGTATCTTTTCTGACCACAATAAAATAGCATTTAAAAGTAGTACCAGCGAAAAAAATAATCAAGTTTACGTATATTTGTATATATCAAAATACATAAGATATGACTTGTCTGTGCCCCCACGAAAATTTCATCTTGAACTGTAGTTCCCATCATGCCCATATGTCATGGAAGGGAACTGGTGGGAGGTAATTGAATCATGGTGATGAGTTTTTCCATGCTGTTCTTGTAATAGTGAATAAGTCTCATGAGCTCTGCTGGTTTTATAAAGGGTAGTTCCCCTGCACATGCTTTCTTCTCTGCTGCCATGTAAGATATGCCCTTGCTTCCCCTTCACTTTCTGCCATGATTGTGAGGCCACCCAAGCCATGTGGAACTCTGAGTCCATTAAACCTCTTTTGCTTTATAAATTACCCGTTCTCATGTGTTTCTTCATAGCAGTATGAAAATGGACTAATAGAGTAAATTGGTACTAGTAGAGTGGGGTGCTGCCATAAGGATACCCAAAAATGTGAAAGTAACTTTGGAACTGGGTAACAGGCAGAGGTTGGAACAATTTGGAGGGCTTAGAAGAAGATAGGAAAATATAGAAAAGTTTGAAACTCCTGAGAGACTTGTTAAATGGCTTTGATCAAAATGCTGGTAGTGATATGAAAAATAAACTCTAGGGTGAGGTAGTCTCAGATGGAGATGAGGAACTTCTTGGGAACTGGAGTAAAGGTCACTCTTGCTATGCAAAGATACTGGTGGCATTTTGCTACTGCCCTATAGATGGGGGGAGCTTTGAACTTGAGAAAGATGATTTAAGGTAGCTGGTAAGAGACATTTCTAAGCAGCAAAGCATTCAAGAGGAAGCAGAGAATAAAAGTTGGGAAAATTTACAGCCTGACAATGCAATATGAAAGAAAACTATTTCTGCAGAGAAATTCAAGCAGGCTGCAGAAATTTGCATAAGTAATGAAGAGCCAAATGTTAATCACCAAGAAGGGGAAAATGTCTTCAGGCATGTCAGAAACCTTCACAGCAGCCTTTGTGGCTTCCACGTGCTGTTGAGCCTGTGGGTACACAGAAGTCAAGAATTTAGGTTTGGGAACCTCTGCCTGGGTTTCAGAGTATGTATGGAAATGCCTGGATGTCCAGGCAGACTTTTACTGCAGGGGCAGAGCCCTCATGGAGAACCTCTGCTTGGGCAGTATAGAAGAGAAATGTGAGGTTGGAACCCCCACACAGAGTCCCCACTGGGGCACTACCTAGTGAAACTGTGAGAAAAGGGCCACCATCCTCCAAATCCAGAATGGTAGATCCACTGACAGCTTGCACTATTCACCTGGAAAAGCCACAGACACTCAAAGCCAGCCCGTGAAAACAGCCAAGAGGTGAGCTGTACCCTGCAAAGCTACAGAGGCAGAGCTGTCCAAGAACATGGGAGCCCACCTTTTGCATCAGTGTGACCTGGATGTGTGACATGGAGTCATAGGAGATCATTCTGGAGCTTTAAGATTAGACTGCCCAGCTGAAATTCAGAATTGCATGGGGCCTGTAGCCCCTTGGTTTTGGCCAATTTCTTCCATTTGGAATGTGCATGTTTAACCAATGCCTGTACTCCATTGTGTCTAGGAAATAACTCACTTTATTTTGATTTTGCAGGCTCATAGGTGAAAGGGACTTGCTTTGTCTCAGACTAGACTTGGACTGTGGACTTTTGAGTTAATTCTTAAATGAGTTAAGACTTTGGGGGACTGTTGGGAAGTCATAATTGTTTTTGAAATGTGAGGACATGAGATTTTGGAGGGGCCAGGGGAGGAGTAATATGGTTTGGCTGTGTCCCCACCCAAATTTCATCTTTAATTGTAGCGCCCATAATGACCAGGTGTTGTGGGAGGGACATTTTTGGGAGGTAATTGAATCACGGTGGCAGGTTTTTCGCATGCTGTTCTCATGATAGTGAATAAGTCTCATGAGATCTGCTGCTTTTATAAAGGGTAGTTCCCTTTCACATGCTTTCTTGTCTTCCACCATATAAGACATGCCCTTGCTCTTCCTCCACATTCTGCCATGATTGTGACACCTCCCCAGCCACGTGGAACTGTGGGTCCATTAAAATCCTTTTTCTTTATAAATTACTTGGTCTTGGATATTTTCTCATAGCAGTATGAAAATAGACTAATACAATATATCATACATATGCACCAGTTTTAATATTTGTTTATACACATACATACATATATATACATGCATATATAATTAAATGTATATTTATCTTCCTTGATCCCTACATATGTTTATGCACGTTTATATAAATATAAATATATATTTAAATGCATATCTACATATGTACGTTTTTATGCATATATATCTTCCTTTTACTCTCCTACATGACTATTTCATACCATATTACATCCTTTTCATTAATATGCTTTGCTGATAACTGGTATCTTCTTTAACTGAGATAATTGATGTAACCACAAAAAAATTCACAATTTTCTACTTACCTTCTTGCGTTTTTGTCTATATGCCTTACATTCTCTCCTACTTCTACAGATAAAGTACTCATGCTTCTTGCTTAGACCAATCTCTCCACTTTTCACTTTATTTCTCCTTTCTGATCTACCTTAGCATAATGCTCTGGCAAGTTTACCCTGTGTACTCTGCATTGAATTATTTATTTTTCCTGAACCAGTCATGTAAACATGCAAATATTCTGATACATCATGCAGTTTCAAAAACTAAAACAATAAACCAGTAAGTCCTCTTGACTATGCTTTCTCCACCGTTGATGTCTCATTTCTCACATTTTCATTGCAGATGATCTTACTCTCCTTTTATTCTCTCCTGATTCCATTACAGTAAGGTGTTTGTTCCCACTGCTCCACTGAAACTCTTGACCAGGGCAACAATCACTGCGAAATTGCTACATCCAATGTCCATTTCTCAGTGTTCATTCTACTTGATTATCAGCAGCATTTGAAGTGTTAGTGATATGGTCTGGCTCTGTGTCCCCAAATAAATCTCATCCTGAATTGTAATCTGAATTGTAATCTCCATGTGTTGGAGGAGGGACCTTGTGGGCAGTGACTAGATCATGGGAGTAGTTGCCCCATGCTGTTCTTATGATAGTGAGTTCTCATGAGACCTGATGGTTTTACAAGGAGCTTTTTGCAGCTTTGTTCTGCACTTCTCTCTCCCTACTGCCATGTGAATAAGGACATGTTTGCTTCTACTTCTGCCATGATTATAAGTTTCCTGAGGCTTCCCTAATCATGCTGAACTGTGAATCAATTAAACCTCTTTCCTTTATAAATTACCCGGTCTCTGGTATTGGTTCATAGCAGCATGAAATTGAACTAATACAGTTAGTGACTCTCTTAGCCTTTAAATACCCTTCATTTTTATTTCAAATTATTACAAGCATTTTCAGGGTTTGGTTACATTCATCTGATTTTTTATATTTTATTTTCTTTTTTCTTTTTCATTTTTTTATTCCCTTTTTCTGTTTCTTTCTCATCTCTCAAATTGTATGTTTCAGTAGATAGTCTTTAGAACTTTAGGCCATAATGAATTCTAGAGGCTGGTCATCTGACTACGGCCTAATATGCCCATAAAATAACCTGATCTGCTAGTTGTCTTCATCTCTGCTACTTCAATCATATATATATTTACATACACACACACACGTGTGTGTATGTTGTGTGTATGTGTGTTGTTTGTCTTCTTCTATTGGCCAAGAACAGAGACAGACGGAGAGATTTATAATGAGGAATTGACCTTCATGAGTAAGGAGGCTGATAATTTTTATATCTGCCATCTGTAGGTTGGAGACTAAGAAAAGCTGGGGGTGTAATTTCATTCCAAGTTCAAAGACCTGAGAGCAAGTGGAGCCAATGGTACAAATCCTCATCATCCTCCCTCTGTCTTTTTATTCTATTCTGGACCTCAGTGGATTGCATATAATGTTCAGTCATATTAGGAAGGGCAATCTCCATTATTGAGTCCACAGATTTAACTATTAATCTCATCCAGGAATACCCTAACAGATTTTTCCAGAAATAATGTTTAACCAGGACATACTGTGGCACAGTCGACAAATAACATTATCCATCACTGCCATAACCCAACATTCTTTGTTTTATTTGTGTTTATTTTCTATCTCACTGAATAGAATGTATACTTTGTGATGACAGAAAATATTGTTTGTTTCATTCACTCTAGTGTCACCAGGGACTAGAAAAACACCATTTTGTAAACATTTTATATATAAAATAAATATTTGTTTACTAAAAAAAAAAAGAATTTACACATTGGCTTAAAATTTGAAGATTATGATTAGCTCAGATTTCTTCAAGAGAGATCTATTAGTGTTCATGATTGATAAGCAATTACCTCTTATAATTCTGGTACTGTTCAGTATGTTTCTGTTTAAACTTAATACTGTAATTTTACTTTTCTTCTCGTTTTAAGAATGACATAGAACTATCATCACCTTTTAAAAAGAAAGTTGCATTTTGCTACAATTTTTTCCAAGTGTCTATTTAAGAGTCATTTACAAACCAAATTCAACTTGTCTAATTCATAAATCAAAGCCAATATTTCGTTCAACCTTAAAATTTCCAGCTTCATCCCACACTGGCTTTCTCCTTCAACTTTTTATTAGCATCAAAGCAAACTATTATCCATTTCTTATGTATAACATTAATTTTCAAACATTTTCCCTAGTCCTCCCAAAAATCAGATTTAATTGAGTTGATCATATCTAACCTGGTATGATCTTTCTCATTTTATTAGCTCTTTTTTTCTCTAAATGTCTTTTCTTCCACTAATCCTTGTTTAAACTCAACTGACTGGAATTTCTTCCATAAACATTTAGAGTATTTTGTCTTCATACTTATTACTAGCTATCATATTTTTTTCCTGTCTTTTTCATGAAGCTAAGCTCTGTTAGAATAAGGACTATGTCTCAACCAATTGTATCTACTATATGCTATGTCATAACTGAATAAAATATATCTACTATAAGACATAGCATATTGTAGATTCATTTTATCATGTATTTATCTATTTTATTAATAGAGTAATTGAATAATGTATTAATGTACCACATTCTGGTATATTTGGCTAAAGGAAATTGAATCAATCTATTTAATGAATGTTATTATCCTATCTTTTGAATTTCATAGGTTTTAAATCAAAGAAAATGAATTTGGATAACATTTATTTTTAACATATTATTTACACATAATAAAGGAAAATTAAGTCACAGGAAGTTTAAATTTTTATTTTATTAACATCTGCCAAAATTAAATATTATTTAAATATAACAGTCTCATTAATTTTATGAAACCAAAATAGATAATAAAAATATATATTCACAAGTTATTCATGTTGCATTTACTGAAATGTAACATTTTAATGAAAGTCTTCTTAGGAAACTTTGTATAAAATAAATAGGTATACACAATGGGAATATGTGTAAAACATTTATTGTGTTAAGTAGTTAACTTACTCTATTGTCTGTAACATTTAAAAAACACAACTTCAAAAGTCATTCAGAAAACAATCTGCACTACTATAAGTAGCAACTTTAAATGATTGCAGGTGCCTTTGTAAGAACAGCATTCTATCTAAGTGAAAATAGGACATGAGCAGACGCAAGGTTAAAATGATTGTGAGGCTACTGAAATATTGCACATATAAGGTATAATTGATTTGAGTTTAATATCAGGGATGGAAACAATTAGATGGATTCAACATGTAATTAGAAAATATAATTAATGGAAAATGTTATAGATTAGATGTGAGGGAGTGAAGGAAAAGTTAATGATAACTCTTTGGTTCCTGGTTCATCTAAGAGCATGTGCCTTTTATTGTGACAAGAAATATTGGAAAAGAATTGGTTCTGGAAAAGAAAGTGGACGGATCATAATCTCTATTCTTGACTGTTTACTTTGGAGACATTTTGAGGGACTCAAGTTGTGAGATCAAGAGGACATTGGAAATATGAATCTGAAGCTTGGGGAAGAAAGTTCAGCTAAAATTAAAATTGCAGATCTTTAATTATATGTAGAAATTATATTTGTGGGCTTAAAAGACACTGCTTTATGAGAGAGAAGTGAAGAGTTAAAGGTCTAATACTAAGAGATTATAGAGAGGACAACTGTGAATGTGCTAATGAGTAACTGGAATGAAAGGGGAAGTGTCAGAGTGCAGGCAAAGAGTGGGTTTAAGGAAGGAAGGAACGTCCTACTCTATTCAATTCTACAGTGATGTCACATGAAAGAAAAAATTTTAAAAAGCTCCTTTCGGTTAACTTTTCCAAGGACTGGTTTAATTAAAGTAAGGGAATAAATCAGTCTTTGTTGAAGTACCCCACCGAGTATGTATGTAAGAAATAAACACGGAAGTAAAGACTATTCTTGAGAAATGTGACTGAAAAGGCATAAATAAAAATCAGGGAGGTATAAGAGAAAGTGTAATGATAAGTAGTCTCTTTTTATTAGCTTATTTGTTGCTGTTTTTTGTTTGTATTTAATGTGAGATTGTCCAACATATTTAAAATAACAATAATCACAAATGTTTTCAGCCTTAGTGAGTCTTGCATTAAATACTTTAATTATTGTGCTATACTACTATTTTAGGAGTCAGGTATTAAGGTTATCAAAATCACAATGAAAGTCAAACAGGTAGTTTACTTCTGGACTTTGGAAAAGTGTTGGAATATTACTGAGGAAAGGAGGAAAAGTACTTGGTGTCAAGATTTTTGATACAATATTTGGAGACTCAGGAGATGACTGCTCTAATAGCAGTTTCTTGTTCTATAGTTAGAAGATATACGACGGGGGAAATAAAATGAACATTATTAGTTCAAAGTCTTAAATTCCAAGCTAAAGATCCATGGAAGGGTGAGGAGAGGAATGAGGCTCAAACATGAAAGACGAAGGTGATAGAAGGATTCCTGTAGTTAAGACAGCTGTCAAACCCGTCTTAATGAAACCTTACAATCTTGGTGTAATTCTGTGATGGAAACATGCTTAGAAGCTGCCAGATCTCAGTTCACCTGATGGTGTCACTGCTCTTGCAAAGGTCAATAAATAGCGTGTGGAGCTCTTGCTGCTTCTCCTTGTCCTACTCCTGTGCTTGGGGTTGCAGCCAAAATGATTCAAACAGCTCTCGGAAATTTAAACTCAAATAGAAACTATCTTAGGCATATGCCTGTACTTGCGTATTTATAGTGACTCCTACACATTAACCTATAATTTTAAATTAAGAAACAAATTGTTTAATGTACAAGTTTTCTTTAAACATGTTTTAAAATATTATGTTTATGAAAAAATTTTAAAGCAACATTTAAAGGATCAAAAATTAAAACTCATATTTCCACCAAAAAAACCCATATTTCTACCATCTAATGATTGAAAATATATCCATGATAATTTCTACTCTTTATTTTACTTAATTATATTTATAATATTTAGAAAAAAAATACATTTTGTAGCTTTAAATTTTTATAAATATAATATGAGATACATATTTATATTTCACCAATTATCATCCCCCCTATACTCTGAATATAAGCACTGCTGATATTTTGAAGCATTCTAATAAAATTTTCTGGAAAAATTATAAACATTACAAAAGATAATGCTTAAGAACATGGGTTTTGGTATTAAAAGAAGTTTTGTTTTTATATTTGATATTTTCCTTTACAGTAAAGTACTATTAGAAATGTTTTTTTCTTTCAGTGCCTCACTTTACTATAGATATAGTGCAGATGAAGACAACTTTGTTATGTATGTGTTATTAGAAGAAAAAACTTGTTATTCTCTTGCTAAAGGTGTAATGTCATTATCTTTGATTTTCGCCACTTGTGTATAAAAGAAGTATCTCATTTTAATTTGCATGTATTTGCCTACTAGTTAAGTACAGTGTTTATGGTCTAGACATTTGATATTTAAATCTAATTTTCTGAATTGGTTATGAATGTTACCTATCATCTTTGTTTTAGGAAGTTTGTCTTTAAATTTTTAAAACCATTCATTCATAGCCCATGAAAATTAACCCTTTATCTGTCATATCCATTTCTATTGTTTCCCAAGTGTGCTGGTTGCAAAATATTATATGTAATGTTTAGATTTATAAATAACATATATAGTGTCTGTATGTGTAATTTATTGCTTCAGCCAAGTCCATTGCACTGATAAATCATATTAATAATCTAGTTTTATTGATTTGTACATTTCATATTTAACTTTCAGACTTTAAAAAACTATTTAAGTATCCAACTTTATTAGCTTTGATATAGATGAGCTATCAATGCAGCAACTTTTGTTGAAAATAAACCAAAGATCAAAGAGTTTTCTTAATTAAATACTAAAACATACCATGATCTATTTCTTTTTATTGTTTTTCTTTCATGTGTATCATAGTTTAATTATTATATCTTTGTATATACTTTATTATCTGGCAAGCTTTTTTTTTACACTTTTTTTCCTCATATTGTTTGATATATACTTTTGTCCACTATTCTGAACTTGAAAATCATTTGTCAAATTCGGGATGAAAATTTCCTTTGGTGAACCTGAATTGACTTGGTCTTAATTTACCAAATAAATTGGAAATAATTAAACTCTTTATAAAATGAGTTTTTCAGTTAGTAACATGCTAAACCTTTTAATTTATTTATATTTTTGAAAGTTTCCCTAGACAAAATTTTGCAGTTTTTTTCAAAGTGATGTTATATTTCTTTGTAGATTTACATTTGTTTATTTTATTATAGATACTATTTTGTGAGCATTTTTTCCCTTCTATTTTCTAGTTGTTTTATTTTTTATACCAGGGGTTGTAGCAGGAAGCTCTATAGGGTAGAGGCTAAGAGTTTAAACCACCCAAACCTCAGACTAAGTTCAAATCTTGGTTCTCCTGCTTTTCACTCAGGCAAAAATCACATAATCTCTGAGTATAATTTAACTCATCTGTAAAATTAAGGTAATATAATAATAACCACCTCATTAAATTGTGGTATGGATTATATGAGTTTATATCATGCAAAGGGCTTAGAAAAGTACATATCTTCTATGAAGCACTCAATAGAAGTTGAAAAATACACAGGAAAACTTTCTATTATTGTGTGTGTGTATTTTTATACTGGATTGATTAATTTTATTTATTTATAAGGTTTTTGAAAATTCACTCATGTTTAATAAATATTTCTATCTACATATAATGTTCTTATTTCTATTTCCAACAGTTATACCTTTATTTCTGATATCTACATAGCACTGTTCATCTCTAGAAGTTTCATAAAATTCAGTATTTACTAGTTTTAATAGTTCCCTCTCCCTTCCCTTCCCTCACTTCCTTCCTTCCTTCTTTCTCTCTCTCTCTCTTTCAATAGAGGTAGAGACTTACTGTTTGCCCAGACTGATCTCAAACCCCTGGGCTCAAGCAATCCTCTTGCCTCAGCCTCCCAAACCAAAGTGCTGGGATTACAGACATAAGCCATCATGCGCAGCCTTAATAGTGGCTTTTCAATTGGGGTCCTGACAGGAGAAAAAAAAATGGCAACTCAAATTGAGTATTTAGCAAGGATTAATTCAGAGACTACTTACAAATAGATGGATGAGGTGTAGCAAAACAAGATACAGTGAAATAGCAAGTCTGGTAAGAATGGGGTGCTTATATACTATAAGTACTACTACTACTACTAAGGACAAAAGTGAGAGTGTGTCCGGAATTGATGGGTTCTTGGTCTCACTGACTTCAAGAATGAAGCCGCGTTCCCTCGCAGTGAGTGTTACAGCTCTTAAGGTGGCGCGTCTGGAGTCTGTCCCTTCTGATGTTCAGATGTGTTCGGAGTTTTTTCCTTCTGGTGGGTTCGTGGTCTCGCTGGCTCAGGAGTGAAGCTGCAGACTTCCGCGGTGAGTGTTACAGCTCTTAAGGTAGCGCGTCTGGAGTTGTTCATTCCTCCCGGTGGGCTCGTGGTCTTGCTGGGCTCAGGAGTGAAGCTGCAGATCTTCGCGGTGAGTGTTACAGCTCATAAACGCAGCGTGGACCCAAAGAGTGAGCAGTAGCAAGATTTATTACAAAGAGCGAAAGAACAAAGTTTCCACAGTGTGGAAGGGGACCCGAGGGGGTTGCCAATGCTGGCTCGGGCAGCCTGCTTTTATTCTCTTATCTGGCCCCACCCTTTTGTCAGGGCGCTGATTGGTGCCTTTACAATCCCTGAGCTAGATACAAAGGTTCTCCACGTCCCCATCAGATTAGTTAGATACAGAGTTTCCACACACAGGTTCTCCAAGGCCCCACCAGAGCAGCTAGATACAGGGTGTCGATTGGTGCATTCACAAACCTTGAGCTAAACACAGGGTGCTGATTGGTGTGTTTACAATTCCTGAGCTAGATATAAAGACTCTCCACGTCCCCACCAGACTCAGGAGCCCAGCTGGCTTCACCTAGTGGATCCCGCACTGGGGCTGCAGGTGGAGCTGCCTGCCAGTCCTGCGCCGTGCGCTCACATTCCTCAGCCCTTGGGTGGTCGATGGGACTGGGCTCCCTGGAGCAGGGGGTGGCGCTCGTCGGGGAGGCTCCGGCCACACAGGAGCCCATGGAGTGGGTGGGAGGCTCAGGCATGGCGGGCTGCAGGTCTCGAGGCCGGCCCTGTGGGAAGGCAGCCAAGGCCCGGCGAGAAATCAAGCACAGTGCCGGTGGGCCAGCACTGCTGGGGGACTCAGTACACCCTCCGCAGCCACTGGCCCGGGTGCTAAGTCCCCCATTGCCCGGGGCCAGCAGGGCTGGCTGGCTGCTCCGAGTGCAGGGCACACCAAGCCCACGCCCACCCGGAACTCCAGCTGGCCCACAAGTGCTGCACACAGCCCCGGTTCCTGCTCGTGTCTCTCCCTCCACACCTCCCTGCAAGCTGAAGGAGTGGGCTCCGGCCTTGGCCAGCCCAGAAAGGGGCTCCCACAGTGCAGTGGGGGACTGAAGGGCTCCTCAAATGCCACCAAAGTGGGAGCCCAGGCAGGGGAGGTGCCGAGAGCAAGCGAGGGTTCTGAGGACTGCCAGCACGCTGTCACCTCTCAAGAGCACAGTCACTTGGACCTGGAGACAGAGAGAGTTATGTTGAGAAATGCAATCAGACTACAATAACTCTAAATGGAGGGAACCAAGGTAATATATACGCCAACTTAACTCTTTTCCCTTCTCTAGAAATTCCGCTGGTATTGACCTTTGTATAAAACCATGAGGAAGCCTGAAGATAAATAAATCCTTGATATTGTTCATTTGGGTTGGCTTTGAAGGGCACAGAGCAAAGGGTGTCTCGGAGGGAACAGTGAAAATTAGCCAACTGAGGGCATTGTTGTCACATCCCGATATTGTTTGGTACATTTCTACATTTTCACGGATAATTATGATATTAAGATAAAGCTTCTCTATCACTTAAAGGAGTTTCATTAATTGCTATTATTGTTACTAATTAACTATTTTAATTGATCAGGAATAGATATTCACTTTTTTCAATTTCTTTGGGCTTATTCATTAATTTATGTCTCTTTTGAGGGCAAATTACAGACAAGCCCTTAACAGGTGCTCAACTGACATTTGAAATTAATTCAGAATTAGTCCCTGCTTTCATGAAACTTCTGGAACTTTCATAAAGCAGACCAAATAAGGTAAAAAAAAATCAAACCAATACAAAAATGATTTTAAAATGATTTTAAAATTTTAAAAAAGTTCTACAAAGAAAATTTTAAAAAATGTGTTGCAATGGAGAACAATTTTGATAGAGAGTGAAGGAGGAGAGGAAGTGACAAGTTTTCATTAAAGAGCACGTTTAAGCTGAGATCTATGAGATGATTTAACAACAAAAACAGCTAGCATAGAACTAGCTAGAACTGAAAAAAAGCATTTGATAAGTGTTATGCCAAAGGCTTCCAGGTGGGGAAAGATTTAAGACTGCAATCTGAGAAGTGAATAACACAAACTTGTGGTTTAATTTACCAGTTCCAAAAAAGAAGCTAATTTTGACCAGTTAAGTGAGTTCTAATCATGTGTACCCCAGAGCTAAGAAAATTAGATTTTATTCTACAAGCCATGGAAAGCCATTAGCTCTTTATTTCTCAAAAACCTTTTATACATTTACTCAGGGAATAAAATTTAGCATTTTCTTTAAAATATATCTAGTACCAAATCATATTTATGATCTCTACCATTACTATCTTCTTCCCAGAAAACATGACCTCAACAGCTTCATCATTGCCCTGCCCTTCACTTACACTCATACTATCCTCCATACAGCAGCCAGGGGCATCCCCCTAAGAGTAGGAGGAAGAGTAATAGTAGTAGTTCAAGTCACAGTCCTCACTGTTCAAAACTTTAGACTCTACAGATAAACAAGATGGGTGAGCAACTGCTTTTTTTTGCCCCTCACTAAAGTTGAAATTGTGATCATTTCATAAAACTGGTACACTTTTTTCCACCAATGTTTTTGAAATGTTTAAATGGGTAGGTATTATGAACACTTTAAAAGTTCAGGCTCACTAAAAATTAAGCCCAACAGTTTTGAAGGATTATTGATATCTCTGTGTCCCCACCCAAATCTCATTTTGAATTGTAATATGAATTGTAATCCCCATGTGTTGGGGGAAGGACATCATGGGAGGTGTTTAGATCATAGGGGCATTTCCCCCATGCTGTTCTCATGACAGTGAGTGAGCTCTCACAAGATCCGATGGTTTTATAAGGGACTTTCCCCCTCTTCACTCTGCACTTCTCTCTCCTGCCATCATGTGAAGAAGGAGGAGTTTTTTCCCCTTCTGCCATGATTGTAAGTTTCCTGAGGCTTCCCCAACTATGTGGAACTGTGAGTCAATTAAACCTCTTTGCTTTATAAATTGCCCCATCTTCAGTATTTTTTTCATAGCAGTGTGAGAACAAACTAATATAATTCTATATTAAAATATTTTAAATGTTCTTTAAGCTGTTGATCTATTCAGCTATTTATATTGTTCAATAACTTTTGGATTTACGGTTAATTGTTAACAATTGAAATGTAATTTTATTGCAATGCAGCTCAAGAATATGTCCTTTAAAAATTGTTCTCAATGTGCTGCCAGATTTTGTTTGCAAGTATTTTGCTGAGGATTTTTGCATCTATGTTCATCAAGGATATTGGCCTGGAGTTTTCCTGTTGTTGTGTTTCTGCCAGGTTTTGGTATTAGAATGATGCTGGCCTCATAGAGTGTGTTATGGTGTAGTTCTTCCTCCTTGGTTTTTGTAATAGTTTCAGTAGGAACGGTACCAGCTCTTCCTTATACGTCTGGTAGAATTCAACTTGAATCCATCTGGTCCTGGGCTTTTTCTGGTTGGTAAGCTTTTTATTACTAATTAAATTTTGAAACTCTTACATATACATCATGGAATACTAATCATCCATAAAAAAGATCATGTGCTTTGCAGAAACATGGATGAAGCTAGAGGCCATCATCCTAAGTGAACTACCACAGGACAGAAAACCAAATCCCACATGTTCTCACTTACAAGTGGGAGCTAAACTTTGAGTATGCCCAGACACAAAGAAGGGAAGAGTAGACTGGACCCTACTTGAGATTGGTGGGTGGGAAAAGGGTAATGATCGAAAAATGATCTATGAGGTATATGCTTATTACCTGGGTGATGAAATAATTTGTACACCAAACTCCTATGACACACCATTTTTTATTTATTTATTTATTTATTTATTTATTTTTATTATTATTTTTTAAATTTATTATTATTATACTTTAAGTTTTAGGGTACATGTGCACAATGTGCAGGTTAGTTACATATGTATACATGTGCCATGCTGGTGCGCTGCACCCACTAACTCGTCATCTAGCATTAGGTATATCTCCCAATGCTATCCCTCCCCCCTCCCCCCACCCCACAACAGTCCCCAGAGTGTGATGTTCCCCTTCCTGTGTCCATGTGTTCTCACTGTTCAATTCCCACCTATGAGTGAGAATATGCGGTGTTTGGTTTTTTGTTCTTGCGATAGTTTACTGAGAATGATGACTTCCAATTTCATCCATGTCACTACAAAGGACATGAACTCATCATTTTTTATGGCTGCATAGTATTCCATGGTGTATATGTGCCACATTTTCTTAATCCAGTCTTTCATTGTTGGACATTTGGGTTGGTTCCAAGTCTTTGCTATTGTGAATAATGCCGCAATAAACATATGTGTGCATGTGTCTTTATAGCAGCATTATTTATAGTCCTTTGGGTATATACCCAGTAATGGGATGGCTGGGTCAAATGGTATTTCTAGTTCTAGATCCCTGAGGAATCGCCACACTGACTTCCACAATGGTTGAACTAGTTTACAGTCCCACCAGCAGTGTAAAAGTGTTCCTATTTCTCCACATCCTCTCCAGCCCCTGTTGTTTCCTGACTTTTTAATGATTGCCATTCTAACTGGTGTGAGATGGTATCTCATTGTGGTTTTGATTTGCATTTCTCTGATGGCCAGTGATGGTGAGCATTTTTTCATGTGTTTTTTGGCTGCATAAATGTCTCCTTTTGAGAAGTGTCTGTTCATGTCATTTGCCCACTTTTTGATAGTTGTTTGTTTTTTTCTTGTACATTTGTTTGAGTTCATTGTAGATTCTGGATATTAGCCCTTTGTCAGATGAGTAGGTTGCGAAAATTTTCTCCCATTTTGTAGGTTGCCTGTTCACTCTAATGGTAGTTTCTTTTGCTGTGCAGAAGCTCTTTAGTTTAATTAGATCCCATTTGTCAATTTTGGCTTTTGTTGCCATTGCTTTTGGTGTTTTAGACATGAAGTCCTTGCCCATGCCTATGTCCTGAATGGTAATGCCTAGGTTTTCTTCTAGGGTTTTTATGGTTTTAGGTCTAACGTTTAAGCCTTTAATCCATCTTGAATTGATTTTTGTATAAGGTGTAAGGAAGGGATCCAGTTTCAGCTTTCTACATATGGCTAGCCAGTTTTCCCAGCACCATTTATTAAATAGGGAATGCTTTCCCCATTGCTTGTTTTTCTCAGGTTTGACACACCATTTTTTATATAACAAACCTGCACATGTACCCCTGAACCTAAAAGTTTATATATATAGGTGTGTGTGTATATATGTATATATGTGTGTATATATGTATATATGTATATGTATGTATATATGTGTATATATATGTACATGTATGTGTGTATATATATATATTGTTTTCACTTTAATTTGGAATATCATTGCAGTCTTATTTCTTGAGTTTTATTGAGGAAAGAAATTATCTTCTACTTAAATGCAAATATTTAAATAAATCATTTCATGTATTTCTGTATATAAATAATTTTAATATACATATAAATGTCATGGATTATATTATTTGAAGATTTATCCTTATGCATTGTAAATTACTTCTTTCAAAGTCAGAGTAATTTATTAGTCTTTTTAAATGATTGTTTATGTTGATCTTCTTGTACTCATTATATACTTTGTCTTATTTAATTCCATGATTTATTACTAAAAGCAGAGCTTCATGACTATTATATAACTATTGAGGCTAGAAACTCAACATTGTGTCTCATGTAATTAGACATCTTGAAATAATAGAACAGAATTTTGTCTTCTGAACTTATATCTCAGGGATTTTCTTAAAGATTTATTCTTAAATTCTTAAAAATTCTTAAAAATTGGTATATGATTCCAGTTGTACAAACAATTTGGTTAATTTCGTTGTGTGAATATCATTCATTTCTGGTTTTTCTTATTACTGTTGGCTTTATCTAATTATTATATTGAAGTTCACATTTTATAAGCATTTTTTGATGGTGATGTTGAAAAGGAGATTTCTGCTGTAATATTGTCATATTTCCTATTCAGCTTTCCATGCATGCAATCTCATTTTTCATAGTCATAATTTTGATTCAATAGCATCACATAAAATATTTTTAAGTGAACCTAAATTATGGGTAAGGAATCAGGGAAGAGTAAAGAAAAGACCTATCAGTGATAATCAGCCTTCTAAATAGCCGTAATCATCATTTACCATTGTTCTCTCTCTCTGTTGTCTCTTAGTATAAAGCATATTCTATAGTGCAAAATATTTTTTAAAAAGGGATTTACTAGCCAGTCAAATCAATTTATTATTTATTTTTTATTTAATCAAATATCACTCTAAATTCAGAGAACTAATACTTTGAAAATATGTTTTGGACCCTATTCCCCACTTTCATCATAGCAATTACATCAACATAAACAACAATTAGATGGTTCAACATGCAGTAGACAAATTACTGACTTCCATTAAAGTCAGTTTGTGACCCTCTTGAGCAAGACATCTCTGCTGCAAACTACTGTGAGACCCAATTTGAGATTTAGCATTTTCCACTTCAATTGTGCTGCACATTCCCCTAGGTAATTCTGTCTGTGCTACTTACATAAATCAAGATAATTCTGTGATATGGGTGTATATTACAGTTTTTTATGTGCTTATTACTTGGAGGCTGATGCTTCTGAAACTTTTTCTTAACCACAATGTCAACTGGCAACTTGCCCTGAGGGTTTATTTTATTGAGAAGCAATGACTAGAGGCTGTATTTTATTCTTGTAGCCTCAGAAATGCATTTGTAAATTGATTAAACTGAAATGCATGTATCTTATAACTAGATAAGTAAAACGGATTCCTAGTGGACTCTTTCAGAATAGCCTTGGGCTTTTAGTTACACAGATTGGGCGAAATATATAAATATTAATTGGTGTATAAATTTGGATATCTTAAAAACAAAGCAAAATAAATTATGGTCGAAACACAAAAGGAGGCAACAGCCTTTAGGGAAATTAATCAGAGCACATTTTTTAGGATTTTTTACTTTTTTCATTCAAACCAGAAATGGGGACACTAACATTTTTGATAGCTAAAGAACTGCACCTGCATTGGAACTGTCATTCTACAATATGATGAATAAACTGATAAAAGGAACTTATTTAAGAACATTTTTGTGCTCTGTACATGGTTTATACTCCCTATCTATATAATTATTTATGATTACCTGAGTATATTTTACAACATGCAAGCAAGCAAATACAAATAAAGGAAGAGTATGTAAGTTAAACTATATCTTCTCCATGAAATGTAGAGTACATACCAACAAGCAAGGAAACTGGGAAACAAGTAAAACTGGAATACAAGTATACAACTGAGAGAATATAAATATGGGACAAATTTGCAGAAATCAACAAAAATGATTTGAATGAATAAACTTTATAGGGTAAAATTTTTATCTGTGGCACAAAAACAGATGAAAATAAACACTGTCAGCCACTGAGAGAGATTTGAGTTAACTTTGCTGCAAATATTGGTGGAAAGAATTGAAAGTATACAAAAGCAGATGAATGATGAAAGAAAATGTGGCATATACATCCAACAGAATATTATTCACTCTTTAAAAAAAAAAGAAATTATGGCACTTGCCACAGCATTAATGAACCTGGAGGACAATATGCTAAGTAAAGTAAGCCAGACACAGAAAAATGAATAGTGGAGGATTCCATTTTAATGAGGCATCTAGCATAGTCAAACTCATAGAAGCAGAGAAACCAACAGTAGACAGTGGTTGCCAGATGTTGGGAGGTAAAGGAAATGGGGAATTGTTGTTTAATGGATACAAAGTCTCAAGTATGCTAGAGTCGTAAGTTCTAGAGGTCTGCAGTACCTACAATATATAGTTAATTATACAGTGTTGTGCACTTCAAAATTTGTCAAGAACATAGATCTCACATTGTGTTCTTACAAAGATGAGGGGGGATCACAAGAAAACTTTCGGAGGTGTTGGCTATTTCTATTACTTTGATTGTGGTAATGGCATCATAGATGTTTGCATAGGTTCAAACTTATCAAATTGCAAACATTAAATATGTGTAGCTCTTTGTATTTCAGTTATACTTCAATAAGGCTGTAAGAAAAAAAAGAAAGAGAAGAAAAAAATAGGAATAAGAGAAATCAGAAGCCCAGAGGGAAATATTGCATGAAAAGCTGTTTTAACTCACCAAAGCATATATTCAACAATTTACACCAATAGAAGATATTTAGTAATTGATAAAAGTGGTGCAAAAAAGACAAAATATATACAGGAAGATTCTGAAGGAAGCACTTTTCTAAAGTCAATATCTAAACTGAATAAGGATCCAAAACTATTTTATGACATCATTGTCAATGTTTATTTTCAATTAAGCTTCTGACCATACAGCTTTGACAAGCACATATTTTTCAAAGTATTTTCTCTTTTGTCCTATGGGATTTGTTTAAATTTAATGAGACTTGTATGTATTTTCTCTTGCTGTTGAATGATTTTGAATTTTATTAACCAATGGCAATATAAATAGTAACATCTAATCAGAATGGTCAATTTTATACGATTACTATTTTATTTGATTATTTTAAATATTCTAATGATTTTAATTTCTATTCTGGGGACAATTAAATGAAAATTATTTTAATGCAGATGTCTCACTATTTTATAAGGTTGCAAGGACATTGGAATATTCTGTAAATGCACACAACTCAATTTAAACGTTTTATAGATCTACAAAATCTGAAGGTCTGTATTGTCAAAGGCAGCTGTGTGCTATAGGCCTGGTTAAAGCACTTTTGAAACCACCAAAGCCACCTTCTTTTATGAAGTGATATGGTGCTAATAAACATTAGAAAATATTTTGTGCCTGGATGTCAAGTACTAAGAAATGATAGTATGCCCTCAAATGTGTTCTTAATATTAGTTGACTGATAAAGTCACTGCAGTTGGCATTTATTGCCATGAACTATAGTACTTCACTTTATCACTCAGACTAGATCACAATGTTCCAACAGCTACAATCTGTTAACTCGCATCCAAATAGCTAAAATGCCCTTAAAGGAAGCATTACCTGCCTCTGAAGGTTCCCTAGCATTTTAAGAGATTTCATAAACATTGGTGAAGTTCAATATCAGCTCTTGGATTGATATTGAATTAATTGCGAAGTAGAGAATGAAAAATTTTCTCTCTTTTGCACAAGAAAGTAGGCCTTGTATCCTAAGATATTTAGGCATAAAAATTGTATGAATATTTCAGTAAAAATTATTATGTTCTGTTGGACTATCCTTTCAAACTACCAAAGCATAATATTCTTATTTCAATGAATAACAAAAATAAGTAAACAATAAAACTCAGCGCTCAATCCCTCCTCTTCCACTTCACATTGAGAAAATATTAACTGTATATGATGCATATTGCCAAATATAATAATTTTCTGTGTCCATTAAACTACACGTGTATAGAAGTTTAATTTCACAAACATGCCATTTATGATATATATTACCCTGCATTTTGCTTCTTTTAAATGCATATGTATGAATAAATCTATTTTTTCTTTAATATCTGTATAGTACCAGATATTTGTGGATAATGCTATCATTTATTTAGCTATTCTTCTATTAATGAGTACTTAGGATGTTTTTATTTTTGTCACTTCAATGAATTCTGCAGAAAATATGCTTAAATACATGTCTTTATATGTTAGAGATGTTTTTCCATATTTTTATTACAAGGTGAGATTGCTGAATCTAATGGAATATTTCAATTTTAGATTCTGCCAGATTATTTTCTAGAAGATCTTTGTAATTAGCACATTAATCAGAAATGTATGAGAGTCATCTTGACCACTGTCACCAGCATTGATGTTACTAATCTTTTATCTATTTTCCCATGTGATCTATGGAAATTATTTACCATTGATTAGCTTTTCCCTGATAAATAACATGGTTGAACATATTTTCATATATAGTACTTATTGAACATTTAAAACGACAATCGCTCTTATTCTTTATATTCTTGTGATAGCCTTTATCATCTTTTCTATTTGGTTATGGTCTTTTACTTATGAATTTGTAGTAACTATTGGTATTTTAAAATATCATTCCACTTCTTTTTTTCCTGAATATGTTTCAGACACTTTCTCCTAGTTACTCTATATTTTTCTGGCTTGTTCTCCCATTGGACATTTAAAATTTTTTACACTCCAAGAGTTATTGATTTTTTTTTCTTTCTCCCATTTTACAAAATATCATTCTAAACATTTTTTTTTAATTTGGATTTTACTCTTTACAGGATTTATTTTTACATATGGTATAAAATAGTGATCTGACTTGATTTTTGTTCAGAAAGTTGGTTAATATTACCCACCTGATAAACAATTGTTAATTTAATTTGTACATTTTCAACGTTTTGTATTCATGGACACAAATTAATTTCAACATGTGCATAATAACACGAGATAGATATGTTTTATTAGACACTATTTCATTTAGCATGTTATCATTTATTTGCATTCAGGGTTCCAGAGTACTGAAAATATTTACTACTCAAAACTTCTGTAAATTACTAGCCACCTGTCATTCTGATTTGTGTTTGTTTTTGTATTTTCATTTGGGATAGAGGAAGGAGCAAAGTGTGTGAGAGTGGTGTGTGTGTGTGTGTTGATAGTGTTGATAGCTCTCAGTTTTTCTTTTTTCCTTTTGAACTGCCATAGATTCTAACCATGTGAAGGGTTATGCCCCACTTAGATTTTTATCAGAAGGTTCTGTTTGCTAGTTTCTTTGTAACACTGTAAATATCTCCTGGCTACAGTAGCACAGATGATTTTTGATGAACCAGTTCAAGTATTCTCTGTGAAAGCTGTGAAATCCAATGTTAAAAGTTAGAAATTGGATTAGTTTGTCAGGAACTGGGGCTAATCCACCTTATATTTTTGATTGTTTTGTTTCGTTTTACAGTGATATTGGATATACAGAAGGATATTAATAGACATTTGCCTGGGCATGACCTGCTTCATTGTCAATAATAATCAGGAGGTACAACATATATTGTTCTCTACTACGAAAACAAATACCTAACAAATGAAGAGAGAACAAAATAGAAAATTTATTACCTAATGATTTCAGTGACCATCACTTAATGCTTATTATCCAACATTTCTATTTTTATAACAATGAACTCACATGTTAGAATAATGTATATCCTCTCTGAAAAAAACTTTTGTATTTTTTATGTAATATTTTGTTAATTCTGAATTTTCTCATTTCTAGTGTAAATTTTATTTACCTAAAATTTTCCCTAAAGGCTATTTGTCTAAGTAGATGGTCAATTAATATGGATGCTAACTATTAATAAGAACAAAGGAAAGAAGCTTGCCAAACATTCAACAAGTATTTATCGAACGTCCAAAATGTGCAAGATTCTTTGCGACATGCTAAGAGTTTCAGAGAAAATTTATAGGTAGAACAGTTATACTTCTGTTAACATTATATATAAATAAAAATAACTTGGAAGAAATTGACAATTAATTGTATGAATCATATTCAAGCCTTATATTTTAGATAATGAGTGGGTAGCAAGGCTGCTAATATGGTCATGCTATCCCTGGCAAATGCTGCTGCGTTCAGCGAAGCTGGTCAAACTTACTGACAGTATATTTCATTAATTACCATAATCATAAAATTCTGCCTTCATAATGCAACTGCATTGTATATTTATAACTTGTCTGAATGTTTTAATTCCCTGATATCCATAGAGAAAAATACATAGTTATTCCAATTGAAGCAATTAAAGAAAATGATCTAAACGGCTAATCCATAATCAATATCCAAGTTTAAAATCCAAGTATTGAGTGTTTGACCTATGTCAATCTCAAGTGCTTGAATAAAAATGGGTTATCTATTATATAGAATGGTTTTATGCATTTGAAATAAATATATATTTTTAAAGTCAAAGATACATATTTAATGCAACAACGGAGGGAGACTGAGTTGTGAGAGAATTTGTATAGAACACAATATTCTAAAAAGCCAGCTATCCTAAACTCATTTTCTTCTCACAATTATTTTTACATTTTGCTCAATCCTATTTATCAATATATCTATGCATAAGACAATAAAACTCCATTGCAAGAATGTAAAGTGTATTAATGTAAAAAAAGTGATTAATTTAACACAATATTCATCACAATGTAAATTGATATATTTAAAGAAAAAGCATATGATCATATTTTAAAACTTAGAAAAAAATACTCCTAATAAAAACTCATTTGTGATCAAAAGAAAAATTTACCTTAGCAAAAAGTAAGGTAAAAAATTTTGCTTTAGCAAAACAGGTTAAAAATTAATCTTTAATTGATTAAGGAAATGAAGCAAACATAACAATAAACAAACTCAAAGTGTCATTTAATTTACAGGTAATATTTCAGACATATTTTTAATAGAATCAGAAATACAATGATACTCAGTAGCATAATTTCCCTTTAACTTTGAAGGGAGGGGATGGGTAGCAGATTCTGGCCAATTTTAATAAATCTGAAAAAATAAATGCATGGTACAAGAATTAAACAAATTTATTATTATCTATGAAGGACAGAAAAATCTTAGAGACTCTAGAAATTATTAGAAATAAAGCAGTTAACAGCAAAGTTCTTCAGCATAAATTAATATTTCAATGTCAGAATAATTTACAATTATGTTTAAGTGAGAGAGTTAATTTTGAAAGATTCCATATAAACCTAAAACTATAAAGCACACAGGAATGAAGCTACTAAATGATATGTAAGACTTTTATTAAAAATTATGAAGTTATACTGAAGTACATGAAAGATCTAAATGAATGGAAAAACATGCCATATTCATAAACAGGACTGCTTAAAATTATGAAGATTCTTATTATTCAAAAATAAATATAAATTTATAACTTTCCATACAGAATATCAACAACATTTTTACAGTACTGGACTAGCTGATTTGAAACTATATATGCAAAGGGACAGACTGTATGTGTACAAGTGTGAAGAATAGGCAAAGAAATATGGAAAAAGAAAAGGTGGCAAGAACTACTTTATAAAAGAGTGTACGCTAAAAAAAACAGGAAATCTCTTCAGAGAGAGATGCTAATATAACAAGCCGCCATGGGAGAAGAAGAAAATAAAAAAGAAGGGGGCTGTTCCCTTCGCATTTCAAGCTAAGTGGGGAGATTTCAGGTAGACTACGAGTTAAAAAAGCATTCTGTGTGGTTTGGGACTTATGGGGCCTGATATGTCATCCTCATTTGGGGAAGGGTAAAAAAAAAAGGCTATGGTTGGAACAGTTTGCTTACGAACTACATTCAGTTCTAGCTGTGCTGTAGTAGGGGTGGGGAAAGGATGCATATATGGTTACTTGAATCTGCAGAAGTAGTGGAACTCTAACAGAAGACCTGGATGGGTTCTCTAGAAGCCATAAGTGGAGAAAAGTGTAAAGCAACCTTTTAGAGGACAGGCATCATTTGCCAAGGGGCTGTAGTAAGAAGCTGCCAAAAGAGAATCTTAAAGAAAAAAAAAAAAATAGCAGCTCTCCTAAAAAACAGGGTCCTTTTACCTCTTAAAGTCTGATTTTCAAAATGTTAGAAAAATATGAGTCAAACAAATGCAAAACAAACATTTGTCAAAGAGAAAGTAATTAATGAAGAAACCAATAAGATGGCATACCTAGTTCAAAGAATATTTAAACACATGAGGTTTGTAGACAATTTAATAAAGAAATATTCAAATAAGATTACCCTGTTATTTACAAAGCTGGCGGACTGTCTCTGGAACAACAGTTACCTCTTGGGTTATCATTTCTTATACAAAAATATATAAATTAACATGGAACTTCACTAAGTGTGGAACTTAGTTTACAAAAGTCAATATTGAGTCAAAGTGCATTCCCTTGGATACTTATCAAATAAGCGTATTAAACAATGCCCCCATATGATCTTTAAATGACATATTGCCCATCTTTTAGCATTGGTTTCAAGTTTGGGAAAATTTTTCTTTACACAGCCTCATTTTAAACTCCCTTCATTCTAACCAACCTCCAGGATTAAAAACATCACCCTGATGACATGATCCACTTTCCATGGCACGCTTCCAAGCCTGAAGCCAACCGTAAAGGGAAGAAAGGCAGACAGTGTAATCTGAACAACATTCAAGGCTTTTACAAGTATACTGGATTATATATTTCAGTTGTTAAAAGGAGACTGATTTTGAGAATGAAAGGGAAACAAAACATTATGGAACTGGTCTTAGATTTCCACCCAAGGTCAGATTGAAAAAACAATGGGAGAAAGAGCAGATTGCTTCAAGAATGCAACTGTGTTCAGCTTCTCTGATATTTATATTTTTCATAACAAAAAATTATAAATAATAGTAATCCGTAGGAGTATTAACAAGTACATTCTGATATAATTGTGCGATTAAAACACACTACATGATTGAAATTAATTAATTGTAAATTCAATGTGGTATCCTGGAATGAATCCTGGAACAGAAAAGGTGTGTTAGTGAAGAATATAATAATAAAATCCAAATAAATTCTGAAGTTTAGTGAATAGTAATATATCTATGTTGGTGTATTGGTTTTGACAAATGTACCATGGTAATGTGAGATGTTAATATTAAGAGGAAAGGGCAAGAAGGTTATGGACACTAGGTGAATTATCTTTGCTACTTTCTTATAATACTAAAATTATTCCAAAATAAAAAAGTTATTAAAAACATCAATTAAATTAAAACTAAATTTATCAATAAAGATAAATCACAAAATGTGTCTTTGAGGAAAACTATATATGTATTGCTTTCACTTTTTTGCTCATCTTTAACTGGCCAACATATTCAGATACTTAGTTCACAGATATTTAAACTTAAAAATATCAGAACATCACATGCTCCTTATGAGAAGAAAATGTATTTTTTTCTATAACTACTCATTGATATACCCTTGTTTGTAAAGTGAGAGGACTATAAGAAATAATATCGATAACACTTAAAGAACATGAATAATTAATACATGATATTTTTACATATTTCAAAGTTAACATACATTATTTTATCTGGTTCTTGCAGTAGTCACTTCAAGCAAGCAAAAAAGTATACTAAGGGAGAGATGAAGGAAATTGCAAAACCAATTGCTATACATAAAAATCTGTTTTACTCATAAGTATCTGTGAATATACTAAGGCGGAGATAGTCAGGGAAGTTACATGGTACGACTAGTTAGTCTAGAGTAATAGTTGGACCAGAACCCAATTGTTTCAAATATTTTATAACTATAGTGTGACTATGAATTTTTTTGAAAAAATTAATAAATTAGCTCCTTCAAAATATTTTGCAGATCCTCTGCTGTTCTAAAGGATCCTGTGTGCTAGCCAACTTGTGCAACTGTAGATTGCATATCAGCATAATCCACAATATTTAATTTTGTTTCTCACTACATAACTTTTTCCCCTTTATTTTCCTTTTCCCCCTTTTTCCCTGAAAAAGTTCAGATGATTTATCTACATAAATGCCAGATCTTCATTCATTCTTATGCTCCACCAGCTGATCAGACCAACCAAATATTCACAGTAGAGATAAACCAGACCCAGATCTCCTTCTGTAAATCAGTCAAAGGGCCATTTCAGATAAATTGTTTCTGAAATCTAACAAAAACCTATTTCCAGGTCAGAGTTTTCTGAATGTACATTAACTCTCCTTGACTAAGTCAGGTAGTGTCAATAAACCTATCAATAATTTTGTTCTTTTTACTTTCTCTTATAAGTAGAGAGAATGGTGGACGGCTTCCTGCTAACTGCCTTATTCAGTAGAACTCCACATTCAGGGAGAGATGAAGGAAATTACAAAACCAATTGCTATACATAAGAATCCATTTTACTCATATATCCTTGCCTACTGTCCAAAAGACTAACTACTGGCATAATCCCCTGAATTTTTTCTTAATTCCCTAGGATTCCCTTTATTTTCAAGCACCTTCTCACTTAACCACAATGATAAATTCAGTAATCCCCAAATACATTAAATCAAAATTTCTTTTTACAGTTATTCTAGTCTCTTTAAAAGTCCTGCACTTAAATAATAATGTATCTTTTATTTGACTTCTAGAGTTCTATCCTATAATACTTACAGCTAGTACTGCCATTATCTTAACTTTGTTCTATCTGGAGGTACTGATACCACAAATCATCAATGTCTGTTTTAGTCAATATAAATATAAATATAGAAAAATAATATATTTCAGCAAAAATCAATCAAGCTTATGCACGGTATCATCTCTTCTGAACATTTTCCTCTGAAAGAACACTACTACCATCCAACCCCTAAAAGCCTTATTTTATTGTTTTTATTTCAACATCTGTCACATTGTAACAATCTTAATAAGCTCATGGAACTAGCAACCTTAATGCACAGTGAATTCTGGTTTGTTTCCATTTATATAGACTAGCTAGTAAGAACTGAATTAGTTTAACTAGTCTGTATTTTACGTCTTATTTCTAACATTGAACTATTATTAAAAAATAGAATATGGGCTTCTAGTTTTCTTCATAGTATATTCAGGTAAGCTTCACCAAGGAGGTCATCCTTGAGGCAATATTCAAGCTTCCTTGCATTGCCTTGGAGAATTTTTCTGTAGTTTTCCCTCAACATGGCTAATAGATTCTTTTTAGGAAGCATCACATCAATTGTTGCAGACCTTACTTTTCGCTTCAAGAAATAATGTCGTTTCTAGTCTCAGAATTTTTTCTGCCTAATAATTTTTTTCCTATATTTCCGAATTGTATTTCAAATTATTTATCCAATCGCAGGGACTATAAAATGTGTCCTTTTATTTCTTTTCTTCTCATGAATGCAAACAAAATGGAAAGGCAACAACACTTTAATACTTTGATTCATTTTATTAAAGTAAAATTATAGTAGAAAAGAAAGTAATTTTTAAAATGTTGCCTTTTGAAGAATAATGAAAAGAATCACAGGATAAATCTTTCCAGTGAATAAAACTTCAAGACAGAAATGCTGCCCTCCAAAATGAAAATCTAACTTATTGAAATCCTTGGGCACCTAGTGACTCCAAATGAAAATTCGATATACCATTTTTGCCTTCTGTTCTTCCTATTCATTTAACAGACTAAGCAAAATGTACACTGCAATCTTTCATAAAGGAAAAAACATAAAAAATTATTGACTAACTTACTCTGTGGATTTGATAAATTAGACATCAGTATTCAATATCAGCAATATTCTCTTTCTATGTCCTTTCCTTGAAACAACCCATAGGAAACAAAAAGAGTATAGGGAAAGCTCGATTTTTCCTTCTACTTGATTACTGTCTTTAACCTCTCCATCTCATCCCAATCTTATGACTGTTTAACCTTTTACTTTCTAGGACTTGATAAATATCTTTCCCATTTTTTAACATTTTAAAAATAGCTTATTTCTGATATGTTATTCCATTTATCACTTTGTGGCATTTTCTGGCTGTGGGAAGAACAACTCATGCAAAGCTCAGTACTAACCTTTAGATACTTTTTACAAGCCAAAAATGTCTTATTTCACCTTTTATGAATTTATTTTTGGGTGGTTTTGTTGATTAGCCACCCCACAAGTCAGGTAGGAAATGTGTGAAAAAATACAACATGAAGAGAAAATGGAAAGTCATCAGGGTGATCTCAGTATGGGAAACAGGGATTGCATTAGTTATATTTATACCGGCCCAACTTCATCACTCCCTCATAGTCCAACAAGAATCTGAACAAATGCCTTTTTGTTTCAGGACTTCTATGAAAGAATAACTTCCACTTAGAGAATATTGTTCACTGTATTTTTAAGATATAAAATTGCTAATAAGTGAGAAACACATAGCTTGAAAAGATGTGTAGTGGACTGTGATTTAAAACAAAATCACCTTCAGAGAAACAAAAGAACATGGCTTAATGGATTTACATGTTCTAATATATTTAATCATTGGTTTATGATTCTCAGTCACCCATTATCAACAGAAAGACTTTCTGATTTAGACAAAGTAGAGGCCTTCAGTATCAAATGCAGGCGGCTTTTGACTGTGGCTTGTGGCATTCCCACATAGACCAAACAGTGATGCCCTCATTCTTACTGAAGTAAGTGGACTATTGTTCCTCAAGACAAAGAAAGTCTCCCCATATATTTGTAAAGAGTGAAAGAGAACACAAACATTAATAACCACTAGGAGCTCTCTTCTCTGAAATGTTCCTTTAATGCCAATGACAAAATTGGCAAATACTGAGATCCAATTCTGCTGCCACATTTTCCTATACTGCCTTTTATTTCTTTCTAGGCTATTTCTATATACTAGAAAATTAATCCAACTCTTCCTTGAATCATAACTCATGCTAGTGATTCACTAAAATTAGTTTCTGGTGGCATATTTATTTTCTCAAAGCCAAAACATTAACACTGAAGATAATGTGATGTCCATCCTCTATCACTGGGTTGAAACTTCACATGGCTTTTAAGTATTTGGTTGCACTGCTCTCCCTCCTCCCCAATTTAAAATACTTTATGTAATGTGATATTGTATAGATCATGGATCTAGCATGGCCCTTCATTGCTCAAAGTCTGTGTTAAATTCTAAAATCCCTATAAAAATAAAATATTTAATAAAATCCACAAAATAATAAAATGTTGTGAAACTGACATTGTTTGAAACAATCCGAGCTAGTAATCCTCATTTTGTTTTTCTACTTCCATAAAAGAATAATGAACTTAAAGGAAGTTTTTCCTATTTTCAGTTTTACAATTTAATATTTTACATTTTCACAATATTCTTGTCACTCCACCCTGTCAAAACTTCACGGAATGAAGTTGCAGTTTCAGCCTACAGATGATTGAACATCATTTTTTTTTCTTGTCTCTTCTGAGAATGCTTTTTTATATGTATATATACATTATTCATGGATTTTCCTTTCCTTTGGAATCCAGAACACATTATATTTAAATGCAGAATATTTCTTATATTCTAGCTTAAATAGAAGGATATATCAGTCAACAATTGAGATCAGTGTAACAGGTTTGGTCAGTACCCTTTTCATTTGTCTCTAGAGAAAATGTTTGACACGATGAACATTCCTTGTTTGGTTTCTTGCTTCTGACCTGAGTACATTCTCTTCTTTCAAACACTGCTACTGATGTACCTGTTTTCTGGAAAAGCTGCTTCAATCAAAGATAAATGTCCATATCCCAGTAGCTTACACATCCACAAAAGGCTTAAGTATCCCAGAAAAAATTTGAGTGAATGACAATTCTTCACAGTCTCTAAAGTGTTATTGTTATGTAAGAAGAATACTAAATTAGTTAACTGATACCTGCATTATAATTCATTTATGATTGATATCTTTTGCTAATTATAATAAAACTTGATTCTGGGGATTTATATAATTTTGAGACTGTTATTATGTTGAAATAGTAATGTCTTCAGAAAACTAACCATAATAAAAATGTTGGTATCATAATTAAATAATGTGTACTAAAGTATTTTGATCACTATGGCTAAAATTCTAGATACTTTTCAATCCCTAAAGCTACAGGTTTTCTATACTTCATGCTTTGGTACTGATTGTCAAATGTCAAATTATCTTTGTTTTTGGTTCTCTCTTTAGCAATGAGTTCTTCAGCATAAATATGATTCAAGTAGACGACCTTGGATTAAGCTCTCTTTCTCAGCTACTCTCACTGCAGTGCCAATATACTGGCGGCAATATAAAGATTTTAGTAGCAATGTTTCCCTTGCATGTGATAAAACAGATAATAAATATCAGCTTTCCCCAGGTACTGACTAGCCAATACTATCTTTAAGACACTAAATGTGCTCTTCCCATAAGTTAAACACTGAAAACATACTCAGAAAGATCAACACAGACCCTTATTTTTTACAACGACATTAACCATGTTCTAATGCAGAAATACATGATCATGTAGAAAAATAACAGTACATCAGACTGATAAAAACAAATCTAATTATATTAATAATTTTAGTAGTAGGAGTAGTATAATCAATATTTAATGATGGTTTTTATAACCATTGCGGTGAGTTATTTTTTATATATTACTTAAGCTTCACTATAATATCTCTAAGGTAGATAATTTATTACTTATTTCTTTTTAAGAGGAAAAACACATTATCTGAATTAACTAGCTAGAAATTTTCAAATCTGTTTTTCATACTATTCGTCAGTCACATCCATGTTCCTTGTCACTATACTATACTCTTTTAAGGATACTAAGTTCATCTTAGGTCACCATTCCTAGGATTTATTTTATGTTATTCTCTTGAAAATTCTATTTTATCCAAATATTACTAGTCATTTAATATTTGTTAGAACTCTATCTATTATGCTATAATATGTATCAATATTTTTCTTATTCTGATAGGATATATTTAAATATGATACGTATAATCCAGTAGTATTTTCTGTTTTTATTTTTTTTAACAAGAGGCATCAAGGACACTTAGCATATATCAAGTTTTTCCAACAAGCTCTAAGAGAACGCTCAAACTTCCTGATAATTCCAAATGTTGTTTCTAAAACAGTGGTAGGAAATCTGGTAGTAGTTGAAACATTCGTAACAAGTCTAAGCTAGATGTCTTCCATTTATCCCTCCAGGTTTGTTCTTTCTCCATCTCCTCCTGCCCTCTGATCTGATTGGTTGGACTCCATGGATTATGTTAACAGGGCACTTTTACCCTAAGTACTTCTTATTTTTTAGCTCACAGGTAAGCAGGCAAGAGATTAGAGGGATGGAGGACAGTGAGCTTAGTTACATTTTTTAAATTGACTTTATTATTTAGATCAATTTTAGGTTCATAGCTGTTGAGCAGAAAGTACTCAGAGTTCCCATATACCTTCTGTCTTCCAAAAACACAACCTCTCCCACCATCAAGATCTTGAACCATAAAGGTACCTTGTTACAATCAATGCATGTACATTGAGACATCATTATCATCCAATGCTCATAGTTTACATTAGTGTTCAATCTTGATGTAAATTCTATGTGATTTCCACAAATGTATAATGACATGTGTCCACCATTACAATATCACACTGAGTAGTCTCACTGTTCTAAAAATTCCCCCACTCCACTTATTCATCTCTCCCTCCCCTAAGTGCTACCAATAACTAATCAGTTTACTACCTCCATAGACTTTCCTTTACCAGAGTAGCATATAATTGGAATCATATAATATATGGCATTTGCAGAATGGCTTTTAGTAATATGCAAATAAATATTCTCCATGTATTTTTGTGGCTCAATACCTGATTTCCTTTTAGCACTGAATAATATTCTATTGTCTTGATGGACCACAATTTATTTATCCACTCACCTAATTAAGGATAGTTTGGTTGCTTCTAAGTTTTAGCAATTATGAATAAAGCTACCATAAATATCTGTGTGCAGGTTTTGTGTGGATATAAGAATTTAACTCATTTTAGCAAATACCAAGGAACTCAATTTTTGGATGGTATGGTAGAGTCTACTTTTTGTTCTGCCTCTTTTTCCACAAGCCAGGAGACATTACAAAATGTAATGCCTAGTTGATGGTCACTCCCTTTATACCGTCATGCCTATGGGCGCTAGCAGCTCTGACCCTTGCAGCCCAGATTATGGCATTAACCTATGCAGTTCCTTTTTAAATAAACACTCTTCTTTCTCATGTGTCATCTCTTCCTTTTTTTGACATTAAGTAATAGAAAAGGCAAAGCAGACAAAGACCCAGTTCCTGTTCTTCAGCATTTTGTTATTTCCCATGTGCAATATTTAGAAAAAATATTGCAGTGTAAAGATGATGTCCTCCTAGACTTTTAACAAAATACTCTGCAATAGATAAGCTTCTTTTTATTAGAAAAGCCTGGCTGTGGGGGAGGGACATCTACACCATAGATTTTGCTCAGTTAATATATCTAATATCAAAGTACCTTTTCACTACATCAAAATGATAGTGATGCTTCCTTCATAAGAGTTTCCTATGTTTGTTCTAGGCAGAAATTACTGTCACCCCATTTGCTGCCAACAACCACGTGAAGAACTATTACTATTTACATTTTACAAGTTAGCAAAGGAATAGTCTTTTGCAAATCAAGAAGTTGAAATGGAATTTAAAATTAGGTCTAAATTCAAAGGTTTTACTTCTAATTATTTCAATTCTTCCCTCTTTTAAAATCTAAGTACTTAATGCTCTGTATAATGTTTAAATTACCTGGTTTAAATTCCAAATCACTATATTTGGAAACAAAACCATGAGTTCCCATATGCTTAGGCCATCTCTCTTCATTCCCCTCCCCTGATTTTCTAGCTGCATGCTCACTAGATGAGCAATAGGGGTCTGTGGTGTTCTTCCCCTTGCTGTCTGTCCTCCCTGTGTAGTCATCAGATGCAGACACAGAAAGCCCAAGCCCTCTGCCTCTCCCTCTCAGATATTCTGCCTCTGCACTCTCTTCTTTCTGGAAACTATCTCTCTCTTGCACTAGATTAACAATTTAATTCTGAAAACTACAGATAGAAGACAGATTGCTTTGGAAAAGCAATATGTCTGATGTTTCAGCAGTCTTGACCTAATTGAAGTGAAGAGTCAAGGGGAGGTTGTAAAGTCATACAAGGCAGGCTATGATTGTAAAATGGAAATATTGATAAATTCCTGAAAACAAATTTACTTTATTAAATTTGAATATTAAAGGCTTAAACAAATATGAGAATATAATAAAAATTATAACATCAAAACTATATGAATCCATAAAAGGAAGATTAAAAATGTCCACGGAGAATAAGAGAAGGCACTTGTCTTCTGGACATATTCAAATATTAGAGTTTTTTCTTCCTTTCTGAATATTTAGACTTCTTTCACATTTGGCTTCTCACTTAAACTCCAACCATAGTTGTGAACTACATGGACAGATACAGAACTCTTATACTTACAACGTATTTTTAGAAGCAACAAAGGTAGATAATAAACTTGCCAAATTGTTACAAAACAATTATATATATTATATTTTCCTCAGCCTAGTCTCTCTATTGAGTAGATTTTGCTTTAAACACACCAATGGAAATCATGGGAATCATAATTATTCATGTTTTCTGGTGATGCTTATAAAGAAAACTCACAAAAAAACAGCATACAGAATATAAGAGAATTAATGATGCCCCAGCTTAGAAGAAAACTAGAACTAATAAAGAATTTAATACTAGAAGTCAACAGGTTAGATATAATTAGTAATTGCCATATGAAATCAGGAAAGAAAGTCCTAATGAATAAACAGAATAAGCCAAAGTGAAACAATTAAATTAAATAGCAAACTTGCAATTGAGAGACAGTTAAGACTTTATTCAGATTTTTGGATCAAATTATTCAACCATGAATTCATTTTACTGCATATGATGAAGGGTTGTAGTTATTAGCCTTGGTAGAAGACTCAACATAATCAGCATTCTGAGATCTCAGGACTGGCTCTTTCAATATAGCATACTTTTTATGCAGACTTTGCCTAATATTACCTCATAAAAAAGTGATCACTCTTTTCTGACTTATGGCATTCCTCAGAAATTTTAGTTTACCATGACAGCTGGCTACAGTATTTTTGTGTAGGAAAAGCTAGAATTTATGTTGCCCTCAACTAATCATAAATGTGGATCCCGGTAAAATCATAATTTATAATGTAAAGATTTATTAGCTCTGTCTCCTAAATGGGTTTTCATGTACAAAATAAAGTTTTTTTTACTAGATCCATGTTATTAAGCAGCATACTATTTTATGAGTTGAATCCACCCTCTATTTGTATTTAAAGTTCTTAGGAGTGCCCTATTTATTTTTTAAAAAAGAAAACAATAAAAGAAAATTATGTTTACATAATAAAGAAAAGGGTAACTTTTCTTTATAATAATGTTTATGTTTCATGTTAACCTCAAATCAGTATCCCTACCACTTTCAAGGTTATGTTGTATTGATGAGTACATATCCTGGATGAGTTTCCAATACCCCAGTTCCCTAAAAAAGATGCAACCCACACAAACATAACGCACATCCACAGACATTCAAACCCCTCCAATAACCGTAGGTTTAACCTCAAGAATTCTGCAGAAGTAGGATTTCTTTCAACCGAGACTTTCTCTCTAATGACGCTAGATTATATATATATATAAAATCTAGATTTTTGGATCAAATTATTCAACCATGAATTCATTTTACTTCACACGATGAAGGATTGTAGTTATTAGCCTTGATAGAAGTCTAAGCATAATCAGCATTCTGAGATATATATATATATATATTTATATATATACCCATACAACACATAAAGAACATAATTGTTCATGTTTTTTATTGATACAAACAAAACAGTAATAGTAAATCTCAAGAGTCTTTGCAATGTATCGTATGCCTGACTCACAGCCAACATAACCTATTAATGTGTTAGTAGTTAACATTTAGAAGGATTTTTTTAATACAAATATTCCAAGTTAGGAATTACTCTTAACAAATGTTGAACAGCATACCACTCTGATATAGAATGTAAAAATATAAAATTTATAAGACACAAACCTAATACCCAGAGCAATGTATTATAAGAGCTCCTTAGGAAAAGATGCCTTATCAGAATGCTGTGAAATTTCACAGAGAAATAAATTATGACCAGTTTATTGAATTGATTGCTTTTTAACTAATTGGTTAATTGGCTTTTGGAGAAAGGGACAGCAGTATCTCAAGAAAAACATTATGAACAAGGTTCCTGTGGAGCTCTGAAAATATAATAGGAGCCAGGAATGGTGTGGTTCATGCCTGTAATCCCAATACTTTGTGGGAGGAGCACTTGAGGCCAGGAATTCAAGACCACCCTGGACAATATAGTGAAACTCCATCTCTACCAACTGGGTGTGGTTGGTGGTGATGCCTGTAGTCCTACCTATTTGGGAGGCTGAGGTGGGAGGATTGCTTGAGCCCAGGAGTTTGAGACTGCACTGAGCTATATGATCACACCACAGTACTTTAGCCTAGGTGACAGAATGAGAATTTTCTCTAAGAATAAAATTAAATTAAAATTAAAAGAAAGTATAATAGGATTTCAAGGAAAATAAGAAGAGTAAAACCAAACATTAGAAATAAAATACCTTTAAATATGCTGACGAATATCAAGTAGACCAGACAGATGAATGAGAGTTTTATCCATTTATTAGACATATCCAAATACCTACTATTTTTCATGTACTGTATTGACTTCCATGCCCATGCTGTGGAACCAAGAAGGTTACTGGCCAAATCCATGTGCTCAGAGAGTTTATATTTAGCAAGGATAATAAAGCAAGCAAGTAAATACATATTAATAAATATATTAAATAATTGTACATTATAATAAGGGCTGAAAAGGGAATCAACTAGGGACTTAAAATAAGAATTAAAAATTAAGAAAGGGTTGACTATCTTATTATGCTTTCATGGAATATTTCTCTGATAATGAATTATTTATGGTGAGTGCTGAAGGACTTATTATGGGATTATGGGTGAAATGGGACTCTGTGTAGAAGTAAATGCAAGTGTGAAGGTCCTGGATTTGGTCAAAGCATGGTATAGCAGAGGGAATTAGAGCAGCCTGCAAGAGCAGCATAAGATGAGGAAGAAGGCCGAGTGTGGTGGCTTACGCCTGTAATCCCAGCACTTTGGGAGGCTGAGGTGGGCAGATCACGAGGTCAGGAGATGGAGACCATCCTGGCTAACACAGTGAAATCCTGTCTCTACTAAAAGTACAAAAAATTAGCCAGACTTGGTGGCACATGCCTGTAGTCCCAGCTACTCAGGAGGCAGAGGCAGGAGAATCTCTTGAACCTGGGAGGCAGAGGTTGCAGTGAGCCGAGATCATGCCACTCCATTCCAACCTGGACAACAGGGCGAGACTCCAACTCAAAAAAAAAAAAAAGAAAAATGAGGAAGAGGAGGGTAGCAGGACCAAGATCACACAGGGCTTTTAAAACTGTGTTGGAGATTTTTAATTTTATTCCATATATAATGAAGCCATTGACAAATTACAAATAGGAATTGACATGATCCAAATACAGTATCATCCCTGTAGTTGCCCAGTAAAGAATGGTTTGAAGGATGAGAAGAATGAAAAAATATATGATAGTTAAAAAGGTGCTGTCATAGTTTAAGCAAGAAGAGATGATTATCTAAAGCAGATTGGTGGCAGCATATATGAAAATAAATGTACTGATAAATGGGCTTTGGGGGCTGAGATAGAAGAATAAAACCAACAATAAATATGGGTTTCTGGTTTCAGAAAATGGTAAGTTGGTGGTATTATTTACTGCAGTAAGAATCAGTTGGAGAGGGAAACAAACATATCAAAGAAAAAGAAAAATGCTCTTTTTGGTCAACTTAGTTCTTACATATTGATAAGAAATTGACATAGGAATGACAAGTAGGCAATCAAATGTGTGCCCTTCTAGAGGATCAGGCTAGAGATACTTATTTGAAACTTTTAGCATATTGATAAACTAAATGTCATGAGAATAAAGTAGATGATTTAGACAGAGTGTGTAAAATGAAAAAAGATTGAAAAGGAGTTGCCATTCATGTAAGAGAACAAAGAAAACAAGAATATGTGGTACCACACGACTCAAAAAGAAGTGTTTCAATATGAGACATAGAACAGATGCTTAAACACAATGCTTATAGGAGTAATTCAAATTTAATTTTACAGGCTATGAGTAGTGTTTAAATCCTATTAACATGAGTCATGTGGTTTAATTGTGGTTTCACAAGACCAACCAAACAATACTATCTGGGATGCCCTGAGAAGTAGTCATATATCAGGACAAGATAACAGACTTAGCCAAGGATGCACATTTGAGGTAAGGCAATGTTAGATGATGCGATGCTGGTGTCAGTGGGAATTAAAAACAGGATATATTTCAGATCTATGTAAAACTAATGTTCCCAATATATTGCAATGAGGAAGAAAATTAATTTGGTTGTTTTCAAACAAAATTCATTAAAGAAATCATTTACAAAAGCATATGAAAGCAAAGGGAAGAAGCTGGAAGTTTTTAGCAGATTGGTGGGGATATACCTAATGAACATCCTGTTGGAGATGTTCATAAAATATTAGAAATATTGTCTTTTTCTGAGGGGAAAACTTACTGATGTCATGATTTTAAGATATCACCAATGTAGAGTGAAGAAAAGACATCCAATGAGACTAAAATAAATGAAGTTTTAACAAAAGAGGGATTTTATTTCTTCCTAAAATAAAAGGTAGAGGTGGTCAGATAAAGAGAACTTTCTCAAAACTTAAAACCCTTGCTGATTTAAAGATGCAAGTATATGAAGAGACAAGCTTTATATTGGGAGAAAGTATCTGACAATTCCATTGTAGTAGTATATAGATGTTTCTATATCTACCTATATGTATGTATATTACTATGTCATATAACAGACATATATCTCTGACTATATATCTATGAATATGGCAAAAGATTTTTTTTATGTGAAAAGTACTTACAGTTTAATAAGAAGACAACTCAATTTTGGCCGGACGAGGTGGCTTACGCCTTTAATCCCAGAACTTTGGGAGGCCGATGTGGGCGGATCACAAGTTTAGGAAATCGAGACCATCCTGGCTAACACGGTGAAACCATGTCTCTACTAAAAACACAAAGACAAAATTAGCCAGGCATGGTGGCAGGCACCTGTAGTCCCAGCTACTCGGGAGGCTGTGGCAGGAGAATGGCGTGAACTCGGGAGGCGGAGCTTGCAGTGAGCCGAGATCGCGCCACTGCACTCCATCCTGGGTGACAGAGCAAGACTCCGTCTCAAAAAAAAAAAAAAAAAACAGAAGACAACCCAATTTTAAAATTGATCAAAGAATTTTAAAAATTCACTTTTATTTTTGTGTTCTAGAGATGGAAGTGTCACTCTGTTACCCTCACTGCAGACTCTAACTCCTGAACTCAATCGATCCTCTCACCTTGGCCTCTCTAGTCGCTGGGATTATAGGCACGAGCCACCATACCCAGCAACAAAAGATTTGAAGAGCCATGAGTATATAAAAATGGCTCAAAATCAGTAGTCATTAGGGAGGTATAAATTAAAACCATGATGAAATAGCACTACAAACACATAAGAACAGCCACACACACACACACACACACACACACACACACACACACACAAGATTGATAATACCAAAGCTGGCAAACTAGAAAAACTGAAGTTTTCATATATTGCTATAGGGAATGTGAAATGCTGCAACTACTTCGGAAAACTGTTTGTCAGATAGTGAAAATGTAAACATATATTTACAATGTGACCCAGAAATTTCTCTTAATTACCTATCAAAAAGAAACGAAGCATGTGTTTCTACAAAGACTTGCTCACAAATCTCCCTAAAATCATTATTAATAGCCTCCAAATGGACACAACCCAAATGCCAATCATCTGGTGAATGGATTAAAAAAAGGGGAGTGGATATATTCATACAATGGAATCTACACAACAGCAAAAAGGAACAAAATAGTTATAGGTGAAACAATATGGATAGATCTTAAAAACATCATGTTACATACAGTATGATACTATTCATATGAGATTTTATGAAAGACAAAACTAGGGATGTAGCAGCAGTTGCCTGAAGCTGGGCTGAGGGAAGGGATTTACTACAAAGGGACATAAGGAAACTTTTTGGGGTGATGGGAGTGTTCCAAAACTTGATGTTGATGGTGGTTGCACAACTGCGTGCATTTATCAAAGCTTATCAAACTGTACAATGAAAGGGTGAATTTCATTTCTGTAAATTATATTTCAATAAAGCTGTAAAAAATAAAATGCTGAGCTACTCTATAGAGATGATGAGCACAGCTTCTCCTGGTCATCCTCCAGGTCGCAAGTCCCCTATATTGTGTTGTTTCACCCTCCCCACAAACCCTGCTGTTTTTCTCTGCTTGGCTAACACTGGCTAATCACATTCTTTTCCACATCTTGGATATGAAAAAGGAGGAAAGTGGAAGTGGAGGGTATGAGGGTACGTGGGCTTTTTAAAGGGCATGGCTGCTAACTTCACACTGGCCTGAACTGGGGCATGTGGTTGTACGTAGCTGGAAGAAGACTGGAAAGTACAGTATATTTCTAGCTGGATGGCATCCATCTAAATTTCAGGAGGTTTTATTACTAAAAGTATAGTAATCTCAGCACTTTGTGAGGCCAAAGCTGGCAGACTCTTTAAGATCAGGAGTCTGAGACCAGCCTCTGGGATATAGCAAGACACCATCTTTACAAAAAGAAAAAGAAAATCACCTGGTTCTTGGTGGCATATGTCTGTAGACCTAGTTACTCAGAAGGCTGAGCCCAGGAGGTTGAAGCTGCAGTGAGCCATGATCACTCTGCTTCACTCTAGACTGGGCAACAGAGTGAGACCCTGTCTCAAAGAAAATAGATAAACAAAAATAAAAATAAGCTGTATGGACAGATAACTAATAGTCTCAACTATCTGGATATCTATATATTTATATTTACATCTATCTATCCAGCCATCCATCTATTTATCTATCGTTTCTCTATAACCAATCTATGTAAACATGAGGGATTGTGTACACATTTATTATAAGTTTGAAACATTTTTATTAATACCCTCAAAATGTTTTAGATATGCCTAGTTTTCAAGGATATGCAATCCATGTCTAATTCCATTGAAATACTTTGAAAATATGGATAAATTCATATGTAAGGTGAGATCACATCTTAATGAAACATTGTCCTATATTTATTGTAACCTGTTAACATTGAAATTTGAGATTTTAAATTGTATTCTTTTGCATTTGTTAGCTCAGTAGAAAATAAACAAATTATCAATGATTGCACTATGATATTTTCATATGTTTTTGGCTCCAATACGATATATGAAGAAATACATATAATGGCTGGATTGTAGTAAGCAATAAATATTTATTTGCTTAAAACATAAAAGAAAAAGAATGACAAAAACATAGAATTCTCTAAGGAATTTCCATGGGTTCCTCTTCTTTTGGATCCATAATGAGAAAATTGTTAATATTAATACATGACACCTAGAAAGTAAGATGAATTCAAAATTCAAAGTGTTGGGAGTAATGTAAAATGCCTTAACCAAAATTAAATCAAAGTAAAGATTTCTTACAAAACTGTCTGATATCCTCTAACAGCTGAGACTATGTGCTCTAGTTAGACTTGCAGTTCCCCTATATATTATGCTGGTTTACATGCACACTGTCTGATGATATTCTCTCTACTGAGAATGACCTCCTATGATTTTCACTTGTCAAATATCTACTAAACTTCAAAATTTAGCATTCTGTTGTCTTCTTGCATTTCATGGATTGAACTCAGTGTTCTTTGTTTTTTTGTTTCTTTCTTTGTTTAGTTTTTTGTTGTTGTTTGTTTGTTTGTTTTTGTTTTGAGATGGAGTCTCGCTCTGTCGCCCAGGCTCGTCTCACTGCAAGCTCCGCCTCTGGGGTTCAGGCCATTCTCCTGTCTCAGCCTCCCAAGTAGCTGGGACTACAGGCGCCTGCCACCACGCCCGGCTAATTTTGTTTTTGTATTTTTAGCAGAGATGGGGTTTCACTGTGTTAGCCAGGATGGTCTCGATCTCCTGACCTTGTGATCTGCCCACCTCGGCCTACCAAAGTGCTGGGACTACAGGCGTGAGCCACCTCGCCCAGCCCAGTGTTTCCTTTTTGTTTCTCTTCCTACCCTGAATATACTTCTATTGAGCCTCTTGTTTCATGCTGTGATCCATATATATTTACACATGTAAAGATCATAAATTTACAGGAAACAAAGCCGTGTTATCTAATATACATTAGTATTCCTAGAAGCAGGTATAATGTCTAGAACATTCTTGATAGGGTTTTTCTCTGTATCCCCACCCAAATCTCACCTTGAATTGTAATAATCCCCATGTGCCAAGGGTGGGACCAGGTGGCGATAATTGAATTATGGGGGTGGTTACCCCCATGGTGTTCTCGTGATAGTGGCTGAGTTCTCATTAGAGCTGATGGTTTTACAAGGGCCTTCCCCTTCTGCTTGGCACTTATTCTTTCTCCTGCTATCCTGTGAAGAGGTGTCTTCTGCCATGATTGTAAGTTTCCTGAGGGCTACCATCCATGCAAAACTGTGAGTCAATTAAACCACTTTTCTTTATAAATCACCCAGTTTCGGGTATTTCTTCATGGCAGCATGAGAATGGATTAATACACTTGAGAATCGAGGTGCAATAAATGTTTGTTAAATTAGCAAATGATGAAGGAATTCTACTGAACAAAAAAAAACCTTAGCAAATGACTGAGCATTTACAGAAGCAAAGTGGACAGTGCTGATATCTTTGGGCAATATTAGATTTTGAAAAGATCTTCCCCAGAACAAAGTCAATCGGCTACAGGCACTGAGTATAGATGTTCAATTTTGTTTTTCTTAGAGTAAAGGGCACATTTCTATCTTTCAAACAAATTGGTGCAATTACTGGAACCAGATAGAATTACACTGCTTGCTATTGTATGTGCTCGGTTTCCCAGAATATGGGATATACCTTCAGGGATTTATTAACAACTTTCTACAGTCAGATGATTTTAATGTTATGAATGCCCTGGACACTAAATCCTCAAGTTATAAAAAGTTTTATTTCCAGAAGTTTTTGCATAGCACGCTTATAATTGTGTTAGGAATAATACAAAATTTAACTCATAAATGTTCATTGGTCTCTTTTCCTTTTCTCAAAGCCTCTGTAGAATATGCTGACATTGTCTGATTTGCCTTAGAATCCTTATCCTGGTTTAGCAGGCTAATAATACCTTATGGGAAAGGGGTTGGGGACAAAGTTGTGCTACAGAAGTGGAGATATAGAAGGATTTTATATTTTTATAGGCGGATCATAACTGGTAGGAGAGAGAAAAATAGTGAAGAAAATAGAGTGGTAGAAGTAGAGGGTGAATACAGAGAGAATACAGATGGAGGTGCTGAGTTGGGAGGGGAATTACTAAGAGACTGCATTATCTACACATACTCTAAAGACAGAGTGAATTCATAGGAAAGATGATAAAAATAATAGAACAATGAATGTGTTTCTCTTTTGGGGATTTCAGAATACACATGTCAGCAATGTCAATTGTGTGATTACTGCAAACATTGAAGAATGCATAGTCACCCCCAAATCTTAGAATCTTATGAGATAATCTTATGAAACACACCTTTACCTACCTATCTTCCCTCCTTCCTCCCTTCCCTTCCCTTGCTTTGTTTTCTCCCACTCTCCCTCCTTATTCCTTCCCTCCCTCCCTCCTTCATTCCTTCCTTCTTCCCACTCTTTTGTCTTTCTTTCTTAAATGAATGAACATAATGTTATTAGAACAAGATCTGACATGTAATAAGCATTCAATAAATTGCACACATCATTACATTATTAAGTCTTTAAAATACAATGTAAAGAATCTTTCACTATCCCGATGGAAGCAGAATAAAGAAACACGTCGACAGTTTGATATTTAAAGATCTTTGGTAATGGTCCACACCGTGGTAAGCATCGTGCCAAATGTTAAAATAAACCTAAACCAGTCACCTGAAGAAATTTACTTTTTTAACCTATGTGGTTATAAAATTTAAGAATTTAAATATTCAGAAATGAAATATGTACTATGTATTATGTAATAGGATATGTTATATGAAATATATAATAGAATAGAAATATATACAAATTATTCTAGTTAATACATTTGTGTGCATGCTTATATATGTTAACAAGAAAAATAATTTTTTATCTGTATAAACTATTTAAAAGAAATAACTCATGGATTAAAAAATGGTCAATCTCTGACAAATACAAGTTTTCAAACTGGGGCTTTTGTGGGGGTTCTTTTCTTCTTTAAGTCTGAACTGAACATAACTGGGCTTTCTAAATGGCTAAAATTAACCACTAATCATATGGCTAGTTTATCTTTTCCGTCTGTTTTCTATCTAAATTTGATTCATCATTTTATGATTGGCTAAGGAGAATATTCTTTATGAAGTCCCCTCCTGTAATAAGATGGCTTTCTCTCCTGAAAGCTGATAGCCATTACAGACTGTTCTTCACTTATAATTAAACAAATATTACCTGTATATACACACACATATACCCATACACATGTATACACACATAGAAACATATACAAAAAATAAAATGTTCTTGTCTTCTAAGCAAAGTTATACATTTCTTTAATGGGGCTTTTTCGTTTCTTTACTCACAGCAAATAACCAAGTTCCTAGCATATCACAGGCATTAACTGAAAAATTTAGGACTTATCTAAGACTTACTCCATTTCTCTATTTTCATATTTAATTAGTTTAAGGTGTGTGGTCACTTTTACTTCTCAAACATCTGTCAAAGCAGATTCACCATCTTTATTGCTATTGCCATTGTGTTACATTTTTATGCCATCTCTTTTTACAAGGACTATTTCTACACATCTAATTGGACCCTCGATCTCTTTCTAGTCTGTCATGCAGGCCACAGATAACATTCTAGAATAATAAGGGTATAATTCTAAATTGTAAATCTGCTCATATTTATTCTCTCATATATTAGTAAGAAGATAAAAGATAAAAATTCATTTCTTTTTCCAACAATAGGGAAGATAGGTTTTTCTGCTCCAGGGCAATCTAGCAACTTTGGTCCTAAGTACTTTGCTGTTCACTGTTCATTAGGGTGCCTCTTCATTCATATCACCATGCCTTTATTCCTGACAACAGGAAGACAGAAAAAGAGAATGGAGATTAGGCAGCTCCCTATTAAGACCTGACCTATAATTTGCACACATATCTGCTCCTTACTTTTGATCAGAACTTAATCACACAGCAAAACTCGAATGCTAGCAAAAAGTTAAGGAATACTGTCTCTAGCTGATGGCCATTCCATTTTCATAAGAAAAAATCATGAAAAGATGAGTATCCTTTTTCTCATGCACAAAACATATCCCCCAAAATACTGACACGCTCTAGGAAAATAGCTCAAAATCCTATTCTGTACCCAGCTCAAAGTCAGTCCCGGATCTCTGAATGAGCGTCTTTCCAGTACATCAAATGTGGCTCCTTGTGTTACAGCAACCTGTACGTAAACACATGGATTTATTTGCTCGCCTATATGCTCAATATATCACAGTAGAGTAGGAGCAGAATAATGACATTATTCATTCAGAAAAAGAGGAATGAAGAATACATAATAATCATTCTTCTATAGTAGTTATCAAATTGTACTTGGCAAAAATCGTGAAGATCATTCTTTGGCAACTCCTAAGTCCATCTGCCACTTTAATTTTTGCATGCTGGACATAACTTTCTCTGCTTTGGATTCATGGTCCTGGGCTCTGCCCTTTGGAAGGATCTCCTCATTTATTATTTTCTATGGCCATTACTAATGTTGGTATTGGAAGGTATGCCCTACTAAGGCCTGCCCAGCTTTGTGCTGGCACAGAATTTATAGTACTAATTTTTCTTTGGGGCTTGAAAGGACATAGACGTTTTCTAGCCAGGATGTGGTTTCTTTGACCACATGCTTCAACTTTGTAGGATTTTTTTTTTATGCTTCCAGTTAGTTTCTTGTACCAGTACCTATAGACAAATACTTCTAGACATGGTTTTTACATGGTTTGCATCTCTATGTTCCAGAATATCCTTCTCCTTCAGGCTATTTGTGATTACCTTAATGTGATCTCTACCAATATATTCTTAAAAATGGAACAACATGAATCTAATACTTGCCACTAGGCTAATTCCCGTTAGCACTAGGTAACAAGGGACATTTAAATGGAAACTCTGAAACAAGCTTGAGGCCTCAATTGTCATGCTGTTGGAGGTTAAGCAGTGGTGGTCATTACAACACTGAAAAACCCCACATAATTTAATCCTTGGTCAGTTTATATTGATATGATCAGAAAGAAGTCTCTACAGTAGGACAATATTCCTTGCTCTTTCTGCTTGAAATTAATTCCTTTCTGAGCTCATATTTATCATGTTACCTTGTTAAGAGCTACAGAATTAAAAGCAACAAACAGAGATATTCTAATATATATTTTTTCCCTTTAAGTGTCAGGATACATGTGCAGAATGTGCAGGTTTGTTACATAGGTATACATGTGCCATGGTGGTTTGCCGCACCTATCAACCTGTCATCTAGGTTTTAAGCTCTGCTTGCATTAGGTATTTGTCCTAATGCTCTCCCTCCCCTTGCCCTCCACCCCCTGGCAGGCCCCAGTGTGTGTTGTTCCTCTCCCTGTGTCCATGTGTTCTCATTGTTAATGCCCACTTATGAGTGAGAACATGAGTGTTTGGTTTTCTGTTCCTGTGTTAGTTTGCTTAGAATGATGGCTTCTAGCTTCATCCATGTCCCTGGAAAGGACATAATCTCATTCTGTTTTATGGCTGCATAATATTCCATGGTGTATATGTGCCACATTTTCTTTATCCAGTCTATCATTGATGGGCATTTGCGTTGGTTCCAGGTCTTTGCTATTGTAAATAGTGCCGCAATAAACATACATGTGCATGTGTCTCTATAGTAGAATGATTTATAATCCTTTGGATATGTACCCAGTAATGGGATTGCTGGGTCAAATGGTATTTCTGGTTCTAGATCCTTGAGAAATCGCCACACTGTCTTCCACAATGGTTGAACTAATTTACACTCTCACCAACAGTGTAAGAGCTTCTGCACAGCAAAAGAAACTATCATTAGAGTGAACAGGTAACCTACAGAATGGGAGAAAAGTTTTGCAATCTACTCATATGACAAAGGTCTAATATCCAGAATCTACAAGGAACTGAAACAAATTTACAAGAAAAAAACAAACAATGCCATCAAAAAGTAGGCAAAGGATATGAACAGACACTTCTCAAAAGAAGACATTTATGTGGCCAACAAACATATGAAAAAAAGCTCATCATCACTGGTCATTAGAGAAATGTAAATCGAAACCACAATGAGATACCATCTCATGCCAGTCAGAATGGGAATTATTAAAAAGTCAGGAAACAATAGATGCTGGTGAGGCTGTGGAAAAATAAGAATGATGGTCTAATATATTTCTAGCCATTTCTAGAGCTACAGATTCTGTATAAATGTGACCTGCATTCCAATTGTCATAGGAGGTTATTTTACTTAATGCTCCCCACAACGTGAACAGGATCAGAAGAGTTCCATTCTGTGCTATTTCTTTTATTGCTTCCCAGTCCCTGGTTATGAAGCCAGTGTCACATAGGTTAGGATTTTATTCCCCATGCATCTTATTGCTAGTTTTGTTTTTTTTTTATGCACAGGGTATGCACTAAGTTTCTGTAACCAATAGCCTACCCCTCCAAATATAGAGGTTTAAGAAAGTAGATATTAATATCTTTCTTACACAACAATTCGGGAGTTGGTGAATAGTCCAGAAAAAGTCAGGCTTTTCCTTCCAGAATTAACCAAGGGACATAAATTCCTTGTCTTCTTGCTCTGCATTCTTCTCAGGAATGGGATTCATATACATGATTATAGTTGATTCACTATGACCAGCATAACATTACAGTCTTTAGGAAGGGGGAAAGGGAGTGGAGGTGAGCAACTGCTTTTTAAGGCCATCGTTTGAAACTTATACATGTCAATTTTTGCTCATATCCCATTGTCACAAATCTAATTTCATAAATATATCTGGGTAAAGAGAGGCAAAGAAGTAGTCTTCTGACTTTTCAGCCAATAACCCACTTTAAAAGGCTAGGGTGTGGGCAGGGGTTTTCTGTTACTGAAGGAAAAAAGAGGGAATAGATATTTCAGAGAAAATTAGTGATATATGAACTCAAATCCTAGTCCTTTCTATTCTATTAGCTCCTGACAAAAATAACAGGATAAAATACAAACTACATAGAATGGTATACCAACATCTCCATAGCCATTATTTTTTTTTAACAATAATGCTAGAAGGGTGAAATAGTTTGTCATATGTGTTATTATATCAAATCATTAATTTGTATTTTTCTTCTGCTATAACAATCAAAAGGCAATAACAATAACAACTTAAGTTTCTCTAAAGTTCACAAACAATTTCTTAGTACAAAGTGGTTTGATGGGTTACAATGGATAATTAAATGGATATTTCTCCAGCTTAGTTTGTAGAAGTAATGGTGGAGGGAAAAAAGTTGCCCAAGGTAAGGTGACTTCTATGACATCTGTTTCTATGAGCCATTTATTAAAGCAATTCACCACCCAAAATTATTCTTTGTCTCTGTCACACACATAAGGAAATAAGCCATTATTATTTGTGGTAGTGTTGTGATATAAGTAGCCCTCACTGTAATCAAAATATTTCACCCTGTGTGGAACCTAAAATCAGCAGTTGGAGGGTTGAAGTGGGAGACAGTTGATTCAACTTGTTCTTTGATAAAAGACATTAATGCAATGGAGGAAGTATAAGTTTCCTTTGGTTTGAATAAATTTGCCTCAAGATATTGCACTTTGTTACATTCCACTTTCAGGCAATGAACCCTGAAATATATGTGGCACAGTCTTTTATAGAATGCTTCTTTGCTGTGAAAAGTGGAATTATTCTGTCTTGTTATTAAGAATATTATAAATGTCCCTCTAGGAGCAGAAGAGCATGTGGCTTAAAATTTACCTTGGTTTAGAAAACATGCATTACTGGTGTTCCTGATTTACACTGCTGTTTACATTTTTAAATTACTAAATTCTCTCCATTATACTCTCCTTTAGATGTGTGTGTATATATATAATTTATATACATACATACATATATATGTGTGTGTATATATAAATATATATAATGACAAGTTTAGAATTTTAACTATGTTGAATTATGTAGAAATGAGATTTTTAAATATAAGCCTGTCTCAAGTTGTCACGGGATCCTTAGGATGTTGCTTTACCAGCTGGAAATGTCTGTCACCAGTGGCCCCTTTGCCCAAGTTTTGCTTGGGCCCGCTGGGCTTGTTCTGCCCACATGGGCTGGCAGACTGTGCTTGGCTTTCACTACCAACCTAGATCCCATGCCTGCCAAAGGTAAGCCAGGCACAGAATGAGGGGGTATGTGAGTAAGCAAGTGTGGGGTCTGGCCACTGTGCACAGCCAGGCACGCTGGCTGTGGTGGGTCAGGCAGCTACAGGCACCAGCACTGGTGCCAGCACCAGGGAATGCAGTGGTGCCCAGAAACTTGGAGATACAAGGAACTGCAGAGCCCCAAAGACAGCGTCACTGCCCTGGCTTAGGGAGCTCCTAAGTCTGGGCTCCCTGAAGGGCTGCAGCTCTTCTCTCCTCCTCTCTTATTTTTCTCATTGCCTGTAATGTGATGAGGCAGGGAGGTGTTTCAGCCCTGTTTGTGTTACAGCTCTTTCAGTCTGGCAGGTCCCAATTTCTTGTCCCACATCCAGGAAGAGTGAGGTACATGAACAATTGGAGGGTGAGCAAGGCAAAGAGGTGCTTTATTAAGCAACAGTACAGCTCTCAGGAGACCCAAAGTAGTTCTCTCTTTCTTCAGGAAGATTGTCCTGATGAGTGCAGCTCTCAGCAGAGAGGAGATTGCATCAAGTGTGTAGCCCTCCCTAGAGAGGAGTCTGAGACTGGATAGCTCCTTTCTGCAGGCAGGTCCTCCTGATGAGTGTACAGCTCTCAGCAGAGAGGAGGCCCACAGTAGGTAGCTCTTCTCCACAGGCAGGATGTTCCATCATCTACCTGAATCTGGCTGAGTCCAGGGTTATTATGGGCTTTAAATGGGAGGAAGTACATGCTGATTTGTCTATGGGAGGCTATGGGTGGGCCCTGAAAAAGCACCATATCTTCTCACTTTGGTTCATGGAACTGGCAGCCTAGCTCCCAGCTCCAGGTCTTCTCAAGCCTGAAGTTGGGGCTTCACCAGTGACCTGTGCTTTTCTGTCCAGGAGCCTGTCTGCCTCCCGCCACCATCAGCCTGCCATCCCCAGTGCCCAGGCCATTCCCCGTGGAGGGGAACCTGCAGGCCTATGCTGAGCTGCCCTCAGGCCACTTCAGCCTCTCTCCCATGCTCATTGCTGCCCAAAATCCAGAGGCAGCCGAGGCAACAGGAGGGTGGTGTGTCAGCACCACCCCAAGTGTGTGCACACCTGGACAGCACCCAAGGTTGGCCACAACTTTGCTCCAGAATCGAAGTGGGTTCTGGGAGCTGGGAGAGGCCAGGCAGTGGGAGCAGGCACTTTCAAGCCTGCAGGGCAGAGGGGCTTCCCAGGCCCCCAAGAGCACAGGGATGCCTGGATCCGCAGCCATGGCTGGGTGGCTGCAACTGTGACTGGGAGCATGGACCCGGCTCCTACCCTGCCAACTCTGAAAGGGGCGGGGCTCCCGCCTGTTCCCAGCTCCCACGGACTCCACAGAACGTACAGCCATGGCCGCGGCTCCCCCCACTGCAGCTGGAATCTTTGCAGCAGCCGCTCCAGACAGTCCACTGCTGCATCAAAGTCATTGAAGTTAATGTTGAAAATGTTAGGTTTTTATGCACAATTAACAGATAAAATTCAAGATTACTTTTGCTATATTCAAAATCCATTCAATATATAGTTTTAAATATTAATTGAATTTACAGTTTTCTCAGGAGTTAATGGAATTCTTATATCAAAAGTAAAATACCTGAGTCAAAGGAATTTTATTAATATATTCAACAAAAGAAGTCGTGTAAGCTTTATTAATCAACAACTACATCACAGAAAACAACATTCTGGAAATTTTAACTTTTACTATTTGTTAACATGCTGCATTTTTTTTTCTTTTTTTAGAAATGGGCTCTTGCTATATTTGGCCTGACTGGTCTTGAACTCCTGGACTCAAGTGGAGCTCCTGCCTCGACCTTCTGAAGTACTGGGACTACAAGCATAAGCCACTGTGCCTAGCTACTTGCTGTGTTTTAAAGGTATGGAGTACTGGGACTGTAATTACTTGCATGGATTTTGAGGTTTTCTTTAGAAACCATCATGTCTTTATATTATTTCTGACTCTTTTGAATACTAAAGGAAAAATGACAAGAATGATTTTATTTGTAATTAATTTTTATTTTTATATTAACAAGTATATATTTTAAATGCAAACTTTTGTTTAAAAGCTTATAACAGAGCATTATTTCGGTTCTCCATTCCCCTCTTTCACACAAGGAAATTGGATTCTGCTTTTCAGTCCACTGCTTTCAACCCTTTTAAAAAATTGTTCAAGAGAGGGGCTGGCTTTTACTTTTCTATTTATTTATAATTTCAATGTTCCTATAGTCAATCATTAATATTATTTTGATATTATCTATTGATTCTTTGTTATTATTACAGTTGTATAGTCCCACATATTATTTTCGAGAACCCCTAGATTTATTTCTATTCATTTAATCTCACTTTTTGTCAAGCCATCTTTTAAGAGTTTTTCAAGAAGGGTACTAGGGAATAAATTTTTGATAATTCATTTTTCTGAAATTAGCTTTATTTCTTTCTTTTCCTAGGTTTAAGGTTTCTGTAGTTTTAAGGTTTTAAGATTAAAATAATTTCACCTCAGACTTATGAAGGCAGCGCTCCAGTCAAACCTGATTCCCATACTGCAGTTTCAGAGTGAGAGAGAAGGAAGAAGGAGGAAGGCAGGAAAGAAGGAAGGGAGGGAGGGAGGGAGGGGGGAGGGATCAAACTTGATTCTCAATGTTGTTGAGGAATTTAACACTGTACTTGATTCTTTTATCATGATCTTGTTTTTACCCTGGAAAATTCTGGAATTGGCTGCTTATTCTTGGATATCTAAACTTTAAAAATTATATTAAATCCTGCATTTGTTTTTATTTTGTAATATTTGAACTTGGAAGCCTTTTTCTATCTTGAGTTTTATGTCCTCGAGTTCCAGTAAATATTTTTGTAATATTTTATTGGAAATTTCCTCTAACTTTGTGAATGCTTCCTTAATTTTCTAAAATTTCTATCTTCTCAACTCTTCACTTTATTATACTCTTTGGGAGATAAACTTCAACTTGCAACCTGTCGCTAATTTTATCAAATTTCAGCTTTCATGATTTTAAGTGCTGATTAATATTTCTTATTTTCTATCATTTCTTTTTGTAGAAGCTCATTCTTTTTCACAATGCAATATATTATATTATCCCTCTGATAATTAAACTTTCTTTGAAATGCTCTCTGCTTAATGTTTCTCACAGTTTGCACTAACTTCTCCCTTTATTTAGAGTCTTTCACTTCAAAATGTCTGATGACTTTTTAAAATTAAGTATCTAGAAAGTTGACAATTTCTTAAGGGTGAGCAAACCAACCCCAAAGGTAGCAGAAGACAAGAAATAATCAAAATCAGAGCCAAACTAAAAAAAAAAAAAGAGACTCAAAAAACCATCCAAAAGATCAAGGAATCCAGGAGTTCGATTTTTGAAAAAATAAATAAGATAGGCCACTAGCTACACTAATAAAGAAGAGAGAATATTGAAATAAAAAATTAGAAATGACAAAGGAGATGTTACCACTGACCCTACAGAAATACAAATAATCCTCAAAGACTACTACAAATACCTCTGTGCACACAAACTAGAAAACCTAGAAGAGATGAATAAATTCTTAGACATATATACCCTCCCAAGACTGAGCCAGGAAAAAATTGATTCCCTGAACATACCAATAATGAGCTTCAAAATTAAATCAGTAAAAAATAGCCTACCAGCCAAAAAAAGCCTGGGACCAGATGAATTTACAGCTGAATTCTACTGGATGTACAAAGAAGAGCTCGTGCCATTCTTATTGAAACTATTTCAAAACATTCAGGTGGAGGGATTCATCCCCAACTCATTCTGTGAGGCCAAAATCATTTGTATACCAAAACCTGACAGAGACACAATAGAAAAAGAAAACTTTGGGCCAATAACTTTGATGAACACTGATGCAAAATATCTTCAACAAAATACTGGCAAACTGAATACAGCAGCACATCAAAAAGCTATCTACCACGATCACTGGGATGCAAGGTTGGTTCAACATATGCAAATCAATAAATGTGATTTATCACATAAACAGACCTAAAGACAAAAACCACGATTATTTCAATAGATGTTGAAAAGGCTTTTGATAACATTCAACATCACTTCATGTTAAAACTCTAAAAAAAAAACCTAGGTATTGAAGGAAAATGCCTAAAAATAATGAGTCTTCTTAGTATGACAAACCCACAGCCAATATCATACTGAATAAGCAAAAGCTAGAAGCATTCCCCTTGAAAACTGGCATAAGATGAGCATGCCCTCTCTCACCACTCCTATTCAACATGGTATTGGAAATCCTGGAAATCCAAATAGGAAAAGAGGATGTCAAACTATCCCTGTTGGTAGATGACATGATTCTATATCAAAAAGACCCCATAGTTTCAGCCCAAAAGATCCTTCTGCTAATAAACAACAACTTCAGCTGCTAATAAATAACTTCAGGATACAAAATCAATGTACAAAATATCACTAACATTCCTATAAACCAACAACTGTCAAGCCAAGGGCCAAATCAGGAGCACAATTCCATTCACAATTTCCACAAAAAAGAATAAAATACCTAGGAATACAGCTAACCAGGGAGGTAAAATATCACTACAATAATTACAAAACATTGCTCTAAGAAATCAGAGATGACATAAACCAATGGAAAAACATTCCATGTTCATAGTTTAGAAGAATCAGTATCATTAAAATGATGATATGGCCCAAAACAGTTTACAGATTCAATATCATTCCTATCAAACTACCATTGACATTCTTCACAGAGTTTAAAAAGTCTATTTTAAAATTTATATGGAACCAAAAAAAGAGCCTGAATATTGAAGGAAATCTGAAGCAAAAAGAACAAAGCTGGAAGCAGCATGTTACCCAACTTCAAACTATACTACAGGGCTACAGCAATGAAAATAGCATGGTACTGCTATAGAACCAGACAGATAAACCAATGGAACAGAATAGAGAGCCCAGAAATAGGGCTGCACACCTACAACAATCTGATTTTTGACAAAGTTGACAAAAACGAGCAATACAGAAAGAACTTCCTACTCAATAAATACTGAAGTAACTGGCTAGCCATATGCAGAAGATTGAAAATGGACCTCTTCCTTACACCATATACAAAAATCAACTCAAGATGAATTAAAGCCTCAAATGTAAAACCCAAAACTATAAATATCTTGAAAGACAACCTAAGCAATACCTTTCTGGACATAGGAACTGGAAAATATTTCATGATGAAGATGCCAAAATTAATCATAAGAAAAGCATAATTGACTAATGGGATCTAATTAAACTAAAGAGCTTCTGCACAGCAAAAGAAAGTTCAACAGAGTAAACAGACAACCACACAGAATGGGAGAAAATATTTGCAAACTATGCATCTGACAAAGGTGTAATATCCAGCATCTATAGCAATTAACACATTTGTAAGACAAAAAAAACAACCTAATTACAATTGGGCAAAGGACATGAACACTTTTCAAAAGAAGACTTACATGTATCCAGCAAGCATATGGAAAAAAGTTTAATATCACTAATCATTAGAAAAATGCAAATCAAAACCACAATGAGATACCATCTCACACCAGTCAGAATGGCTATTATTAAAAAGTCAAATAATAACTAATCCTAGCAAAGCAAGGCAGTGGAGAAAAGAGAATGTTTACACTCTCTTGGTGGAAGTGTAAATTAGTTCAACCATTGTGGAAAGTAGTGCAGTGATTCCTCAAAGAGCTGAAAACAGAACTACCATTTGACCCAGTAATCCCTTTAATGGGTATATACCTAAAGGAAATACATTGTTTTACCATAAAGACACAGCAGGCAAATGTTCATTGCAACACTATTCACAATAGCCAAGACATGAAATCAACCTAAATGCCCATCAAAGACAGATTGGGTAAAGAAAATGTGGTACATACACACCATGGAATACTATGCAGCCATAAAAAAGAATGAGATCTTATTCTTTGCAAGAACATGGATGGAGGCCATCAAACTTAGCAAACTAATGCAGGAACAGCAAATCAAATGCCACATATTCTCATCTATGAGTAGGAGCTAAATGATGAAGTCACGGACACAAAGAGGGAAACAGTAGACACTGGGGCCTACCTGAGGGAGAAGGGCATGAGAAGGGAGAGGATCAGAAAAAATAATTACTGGGTACTGGGATTAGCACATGGGTGATGAAATAATCTGTACAACAAACTGTGACACAAATTTATCTATGTAACAAACCTGCACATGTTCCCCTGAACCTAAAATAAAAGTTTAAAAGATAATAATAATAATAAATTTTTTTAATTACTAAAAAAGTTTTTTAAAAAGGAGAAACATTTCTTAAGGGTGGATGGACCTGGTTTGTCAAGTGGCAAGATAATTTGTACTTTCTGTTTTGTAGTTGGTGCTCTTCTTCACAAATTGTTAGTTTCTGGCAGTTATTCTCTAAACCCATTCTATTACCACAACAGGAAATCCCCTCCTCTATTGTGAGAAGACAGAAAGAGTGGAAAAAATTGGGAGTAAGAACAGCAGGAAATAATCTCACCCACCTTGTGGGTCTTTAGTGAGGGAACCTGACTCTTTCCACACAATGTATTCTGTTGAGTTTTATTCATTCTTATTATATATTGCCCCATTCTTTATCTCTACTCCCCTATGAAGCCTCCAAGGTTCATCTTCGTAAACACAGTTGCCTAGGAAAGTTGGTGGTGAGGGGACAGGTGTTGTCGGGGATCTGGCCCCAATTGTAATCCATTAAAGGCATTCAAAAACAATCCCTTCTTTTCTGAACCTCTCTCCATCACAACCGTGTATTCCACAGAAGTTTTTACCTCTAATTTCTGAAATTTTCTTAATTTTTGTAACGTGAAACAATTTTATTCTTTGTGTGATCATGGGCAACTTCATTTATCCACTTTTGTTCTTCACATAAAGGTAACAAATATAGTCCAGATTTGTTGAATTTGAACGCCATGCTATTTTACTGTTTCTGGCTTGCTTTATTACTTGTAAATGATTTTGGAGCCCAGGAATTATTTAATATCAACAAAGACAGCTGAGTTTTTTTTTAAGTATAATCAATAAAGTGTTATTTTTGTGGCTTCTTCACTCCTGTAGTTTGGCAAGTGGGAGAGAGCGTTACCACTCTTGCAGTTTGTTGAGTTCCGAGTTCTTGTTTCATGACCAAGAGAAATGAGGTACGCAGACACTGGAGAATAAGTCAGAGCTGAATTTTATTGAGCAACATAAAGAAAGCTCATAGCATCAAGTGGGTACTCAAAAGAGGGTTGCTGGCTGCAAGGCTGAGTCCAAGGTTTTTATGATCTTAGAATGGGGAAATGTGTGCTGATGGGTAGGCTTGGGGAAAAAACACCATTCAGAAAGAGGTACAACAGTGTAAAGAACTAATCAAGGGCTGAAGTGAAGTCTTGGCCCAGGACCTTCGTCCAGGACCAATCAGCACACCAAACAGGAATGGAAGTTCTCACTCCAGTTTACAGACTCTATCCAGAACTGGTAGTTTGGTGTTCAGACTTCAGACTGTCTTTGGCTTGAAGGTCAGGTTTCTCTGGGGACCCATGCTTGTCTGCCTAGGAATTTATCTGCCTCCCATTGCTATCAATATTTAGCTGCTTTTACATTGTTTTGTAGAAGTAACAATAAAAATAAAAAATACATTCCATTTAAAAGTTTTCTTGTCCCTCCAAAATAAGTAAACCAAAAGCCCCTTCATGAGTTCATTCATTCAATGGCTATTTTTTTACTAATGTGCCAGGCATTATGCTGTTGACTTGAGAGTCAAGGGTGAATAAAATTTTTTACTGTGTGGTAAGAGGTGCAGATAATTAAACAGACAATTACACAGTAGTGTAAACAGTGTTTTGTGGGAGCTTTTAAGAACAACATCTGTTTCAGAATTATGGGGTCAAGCAAGGGTTAGCACCTAGTGCAGAAAATGATGTCTAAGATGACATCTGAATGTAGCCAGGTTAATTTGAGAAGGGAAGAATGTCACAGCAGAAGCATGGGAAGACTTGAGGCAGAGAGAAAGCACAGTGCATACAAAGAAATAAAGTAAGTTTAGTATACGGCTTATGGGAACTGGGATTCAGATACAAGTTAGGTGAGAAGCATGAAGAGGTAAGCAGAGGTCAGACACTCAGTGCCTTAAAATTAATGTGAAGGTACTTTAATAGTTATTATGGGAAGTGGGGCATTCCTCTAAGCTGAAGTGCATTGGGGTCAGGTGGAAAAAGTCATTAATAAAGGTAAGAGATATTAGAAGGTAATGATGTAATCTAGGCTAAATATTTTGGAGGCACCTAATAGAATTGTAGCACTGAGGACAGAAAAAATTAGACCTATCAGCACTATCATTTTAATAATGCATAATTAGACAATTGGGTAAAATAAGGATACTTTCTATTGTTTCCCATTTTCACTTATCTTCATGCTTAAAATCAAATCAACTTTCTATCTCTTACATATTGCCAGCAGCAATTGAAGAATAAGTTTATCTGATTACTAAAATTCTCAGTGATTCATAGTTTAATCTGTTTAGTCTCTTAATCTGATTGTTGGAAGAACAACTTTGAATGAATCATGATAGGATGTCAAGAACACTTTCTGGTGGTCACAATTTTCTTAGCGTGTTTCTAGGTGATGATGCTTCAGTCATTAAGCATAGATCTACAATGTAAGCAGCAGTAAAGAATCTACAATTGCCACAGGTTGTGAAACTACAAATTAACAATTTTAATGACTTTACTTGTCAAAATTACCTCATTCTCTAAACTGTCATATGCAACTTCAAAACTTCATGAAAATGTCATTTCTCTTAAAAATGATACGGCAGGGTGTGGTGGCTCACACTTGTAATCCCAACACGTTGGGAGGACTGCTTGAGGCCAGGAATTTAAGATCAACCTGGCCAATGTAGTGAGACTCCATCTCTATAAAAAAGTTGAAAAAATAATAATAGTTGATTTAAAAATGTAGAAAGTAGAAATGTTTCTGACAATAAACAATTCAAAAATATTGTATCACTTAAAATATAATCTTGATAAGGAAAATATGAATTAAGATGAATATAGTAAATAGATTTAGTTAATAGTCTACTATGTAATTGAACAAATTAATAGAGAAACTTACATTTTTAGTAGGTCCTAAAGCTCTGTATAACCATCATGTCCATCTATCATGCCATCCCCATAATGAGGAGTTATAGAGCAATTGATAAATTAGTAGTAAAAAGACTTACCTTTATTTAACATCTACTATATGTTCATACATAAACAATAGTTTTTGAGAGAGAAATTTAAAGTACCTTAATGTTATCAAATTCCCATTGGAGAAAAATGAGATCTATGCTAGTCTACACATCATACCAATGAGAGAATTGACAACACCAAAGAATTAATAATTACCCTAGTATCACAAAATCAGCAAGTGGCAGAGCCAGTGTTTGGAGTGAGGTCTGATAACCTTCATTATTCGTGTGTTTTCCACTGTTCCCTGCACCTCATGTTCTTTAACATAATACCTCAATAAGGCAAATGTTGGAAAAACAGTATTAATTGGACTTTTGGCTTTTTGTTAACTTTTCTATTTTTTGTGTATTTACCTCCGCATTATTTGCATATTTACTATCCAGGTATTCATTCCTTCATCAAAAGTATTTATTGAATGAATTGGTATTATTCACTGCTCCTGCCTCAAGAAAACTGACTTGTAAAGCTAATTAACACTGTGAGACAAGAATAAAGTGCTATCACAAGAAAGTATATTATTAACAACTATGACATTGTACACATAGGAATGCTTTTGAAAAGGAAAGAGCAAGATAACTGCCTATTCAGGCATTAGAAAATAATTTTAAAAGCAGAAATTTTACAATAATAAATATTCGCCGCCCTTTCCAGGGATACTCTTGTAGAATTAGTGTGCTTAATAATTCTGAAAGACTTTTCCCTTTCATAATGTATCTGTCTTTGGAATTTAATTCATATTGCCTGTGCTACAAGTTGGATTCTGACATTGCTGGCATCATTGAAAAGGCACCACAAACTAACTGATATCTCAAAATGTTGATACTTCAGTTATTCTCATTTTAACATGTCCACTTCCACAAATTCACCAAGACCTCTAGTACAAGTTTGCTGAATCATATGCTTCCATAAGACACAGCCTTTCCTACACGATTAGACAACGTAAAACAAAATGGAATGCACCAGAACAGAACAGCATAAGAGATTACACATTCTTTTGCTGTTGTTATGGTTGTTGTTAGACGGGATCTTACTCTGTCGCCCAGTTTGGAGTTCAGGCATGATCTTGGCTTACTGCAACCTCTGCCTCCCAAGCTGAAGAAATCCTCCTGCTTCAGCCTCCTGAAGAGCTGGGACCACAGGCATGCACCACCATGCCTGGCTAATTTTTAGTATTTTTTGATATAGTCAGTCAGGGTTTTACTATGTTTCCCAGGCTGGTCTCAAACTCCTGAACTCAGGCAATCCACCCGCCTCAGCCTCCCAAAGTGCTGGGATTACAGGCATGTGCTACCGTGCCTAGCCACATTCTTCTATAGACACATTATAAAGCAAATCATGTACATGAAAGCCCAGTTTGTCCAAGACATTTGCATTCATTTCGCTCAAATTTTATGATGTCATCGTGAACCACTAATCCTTTCTTTTGCTAATCTATAACTTGCAAAGCTAATTCAGTATAAATGCTGAATTTTTCAAATCAGATTTTACAAACACACATAAAAAGTATTGAGCAAGTAAGATTTCCATGAAATAAACCATAACATGGTTAGGAAGAGCCAACTACTTCAAATAAGATAATAACAGAAGAGTGACCAAGATGACTTCTGGATGAGAATTTTTATTTCTATCCTCCCAATTTTTGTTTGACAGACTTTCTGTTTTATAGGTTTCCTCATATTAAACAACAGTGTTTCAGAAAAGATAAGTGGTAAAACCAGCGTGAAGAGACAGACAAAAAAATAGGTTTTTAAACTTCGAAAAGTTGCAAAAAGTTGCAATAAGAAGTTTGTTTAAGACTAAAGATAGACTTCATAAAACATATCAAGAGATTTTGGTGGGGCTTGGCTGCAGGCATGGAAGTTGAGCTCATTAGGAAAAAAAAAATGCTCCTTGTTGGGATATATAGAAGAGGGACTGAAGAAGCTTTAAGATTATATTGGAGTGAAGTTGGTGTTTTGCTTTCAGAAAATGATGATGATTATAATTTGCATTTTGAATAATTACTCCATATAGGCAGAACTCCTGTGCCAGGAAAGGCAGTCTTATGTATCTTTTCATCCCCAATCGGCCATAGAAGAATGGGTCTTGGTCCTGGTACACTTCATTATCAAGTGATACATAGTCTGTGATGAACTTATCACCTTGAGCAGGAATGTCTTTCCCTGTTTCAAGCTCAATGTGCACTCCCTTGTTCTGCTTAAGCACGTGCCTCAGGGCTTCTGACTTACCCCTAGCTTTCAGTATTTTATATTCCACAGAGTGGGAGAGATTTCTTCCACTGCAGCACTAGAGGTGTGCTTGTAAGCAAATCGCCCTGCTTGGGCTCCCAGGGAACCCACTAGCCCTGATGGACCAGTGCAGACTATTGGAGCAGATGTTGTTCTGCCTCTACATGTAAGTAAAGCCTTGGTCCAACCAGTGATTAATCATGTAGTGTTTTCCTTGGGAACTCTGATACCAAGAGTCCGTTCCTGGAACTGACAACTGAGTCCACAGTGGACTGCTCAACAACTAGATTGTTATATTTGCTATATAATTTAATGCAGTCTTCAAAATACCCCTATTGTTAGGCATCTTATCAACATTTTAGAAACAGGAAAACATGTTTCGAAGAAACGAAGTAACTTTGCAAACTTTATTACAGAGTAAATGATAAAATTGTAATCAGCTCTGTCTTAACACAAATCATGGATTTTCTTTACTATGCTGTCAAGGTTAATCATCATTAGAATGTTGGCCCAGGCTTTCTTTTCTAGTCCATAGAAATTCCTCATATAATATTAAGACATAAACATATTTTAAAAATATATAATACTGGTTTTCCCCTGGGTCAAATTGTGTCTGGAATTGTGTCTGGTTCTTGGTCTTGCTGACTTCAAGAATGAAGCCGCAGACCCTCACGGTGTTACAGTTCTTAAAGATGGTGTGTCTGGAGTTTGTTCCTTCAGATGTGTCCAGAGTTTTTTCCTTCTGGTGGGTTCCTGGTCTCGCTGACTTCAGGAGTGAAGCTGCAGACCTTCACGGTGGGTGTTACAGCTCTTAAAGGCGACGCATCTGGAGTTGTTCCTTCCTTCTGGTGGGTTCGTGGTCTCGCTGACCTCAGGAGCGAAGCTGCAGACCTTCGTGGTGAGTGTTACAGTTCATAAAGGTGGCGCGTCCGGAGTTGTTTGTTTCTCCTGTCCGGAGTTGTTCGTCCCTCCCGGTGGGTTTGGGGTCTCGCTGGCTTCAGGAGTGAAGCTGCAGACCTTCACAGTGAGTGTTACAGTTCATAAAGGTGGTGTGGACCCAAACAGTGAGCAGCAGCAAGATTTATTGCAAAGAGTGAAAGAACAAAGCTTCCACACTGTGGAAGGTGACCCAAGCAGGTTGCCGCTGCTGTCCCAGGTGGCCTGCTTTTATTCTCTTATCTGGCCCCTCCCACATCCTGCTGATTGTTCCATTTTACAGAGAGCTGATTGTTCCATTTTACAGAGAGCTGATTGGTCCGTTTCACAGAGAGCTGATTGGTCCATTTTGACAGAGTGCTGATTGGTGCATTTACAATCTTTTAGCAAGACACAGAGTGCTGATTGGTACGTTTACAATCCTTTAGCCAGACACAAAAGTTCTCCAAGTCCCTACCAGATTAGCTAGACACAGAGCACTGATTGGTGCACTTACAAACCTTTAGCTACACACAGAGTGCTGATTGGTGCGTTTACAATCCTTTAGCTAGACACAAAAGTTCTCCAAGTCCCCACCAGATTAGCTAGACACAGAGTGCTGATTGGTGTGTTTACAATCCTTTAGCTAGACACAGAGTGCTGATTGGTGCATTTACAATGCATTAACTAGACAGAAAAGTTATCCAAGTCCCCACCTGACCCAGAAGCCCAGCCGGCTTCACCTCTCGATGGCACTTGCCATGGGACTTTGTGGCACCTAGCCCAGGCACTCCAGCAGCCCAGAGGGAGCTCATCCCCCAGTCAAGCCCAGCAGGCACCAGCTGGCCATGCTGAGTGCGGGGTCCGCCAAGCCCGTGCCCACCTGGCACCTGCACCGGCCCACGAGCGCCATGCACAGCCCCAACTCCTGCCTGCACCTCTCCCTCCACACCTCCCGGTGAGCAGAGGAAGCTGGCTATGGCCTCGGCCAACCCCAGAGAGGGGCCCCCACAGCTCAGCTGAGGCTGAGCCGCCAAGAGTGAGCGAGGGCTGCTAGCACATTGTCATCTCTCAAAATTAACAACTTTTAGTAGATATATTTTTGGATTTTTCTTTTGGAAATACATGTTATTACTCATTTTGATTCTTCACTTAAAAATCAGATAGAACATTGTAGAAATAGCACAACTCTGAAATTTTTTATTTTTCTATTAAGCTTATATTTTTAATTGTTCTATATTTCAAGGAGATGTTTTTAAGGAAACATGTATTTTGCTGATTAAAGGTCTCTTGTATTAATGGCAAAATAAATTACATTGGTTCATAGTTCTATATTGGGTGAACTCATAAGCCCTTTCTTACTTGACCCAAATTAATGAATTTCTATAATTAAAATTTTATTGTTAATTATTTCTTTTCATTCTCACTTTGCTTTTGCTGAAGAGATGTTGGCACTTTGGCATAAGCTTAACTACCTCAGGCATGAATATTATTTGTTTCCATTAATTTGAATTTATGCCAGAGACTTGGTTGAAATTGTTATTACTATGCTAAACATCTCCAGTTCCTGGTTTACTCACAACCTCTTCAGTCAGCATAAGGATTAATTATAACTCAAAATAGATTGCCAATTATCCTCATTTACTATAACCTGCTATCTCATCTACTTATGATTGGAAAACCTCATTGATATCAGGGGGTTTACTGGATTGCAAAACATTCACCCACTAGAACTTAGAAATTACTGAGATTACTGAGCAACTGCTGACAACTATTCCCCAAACTAACATATTAATCAAAGCTGTTTTTTGTAATGTATTAAAAACTAGCATCTTCATTTGTCCATGTTCTATACTTTATGTAAATAGCTAGAGCTTTTTTTCACTCTCTTCTACTTCAATAGAGTATCTTTTAAATTCTATACTAATTTGTTGTTTCCATTGTTTTTCACTTGGCATCCTTCTTTGCCTTCTTGTTGTATTTTTACCCTTTAATTTGCTTCCCTTTCTTTTACAAAATCTCTTTTCCCACATTTCCTATGACAAATCCATGTATCCATGAATAACTTATTATGAAATCTTTAAGATCAAGGTAATACAATTTTTCTTCTTTTTTTAGACATTTTTCATGGATATATTAATCATTTATAAGTGTAAGCTGTACCTGCTCTTGGCCTTATTTTTCTGGCAAGAACATGTTAACGAAACACCAGGGGCTTGGTGTAGGTCCTGCTGCTCACCACACAGAAAGCCAATCCCTGAGATGACACGTATTGCCAAGGAAGAAGGCTTTCTTTAATCAGGTGCTGCAGCTGAGGAGACGGCCGCTCAGTCTCAAATCCATCTTCCTAACTGACTAAAACTAGGAGTTTATACAGCAGGGAAGTAATGTAACCATGTTTAAGAAAACAACAATTAGGGAGGGGCAAAGAGGCATCTGGTGCCGCAACCTGGTGAGTTTCAGTTGTTTGACACTTTTTTTGAGAGGCCTGAAGGTCCTTTCCTGAGGAAGGAACACAGGTAAAACAAATGCAAGTTTCAAGCTTTAACAGCAGAAGGGTCATTTTCTATGTTTATCAAAAAGAACAGCCTATGGGATTATTGGGCCAGTTTCAGTCCCTCGTTTCTATTTATCAGTTCCTCAATCATTAGGAATCCAGTTGTGGCTCATTCTGGCTGCTTCACACTGAGGAGGGGTGTTGTTGGCAGCTCCATACCATGAATGACCATGTGGCCACTGAGGAATCAAAGGTTAATCTAATAAAAAGTTTTCTTCTGAAACACATTTCTCCCTATGGTCTCCCACTTGCACCAAAGACAAATCACACCATCACCAAATTACCTGCAAAATAAGCTTCAGTCCCATATACTTGGCCTGATTACTCACATAAAGTGCAGTAAGAATCATTGTCCACAAAAGCTCTCCTAAATTGGACTTGATGAACCTCTCACAAGGCTATTCCAGTCAAAGCCCTGGGAAAATAACCAGTTCTTCCAACTGTGCCCCTATTACAAAAGAAAACAGGTTCTTATTAAATGTATGTAAGAGAAAACAACTATCAGAATTTTACTCTATACATTCAATAATTTTCAATGTACGTTGCACATATGTGTATACTCTACATATTGTAGTTTATAATCTGTTTTATAGAATAAAAATAAAACCTATTGGCTTTTTTTCTTGTTAGTATCTCTACAAATAATTTATAAGCTTTTCTTTCAATAGCTCTCTTATATATTATTTAACTACTCCCATGTTTAACCAATCCCATATTGGTTTAGTTTTATTTTTAACCTTTCCAGTTTTTTGAATAGTGTATTGCTTAGTGTCATGTAACACAAGCTTTGACCACACCCTTATTTTCTTGTAATAAATAGCTCTAAATATATTGTTGGATAATTTAAAATATTTAATTGTTAAATATATAAACATGCTATCAAATTTTTAAATTTCAAACAGTAGTTATGAGTATGTCTCTTGCTTCATGACTTTTCCTACCATAATACCCTCAATCCACAGAACCAATGTATGGAGTCTGCCGTATGGAGTATACTCGTTTCTGAGTATACATATTCCAATTATACATTATAGAACTGGAAAAATAACCATATAATGGGTTTGGGGATCCACTAGACCACTATGGGATGGATCTGAGCTAAAACTCCATTAATCATCTGACTTGCATACGCCTCTTTTCAGAATAATAGACCACAGTGTCATTTGGATCTCCTAAAATTAATGTCAATGACCAAAGTCTTAGTCCATTTATTTTTCTATAAAGGAATACCTGAGGCTGGGTAATTTATAACAAAAATAGGATTATATGGCTCATGTTTCTGCAGGATGTACAAGAAGCATGACACCAACATCTATTTCTGGCGAGGGCTTCAAGTTTCTTCCACTTATAGCGGAAGTTGAAGGGGAGCAACTTGTAGAGATCACATGGTGAGAAGAAGAAATAGAGGGGAGGGAGGTGCCTGATTCTTTTTAACAATCAGGCCTTGCAGAAACTAATATAATGGGAACTCACTCATTACCACAAGGATGGTATCAAGCCATTCATGAGGAATCTGCTCCCATGCACAACTACCTCCCTTTAGGTCCCTCCTCCAGCATTAGGGATCAAATTTCAACATGAGGTTTAGAGGGGTCAAACAAACCAAACTACAGCATTCTGCCCCTAGCCAATGCCACCACCCAAATCTCATGTCCTTCTCACATACAAAATACAATGATTCTATCTCAGTAGTTCCTAAGAGTCTTAACTTGTTCAGGCATCAACTTACTACTTTGAAATCCAATGTTTCATCTGAGACTCAAGGCAAGTTCCCTCCAGCTATAAGCCTATAAAATCAAAAACAAGTTATTTATTTCCAAGATACAATGGTGGTACAGGCATTGGGTAAACATTCCCATTCCAAAAGGAAGAAATCTGCCAAACGAAAGGGCTAGCAGGCCCCACACAAATCTGAAACCCAGCAGAGCAGACATTAAATCTTAAAGCTCCCCACTGACTCCATGTCCTGCATCCTGGGGACACTGGTGCAAGGGGTAGACTCTCAGGGCTTCAGGCAGTCCCATTCCCATGTCTTTACTTCTCTCATGGGTTGAAGTCCAATGCCTGCAGCTTGTCCAGGTTTCAAGCTGCTGGTGGCTCTATAATTCTAGGATCAGGAGGCTTTGGCCCTGTTTCCACAGTTCCACTGGGCAGTCCCCTAGTAGGGACCCTATGCAGGGGCTCCAACTCCACATTTCTGCTTGGCATTGCCTTAGTAGACTCTGCAAGAGCTCTCTGCCCCTGAGGCAGGATTCTGCCTGGGTACCCAGGCTTTCCCATCCATCCTCTCAAATCTAGGTAAAAGCCCCTAAGCCTTCACCACTCTTGTATTTTGGGTGCCTGCAGACTTAACACCATGTGTTCCATGTTTCAGACAACCAATCAAACTGTTAGAGCTTTTTTAACCCTTCAATCTACAAAATAGAATGCTCTTGCTCAGTTGACCCATAGCAATAAATTCATCTTGATCCAACTTTATGTTCCACCATTATCCTTCACTCTTAATATGTATTCTCACACATATTCCCCAGATTTCTGTCTCTATACACTGGAAAAAAATCATGCAGTTCTTTTAGTGTACAGTATGCTCATGTTTTGCTTCAACCAAAGAGAGGTCTCACTTTATGCTTCACCCAAAGAGAGATGCTGAGAATAATCAGCAGTGCCTTGAAAGGCAACAACCTCAAGGGAGGCTATTACAATTTCTCCAGGCAAAGCAGGGTTAATCTTTTCAGGCAGGAGTGATGGAAAGGCTTCTACTACTGAAAAGGAAAATTCAGCAGAATCTAGGGAGCTGATGTCTCCAGCTTTACCAGAATCTGACTATATTTCCTCAGTGCAATTTTCAGGATCCCATTCCTTTCCTATCAGTGGCCTCAGTTTAACAGAAGACATCCTGTTGAGATGGTTGAGAATTCAATTTGTTTTGTGATCCATCCACTCTCAGGATGAGACTCTGTGTTTATATTTCAGAATCTCCATCCTGCAGCTGCAGGAAATAGGGTTTCTTTCAGGGAAGATACAGAAGATTTTAGGTCATTTAATCAGAGCTTGTGCTGAGATTCTGATGTGCTGTCTTTTTTACCCTCAATTTCTCCCCTAGAGCAACCAGCTAATCGCATTGTGCTCATTACTTTAAATAAAAATATTCTAAGGTAGGAAAAAAAATGGTAATCCAAAATTTTATATATACATACACACACACACACAATATATATATATATATTTGTATATATAGATTTTTATATACAAACATTTTATATGTAAATATATAGATATATAAATATATATATTTGGTTAGAATAATTTAATGGTGATATCCTGTATATTTCTATTGTAATATCTTACCTTGGGCTACTAGTTTCCTCTTTATCACTGGAAATAGGGACATTTAATCAGTTTTAAGACCAAATTCCAGAAAACCCAGTACAAAATAAGAAAATTTATCTTTAATATTGTATTCCTCTAGAACAATGTTTGGTATTGAAATATTTACTCTTTTCCTGTAGCAGCTGTAACAAATTAGCACCAAAAAGGTCACTTAAGAGACATTTATTATCTCACAGTTCTGGAGGGCCAGAGATCTGAAACCAAGGTGCTGGCAGAGGCACTCTCCCTCTGGAAGCTCTAGGGGATTCTATATTTCTCGCCTTTTACAGCTTCTTGTTGCTGTTGATTTCCTTCACTCTTGGCCACATGGCTTGCTCCTCCTCTTCATATTGTTTTCTCCTCTGTGAGTCTGTGCATAAAATTTCACTCTGCCTTGCTCTCACTTGTGATGGCATGGAGAGCCTACCCTGATAATCTAGCATCTAAAACACAACTTTTGCCATGTAAGATAATATTAACTATTTTACCCTATGAGGTAATATTTACAGGTCCAGGGATTTGGACATGACATGTATTTGGGGGCGGGTCACCATTCAGTCCACTAAACTCCTAAGATTCTGCACTACTCAACATCACTCTGCTGTGTTTGGAGCATGGCATTGCAGTTTTCTTTAGTATTTGGTAAGAAAAACCACTCATCTTTACTATCTATTTTTGTGATGTTATGAATAATAATATTTTATTTTCTGTTATACTTTTTAGTGACCATTGATAGTAAACACAGATGTCTTTGTAGGTTAATCTTGCATACAATAAATCTACTAATTTTTTCCATAATTCTATAAATGTCTTTTGATTTATTATTTCCTTATGCAGATAATCATATCTTCAAATAACAGCACTTTGCTTTTTCCCTACCAATCCTCATAGCTAATATAGCTTGTCTTTTAATAATCTTGTTGGCTATGAATTTCTATCCTGTGCTTATCAGTAATTACAATAGTGAAGACGCTTATCATGTTTCATATTCTAAATAAAGTATTTCTAACAGTTTTCCACTGAGAATCATGTTAGGTATTAATTTTTAATGTGCAGATAGGTCAAAATAAGAAAATTTCATTCTTTTACTTATTTTCTGGTTTTAAGCATATTAATCACATTATTCTAATTATATATATATACACACACACACATATATATATATTTCTTTTATATTATGTGTTTGGCATATCTTTGGGAGAGGTACATTTAAAATGTCCAGCTACAATAGTTTATTTGGTCTTTTCCCCTAATTTTTTAGTTCTTCTTTACAAAATTAAGGGCTATATAAAATTGGGGGTTTTAAATTTTTATAACTTTTTTTATCTATTCTCTATTTATAAGTATTTAAATTGTTACTACTCATGATAATTTTGGCTTATGTTATATATTATTTTACATTAAAATTTTTATATTGAATTATTTTCAGGTTCACATTGCCTGTAATATCTGGCTTTAACAATTTAGTTTCAGAGTTTTATATGCTTTTTAGTTCAGTGAATTTCTTATAGACAAGATATTCTTTGATTATTAAGATATGCTTGGATTATTCTTGGATTCTTGTCTTTTCTGATTGATGTGATTATTCCATATTGTAAAGGGTGGCCCCCAAAAAGACATGCTGCTTTCCTAATCCCCAGAATCTGTGTGCCTTATATGGCAAAAGATTGAATATTACTTTGTGTGGCCAAAGATGTGATTAAACTAAAGCTCTTGAAAGGAGGAGCTTATACTGAATTATCCGGGTGGGCCCCAAATGCAACCATATGTACCCTAATAAGAGAGAGCCTCAGGAACTCCAGAGACAGATACATAGATGAGAAGACATGTATAAAAGAGACAATTGGAGTGATATGGCCATGAGTCAAAGAATGCCTGAATCTACGGGAACCTAGGAGAGGAAAGAAAGGAATTCTCTCCTACACCCTTTGGAGGGAGCACCACCCTGTTGACACCTTGATTTCAGACTTTGAGCTTCCAGAATTGTGAGGGAATACATTTCTGTTGTTTTGCTAAGGTTGTGGCACTTTGTCATGGCAGTCCTAAGAAACTAATACACCTCATGGACTTATATTGTAATTACTCTTGTACTAATATTAACTTTTGCTTTCTTGTTGGATATTTTCTGCTTAAAACTTTTTTAAAAAACTATCTTTTATTGTTCAATTGAATAAATGCACTTTATCTACTGGGTTGAGATTTAAAATTCACTGAACTTCTCTGTGCCTCAGTTTTCCCAAATCCTAAATAGTAAAATGAATGCATGGCTTGTTTTCTGCATAGCTTACTTGTGAGGATTAAATGGGTTGCTGGGCCCCAAGTCATTCGGTTTTTACTGCTACATGGCTATGCTCTCTAACTAAATTTTAAAACTTAGGCTAAGACCATGGATAACATAGGCTTGCTTGCATATTAGATATAGAGATGCTAAATAATAATCATAAGTACTTTTTATTCCTGAGATTAAACTTTATACACATTCTGTTCAGTAACATAAGTAACCAGGGTAAATATGGAATGCACATATGAGTACAAAACTTAAAAATTGGTATGAAAGCATAAAATACAGCACATAGTAATTTTAGTAAACTAATATTAATTGAATGTTAAACAGTATCCATTACAATTATTTATCGTATCATATTTCATTGAATAAAACATTTATCATAAACACAAAAAGTATCCATAAACCTCAGAAACCAACACTGAGTGAAAACATTAATAATTAGTAACATTATATTCTAAATACTGCCACCAATTTTAGAAATGCCTTAAAATTATTGTCACCCTTTTAGAATTTTTTCAAAATAAACAAAATTATTATATGACATTTAAATGAAGAATGAGGAAAAATTAAAGAGTATATGATTTAATCATTGGGAAGTGATAAAAAATTAGTTTATTCTTACTATTTTTTTCCAGTAATATAGCACAATATAATTAAGCAACCAGAAATAAAAAGTATATTTTATGGTGTTTTAAAATGTGGCTTTTGGAATTTGACAATAAGTAAACATATGTAGAGTACATGTTTTAACTCTAAATAGATAAAAGCTTCATGAAAATATAAGAGCTAAATTAATTGCAAACTGCTAGATTTAAATTAAAAGTGCTTAATATGTTATGAGAAGACAGGAACAGACGCCCACATTTATACTAGTCAGTATAATTCATATAATTAGACCTTAAAATGGCACACACTTAAAACAACTTGGTAAGTATTCATTGATTTTTCAGAAACGTACATAGGAGTTTCTAATTCATCTATAAACAGGTAAAACTAACTAAAGATAATATTACTAGGATGTGTTTACAATAAATAAAACTATGAATATTAAGAGAACGCTTTATGCTGTTGGCAATTTCAGTCTAAGGAATATGTAGTTTCACAGCTATCTGTGTATACTAAACATTCACATTTTTGACATTTGCCAACATTTATTTGTCACTTAAAATAGGCCATGACTGTCCTAACTGATTTTTTCTTATTAATATAATACTCACCTATAAGGTATGTATTATCATCATCCTTATTTACAACAGAATAAACCATGGCAGAAAGCATTTAAACAGAAAAACCAAATTCACATGACTAGTAATGGCTGTAGCCCAGATTCAAACCTTGGTATCTAGATTTGAGTTTGGTTCCAGTACTCAACAAGCTTCACCATTTTGTGAGCCTGCTCCTGAAGGGTTATAACAATTACAATCAGTTCTCCAGTACAATTCATATAGAAACAGTGTTTGTCCTCTAAACACTCAGCATTTTTATCATATCTCTCTCTTCCCAAAACTCTAAGTAGCTCTGAGGTTGCTGCTTTTCCTAATAACTCCCTGGATGATAAATAGTAAGAGAATACATCACCTATCTGCTACATTTATATTTTAACAGTTATACTAGAGATATACCCGTAGAACCAAAGAGACAGCTCTCAAATTGTTAAATTTGATAATGTGTAAGGCAATAGTAGTGATGGAGGCAGGGGGTTGGCAGGGGCAAAATTGTAAGCAGGAGACCCTATTTAGTTCACCTTATGCTGCACAGTAGTGATATTTAATGTTTTCATCTATTTGTGCTATTTGGCTATCCTTAAAAATATAATATTCTTGCCTGGTTTAATAGCCATTTAAATGTATAATTTAATTAATCATCTGGTATTTTTGGAATAAATAAATTGTATTCAACCGATGTTTAAAATGACAATGCCCCCGAAGTGGAACCCTACTGAGATGTTACTTGAAATGACCAAATGCCATTTTGTAATTGTCCATAAAATAATGTTTCTTAAGATTCTTGTCCAAATTCAGCATTTGAATGTGCCACCCTTACCTTTGAAATATGCTGTGCTCTAACAGATGGAGACACAGCAGCAATCACAGAAAGGCTTTTCAAATGAGGCGCATGTACCCTGAAATCCAAAACAGCTCCAGTGTGGACAACCGGAGGCTTGTGACCTTTGCTATAGGAGAAAAGTGTCTATTGACTCTTGGACTCATTATTTCACATACTGAGCTGTTAACAGTTGGATTAAACTTTCTTAGAATGGAAATTCCAGTTTCCAGCACAAAGCGACTTTATTTTAAATAGCAAAAGTGCTATTTCTTCTTTTTCTTTGATAGCCATTATACTTCTGTGTAATAAACTTCAAAGCCACGATATACATTGAGGAAAAGGAATGGAAGACACAAGTAATCAAATCATATTTTTCTGTAACTTCCAGATCAGGCAGAAATGAGGGAAATAAGCACCTCTGTAATAATAATTTCACTTCACTCATTCTAAAATCTAAGGTAGCTATAAAAATACTATGACTTTCTTTTCAAATATATGTGTTTATATGTATATTTATCTTGAATCTCTTTTTGAATATATATTTTACTCTGTTTTGTTTTCAAATTGCATACTTATATTTAGCTTCCCACATAAATATTATAAATTTGTTTATTTGTGAGACCTAAGATTTCCTTCTCCTGTGGATTCCATTTTATGAAACATTTGAGTGGAAATGTTTAATCATAGCTTACACCAGGGTATAAGAGAACATGTAAGTCAAAAACTGAAGATAAAGAGACATATTTTCTGGTTGTAGAGACTCCCCTCATTTCCTTCTGCATGCAGATTTTGCTTAAGTGGCAAAAGTCATATATAAAAAAAATCCTAATGTGTGGCGGATGTTATTTCTAAAATAGTAGCAGCTTAAACAGAGATATCCAGTTCTCTGTTTCTAGATCAGCACTGAAATATCAAAAGCAATTTCCGCAGCAAGCAAGAACATTCCCATTTGCCATAGAAATAGAAGAAAAGTGTCACCTCATATCCCTAAATTTGTAGAGTAGAAATGGAAATGATAGCAGGTTAAAAGAAAGCACTGAGAGAGGGCTCACATCTTCCCTCCCAAGTGTCACTGAGGAATCATGGGAAATGAACAAAGAAAAGAGTAAATTTTTGTACAACACTACTATTACCACTCATCTTAGTAGACTTCTACACATTCCTGATTTGGAAGGTAAAGCCCAGGGAAATGACGGGATGGAAACAGATCTCTCAGAATCCTAGTATGCAAGAAAAGCTATTCTGGAGACTACGCTTTGCGTGGTGACTATATTGTAGGCAAAGCTGGCAGAGGTTGTCCAGATGTAGTGCAACCTTGCTGTTTTAGAGAATAAAATCAGGAAGAAGCCTGGGCATAATCGTAATTGAAGAGGTGAGCACAAAAGATGGTAGAATATCTGTCTCTTGGCTCTTTCCCTTCATCTAGCAGAAAAAAAGATGTATTTTTTCCCCCAGTTTGGAGAGCTCACAGTCCTAAGTCATTCTACTTGATGTTTAATTTACCACAAATAAATCATGTAGCTTAAAGTCTGTGTATTTCTGAGAGTAAACAGGTAGAAAAAGCGAGAAACAGCAGAAAATGCACTCCCCATATTTAGGAGTTATAATCATGTATGTAAAGTGTGTTCTCTGTTTAAATAACAAAACAAATTTGTTAAAATTTGTACTTATTTGTAAGTACAAATAAGGGAAGTGGGACCAGTAAACTCGAGACTATATTGTCAAGAAAACTTAAAAAAGAAGTGTTTCAAGAGTAAAACTCTTTCCAAAATAAGCTGTCAATCCATTGAAATGTGTCCCCAATTGGTGGGTTCTTGGTCTCACTGACTTCATAAATGAAGCTGCGGACCCTCACGGTGAGTGTTACCGTTCTTAAAAGCAGCGTGTCTGGAGTTTGTTCCTTCTGATGTTCAGACGTGTTCGGAGTTTCTTCCTTCTGGTGGGGTTCGTGGTCTTGCTGGCTCAGGAGTGAAGTTGCGGACCTTCGCGGTGAGTGTTACAGCTCATAAAGGCAGTGTGGACCCATAGAGTGAGCAACAGCAGGATTTATTGCAAAGAGTGAAAGAACAAAGTTTCCACGTGCAGAAGGGGACCCCAGCGGGTTGCCACTGCTGGCTGGGGCAGCCTGCTTTTATTCTCTTATGTGGCCCCACCGACATCCTGCTGGTTGGTAGAGCCGAGTGGTCTGTTTTGACAGGGCGCTGATTGGTGCGTTTACAAACCTTGAGCTAGATACAGAGTGCCAATTGGTGTATTTACAATCCCTTAGCTAGACATAAAGGTTCTCCAAGTCCCTACCAGACTCAGGAGCCCAGCTGGCTTCACCCAGTGGATCCCCCACAGGGCTGCAGGTGGAGCTGCCTGCCAGTTCCCGGCCGTGTGCCCGCACTCCTCAGCGCTTGGGTGTCGATGGGACTGGGCCCATGGAGTAGGGGGCGGCGCTCGTCTGGGAGGCTCGGGCCACACAGGAGCCCACGGAGGTTGGGGGAGGCTCAGGCATGGCGGGCTGCAGGTCCCGAGCCCTGCCGTGCAGGAAGGCAGTTAAGGCCCCGCGAGAAATTGAGCACAGCAGCTGCTGGCTGAGGTGCTAAGCCCCTCACTGCCTGAGGCCAGTGGGGCCGGCCAGCTGCTCCGAGTGCGGGGTCCGCCGAGCCCACGCCCATCCGGAACTCGCGCTGGCCTGCAAGCACCGCGCGCAGCCCTGGTTCCCGCCCGCGCCTCTCCCTCCACACCTCCCTGTAAGCTGAAGGAGCCCGCTCCGGCCTTGGCCAGCACAGAAAGGGGCTCCCACAGTGCAGCCTCGAGCTGAAGGGCTCATCAAGTGCCGCCAAAGTGGGAGCCCAGGCAGGGGAGGCGCCGAGAGCCAGTGAGGACTGCCAGCACCGCTGTCACCTCTCAGAAATGCTGGGAAGAATATGAGAGGTAAAAACTTTATCTTTTGGACTTAAGAGATTTAGATCCACAGTGAATTTATTCAGGGTGATTTTAGTGGAATGATGGTGACAGAAACTAAGAAGGCTGAAGAGCTAGTGGGAGGTATGTAGTGGCCTGAATAATGTCTCTCACCAAAGATGTCCAAGCCCTAATCTCAGGAATCGGTGAATGTGTTATGTTACACAATGTAAATACTTAGAAGATGTGATTAAGTCGGGGATCATGATACAGTAGAATTATCCTGGATGATCCTGGTGTGTGGGCCCAATGTAATCATATGGTTTTTTATAAAAGTAAGGTTTATAGGGGTCAGAGTCAGAGAAGGAGATGTAATGAAGCAAGCAAGGAGATGTAATAAAGATACTTTGTTCCTGATTTTGAAGATCCGGAAGGGAACAGAAGACAAGGAATGTGGGCACCCTCTAGAAGTTGCAGAAGCCAGAGAAACAGACTCTCCCCTGGAATGTTCAGAAAGTGTACAATCCTGCCAAGACCTCGGTCATAGCTCAGTGAAACCCATTTTGAAATTCGGACCACCAGAACTGTAAGTAATAAACTTGTGTAGTTTTAAACCATTAACTATATTGTGGTAACTTGTTACAACAGCAATAGAAAACTAATGCAAGGTAGAAAAAGAAAGTATAAATTATTGCACTGAAAAATATGGCATTGATGCAAGAGGGTGATATTTGTTTAATGAATAGGTTTTATATTTTAATAGGTTAGGCTTGATTGTAAGTAATCATGTATTGGTTTGAGAGGGTCTTGTTGATAATATAGGACACAAAACATGTAAGCAGTAGTATACAATTATTGAGAAGGCATAAAGGGGTACTATTTATAGGGAGGACTAGCTTTTAATGAGAGATGCCTTCTTTCCTCTTGCACCGTGGAAGTAGAGCTGCTTCCAATGCTTAAACCCTCTTCAGGTGCACACATAACCAGGTGAAGTGAAGAATGCAACATCTAAAACAGAGTCGATCAAACCCTCCTTTATTTTCTAATAAACATTGAACATTCATTCATCTACATATGATGATTGTAAGCAACCAAGCATCATGTTCATGTTTAAGGAAAGAAGGAGAAAAAAATAATGCTTTCTGCTCACAGGTATTTGTGTTTCTAATGGAATTTTTTTAAAGCCCCATCATTCTTCCTTGACATTTCATTGGTTTGAGTGATGTCATGCAACTTAGTGTAGAGAAGTCACTGGCAGAAAAGAATGAGTTATGGACAACTGCCCCAGAAAAACAGAAGACGTATAGCTTCCCTGAGAGTAGAGATTCCTACCAGACAGAAGTGTGATGTTAAATTATCAGGGAAAAAAGGACATATCTGTTGGCCGTACTATGTATGTGTATGTATGTGAATAAATACATTTATACATATAATTATATATGAAAAAATATATGTATTACAAATCAATTTAAAATATTAAGATGGAAGTTACTTTTGTGGATGCATTGTAGTAAAAAAAATTTTCACCTATGTTTTAGAATAACAACTAACAATAAACATAAGCAATATGTCCAGATAGATATATAGTCATGAATATAAAACTAAAACTACCAAACCCTTCTTCTTATCTCGCATAGCGTTAGGCTTTCTGTTAGTGGTAAATCTGCCATATGCTTATTTCCTTCGTTTGAGCTTAACTCCTATTGTGTCAAATTTATACAAATAAATTTAATTTTAAATTTACAGACCATATGTTGAGTTAAACTTGGAATCTCCCAGGAGTCCTACAATAAGATAAATATTCAAATTGGTAAAGTAAATTTTCACAACATAACCCCTACTTCTCCGTATTGCATATCCAACCATTTTTGTCCAAGCTGCAGTACATAAAATACACATTGTATTATCCTAGCCCTGCCAATCACAGTACTCTAATTAATATAGGAAAATCTAATGTGAATTGAACCTCCACTAAAACTGTCACTCTACAAAGAGTTTCTCAAAGTATTTTATGAAGATTCTGCGGTATAGAACTTCACAATATAAAATAAAATACTAAAATAAAGTCACTTCCTGGAGAAGTAGTGCTTTCAGCCTCATTTGATGTATCATCCCTCTTTGAAAAAGGAGAGCAAAAGAAGTAATTATCTTGAATGAGTGAGCAGACTTCTATTTCAGGAGTGATATTGGTGACCTCAGCTTGCCTACGTTTTGCGCAAAAATGAGCTAAGTGCTTCCTTGTGGGAAGGAGCTGGGAAAATAATAAGAAAAGGGCAAATGAGGGTTGGGGTAGGGAGGAATAGGGGTGGAAGTGAAGAAAAAAGCCATCTTTGGGGCTTGCTCAAGAAAATCTCCTTTAAAAAATCGGAACACTCTTTCTGATGAAAATAATATAGTTCCTTGAATATGGAAGCTGTTGCAGTTGCCAAGAGAATACACTTTTTATATTGTTGTTGAGAAAGTATCTGTATAAGATCTTTTTATAGCAAGTCCAAGCTGCAGGCAAACTGGCTTGCTATTGGGTTTTATGGTACTGGAAGTTTCTGGGAGATATGGATATTCTGGGAACCTCTGACAAATCTCAATATGGTAATCATAGTGTGGACCCCTAGGGCTTTGGAATAAGGCATGTCTTTTTCAGGAGATAACTATTCTGTGTTTGAAAAACGTCTCCATGCTTCCTATTGGGCCCTAACAAAAACCGAATGCTTGACCGTGAGCATTAAGGGACTATGAGATCCAAACTGCCCATCATGAGCCTGGCATTATCTGATACTGCAAATCTAACAACAAACAAATAAGCAAACAAACAAAAACAAGACTAAGAGAGCACCAACATGTTCCTGCTAAAGGATAATCTACGTTTTCTATTAAGTATTTCCATTTCCCTTTATCCTGCCTGTCTGTGTGTGTTTTTCCCTTTTGATCATATAAGAATAATGATGTTGGCTAGTGCTTCAGTGTAGGCTTTGGGTAGGGCTGTAATTACATTGACATCAGCTAATTATAATTTGATAACTGATGGACAGGAAGAACAGTGAGAAACAAGAGGGATGAGCTGTGCTAGGTATTTTTATTTTCTATCTCAGATCCAGTCCCCAGTGTTTCCCACTACTTCTTTCCTCCTAAAAGTCATCCTCTATTTAAAGCTTCAAATCAGTTTCCTTGGCTTTTAATTACTGAATGGGTTCAGAGCTCAGCAATAGCTGCATTCTCTGGGTTTAGAGCTGGAGTGGTAACAGATTTGCATGGCTGCTACATCCTGAATGTTTCAGCATCCCATGTCACTTCTCTTAACCCTGCCTACGTATATGGAAAAGCCTCTTCCTTTAACTTTTTAAATAACCTTTTGAGAGTACCATCTGTTTTCTGATCATCTCTAACAGATACAGCTGTTCTGATGCAGCTGTAACAAAATTGTTTGCTAAATAATTTTTAAAAGTTCAAGAAGCTGTTCTTATGAATTACATCACATGTGCACTATACATCTCTGAACTTCATAATGTCTCCAAATCATGTCCTATTTCTTTCCCCTTGCTTCCCTCTCTAACCCTTGGCCAGCATTTCTCCACACTATACTCAAAAGATTCTCTCCACACCTTTGATCCCAGTGCTGCTGGAGTCAAGGATGTGGTGAATTTGTAGCTCAGGAGTGGAGTGAGGATGTTTCTTAGGTATATGACATGACAATTTTAAAAAAGTAAAAACTTAATTTTTCAAGGTCTGAACAAAGGGATCCCAACATCAATTGTGTCTGCGTCAAAGTGGCCACATCCAAATGTCATGTACTATACTTACAAGTATTTCAGTATATTAATATCCAGGACCATGAATAGCTAGGCTAACTTCTATTATACATACTATAAAATCAACAAAAGGAAGGTTGCAGCCTTCAATTTTAGAATGTAAGTTTCTCACGGAGAGTGGAATGGCGAGAGGGTTTTTTCTGATGAGAATACATTTTCTTCATGGATTCTCTGCCGGTGTGCAAATCCATCATATCACCTTTTTAGTCCTAGAAATGCCTTTATTTACTTTTCAATGCTTATTTGATCTGAACAGCTTGAAATTCACAAGCATTTGGTCAAGTATACACAAGGAAGAACAAATTTAGAATCAGTGAATAAAAACAGCGAATATAAACTTTTATAAAGCTGCAGATATGGGTTGAATCTGGATCAATTCTGTTTTGTAAAAGTTTATAACTATTTGTCACTGACTTTAAAACAAATATAAGTAAACATTTATTTTCCATATTTATTATCAAACTCTACATCTGTATCTTTCAGGTGAACTTATAAGTTTTGTCTCTAAAATGTGTGATCTATAGAAACATGACACAAATGTGTGCTTTGTAAGCTGGCAGCTGACTGGCTTAAAGTTAGGGCTCGATGATATAGAATTTTTGCGCCAGAGTTCTAAGTCCTAGCTTGACTTTTCTTTCTTCAAATATTTTCCATCTTTTAATATACAAGTCCAGCTTTGAGGCACAGAGTGATGATAACAACATTATAGGCATAACGACTTCATTGGAATCTTTTCGTTACAGTGTTTGAGGCAAAGTTTTTTTTTCATAGATGCCATTAAAATCAATTCATGTTTCTGTGTAACGTTAAAGTGGCCTTTGAATTGACTCCAAATAACACTGAAATGGAAAGCTGATCTCGATCCATCTTTTTAAACATAACATTTTTTGTGCTGTCTTTGATCTCTTTTTTATCTTTTTTTTTTTTTAGAGTTCTGCATTTGTAAACCATTTTCCTTGGTGCTTGATTTGACACTTTCATAAAACCTAAAAAAAACTGCTACAATAGAGAAATAACTGCCAGAAACTTTTTTTTTCTTCAATGTTGCCATGTTTCCCCCCCTCAATAATCCAAACTCACCCTTGTTCATAACATCTCTCTCTCTCTCTCTCTCTCTCTGTCTCTCTCTCTTTCTTTCTCTATCTTAGTCGCTCTTGTTCTCACTCCGTCACTTCAGTAGAATTTGACTTCTATGGGGAACAAAGTAAAAATGTCATAATGATTGATTCTTATGGAAAAATGAGAAACATATTTATTATCTAGATTAATCCCCTCTTGGTAGTGTTCCAGTTAAATTTAGAGCAAATGAGTAAACCAATATTCATTAAAATTCAATACATGCATGAGATAGGTTGACTAAGAACTATTAATAAACATTTCTTTCTATTACAATTGTTTGAGTTTGAGGGCTAGTACTGTAGTATTAATTGTTAATTTTTCTTAGGATTCATGCTGACATTTGGAGGAATTTTCACCTGATTGGTACTTTTGCAAATGTTGACACAGCATATAGGAATCCTTCAATAAAATTATATATTGATGTATGCAATTATATTGTAGCTATATTAATCATAACATCATGTATGCATAATAATGTATTCATTTTATATAAATGAGTTGTCAATCACACACATGATTTTATCTCTTATGATTTCACAAAATTTTGTTTATTTTTTAATAATATTAATCACATGAAATATGGTAATCATAGTGCGGTGGTTATCAGTGTGAGTTTTAACAGCTGGTAATTTTCTTAACTCAATAGGGCCTTATTTCTCTTATTTATCAAAAGGGAATAATGATTCTGGCTGTATGGGTTTATGATTACATTTAAATATTAGGTTGGTGCAAAATAAATTGCAGTTTTTGTCCTTAAAAGTAATGTCAAAAACCGCAATTACTTTTGCACCAAGCTAATACATGATATATGTAGTCAATTTATGCAAAATTCCTTACACATACTAAGCGCAAACCAAATGGTAGCAGTCATGATGGTGGTGGCAGGAGCAGCATTTGTTTAATTTGTTCTTTTTGTCTTTTCAGCTGTTCCCAAGTGTCATTTAGACATGAAGGAGGCCTACAATAAAATAGTATGCTGAATGTTCTGAAATATGTTTCTTATTGCTGCTCTAACAAATCACCACAAACTTAGTGGCTTAAAACTACAACACTTTAGCATCTTAGATCTCTGGGTGTTAGCTGTTCAAAAAATCTGACTGGACTCAAATCAAGGTGTTGCCTGGATTGTGTTCCTTTTTAGGATGCCTAAGCGGGAATCTGCTTCCTTGCCTTTTCCAGCTTCTAAAGGCTGCCTACACACCCTGGCTCCTGTGGCCTTCCTCCATTTTCAAAGCCAAAAGACTTGTAACTCTCTGTGCTTTTTTTTATAGTCATATCTTCCTCTGACGCTCCCTTCTGCTTACCTCTACCACTTTCAAGGGCTCTTGTGATTTTATTGAGGCCACCCTCAATGATCCAGAAGAATCTCCTGATCTCAGGATCTGTAACTTAGTCACGTCTGAAAATTTACTTTGCTTTGTGACATATTCATGGGTTTTGGGAATTAAGACATGGGCATTGTTGAGGGATAATTAAGCCTAGCTCAAGAGACATCCGTCTTTCAAAATAGACCTTATACTGTCTTCTGGTTAATAAGATAGCTCTCTTCTCTAATGAACTTTGTAAATTAAAAATATGTAAATGACAGGCATATATAATTTAAAGAATTATAACAAAAGGAAAACACCTACCACTCAGGTTAAGAAACACAACATTGTAAGTATATTTAAAGCCTACTGTATAGTCCTAACTAATCCAATTTTGCTTTGTTACTTAGACCTAGAAGCAATTAGTATGCTAAATTTGGCAATATAAACATTATTTTTATTTTTTCTAGTATACACACACAGAAATACATAAAAGATATATTTTATTTGTTTTTTCCTATCTTCGAGCTTATATAAATTTGTTTTTGAGTAATATGATTTTCAACATTCATCTATATTGATACACATAGCTGTATTTTATTTAATGGTAGCATAATATTTTTGTAGAATACATTGTAATTTATTTATCTTTTCTAATATTGATGAGCATTTGGGTTTTTTTTATTCCCTTGTTATGATCTACAATATCACTTCAAACTTACTTATGAACAGCTCCTGGTATTCATGAGTGAATGTTCCTCAGAGAAGATGTCTAGTATTAGAATTGGTTAATGGAAATAATGGCATTGCTTAGCATCCTTTCCAACATTTGGTTTTGTCAGACATCTTAACTTTTGAAATGTACTGGATATTAATCTGCACTGGGATTTTAATTGTACTTATTTTTATATAATGATATGGTACACTGCATGCTTTTTGCTTCTGTGGTTTTTCTTTCCTTTGAAATATCTGTTTATGGATTTTGCCTGTTGTACATACTTTGCTTATTTATTCAAAAAATTATTTATAAATTCTGGATACTAATATTTTATCAGTTACCAGCGTTTTAAATACATATTCTTAGTCTGAAACTCATCTTTTTATTCTCTTCCCTAATAAAAGATCATAAAGTCATTTCCTTGTATTTTAAGCTTCTGCTTTTAAAATTTAATCTTTGCTTATTGCTGGAAGCTCACAAAGGCAGGATAGACACTACAAAATATCTTATTATTCTTACCCACCAGAGAAACCTTAGGATTTCAAGGCTTGCCTATTAATTTGATTTGTGGGAGATAAAAAAATGAAGATTTCTGATTGGAAGTGTATATAGATATTTTGCAGTCATCTTTTCAAAGCTTAATATACAGAATGCCATGCTACAATGTGTTAAGTCAAGTGACGTGAGTTAGTGACAAGCTCTGCAAAATCAGTCAATGGAGTCATCAGCACAAAGATTGTAATGTCCTATGAATGGATCAGTTCACCAATGTAAATTTGTAAGGAGGCTGAGAAGAAACATCCAAAGAGAGACAAAAAGAGAAGAATCAAAAAAGCCTAACACTGAGGAAGTTAAGGGAATTTTTATTTCAAGAAGGAGGTTATAGTTTACAACATCAAATACTCCCTGAAGAATAGAAATATTCTTTTGACATAGCAAAAATAAAAAAAAAATAAGTAAAAGTTTTGCTAAGAGCTCGCTCAGTGGATGAATAAGGAATAGAATTTGTAATGCAACGATCTAAACAGTAAATGGAAAAAGAGGAAGCAGATGCAGGGATTTTGGATGTATGGTTTTTTTTTTTTTTCCAAGAAGCTCAGCAATATTAGGGAATAGAGATAGAGATAAAACTGGAGAGGCTTGAAGTTAAAGAACAGATGGGAGAGGCATGAGGATTTTTCAAAAATGCAAGTAGAAAAAGAGAGAAAGACTAGAAAAAATAAAATAAGGTCTAAGAATTGAAATGAAATTCCTGAAGTAGCATTTATAGGATTCAGAGAACAGGTAGAGGAGTTAGCTTCAATCAGGATGATATATTTGTTATCATAATGAGAGAAAGAAATTAGTTATAATACACTGTCACTTTTGTAGATGGGATGTCAGGAATTTAAAGGAGTTCTTATCTGAGTACTTTATTATTTCTGTGAAGTAGGAGACAAGATTTTCCGCTAAAAATAAATGGAAAGGTAATAGAGTAGGATGGTAGAGATAAGAAATGGTTTGATTAGGTATTATGGAAAATGGAGAAAAATCTTATCAGAACTGAGAAGAATTGAAAAGCAGTGTAAATGGCCCCATTGTGGTCAGAGAACATTACTTTGTGGAGGCAATTTTCTGAGGGTTTTGTGATTTTTCTCCAGTCAGATTCAACTGCCTAGGTATAAGCACAAAGACATCAGTCAGTTGAATTGCTCTAGCTTAGGGTTTGCTAGCTGGGTTCAAATAAGTAGACAATTGAATTGAAAAATTTCGTAAAGACTTAGTTGAAGAAACTGAGAAGCTTTGTAGGCTCAAAAGGAAGAGAGTGAAGCTTAGGTAGAAAGAAGACCTTACATATAGTTGATTATATATCACAGGAGTGAATCCAAGTTAGCCTGATGAAATAACATGCAAACTTTTTGCATGCACTTACCCATCTTTGTCTACTTCAAGGAAGCACTGAAGATTAGGAAGTACTAAGGACACGGATATAACTTTCCTGTCAATTTGTGTGATTTTCTTATCACGCTCTTTCTAAAGTCATTCTGATGGAAGAGTATTTTGTCCACATTTAGAAAAAGCATCAAGAGACAGTTTCTAAACTCTTAGCTTCTTTTCCCTTGGATCACTAATTAATGCGATATTGTTTCCCGAGTTCTTTCTTTTGCAGGTTTCTTATGCGACATTTTTAATCCGGTGTTTTCAAGCTCATATAACCAAGGATAAACATTAAGGGATAATACAGTTTTTTAGAAAATCATTTACCCCTTTGATCCACAAACTCTAGTAAGTTTAAATCAGATGAATGTCACTTTTGACATTTCTTAGTGAGATCAAATATATGCATCACATTTTGGTCATTTATTCTGATCCAGTACATTTTCTGCTTTTCTCTAAAGCCCTTCCCTTGTTGAATTTTAGTTTATTAATATAGTGATTCAGAACTCACTAGAAGACACAGGTAAGTGTTGGAGACTTTACAAAAAATTGTTAAGTTGGCTTGCATAGCACTGCAAAGTTTGTTAAGAGAGAATGCAGGTCATTGCACTGCTGGGAAACTTGGGAAGCAAGAGCAAAGGATTTCACCACTATTGCCCTTCAAAGTCCTTATCTAGGTGATCATAAGTATTCTGCAGGACCATGCTCCTGCTGTTATACATCAAACACCTTCAGATTATGGTCCATTGTTCTGATTGTTGCAATTTTTATTGTATAAGAATGGAAGCAATTCTGGTCTTACTTTTATATTCTTGCCCAGATTCCACTCCATCCATGTAAACACAGACCCGTAATGAAACTGTATAATCACCCTGGGGTTAAAAATACTCTCTCTTGGCCGGGCGCTGTGGCTCACGCCTGTAATCCCAGCACTTTGGGAGGCCGAGGTGGGCGGATCACGAGGTCAGGAGATCGAGACCATCCCGGCTAAAACGGTGAAACCCCGTCTCTACTAAAAATACAAAAAATTAGCCGGGCGTAGTGGCGGGCGCCTGTAGTCCCAGCTACTTGGGAGGCTGAGGCAGGAGAATGGCGTGAACCCGGGAGGCGGAGCTTGCAGTGAGCCGAGATCCCGCCACTGCACTCCAGCCTGGGCGACAGAGCGAGACTCCGTCTCAAAAAAAAAAAAAAAAAAAAAAAATACTCTCTCTTCATCTTTGCTATTGATTGTAAAATATTGAGTACTTTTATCTGGAGACATTCTGTTCTTAGCATACTGGTCACAGAAGGTTATCTTTAAAATCCCCTTTAAATCTCCCAAATTAATGTTCTTTTTAGTGAGCACCTGCCAGCTTTGATGCAGTTATGGGATTAGACATTTTTGAATGATTTTTTGACTCTGAAGGTTGTTCGCATGCTGTTACCAAATCTGGCTGTATTTCAGCTCCAGCATCTTCAATTTCATAAAGGATTTGCTGTGAACCCAATAAATGTTTTCATGTGATTTTATAATTATCATACTTAGAAACTGCCTTTATTAGAGCTTGGCACTTTCTTGCATATAACACTGCTGCTCCTGTAATTGACTTTAACCAAGGCAGTAATAATCCATGATATTTCCTTGAAGGTGAGCTTGGCAGCAGGGAGGCTCTTTATTATAGTTTTTTGTCTTTGATAAACCTGATAAGATAAATAAAAGCTTATTTAACTTATAGATATCAAATTAAATGCCATAATGAGACAAAGTTAATTCAACATCCATATGTTGTAACATGTTATGACAATTCCATTGAAGAGGGAACTAAAGCTGATCAGAGAGAAAACATTAAGAAATAGCCACTAAGTTAATGACAACAATGCCTTGTACATATCTCAAATAATCTGAATATCTTATTTTCATAGAGTTTTTGACAAAGAAGCTCTGGCTCATTTTGTAATATAGAAGAATCATTCACCTGAAGGCAAATGCTCTCAGAATCAATCCATATAATATTTCCCAATAAACACTGAATAAGTTAAAACAAATATATACTTTATGTTATAAGCAAAGAAGCATATATACCTACTTGAAAACTGTTAAACTTAGGTATAAATCAAGAATTCAAATTACAACGTTATTGTTGTTTGAGCATTTTATTTCTTATATAACTAAAAAAAGACTTTTTTTTTTTACTTTAAGTTCTGGCATACATGTACTGAATGTGCAGATTTGTTACATAGGTATACATGTGCCATGGTGGTTTGCTGCACCCATTAACCCGTCATCTAGGTTTTAAGCCCTGCGTGCATTATTTGTCCTAATACTCTCCCTCCCCTTGCACCCCACCCCACGACAGGCCCCAGTGTGTGATTTCCCCTCCCTGTGTCCATGTGTTCTCATTGTTTAACTCTCACTTATGAGTGAGAACGTGCAGTGCTTGGTTTTCTGTTCCTGTGTTAGTTGGCTGAAGATGATGGTTTCCAGCTTCATCCATGTCCCTGCAAAGGACATGAACTCATTCTTTTTTTATGGCTGCATAGTATTCCATGGTGTATATATGCCACATTTTCTTTATGCAACCTATCATTGATGGGCATTTGGGTTAGTTCCAAGTCTTTGCTATTGTAAATAGTGCTGCAATAAACATACATGTGCATGTGTCTTTATAGTAGAATGATTTATAATCCTTTGGGTATATACCCAGTAATGGGATTCCTGGGTCAAATGGTATTTCTGGTTCTAGAACCTGGAGGAATTGCCACACTGTCTTCCACAATGGTTGAATGAATTTACACTCCCACCAACAGTGTAAAAGTGTTTCTATTTCTTCACATCCTCACCAGCATCTGTTGTTTCCAGACTTTTTAATGATCACCATTCTAACTGGCATGAGATGATTTCAAATTGTGGTTTTGATTTGCATTTCTCTAATGACTAGTGATGATGAGCTTTTTTTCATGTTTTTTGGCCACATAAATGTCTTCTTTTGAGAAGTGTCTGTTCATATCCTTTGCCCACTTTTTGATGGGGTTGTTTTTTTTCTTGTAAATTTGTTTAAGTTCCTTATAGATTCTGGATATTAGACCTTTGTCAGATGGATAGATTGCAAAACTTTTCTCCCATTCTGTAGGTTGCCTGTTCATTCTGATGATAGTTTCTTTTGCTGAGCAGAAGCTCTTTAGTTTAGTTAGATCCCATTTGTCAATTTTGATCTCTGTTGCAATTGCTTTTGGTGTTTTTGTCATGAAATCTTTGCCCATGCCTATGTCCTGAATGCTATTGCCTAGGTTTTCTTCTATGGTTTTTATGGTTTTAGGTTTTAGGTTTAAGTCTTTAATCCATCTTGAGTTAATTTTGTATAAGGTATGAGGAAGGGGTCCAGTTTCTGTTTTCTGCACATGGCTAGCCTGTTTTTCCAGCACCACTGATTAAATATGGAATCCTTTCTTCATTGCTTGTTTTTGTCAGGTTTGTCCAAGATCAGATGGTTGTAGATGTGTGGTGTTATTTCTGAGGCCTCTGTTCTTTTCCATTGGTCTACATATCTGTTTTGGTACCAGTACCATGCCAGGAACCTCCCTCCCCCAGCCAAGAGAAATCGTGAGGGACTGTGCTATCCAGCTCAGATACTATGCTTCTCCCATGGTTTTTGCAATCCATAGACCAGGAGATTCCCTTGTGTGCCGACACCATCTATATAAATTTCATACTTCTTTTTCAGAGCAGATGGCAACATCAGAGAGAAGGTGTTAATTGACTATCTCACATTTCTATTGAACTTAGTGGGACTAATTTCCTCCTATTTGCCTTTTGCAAGGTTCCTGTTGCCTTTAACTTATAGAAAAAGGTTTGCTTTTTCAACTATGGATACTGAGTTCTCCTCAAAACTGTCATCTGCAATTGAAATTAATATTTATCCAGCAGTACAATAAGTGATTAGAACTTAAATAATGTCTTTGCCTTAAGTAGGTTATCTTGAAGAAAAATGACTAAGACAAGTAAGTAAACTGGCAATTGTGATGTGGTTGTGATTGAAAAGTATGATTGGGGTGGTGGGAATAAATAATATGATGCTATGAGTGCACAAGGGATATATTTTTAACACAAGGTTAGTAAAGGTCAGGGGAAGTTTACTAAAGATGTGAGGCCTTTACTACATTTTGTAGTAAGAGTCCAGGCAAGTGAGGGCCGTACAGACTAACAAAACATGTAAAAAGATATAAAGGCCAGTAAGATCAGGGCACATTTGTGTAACAGGGTAGTTAGTAGATGGCTGTACCTTTCATTGTGATAGGAATTAATACATTGTATAGTAAATTTATTTAAAATCCATAAGCTTGAAAATACTTAAAATAGAGACTCATTGAGCCTCAAATCCCATAATGCTATGTTCAAACTAGGAAAAAGAATAGCAGAAAAGTTGTACCTATTACCAACATAAGTATTTAAATTAATCACATCTATATGTTTATTACTTTCCAGTCACATTAATTTATTTTCTGTCCTCTATGAAATAGCCATCTCAATCTTATACTCATTTCACTCATGCTGTTTCTTTCCAGCTTCTATCTAGTAAACAATTGCCTCTTCTTTTTGAAAATACATATACAATATATTTTCTAGACTCTATCTCATTTTTTAGCTTTTAACTCTGAGATGAGTGCTTTGTTGATTCTCTTTCTCCATGTCTTTTTTTTCTTACCAAGTATAAAGGACAGGATTTATAATCATGCTGCTGCCCCATAGACATTAAGCTAGGCACTGAGGATACAGAGTAGAATATTTTGAAAAACTTTACTTTTTTACACCTCCAAACATGAGGTGTAAAGCGAGGAATATATTCAAGTCACTGAAGGAGCCTTAATAAATTCTATTTAAAAAATTTCATTCTTATTTTGAGCTTTTAAAAATTCTTATGCTTGGAGTTCCTTGCTTATAAAAGTCTATTAAGCTAATAAGGTGGGAATTTGAAAAAATAATCCAAATTATGTTCATCTACACTCATTTATTTAAGACTGTGCCACACTTTTGGAGCCACAATTTCTGCATTGCACATGTATTTGTGGAGCTATGCTCAAAGGGTCATAAACTTAGATGGTAAATAATAGGTAGAAATGACAATTTGGAGTAAACATTTAAAGGTCACAATCTAACATTTATTTTTGGATTAGCATGTAGTAAGAAGTCACTGGAAGTCTGTGAAGAAAGAGGTAACTTGAATCGCCAATTTAAGTATGTTTGTAAGATATGATAAGCAAAGGGAAGCTGAACCTTTGAAAACTTAAAAGACAGAGACAATGATAACCCTTAACTAGCAAAAAAAATCTATCAATTAAAGAGCTATAGTAGGTGTATGAAAAGAGCATGAGATAACATCTGAATTCCAAAAATATTTCAATTTTAATCCCAGGATTTTCATTTATATGTGGTGTTCCTATGTACAAGTTAGGTTAATACTATGAGCTTGCTTTCTAATATATAAAACGTATTCAGTATATTGCATAGTTAATATTACTGTGAGGTCATGTATATTCAAGAAATGGGGGGAGCTTTATTATTATTTTGTTTTCAGTATTGTTAGTAATAAGAATAATGGGACATACTAAGAACTATGGAAAATATAAAAGTCATGAACTTTGTGCATTTTTTACACTTAAAATCTACTGTAAAGACAACACAAATAAAACATCCAACCCCAATAAAAATATTTTCCAGTCAATGACATTGTAATGATTCCTATTTGCACCTAGGCCATACCTTATACATTGATTTTCTGTATAAACTGTAGCAATCTAAAAAGGGAGCATTTCCTCTGTTCTATAGGGGAGAAAATTGAAGTTTAGGGAGATAAAGTATTGTGCATAAGGCCACACAACTATGCTGGGAGTCTAGGATTTGAAAAGAGACCATCTGCCTTCACAGCCCACCCCTTTCCCTTATAATGCATGCCTAAAACAATGATTTTGTTTAAATATTACTCTTTAATGTCTTCTCTATTCTCACCTAAGTTAAAGTCCTATTTCCTTTTACACTTGCTATAGCAAAACACTTTTAAATGATTCCACACCTTTAATTTTCTCTTCATTGAGTTCTTGCTGTACCTATTTGAGTAACTATTAAATGCCTGGCACTGTTATAGGCACTGGAAATACATAAATTAATTTGTTCCAGCAGTCTTATAATAGAGGAGTCATTTGACTATTAGTGACAGAGGGAAAAATATTTGGATATGAGAGGGTGATAAGTTTGATAAATAAAAATTTAACAAGTTAAGGGGATTGAAAGTTATAAAAAAGTCATAATGGGTTGTGTAGTTATACTAAAGTTTGGTAGTAATAGAGTAGTGTGGCTAAAGCAGTATTTTAGAGAGAGAGACAGGCGATAATGATGGAGAGATAGTAGAGACTAGACAGAAGGCCTTAAAAGACCAGAATGAGAATCATGGCTTTTTCTGTAAGTGAGACAAGAAACCAGTGCAAAGTAATAATTAGAAAAGCGACAAAATCTGGCCTCTGTTTTAGCAAAGTCACCCTGTCTCTTCTGTTCTCATTCAAAAACATAGCTGATTACATTTACAAGGCAGAGCGCCATTCAGGCTACTTGCTCACTCTTAAGCCCATAACGTCTCATCCTTACATTCCAATGGCTTTAGTTTCTATTTAGAAATAGCAATGGTGGTGTTGGTAGTAGTCGTAGTAGTAATATTCATAATTGTAATAACAGTCTCTACTTCATGAGTACTAACCCTATGGATCTCTTGATTTATAGGATACTCATTCTTTCACAAATTTTATTCTTCTAAAGAATCTTTATTTCTAATGGAATATCCATTTACATCTCAACAGGTACTGATGTTCCAGAAAATAGTTTTGAAAATTATATTCTACAGAATTAATATAAAATTCTTTAGTGTACAAGTCATTTTTAAAATTTATTCATGCCACATTTTTTTCTATTTGTGGATGGTCTTTTTTTTAATTCAGTTTCCATAACTAAATTATATCTGTTCTTCAAGACTTGTTCAAATCCTACTCTCTCTAGGAAGTCTTTCTTGATTTTACTTCATGAAAAGAATCACTTTCTCTTGTGATCTTCTATTGATGTTGATTCATATCTTTCTTAACAGCACTTATCATTTACTATATTCTATTCTACTCTATGTATGCATTAACCTTTCTTATTTCTAGTGCAAGGATCTGTGAGGGAAGTCTCTTTGCCTAATTCATCTTTATGTCTAACATAGTGTCTTAAACACAGTAGAAAATAAAGGGCTATGTCAACAGTCAGTTTATTTTTAATTTGGTCATATCTATTCCAATTACATGTATCATTTATTTCCATAATTCAGTTGTAACATCTTTTAAGTAACAACACATTTTTATCCCTTTAATGTGACCCCCCATGTGTCTTAGGTAGACCTCTGTAACATTTTCCTTCAGGTCTTCAAAAGTTGATTGACTGAATGGTTGATTAACCCTGCAGGTTGGAGGAATTTGCCATTGGGTTAAAAGATTTAAATCATCCCTAGAACTCAATTCTGAAAAAAAGATTTCTTAGTTTCATAGTGTTTGTGAAACACCATGTACACTGACTAGAGAAAGAGAGATAGTGAGGCCAGGCTCAAGGCCATTCTCCAGTGGCTAAGAAGCTGAGAATCCACAACTGGGGTCAGAAACTTTAATATCTGCTATCATGGTTTTTATTGCTATGGCATGTTTTGATACACTCCAGAGGGAACTGTCATCTTATCTTGCTTATTCCACAGGCTGGGAAATAGGCTTGTAGAGGATGTTGAAATAAGATGAAGAGATGAAATACAATCTCCATTTCATTTAGTCTTAGAAGATTTTGTGAAGTATGAAGGTGTAATATCCTGGTAAACCAATTATGAAAATATAAGTGAGTTGAAAAAATTCAATTAATTATAGCATATAAACATATTTTAGCTTTGATATTTTTAAATGTTACTTATCTTATACAAATTAATACTGTGTACCAAACAAGCTAGATAAAAATCTAAAATCAAAGTAATATGTTTTCATAAAACTCTACATCTAATAATTGTAAAAATACCCTACATTTCAATAATGAAGATTCTACCAAGTTGCAAATAAACATTAGATAAATGACATGGAAAATGCCAATGCATGGTTTAGGCAGACCAAGGACAAATCATTTTAAGTTCAAATATTATCTTGCTTTTTAAATTGTATATTTTTATAATAGTACTATTTGCTCATCAATTGCTATACATCTATGCTTGGCACTTTAATACTTGTCTGCTGCCTGAAACTCTAAGACTTGAGATTCAGCCACATAAACACTAAATAATTCACTGTCAGGCTTCCTGCAGCTTGGAAGGAGTGAAAAACTAGAACAAGAGACTAACAGACATAAATTAAGGAGAAAATGAGAAATTCAAGATTCACTCTAGAGCACAGATATAAGAGCACAGATAAAATAAGAAATCGTATTCAAAGCTATATAGAACAAGGGGAGAAGGATGAAATTTTTGTTCATGTAGTAAAATAATAACATATTTTAATAATGTTAGTCTGCAAAAATATTGTAAGTAGTGATATGTTTTTCCTTAAAATCACTTGTGCTTGCAAGTCCAGTAAGAGGAAAGTAAGAGTTTTGTGCAATGTAAGAACCATAACTCAGTTAGTTATTTCAAAATCTAATGCAAATGTCTTAATGATCTTTGAATCAGGAAGAAAAGATAGAAGGTATTTAATTTGACAGAAGTAAGATTAGCAAGAAGCAGTTTTGCTAGTGTTACACTGGGAAGTGACTGGCTGGGACATAAGCCAGAAAGTAACTGGAATCTTGAAACACCTTTTCTTTCTGTTTTTTTTTGTTTTTTTTTGTTTGTTTGTTTTGTTTTGTTTTTTTTTTTGAGTTGAAGGCAAGCTTGTAAGTCTCTTTGAATAATGAACTTTGGGCTTGTTTATCTGATCTATGATGATGCTTCATCTTGAACTTATTTATCCTAGTCACATAAAGTCTTTTTCATTTAGTTTTCTGATATCTTACTATTTGTAATTCATTAAACTATTGCTTTATAAATATTAACTAACTTTTTTGAAACCTGTAGAAAATAGGAATAATTCTTCTCTCTTATAATAAAACTCATTGACTGCTGTTTTTATTCTTATTCATACTGATGCCTTTCATTTTTGGAAAAAAGCAAACTAAATAAATATATAAATAAAGTACCAGTGTGTCTCAGGATAAAATTGGAAGAATAAAAGATAACTGAGTGGCCCATCTTTGCTTGTCTCTTGTATGAAATGGAAATTTCTCACATTTATCATTGTAATTTAGGATACTAAATGATACTTTGTTATGTCCAACAGAAACTTTTTATAATATAGCTTTTCTTTTCTTTTTTTTTTTTTTTTGAGACGGAATCTTGCTCTGTCGCCCAAACTGGAGTGCAGTGATGCGATCTCAGCTCACTGCAACCTCCACCTCCCGGGTTCAAGTGATTCTCCTGCCTCAGCCTTCCGAGTAGCTGAGATTATAGGCGTGCACCACCATGCCTAGCTAATCTTTGTATTTTTAGTAGAGACGGGGTTTCATCATGTTGGCCAGTCTGATCTTGAACTCCTGACCTCAGGTAATCCACTCACCTCGGCCTCCCAAAGTGCTGGGATTACAGGCGTGAGCCACGGCGCCCGGCCTAATATAGCTTTTCTTTTAAGTATTATGGTTCAGAATTTTGTATCTGCTTCTAGAAAGATAGAATAATATTCATCTACCCTCCTCTCTTTAAGATTTATACTCCTAATTTAAAAGGAGACAAAAATAAAAATGGAAAAAGGAAATTTTTTTTGTATTTTTCTAACTTTGAAATTATTCAATGTTATTTCTTTTAATTTTGAAACTTATTTTTAAACTAAAATTATAAGTAAGGGATCATGAGGCAGAGCAAGATGGGTAAATAGAAGCATTCACCAATCATTCTTCCAGCAGAACCATAAAATTTAACAACTGCCACACAAAAATGCATCTTCACAAGAATCAAAAATCAGGTGAGCAATCACAATACCTGGTTTTATCTTCATATCACAGAAAGAGGCATTGAAGACATTAGTAAAGGCAGCCTAAAATTGCCAATGCCACCTTTTCCCCATCTCCTGGCAGTGGCCCTGGCCCCATGGTGTGGAGAGAGAATCTGTGTACTTGGTGAAGGAGAATGCAGTGATTGTAAGACTTGACATTGGAACTCAGTGCTGTTCTGTCACAGTGGAAACTAACAGAGGGCAGAATTCAGCCTGTATGCATGCAAGGAGCATTTATACCAGCCCTCACCAGAGGGGAATCACCCACTCCAGCAGTCAAAATCTGAGTTCTGGCAAGCCCTGCTACCACCACAGGCTAAAGTGCTGTGGGGTTCTAAATAAACTTGAAAGGCAGTCTAAGCCAGAAGGACTGCAATCCCTGGGCACATCCTGGTGCTGTGCCGGGCTTGAAGTGGAATTGGGGGCATATGACCGAGTGAGACACCAGCTGGAGCAGCCAAGGGAGTACTTGCCTTACCCCTCACCCAACATCAAGAACCACAGCTTGCAGCTCCAGGCAAAACTCCATCTCTTCACTTGAGAGAAAAGAGGATTTTGTCTTGTGACTTGGATATCAGCTCAGCCACAGTAGGATAGGGTACCACACAGAAGTTCTGAATCCTCCATTCTATGCCCTAGCTCCTTGATGACATCTGTAGACACATCCTGGGCCAGAAGGGAAGTCACTGCCTTGAAGGGAAGGACCCAGTCCTGGCAGGATTTATCATCTCATAACTAAAGAGCCCTTGGGCTTTGAATAATCACCAGCAATACCCAGGCAGTACTCACTGTGAGCCTTGGGTGAAAGTCAGAGATGTGGTGGCTTCAGGTGTGATCCAGCACATTTTCAGCTCGGTGGCTACAGAGAGAGATTTCTTCAGTTTGAGAAAAGGTGAAGGAAGAGTAAAGGAGACTTTGTCTTGGAGCTTAGGTACCAAGTCAATCACCATGATTGACCAGCTGGCCCTTGGGGTCCCTGATTCCAGGCCTTGGCTCTTGGACAGCATTTCTGGACCTACCTCGGCCAGAGGGAAGACCACTGCCTAAAGAGAGAGTCCCAGGCCTCACAGCATTCACCACAAGCTGATTTAAAAGCCCCTTGGGCCTTGAATGAATATCAGCCATAGCTAGGCAGTGTTCACCATGGGCCAAAGGTAGTTGTGGCCTCAGAGAGAGACTCTACTTGTGGAAAGAGGAAGAAAGAATGGGCAAGACTTTGTCTTATGGTTTGGGTGCCAACTTAGCCACAGAATAGAGCACAGATAGATTCTTAAGGTTTCTGACTTCAGGCGCAGGCTCCTGGACAACATATCTGAACCCACTCAGGGACAGCGGGAACTTGCTGTCCTGAAGAGAAGGACAAAAGTCTAGCTGGCTTTGCTATTTGCTCATTGTAGAGCCGTAGAACCATGAGTAATCATAGGTGGTAGGTGGGCAGTGGTTACCGTGGGCCTTGGGCAAGACCCAGTACCATGCTGGTGTCATGTCTGACTCAGCACAGTCCTACTGGTGGTGGTCACAGAGGTACTTGTGTCACCCTTCTGCCAGCTCCAGGAAGCTCAACACAGAGAGTGAGACTCCATTTGTCTGGGAGAAAGAAAAGGAAGAGAACAAGAGTCTGATTGATAATGGAGAGAATTCTTCTGGATCTTATCCAAGACTGCCAAGCTTGTACCTCGATGAATTTGCAAGAGCCAGTGTTACAGGGTTTGGGGTACTCCTTAATGCAGACAGAGGTTCAGTGACCAAAAGCTTAGTTGACAACACCCAAGTTCCTTTGAATAGCTGGAAAGGCTTCCCAAAAAGAATGGGTACAAACAACCTAAGACTGCAAGGATTATAATAGATACCTAACATTTCAATACCCAGACACTGACAAACATTCATAAGCATCAACACCATCCAGAAAAACAGAAACTCACACACACACACAAAAAAACCTAAATAAGTCATTAGGGACTAATCCTAGAGAGATAGATACATGTGACTTTTCAGACAGAAAATTTAAAATAGTTAGTTTGTGGAAATTCAACAAAATTTAACATGACAGAAGGAATTCAAAATCGTATCAGATAAATTTAGCAAAGAGATTAAAATAATTTAAAAGAATGAAGGGGATCTTCCACCATGATTGTGAGGCTTCCCCAACCACGTGGAACTTTTAAGTCCATTAAATCTCGTAATCTCGTTCTTTTGTAAATTGCCCAGTCTCAGCTATGTCTTTATTAGCAGCATGAAAATGGGCTAATACACTGTAGAATAGTATATCCAGCAAAAAGATCCTTCAAACATGAAGGAGAAATAAAGAATTTCCCAGACAAACAAAAGCTGAGAGACTTCATCAACATCAGACCTATCCTACAAAAAATGCTAAAGGGTGTTAATTCCCCAATCTGAAAGAAAAATCACATTAATGAGCAATAAGAAATCATCCCAAGGTACAAAACTCACTGGTAATACTAAGGACACAGAAAAACACAGATTATTATAACATTGTAATTGTGTATAAACTACTTATATATTAAGAGGAAAGACAAAAAGATGAACTGATCAAAAATAATAACAACAACAACAACTTTTCTAGACATAAACCGTATAAGAAGATATAAATACAAACAACAAAAAGTTTAAAAATGGGAACAAAGTTTAAGTGTAAGTTTTTATTAGTTTTCTTTTTGCTTGTTTGTTTATGCAATTAGTCTTAAGTTGTCATCATTTCAAAATAATAGGTTGTATGATTACTTGTGGTGGATCTGGCAAGATGGCTGAATAGGAACAGCTCTGTTGTGCAGCTCCTAGCAAGACCAATGCAGGAGGATGATTTCTGCATTTCCAACTGAGGTACTCAGTTCATCTCATTGAGACTGGTTAGAAAGTGGGTGCAGCCCACATGAGGCTAGCAGAAGCAGAACTTGAAATTCTTGCTGCCAGCACAGCAGTCTGAAGTCAATCTGGGACACTCAGGCTTGGTGTGGGGAGAGGGATCGCCCATTACTGAGGCTCCAGTAGGCGGATTTACCCTCACAGTGTAAACAAAGCTGCCAGGAAGTTGACACTGGGTGGAACCACCACAGCTGCAGCAAAGCCACTGTAGCCAGACTGCCTCTTTAGATTCCTCCTCTCTGGGCAGTGCATCTATGAAAGAAAGGCAGCAGCCCAAGTCAGGAGCTTATAGATAAAACTTCTATCTATAGAAGTCGACACCTCCCAGCAGGGGTCGACAGACACCTCATACAGGAGAGCTCTGGCTGGCATCTGGTGGATGCCCCTCTGGGACAAAGCTTCCAGAGGAAGAAGCAGGCAGCAATCTTTGGATCTGCAGCCTCTGCTGGTGATACCCAGGAAAAAAGGGTCTGGAGTGGATCTCCAGCAAACTCCAGCAGACCTGGAGAAGAGGGCTCTGACTGTTAAAAGGAAAAGTAACAGACAGAAAGCAATAACATCAACATCAACAAAAAGGACACCCTCGCAAAAACCCCATCCAAAGCTCATCAGCATCAAAGATCACAGGTAGTTAAATCCATGAAGATGAGGAAAAACCAGCAGAAAAATGCTGAATATTCCAAAAACCAGAATGCTTCTTCTCCTCCAAAAAATCACAACTCCTTGCTAGAAAGGAAATGAAACTGGACAGTGAATGACTTTGACAAATTGACAGAAGTAGGCTTCAGAAGATAGGTAATAACAAACTCCTCTGAGCTAAAGGAGAATTTTCTAACCCAGTGCAAGGAAGCTAAGAATCTTGTTAAAAGGTTACTGCTAATTAGAATAACCAGCTTAGAGAAGAACATAAATGACCTGATGGAGCTAAAAAACACAGCACAAGAACTTCGTGAACCATATACAAGTATCAATAGCTCTGGAACAAGCAGACCTAATAGATCTACAGAACTCTCCACCCAAAATCAACAGAATATACATCCTTCTGAGCACCACATAGCACTTATTCTAAAATTGACCACATAATTGGAAGTAAAACACTCCTCAGCAAGCACAAGAGAACAGAAACCATAACAAACAGTCTCTCGGACCACAGTGCAATCAAATTAGAACTCAGGATTAAGAAATTCACTCAAAACCACACAAGTAGATGGAAACTGAACAACCTGCCCCTAAATGACTATGGGGTAAATAATGAAATTAAGGCAGATGTAACAAAATTGTTTGAAACTAATGAGAACAAAGACATAATGTACCAGAATCTCTGGGACACAGCTAAAGCAGTGTTTAGAGGGAAATTTATAGCACTAAGTGCCCACATCAGAAAGTGGGAAAGATCTAAAATAGACACCCTAACATCACAATTAAGAGAACTAGAGAAGTAAGAGCAAACAAAATAAAAAGCTCACAGGAGACAAGAGATAACTAAGATCAGAGCAGAAGTGAAGGAGATAGAGACATGAAAAACCCTTCAAAAAATCAGTGACCCCAGGAGCTGATTTTTTGGAAAAATTAACAAAATAGGTAGACTGCTAGCCAGACTAATAAAGAAGAAAAGAGAGAAGAATCAAATGGACACAATGAAATATGGTAAAGGCGATAACACCACTGGTCCCACAGTAATACAAACTACCATCAGAGAATACTATAAACACCTCTATGCAAATAAACTATAAAATCTAGAAGAAGTGGATAAATTCCTGGACACATAAACCCTCCCAAGACTAAACCAGGAAGAAGTCAAATCCCTGAATAGACTAATAACAACTTCTGAAATTGAGGCAGTAAATAATAGCCTACCAACCAAAAAAAGCCCACACCAGATGGATTCATAGCCGAATTCTACCAGAGGCACAAAGAGGAGCTGATACCATTCCTTCTGAAACTATTCCAAACAATAGAAAAGGAGGGACTCCTCCTTATCTCATTTTATGAGGCCAGCATCATCCTGATACCAAACCCTTCCAGAGACACAACAAAAAAAGAAAATTTCAGGTCAGTATCCCTGATGAACATCGATGTAAAAATCCTCAATAAAATACTGGCAAACCAAATCCAGCAGCACATCAAAAAGCTTATCCACAACAACCAAGTCAACTTCATTGCTGGGATGCAAGGCTGGTTCAACATACACAAATCAATAATTATGTAATCCATCACATACACAGAACCAATGGCAAAAAACACATGATTATCTCAATAGATGCAGAAAAGGCCTTTGATAAAATTCAACACCACTTCATGCTAAAACACACTCAATAAACTAGGTACTGATGGAACATATCTCAAAATAATAAGAGCTATTCATGAAAAACCCATAGCCAAATCATACTGAATGGGCAAAAGCTGGAAGCATTCCCTTTGAAAACTGGCACAAGAGAAGGATGCCCTCTCTTACCACTCCTCTTCAACATAGTATTGGAAGTTCTGGCCAGGGCAATCAGGCAAAAGAAAAAAATAAAGGGTATTCAAATAGGAAGAGAGGGAGTCAAATTGTCTCTGTTTGCAGATGACATGATTGTATATTTAGAAAACCACATCATCTCAGCCCAAAAACTCCTTAAGCTGATAGGCAACTTCAGCAAAGTCTCAGGATACAAAATCAATGTGCAGAAATCACAAGCATTCCTATACACCAATAATAGACAAACAGAGAGCCAAATCCTGAATGAACTCCCATTCACAACTGCTACAAAGAGAATAAAATACCTAGGAATACAACTTACTAGGGACGTGAAGGAACTCTTCAAGAACTACAAACCACTCCTCAAGAAATAAGAGAGGACACAAAGAAATGAAAAAACATTCCATACTAATGGATAGGAAGAAACAATATCATGAAAATGGCCATACTGCCCAAAGTAATTTATAGATTCAATGCTATTCCCATCAAACTACCATTGACTTTCTTTACAGAATTAGAAAAAACTACAATTAAGTTTCAAATGGAACCAAAAAAGAGCCATATAGCCAAGACAATCCTAAGCGAAAAGAACAAAGCTGGAGGTTTCACGCCACCTGACTTCAAACTATACTACAAGGCTACAGTAACCAAAACAGCATGGTACTGGTACCAAAACAGATATATAAACCAATGGAACAGAATAGAAGTCTCAGAAATAAGGCCACACATCTACAACCATCTCATCTTTGACAAACCTGACAAAAACAAGCAATGGGGAAAGGAGTCCCTGTTTAATAAATGGTGTTGGGAAAACTGTCTAGCCATATACAGAAAACTGGAACTGGACCCCTTCCTTACACCTTGTACAAAAATTAACTCAAGATGGATTAAAGACTTAAATGTGAGACCTAAAGCCGTAAAAACCCTAGAAGAAAATATAGGCAATAACATTCAAAACATAGGCATGAGGAAAGACTTAATGACTCAAACACCAAAAGCCATTGCAACAAAGACCAAAATGGACAAATGGGATCTAATTAAACTAAAGAGCTTCTGCTCAGCAAACAAAACTATCATCAGAGTGTACAGGCAACCTACAGAATGGGAGAAAAGTTCTGCAATCTATCCATATGACAAAGGGCTAATATCCAGAATCTACAAGGAACTTAAAAAATTTACAAGAAAAAAACAACCCCATCAAAAAGTGGACAAAGGATATGAACAGAGGCTTCTCAAAAGAAGACATTTATGTGGCTAACAAACATATGAAAAAAAGCTCATCATCACTGGTCATTACAGAAATGCAAATCAAAACCACAATGAGATACCATCTCACGCCAGTTAAAAATGGAGATCATTAAAAAGTCAGGAAACAACAGATGCTGGAGAAGATGTGGAGAAATAGGCACACTTTTACTCTGTTGGTAGGAGTGTAAATTAGTTCAACCATTGTGGAAAACAGTGTGGTGATTCCTCAAGAATCTGGAACCAGAAATACCATTTTACCCAACAATCCCATTACTGGGTATATACCCAAAGGGTTATAAGTCATTCTGCTATAAAGACACATGCACATGTATGTTTATTGCAGCACTATTTGCAATAGCAAAGACTTGGAACCAACCCAATTCCCCATCAATGATAGACCACATAAAGAAAATATGGCACATATATACCATGGAATACTATGCAGTTATAAAAAAGAATGAGTTCATGTTCTTTGCAGGGACATGGATGAAAGCTGGAAACCATCATCTTCAGCCAACTAACACAGGAACAGAAAATCAAACACTGCATGTTTTCACTCATAAGTGAGAGTTAAACAATAAGAACACATGGACACAGGGATGGGAACATCACACACCGGGGTCTGTTGGGCGTAGGGGAAAGGGCAGGGATAGAATTAGGAGAAATACCTAATGTAGATGACGGGTTGATGGGTGCAGCAAGCCACCATGGCACATGTATACCTATGTAACAAACCTGCACATTTTTCACATATATCCCAGAATTTAAAGTATAATAAAAAAATTATGTACAGAAAAAAAAGATTATTTGCAAGCCTCATGGTAATCTCAAATCAGAAAAAAAAAAAAGATATACCTAAAATAGAAAGCAAGGAAATAAATCATACCATCAGAGTAAATCACCTTCACTAAAAGTAAGACAGGAAAAAAAGAAAAAAGGAAGAAAAGACCACAAAATAAGTGGAAAGCCACAAAATGACAGGACGAAGTTGTTTTTTTATCAGTAATAACATTGAATGTAAATGGACAGAACTCTTCAATCAAAAAACACAGAGTGGCTGAATGTATTACATTACAAAAATAAAAAATCTGTTCCCTACAAGAAACACACTTCACCTGTAAACAAACACACAGACTGAAAATAAAGGGAAAAAAGTGCAGGAGTTGCTATACTTATTTCAGAAACAACATATTTTAAAAGAAAAACAATAGAAAGAGTCAAAAATGCCATTATATAATGATAAAGAGGTTGAATCAGCAGGAGGATATAACAATTTTAAAAATATATGCACCAAAAACCAGGCACCCAGATATAGAAAGCAAATATTATTAGAGAAGAAAAGAAAAATAAGTTTAGCTGAGAACTTCAACACCCTACTTTCAGCATTGGGCAGTCATACAGAAAATCAACAAAGAAAAATCAGACTTAATCCGCACTATAGATCAAATGGACCTAATAGATATTTACAGAACATTTCATCTGGTGGGTACAGAATACACATTCTTCTCCTCAGCACATGGATCATTCCCAAGGATAAACCATATAATGTAGGCCACAAAACAAGTCTTTAAAAATTAAAAAAATTGAAGTTATATCAAGTATCTTCTCTGACTACAATGGAATAAAACTAGAAATCAATAAGAAGAGGCATTTTGGAAACTATATGAACACATGGAAATTAAACAACATGCTACTGAATTACCAGTGGATCAATGAATAAATTAAGAATGAAATTGGAATATTTTTGAAACAAATGATAATAGAAACACAACATGCCAAAACCTATAGAGCAAAAGCAATACTAAGACAACAGTGTTATAGCTATAAGGATCTACATCAAAAAAGAGGAAAAACTTCAAACAAATAACCTAAAGAAGCATCTTCTAGAATTAGAAAAGCAAGACCAAATCAAATCCAAAATTATTAGAGGAAAAGAAATAATAAAGATCAGAGAAGAAATAAATGGAATTGAAATAAAGAAAACAATACAAAAAATTATTAAAATGAAAAGTTTGTTTTTTGAAAAGATAAAATCAATAAACCTTTAGCCAGACTAACTAAAAGAAAAAAGGGAGAAGACTCAAAATTTTAAAAATCTGAGATTAAAAAGGAAACATTACAACTGATACCACAGAAATTCAAAGGATCATTAGAGGCTACTAAGAGCAACTATATGCCAATAAATTGGAAAAACTGAGGAAAATGAATAAATTTATAGACACACACAACCTACCCAGATTAAGCCTTGAAGAAATCCAAAACCTGAACAGACCAATAACAAGTAACAAGATTGAAGTTGGAATAAAAAGCCTTGCATCAAAGAAAAGTCCGAGACCCAATGGCTTTACTGCAGAATTTTACCTAAGATTTAAAGAACTAATACTGATCTTACTCGAACTATTCTGAAAAATAGAGGACAGAATACTTCCAAACTAATTCTACAAGGGTAGTATTACCCTGATACCAAAACCATACGAAGACACATCAAAAAAATAAAACTACAGGCCAGTATTCCTGATGAATATTGATGAAAAATCCTCAACAAATATTAGCAAACTGAATTCAATATCACATTAAAAAGATCATTCATCATGACCAAGTGGTATTTATCTCAGGGATGCAAGGAAAGTTCCGCATATACAAACCAATCAGTGTGATGTTGTGTCTGGAATTGGTGGGTTCTTGGTCTCACTGACTTCAAGAATGAAGCTGCGGACCCTCGAGGTGAGTGTTACAGTTCTTAAAGGTGGCGTGTCCAGAGTTTGCTCCTTCTGATGTTCAGATGTGTTCGGAGTTTCTTCCTTCTGGTGGGTTCGTGGTCTCGCTGGCTCAGGAGTGAAGCTGCAGACCTTTGCAGTGAGTGTTACAGCTCTTAAGGTGGCGCATCTGAAGTTGTTTGCTCCTCCTGGTGGGCTCATGATCTTGCTGGCTTCGGGAGTGAAGCTGCAGACCTTCGTGGTGAGTGTTACAGCTCATAAAGGCAGTGTGGACCCAAAGAGTGAGCAGCAGCAAGATTTATTGCAAAGAGAAAAGAACAAAGTTTGCACAGTGTGGAAGGGGACCCGAGCGGGTTGACACTGCTGGCTTGGACAGCCTGCTTTTATTCTCTTATCTGGCCCCACCCACATCCTGCTGATTGGTAGAGCCGAGTGGTCTGTTTTGACAGGGCGCTGATTGATTCGTTTACAATCCCTGAGCTAGACACAAAGGTTCTCCAAGGCCCCACCAGATTAGCTAGATACAGAGTGTAGACCCAAAGGTTCTCCAAGGCCCCATCAGAGTACCTAGATACAGAGTGTTGATTGGTGCATTCACAAACCCTGAGCTAGACACAGGGTGCTGATTGGTGTATTTACAATCCCTGAGCTAGACACGATGCTGATTGGTGTGTTTACAAACCTTGAGCTAGATACAGAGTACCAACTGTTGTATTTACAATCCCTGGGCTAGACATAAAGGTTCTCCAAGGCCCCGCCAGAGTAGCTAGATACAGAGTGTCAATTGGTGCATTCACAAACCCTGAGCTAGACACAGGGTGCTGATTGGTGTGTTTACAAACCTTGAGCTAGATACAGGGTGCTGATTGGTGTGTTTACAAACCTTGAGCTAGATACAGAGTGCCGATTTGTGTATTTACAATCCCTGAGCTAGACATAAAGATTTTCCACGTCCCCACCAGACTCAGGAGCCCAGCTGGCTTCACCCAGTGGATCCCGCACCGGGGCTGCAGATGGAGCTGCCTGCCAGTCCTGCGCCGTGCACCCGCACTCCTCAGCCCTTGGGTGGTTGATGGGACTGGGCACCATGGAGCAGGGGGTGGCGCTCCTCGAGGAGGCTCCAGCTGCACAGGAGCCCGGGGAGGGGGTGAGAGGCTCAGGCATGGCGGGCTGCAGGTCCCGAGCCCTGCCCCACGGGAAGGCAGCTAAGGCCAGGAGAGGAATTGAGCACAGCACCAGTGGGCTGGCACTGCTGGGGGACCCAGTACACCCTCCACAGCCGCTGGCCCGGGTGCTAAGCCCCTCATTGCCCAGGGCCAGCAGGGCAGGCTGGCTGCTCTGAGTGCAGGGCCCGCCAAGCCCACGCCCACCCGGAACTCCAGCTGGCCTGCAAGCGCCCTGCGCAGCCCCAATTCCCGCTGGCACCTCTCCCTCCACGCCTCCCTGCAAGCTGAGGGAGCGGGCTCCGGCCTTGGTCAGCCCAGAAAGGGGCTCCCACAGTGCCGTGGTGGGCTGAAGGGCTCCTCAAGTGCCGCCAAAGTGGGAGCCCAGGCAGAGGAGGCGCCGAGAGTGAGCGAGGGCTGTGAGGACTGCCAGCATGCTGTCACCTCTCAATACATCATATCAACAGAATGCAGGACAAAAGCCATATAATCATTTCAACTGATGTGTAAAAAGCATTTGAGAAAATTCAACATCTCTTCATGATAGAAATCCTCAAATAGCTGGGTATAGAAGGAACATATCTCAATACAATGAAAGCAATTTATAACAGACTCACAGTTAGTGTTATACTGAAAGAAAAAAAATCTGAAAGTCTTTCCTTTAATATATGAAATATGTCAAGGATGCCCACTTTCACCACTGTTATTCAGTATAGTACCATAAATCCTAGCTAGATCAATCAGAAAAGAGAAAGAAATAACAGGCATCCAAGGAAAGGAAGAAGTCAAATTATCCTTGTTTGTGGGTGATGCACTCTGATGTTTGGACAAGTCTAAAGACTTCACCAAAAAACTATTAAAACTGATAAACAAGTTCAGTAAAGTTGCAGCATACAAAATCAACATTCAAAGGTCAGTAGCATTTCTACATGCCAACAGCAAACAATCTGAGAAAGAAATCAAGAAAGTTTCCCGTTTAAATAGCTGAAAATAAAATAAAATACCTAGGGATTAATTTATTTAAATAAGTGAAAGACATCTACAATAAAAAACTATAAAACATTGATTTAAAAAGTTGAAGAGGACACAAAAAATTTGAAAGTTATTTCACGTTCGTGGTTTAGAAGAATCAATATTGTTAAAATGTCCATACTGCCTAAGGCAATCTACAGATTCAATGTAATTTCTATCAACATACCAATGACATTATTCAGAGAAATAGAAAAAAAATACTAAAACTTATATTAAACCGCAATAGACCCAGAATAGCCAAAGCTATCCTGAGCATAAAGAACAAAACTGGAAGCATCACGTTACTTGACTTCAAATTATGCTACACAGCTATAGTAACCAAAACAGCATCATGTTGGCATAAAAAATAGACACGCTGACCAATAGAACAGAACAGACGAACCAGAAACTAACTCCATACATCTACAGTGAACACATTTTTGACAAAAGTGTCAAGAACATACATAGGGAAAAGATAGTGTCTTCAATTGATGGTGCTGGGATAACTGGATATCTGTATGCAGAAAAATGAAACTAGACCCCTATCTCTTGCCATACACAAAAATCAAATCAAAATGGATAAAAGACTTAAATGTAGAACCTCAAATGATAAACTACTGAAAGAAAATATTGGGAAAAATCTCCAGTACAATAAACTAAGCAAAGATTTCTTGAGTAATGTCCAGCAAACACAGGCAACCAAAGCAAGAATGGACAAAAGAGCCACATTAAATTAAAAAACTTATCCACAGCAAAGGAAACAACCAAGTGAAGAGACAACCCCTTGAATCAGAGGAAATATTTACAAGCTCACCATCTTACAAGGGATTATAAACAGAATATATAAGGAGCTCAAACAACTCTATCGGGAAAAAATCTAATAATCTAATTAAAATGGGCAAAAGATCTGTATGGACATTTCTCAAAAAAATGTAGAAATGGAAAACAGGTATACAAAAACATGCTCAATATTACTGATCATCAGAGAAATGCAAATCAAATATATAATGCGATATCATCTCACGCTAGCAAAAATGGCTTTTGTGCAAAAGACAGGCAATAAGGAATGCTAGTGAAGATGTAGAGAACCGTCAGACACTATTGGTGGGAGTGTAAATTAGTACAACCACTACGGAGAACAGTTTGGAGGTTCCTTAAAAAACTAAAAATAGAGCAACCATATGATCCAGCAATCCCACTGCTAGATATGTACTCACAGGAAAGAAAATCAGTATATTGAAAAAATATATACCCTCGCATGTTTATTGCAGCACTGTTCACAATAATTAAGACTTGGAAGCAACCCGTGCCATTAACAGATGAATGGATAAAGAAAATGTGGTACATATGCACAGTAAAGCACTATTTAGCTATAAATAAAAGAATGAGATCCTGTCATTTGCAACAACATGGATGGAGATGGAAGTCATTATGGTAAGTGAAATAAGCCAGTCACAGAAAGACAAATTTTGCATTTTCTCACTTATTTTTGGGAGCTAAAAATTGAAACAGTTAAACTCATTGAGACAGAGAGGAAGAATGGCCACCAGAGCCTGGGAAGGGTGGCCAACGGGGTGAGGGGATGGAGGGCAGAGATGGAATGGTTAATGTGTACAAAAATAGAGTTTAAAAAATGAATAAGATCTAGTTCTTGATAGCACAACAGAGTGACTACAGTGAACAATAATTTATTGTACTTTTTAAATAACGAAAACAGTATAATTGAATTGTTTGTAACACAAAGGAAGGATAAATGCTTGAGGTGATGGATACCCCAATTACCCGGATATGATTATTGCACATTGTATGCCTGTGTCAAAATATCTCATGTGCCTCATAAATATAAACATGTTCTGTATACCCATAAAAATTAAAAATTAAACATTTCAGAAAAATAAAAAATGTAACAATTTTTTTAATTTTATATATATACAATTTATCAACTAAAAGTTTTAAAAGTAAAATGATATGTTTTGATAAAAATTATTTTGTCAATTAGTAATATAAACATGTTCTTCACACTATAAAATTAAATTAAATGTAGCCTACAGCTGCCTTTATTCTTTGAACTCCTACATAGTATACTTCAACCTAGCTTCGTATATAAACAAACTGCAACCTAACTAAAAGTTTGTTTGTAAACAGTGAAGTTACAGCCAATCACAGGAGTCAGACTTCAGCCAATCATAGGTTGCTAATTGATCAGACCATGCTCATAAAAGGCAAATGCTGAGCTGTAATCAATCATACTGCTTCTGTATGTCATTTCCTATTTCTCTCTATTAATACTACCTGCCCACTCTTGCTGGATGGAGCTGTCCTGGTTCAGGATGCTGCTTCATTCATGAATTGTTCTTTGCTCAGATAAACTCTGCTGAATTTAATTTGTCTAAAGGTTTTCTTTTAAGAAAGCTAAATGAGAACTTCTTTTAAACTATGATGAGTGTCTTTTTGTCTGCAGCAGTAAAAATTCTACTGTCTTGAAATAAATTCATGGAGAGTTACAGTCTGGATAAGCATATCTTCCTAGTTTTGGACTTCAGCATTGCTAGAGAAGCTTAGATTAGAAGTGTTTCTCTAGATGCCTGAGAGCATGGAGTGGGAGGATTGAAGTGTTCATGCATTATGCTGGTTTAACATGAAGGTTTTTTAACCCTCCACTTATGAAACTGTGTATCAATAATTGAAATTTAATAAAACATAAAAGGGTTAGGCCAATTATGAGATTTTGAGTCTATAAAAGGTCAAATAAATGCAGTGGATAAGGTTAAGCAAGTAAATAAACAACTGCTTCTCACTCAAGGATTAAGCTTCTCATTATGCAAAGTGTACGGTAGGATACTGGGAACAACTGTAGAGGCACAGAATGGTCTCCCTTCCCTTAGAAAGTTTTAAAAGTGTTGAGGGAGACATTACCTGTATTTATAAAGCATCAAAATTCAAAACAGTGGGCATAGCAAACATGTATTTAAAAGGCATATAAATAGATTTCTGCATATAGACAACTAAACAATGTAGCATATAATAGCATCTTCTGAAATAAAAGGAATGTCAAATGTAATTCCTCTTTATTTTATTTTATTTTTATTTATTTATTTATTTATTTATTTTTTGAGATGGAGTCTGGCTCTGTTACCCAAGCTGGAGTGCAGTAGCATGATCTCAGCTCACTGCAACCTCCGCCTCCCGGGTTCAAGCGATTCTCCTGCCTCAGCCTCCCGAGTAGCTGGGATTACAGGCATGTGCCACCATGCCCAAATAATTTTTGTATTTTTAGTAGAGACAGGGTTTTGCCAAGTTGACCAGGCTGGTCTCGAACTCCTGACCTCAAGTGATCCACCTGCCTGCCTCAGCCTCCCAAAGTGCTGGGATTACAAGTGTGAGCCACTGCGCCTGGCCCAAATGTAATTCTAAACTATCACTTTAAATTTGTGTGTGTGTGTGTGGGTGGGGGGGTGTATTAAAAAAAGTTTTCTCCCTAATTTTTAACACACTCTATTATTTTTTACTAATATACTTCATTTTCCTCAATTTGTTTTCCTTTCAATTACTAAGGCTTGTCTGGTTTTCTAGTGCCTAAAGCAAAAATGAGTAGATGATTATCTTATTTGAAACACTTCAACAATTACAAGGTAACTAATGGCATGAAATAGTTAATTAATTGTGTTCTCTGATGTGCCTTGTTTTTCCTAAAGTGTTGTTTTGTCTTTAATTACAGTCGTGCATTGATTAACAACAGGGATAAGTTCTGAGAAATGTGTTGTTAGGCAATTTCATTGTGAAAACATCATAGTGTGTACTTAAACAAACCTAGGTGGTATAGCCTTCTACATACGTAGGCTACATGGTATAGTTTATTGCTCCTAGACTGTAAACCTTTGAGCATGTTACTTTACTGAATACTGTAGGCTATTCTAACACATGGTAAGTGTTTGTATATCTAAACAAATCTAAACATAGACGATACAGTAAAAACATAGTGTTATGATCTTAACAACTGCCATTTGTATATGTGGTCTGTTGTTGACCAAATTCTTCCATTGTTGACCAAAACATTGTTATTTGGCACCTGACTGTATTTCTCACTGTGGGATTTCATTCATTTACGAAACAATTTGAGAAGACTCACACTTTAAATTTTTTTAAGCAGACAAGTATTAGAGGCAAAATAATAATACAAGAAAAGTCATGAATAAGCCTAGAAGGAATAATGTAGACAATCAAGAAAGAAGACTTTTCAAAACCTATCATATCATGAAATCTTTTTAAAACCTATCATGTGAAAATTGTATACAGAATTTCCTTCAATTGTATTCACAAATGTGGCCAGACAGAATATAAGCACTGAAATAGAAAAGAATAGGGAAAATAGAAGATATTATATTAATCTCTCTTTCTGTATTCAGTACTATAAGATTTGATTTATCATGTGGTTCAGTTTCGAACAACTTCTAAATGTAGAGAACAGGTTAAAAAATAGCATTTTACTGGAGCATCACATGTGGTTTTAATGCTTTCCTTTGCAGCTTTCAGTGAAAAGTAAATTCTGTTGAAAAACATGAAGAGAGCTACTCTTTGGAAAACAAATGTTTTTGAAAGACATACCACCTTTTTCAATAATGTTATTATATTTCACCCCTAAAATTAGGGATAGAACAGGTGTTACAACAACAATAGATCTGTAATGTGTTCTTTTTCCTTTGCAGCCAAGTCTTTAGTTTTGTTTCACATGCCTAGAATCAGAGAGGCAACACTGGGCAAGAACACCAATTGTCTTTTGCATTTAATGTGAATTTAAAAGGGAGTTAAGAAAGTCAGTCTCCTTAGAGTTACATGTAATTTTAAACTAAAATAATTTTACTCACTTCTACCACCTTGTTAATAAACATGTTGGAATCCAATTAATTTTCAATTTCTTCAACATTTTAAATGTTTATTTGGAAGGTAAAATAGTATTTTATTAATCATGAGGATTCATTTTATTTTGGAGCCAGACTGCTCATCTTCAAATCCTACCTATGCTATCTTATATTCTGTGAGCTTAGGCAATTTTCCTAAGTATCTGTGACTCAACTTTGCGATTTAAAAATGAAGATTGTGATGATAAGAACTATCTTACAATTTCTTGTATGACGGTTAAATGTGTGTGTGTGTGTGTGTGTGTGTGTGTGAAAGAGAAAGAGAGAAAAAGGAAAGGGAGAGAATTTACAGGAATGCTGACACAGTAAGCCATAATCAAATATTATGTGTATTGAAACTCTGTTTTAAGGCACAGTCTTCATTATTGTGAATTAAGTATAGCATAATTGTCATTGGCTACCATTTTCCAAAAAGTCTTATTCCCATATTATTACAAAATAAATAAGATTACTAACTTCTAATAGCATAATTCCTCATTCTATAAATTTGAGGTTTTGTTCTTCACTCCTATCAATATATTACATTATTATATTTATATGGATATACATAAACATGTACTATTTGTTTTACAAAAATAAAATACTTTTTGAAATTAGCCTATATCTTGAATTTTTTTTTCTATTGTTAGATAACAAATTACCACAAATTTAGTGGCTTAAAGCAACACTTATCTATTATCACACAAGGTCTGTGGGTCAAGAAGCCTACACACATCTTAGCTGTTTTCATCTAGGTCCTTTGATCCTTGGTGCTGATGGTGGTTTGAGTCTTACCTGATACTTAGGGTCCTTAAAAGCTCTGGTGATTGTTAGCAGAATTCGTTCCTTGCAGCTGTGGAACTCGTAGTGGCTTTTTTAAAGACCTTCAGGATAGTGTGTGATTTCTTTCTTTAATCCTTGGACGTTCTTTTAATGGCTTCACCTGATTAAGTTAGGCTCACCAAGGATAGTCGTCCTTTTGATTAACTTAAAGTCAACTAATCAAGAGCCTTAATTACATCTGCAAAATACCTTTACCTTTGCCACACAATTTAACATAATCATGACAGTTATAGCTCATCACCTTTGCCATATTCCATTCATCAAAATTAATTTAAAAGCTCTTCCCATACTCAAAGGAGAGGGGATTATACAAAGTCATGGATCACTGGAAGTCATCTTAGAATTCTGCCTACCACAGCTTTTCTGCTATCTGGATTAGTATACCCGAACTTCTTATATTGTTTCACTGGTTATTTGAGTTTGTCACTCTGTATGACTTTTTTTTCTTATTTTGATTTTGTTTTTTGCATACCCACCATTGTGAAATATCAGGTTAGTCTCAGTTATGTGCACTTTACGTGTGGTTGTCAAGGAGTAAAATGTGTTCAATTGCAAGTAAATTCACAACACATTGAGTTGTGATAATTTTATACTAGATAATTTTAACACGTACTTTAAATATTTGGTGCTTCTTGCCTAAATTTTTGGTAAGCAGTGAATTCAGTTGTTGGACATTAGTGCTTCACCTTAGAGGCAAACATTTGTCAGCATCATCTGAAGCTTCTTGACCAGTTTAATTGGAGAGTATACTCTGCTTTCAATGAGAACTAATAAAAATACTATTTGAAACTGCTTAACTGTATGAAACTTGAATTTCTAAAAACTCTGCCATCCAAACAAGATACAGAAATAGATGCTGAGGCTGAAATATCAGCAACAATCATCCACAAACCATATATTGCAAATCTTGTGGTTATTATTCTTTAGTTATATTATTCTTACTCATTTCAAGGATTAAAAATGTAATCTTATACAATAAATATATGGTTAAAATATTCTGCTTTTATTTACAACAAGTGTGATGATTGAGGTTGGTGTTTTGAGTGAGATTTTGCTTGATTAAAGGGTCTATTGCTTTAAAAAGTTTGGAAGCCACAAAAGTTTGAATAATAATCTTGGAAAGGCTTGATCTACAGTTAGTAAGTGAATTTAGAAAATTTAGAAGCCTCATCAAGTAATAGTTAACTTCAACTATTTATTTGAAGGGACTTATAGAGCTATTTTACAGTTTTACCATACTTACCCAATCTGATAATGGGACTGCTAACATCACCTCTTCCAGCTCTTAGTTAGTTGTGATCAGTTAAGACCCCATTCATTCCCCCCTACAATGAAATATAATAACCCTTCTATGTGGCTAAGTTATATATGTGAATAAATACGCTTCTACCACCAAGATCCAATGATATGCATTTCATCAGATCATGTTGGCTATTTCCATCATAAACTGTAATTTTAGTTAACTGCAGGCTACAGATGGTCCATGATATTGTTTTCTAAATAGAGTAGATACCTTAGTAGATTGTACCTAAGTGACAAAGATTCCTCTCTTGGAATTTAGGCCAGGAAAATACCTAAATCTAAACATCCTAAAGTGTTTTGCTTCTTAAGGTTTTTTTGATTTCTAATCTTATTGAAGTATAAAGAGTGCCAACCTCACACACTTAGAGTACAATTTAATCAGTCTTAACATATGTACATACCACAATCAAGATAGTGAACATTTCCATCAGCGGCAAAAATTTCCTTTACCCTTCATAAATCTCCTCTCCCTCCACTACCTTCCCCAGAGAATAATTGATGTACCTTCTTTTATTACAGATTAATTAACATTTCTAGACATTTATATAAATGAATCATATAGTATGTGCTCTTTTTGTCTGGCTTCTTTCACTCAGCTACTGATTTTAAAATTCATTCATGTTGTGGAGAACATCAATAATTCATTCCTCTTTATTGTGTAGTAGCATTTCACTGTATGAATGTAAAATATATCTTGATGTATATTTTGGTAGAATACTGTAGGGATATTTTATGTAAATATCATAAATCTACCTGCTGATTTTATAATGGTTACATGGTATTAAATAGCATAATGATACTATTTAATCATTTAATGCTGCAACAAACCCATTTGTACATGCAATTTTTTGTGCATGTGGATATTTCTGTAGGAGAGATGTCAAGAAGTGGAAAAGCTGCCTCAAATGATATGCCCAATTAAATGTAGGTAGATATTGTATTATGACCTCAAAAATTGCAACAATGTACACTGTAACCAATTTTATATGACATCATATTTCCTACATCCCCTCTAAAACTAGTTTTATCAATAATTTTAATATTTGCTAGTCTGATAATCATATTTTATTTAAAATTCTAATTATGTATTTACTAGTGAATTTGTATGACTTTATACTATACATGACACTTGTACAATTATTTTTAAAATTGAATCTTCATATTTTTATCAATTTTTGTCATATTAGATTATTGTCTTATTTTTATTGATTATTAGAAACTGTATTTTATATTCTTAGACACATCTTTCACTTCTGTTAGGAATCTTCCTTGATTTACATCTGGTATTTAAACATTGTTTACTATGCTATGTTTCTTGCAGAAATCGAATATTATACTATAATCTAGGATTCTGAGATTTATCTTGATGAAAAAATAAATACTATCAATTATGTTTTACTTAAAACATCATTTATTAAAACTTTTATAAATATTGTTTTATTTAGTTCATTATGGTAAGGGAGAATTTAAGTCTTTCTGTTTTATATGAACAACTGAAATGTTAAATACCATCTACTGTTTGCCCTTTCATCAATCATCCGAATAACCAACTTATCACATTTAGAGGTCTTCAGTGTTTCTGCATCTTATTTTAGCATTAGAGTCCTTAAAGTTACGAAGTGGCTTAAATATTTGGAAAGAAACTCAAATACAACTTTTGCAGATGATGTAATTGTATTCATAAAATATGCCAAAAAAAGGTCAAAATATAAATAAAATAAATTAATAACAAGGAGTAGTAAGGCCACTGGATTTTAAAAAACCATATACCAAAGTCAATTGAATTGCATTTATAAACATCGGCAACAATTAGTTAGGAGATATAACTTCAAATGAAATGTAAAACCTTATGGATAATCGTAAAGATATATTGAAACTTAGGATACATTGTGCTTTTTATAGGACAGCAGAAATCATAAATGAGTCAATTCAGTTTTATTTGCTTATAAATAATACAAAATATAAAAGGAGTTAAAGGATAGAATGCAATAATGAAAATCTGTTGTGATTTTATTAAAATCCAAAAAATTAGCCTTTTGAGACCAAAATCTTTATGAGATAAATATCCATGTACATAATAATAATTTTTATAATTCAAAAAGGATTTTTGAAACCTGTACATTTTAGAGCTAGAAAAAAATGAGTCATCTAAAAAAGTAGAATAAGAAGAAGGCATGGCTTTCCAGACATAAATATTTAACATAAATGTGAAGTTATTATTATATATTGGTATTAGTGAAATTATGGACAAATGGGCCAAATAATCTGAAATTGACCCACACATATATGTAAATTTTGTTCCCAAATCTTTGGATATCGCATGTTTATAACAAGAGATAAAATGATGCTGGGACCAGGGGGAGATAAAAGTTTAAGAATTGTAAAAAACTAATTAATTAAAAATAAAAAAACTATCTTTTCGGCAAAACATCACAAAAAGCTGTAAGAATATTACAAAGCTCAAAGATGAAAGCAAATGGAAAAGGTAGGTAAAAGATATTTACTAGAATATTGTTGAAGAAATCAATATACAAAATATCAAATTTTGAAGCAATCTTTCCCACCTCACTAGTAATCATAAAATAAATATTAAGCCATAATAAAATATTATTTTAAACTCATCATACCAAGAAAAATAACCGAAGTTGGGCAGTTTTTAGTTGGTGAGCATGCTAGGCAATCTGACCTTTCATCCACTGCTATGCAGAGTATAAACTAGTATAATCACTTTGAAAGACATTTTGGGATGTATCAGAAAAGTTGCATAGTTGCATTGATCCACAACTCTGCTTTCTAATATATACCCTAGAGAAACTTGTAAAATGCCCCAGGAGGTACATACAAAAATATTAATAGCAGCATAATTTACATAAATAAATATTGGAAATAACCCAAATAGTTATCACAAAGAATATATATAGCTAAATTGTGATGTCTTAATTCAATGGATACCATTCAGCAAAGAAAATTAATAAATGACAACAGTATACCTCAACAAAGCTGATTTAAAAATCAGAATTTTGAATAATGGAAGCTAGTTAGAGAAAAAATTACATATAATTATCTTTATGTATAGTTCAAAAATGAGCTATAGTTAAATATTGTATTGTTTAATAGTGAATATGAAAGAGGTAAGAAGGAGGTAATAATTAATATAGGACATGATGAATGGTTATATCTTTTTTTTTTTTTTTTTTTTTGAGACAGAGTCTCACTCTGTCGCCCAGGCTGGAGTGCAGTGGCGCGATCTCAGCTCACTGCAAGCTCTGCCTCCCGGGTTCATGCCATTCTCCTGCCTCAGCCTCCCAAGTAACTGGGACTACAGGTGCCCGCTACCACACCTGGCTAATTTTTTTTTTTTTTGTATTTTTAGTAGAGACGGGGTTTCCCCGTGTTAGCCAGGATGGTCTCGATCTCCTGACCTCGTGATCCGCCCATCTCGGCCTCCCCAAGTGCTGGGATTACAGGCGTGAGCCACCGCGCCTCGCCGATAAATTATTATATCTATGAAAGGAGGGTTAGGCAAGCTGAGAGAGAAACATAAGATTCTTATGTACTAGCAATATTCTATTTCGTAAATTAGAGTGCAGTACATATATGTATGTTTTATTTTTTAAAGATGTTATGTCTTTGTTGAAATGGTCTTTTCATTAACGTTCTTTATGCATTTGTTTATTTTTTGGACATATTAATCACAGATATTTTGGAGTCTTTTTCTGCTACTTGTAATATTTTGAGTTTACCTGTGTATCTTTTTTCTATTTTTGACTTTTCTTTCTCTTGATTATTGGTTACATGACCCCATAAAATTAAATATCTATTACATTTTAAAATAAATGATAGATATTGTGATTAAAATGATCATAAAGACTCTGGTGATACTACCTTCCTTGGGAAGATCCACCTTTTTCTTTATTAAGTAGGTAGAATGAGGGACTGTTCCCCTGATTCCAGTCAGGATGAGTAATTCAATCAGGAAGCAGCTTAAGGATGAATTTAAGCTTTGATAAGACTTAGTTGACTTCTGGGTCTCTCCTGCTAGGGCTCAGCTTTTCATAGTTTACAAAAGAGAACTGGCATTTCCTTAGCCCAGGCACTCTAAACATTTCCACCCTTCTTTTAGCCTTTTCTTAAACTTGACTCTTTAGCATTCTGCCCAGAGCAGCTCCAGTTATTTCCAAATGTCTTGTGGAGCAGACTGGCTATTGAGTAACTATCTAAACCACTCCTGGTTTTTCTTTGTTCCAGTTTTGCCTTGTGCTTGAGACACACCCAGACCTTTAGCCTCCAGCCTGCAGAAATTGGTAGATTTCTTCTGTGAAAAGCCAGGAGCAAATTTTCAGCTCAATTCTGCAAGTTTCAATCTGCACTGGAATTTTAATCCATCATCTTCTATTTTTATATAACTTTCTTATGTCTTCAAAAATGTGACTTTTATGATTATTTTGTTTTTCTACCTATTTTCAGTGGGAACATTGGGTTGCCATAGAGTACTCAGTTATACCTAGAAGTGAAATATTTATTTTAAAAATATGTACATGCATATTTTCCTGATTAGTGACAATGTTGAGTACATGTTGAAAGATTATTTGGTTATCTTCTTCAGTGAAATGCTTCTTAAAGTCTTTTCTACTGTGCTGCCATCTTTTTTTATTGATTTCCGTTAGTTCATTATAGAATCTCTCATTCTATGGCATTTTATAAATAGGTGTTCTAATTTTAATGTCATCAAATTATTTAACTTTTAATATTAAAGTTGTGTCCTGTTCAATAAATATTTGCCTAACACAAAATTATTAGATATCCTCTTGTTTTCTTGTAAAAGATGTATTCTTTTCTGTTTCATATTTATATCTGCAATCTATTTGGAATTAGTTTTGGTATGTAGTGTGAAGTAGGGATTAAAATTTATTTTGTTCCATGTACACCTTTGTGTTTATAATATCTTTCACATGAGAAGATTCATAAGTTGAAATAAAAACTAGTCAGAAATATTTGAATAAGAATAGACTAGGAATTTTACTATTTAATTTTATTCATTATTATTATTATAAGAAACAGAGTCTCACTCTGTTGTTGCCCAGGCTGAGTGCAATGGTGCAATCATAGCTCACTGCAGCCTGGAGCTTCTGAGCACACACTCCTGGGCTGCCTGCCTCAGCCTCCCAAGTAGCTGGGACTATAGGCGCATGTCACCACTGTGGTCTCACTGCATTGCCCAGGCTGGTTTTCAACTCCTGGCCTCAAAGGATCCTCCAACCTCAGCTTCTCAAAGTGCTGGGATTACAGGCATGAGCCACTGCACCTAACTAACATTTACGTTTTAAAATATAATTATTGAACCTAAAATGCAGTCAATAATTTTAAAAGCTCTAGAGAGAAATCACAATGGAAGCTAGATCTTAAGAAATTGCGTGAATTGGCTGGGCAGGGGGGCTCACGCCTGTAATCCCAGCACTTTGGGAGGCTGAGGCGGGCCAATCACGAGGTCAGGAGTTTGAGACCAGCCTGACCAACATGGTGAAACCCTGTCTCTACTAAAAATACAAAAATTAGCTGGGCATGGTGGTGTGCACCTGTAATCCCAGCTACTCAGGAGGCTGAGGCAGGAGAATCCCTTGAACCCGGGAGACAGGTTCTGGCTCTCTCCTGCTAGGACTGCTGCAGTGAGCAGAGATTGCACCACTGCACTACAGCCTAGGCGACAGAGTGAGATTCCGTCTCAAAAAAAAGAAAAGAAAAAAAGAAATTTCGTGAATACAGCAAAGAAACAACAGCAAAAGACACAAAAGAGTAGTTAAAGACATGGATTACTGAATGAAAAGACCGCCAATGTCTGTCATTTCTAAAGGAATCACAAAGAGGCTAATGAGTGAATTGGGAAGAGGAAATACAAAGTGAGGACAATGTTTCAGATCTGACAAAAATAATCAGATTCAGAAAACAAATTACTGCAAGCAGGATGATTGAAACAAGTCTTCATGCAGAGATAGCCTAGAGAAACACACTACATAAAAAAGACAAAAAATAGATCTTAAGGTAAGCCAGAAAAGAAAAAAAGATGGTAACTTGAAAAAAGAACAGATCTCTCTACAGTAATGATAAAAATCAGAGAAAATGAAACTATAAATTGGAATTATACCCATCATACTATTTATTAGTTATTTTCTAATTTACCTAACCCATCAATATTATATTGATCTTTAATAAGGTATTTTTAAAATATTTAATGACATTGCACACCATTATTACATTATTTAAGTCCCATGTTTTCCCTGTGCTTCTGCAATAAGAGCAAATGGGGAGCTACACTCCTGCTTCTAAAGGGATAACAATCACAATTTTTTTTTTTTTTTTTTGAGACGGAGTCTGGCTCTGTCGCCCAGGCTGGAGTGCAGTGGCATGATCCCGGCTCACTGCAAGCTCCGCCTCCCGGGTTCAAGCCATTCTCTTGCCTCAGCCTCCCCAGTAGCTGGGCTACAGGCGCCTGCCACCACGCCCGGCTAATTTTTTGTATTTTTAGTAGAGACGGGGTTTCACCCTGTTAGCCAGGATGGTCTCGATCTGCTGACCTCGTGATCCGCCCCCCCTTGGCCTCTCAAAGTGCTGGGATTACAGGCGTGAGCCACCGCGCCTGGCCAACAATCACAATTCTAACAGTGACCACATATATCCATGACACACTAGGGCGCAGCACCAAACCACAGTACAAAAGCTGAGACAGAATGGGTATCTTCTTTCTTTAAGAAAAAATAAAATGGAAAGTTTAATGAAATGCAATGGAATTTAGCACCATGATGATTCTATAGTTACTATGTTTATGACAATAAACCTAAAGGACTAAGACGTTCTCACGTATCTTCTAAATATTAAAAGGCATTTGAAAACAATTTAATTATAATATTTAGTGCTTTAAAATATTTAAATGTTTTATCTAGAAATGTTGTCATATAAAATATTTGACTCACAGCATCCTATTTATTCCCTTACCAAGGCTGACAAAAGAGTGGAAAAAGAAAAAGAAAAAAAAATGAGAGAGAATATAAGAGACATCAATTTGACTGTATTTTTCCAAGCTGGCTCTACGCTTCAGGATAATTTGCTGTAATTATTTTTCTATTCTCATGAACCATACTAGTGTTACAACTACATATAGTCAAGTTCATTTAAATTACTTGGTTAGGAAAATTTTTGTTCCATTACTTATTTTTCCACTTGGTAAAATCGTTTTTGAAACATGCTCAAAATTTCTCCCTAAACGTTTTCATTTATACCTTTTACTGTGCAAACACACACACACACACACACACACACGTGTGTGTCTTCAAAGATGATGAGAAAGTACTCTGCTCTGTGGATAGATCTTTTAAGACTTGTATTTTGTTTAGGGTGGCTCAACAGACTTGAACACGTCCCACTCTGCCTTTGACAACAAAATGGCACACTAATTAGAAATACAGAATAAAAAAGACATTCACTCTATATATTGCTCTTTTCTATTGAAACAAGCAAGATGTGCTTTTGCCAGCACACTCTTCAATGTGGCATTTGGATGGTTAAGTAATCAGTGATCTTTGCTTTGTGTTTTTTGACAGCAAAGCATTATATGGAGAGATATACTAAGTTCTAATTCCTTACCCTTTTTCCAAGTTTTATAACTAAATAACCTTTTTAAATAAAATATTGCAACAGTCCTGCATTTGAGGATGAAAGTGCTGTTTTCTAAAAGGTCAATTCAATCTGGGAAATGTTTTCAGTTTAGACAATACATTATAAACTGTAGAAACCCATGGCAATTTTCAGCACCACTAACAACGTGAAGTAAATTTCAGTCACTCACAGTAAGATGGCAATGTGGTGACATTTGAAGCCTGGACGTGAGCTCTTACATTCATTGTAGGTGACTGCTGTGCAGCAGGGGCCTGTTTCCAACTGCCAGATGAATTTCAGATACAAATGAAAAAGATGATCAGAACGCTTTACAAAATGAGTGAGACCCCATCATCTGAGCGACAATATTCTTCTTTTATGGCAGGCAAGGATTAAAATACATCAAATTAATAAATCCCTAGGAAACCAATAATCTCACATTTGCTGAACAATTGTATCTTCTAGTAGTTATTATCTTTGAATTACAGTGAGCCACTATCTTTGTTTCATTTTCCAGATATATGTCCTTGTCCATCAAAAACTATGGCAGTTGCACTACACAGTCAAGCAATAAATTTATAAAACGTCTCTCTGAAGTGTATGCTTGTTTCATAATCCTGATTCCGTATCTTTATTTACTTCAAAATATATGGTACTGTCAGCATGAGGGTCAGAAGATTACGGTACGTTCTTTGTTTCTTTGCTAGTGTTTTTATTTAACTTGAAAAATAAACTGCAGCACCAAGGGAGTGATGAAATAAAAGATATATGGAGTCACAATGGCATAAAAATGGTAAACACGCAACTACAGCTATACCATAAGAAAGACTGTCATATCAAATCATAAAAAAAAGTTTACTTCAGTAACTCACATAGGTAACTCACATACCATCTTTATTAAAACTTCTAAAAAATACAAAAAAAGTGTAAGAGTTTTAAAGCGAACAGAGAAATCTCTGAAATTTTTATGCTATCCTCTGACTTTGACCTTAAGACACTGTTTACTGTGAGTGTGATTCTCTGTTGTTGTTAGTAATGGACTCATTAAGCATTTTTAATCTACTTGTGCTGAAAAACAGTAAACCTCATAGAAGAGCATATCCTGTAGAAGGCTGAAATTTACCTGTAAAAGCTATAAATACATAACCTGACTGTTTTAAATTTAAGAGAAACATCTCATGAAAACCAACAAAAAGAATATACAAGTCGGCATCAGAAATACTTTCTTACTTTAGAATGCTCTGACTTGGAACTACTTACAGTTTTAGAGTTCAAAATATCCTTTAGTTTAATTGAATTTACTAAGATAGCAGTAATTTAAAAAAATTCCTCTCTATATAAACATGAATTAAATATTGAAATTATTTTATATTACATCATTAATTAAATATGTTGAAATTCTTTTAATTACATGTTAAATTTCAAAAGATTATGGAAAATCAACTCTCTATTTCTATGATTAATTTTTATGATTAGGTCCTGTAAAAAGTTTTGGGAAGCATTGGGAGAGAATTGGGGGTATTTGGTATTGTTTGTTATTTGATTTTTAAAATATTTCTGTCATTATTCACATTTTACAAATGTAGAATTATAGCTTCTGATATTTCGTTACGGGTATAAATCACTATAATAGTTTTGCCAGTCTTTTACTGACCTCTACACTTTTTAAAAGATAGCTTTAAAGATTTACCAACGATTTCCATAACAACAATAAATAAATATACTAGGCCCAGTACGGTGGCTCAAGCCTGTAATCCCAGCACTTTGGAAAGCCAAGGCAGGCGGATTGCTTGAATCTATGAGTTTGAGAATAAAAATACAAAAATGTTAGCCAGGTATTGTGGTGCATGCTTGTAGTCCCACCTCCTTAGGAGGCTGAAGTGGGAGGATAACCTGAGTCTGGAAAGTTGAAGTTGTGGTGAGATGTGATCGTGCCACTGAACTCCAGCCTGGATGAGGAGAGTGAGACCATGTCTCAAAAGAAAGAAAAAAAAAGAATAAATATAGTTATATGTTCCTTTGCTAATTTAATCAACATTTCCCTAAGACCCAGGAGACTTATTCAATTTCTTGGAGCCTGGTTCACAACCTTATTATCTGGTTACACAATTTATATTGTGTTTCACATCTTTGGGAATGCTATGTTGTTCATTCAATACATCTAGAGTTGAGGACAATTTTCATTCACAAGCAGAGTACAAATATGAAATGCCTTGAGGCTTTTTGTTCTTCATGCTTAGAACTAAGTAAAATGTTCATAGTCTCATAGGACTTTCAGGTCAAAGCTTCACTGATAATATTTTCTGAGCAAAATTAAATAGGTTTAGGGGCAGCTATCAGCTATCACTGCTCCTAATTAATTACTATCTCTTGCTCCATTTTTATTAACCAGTTATATTGTTCTTCTTAGGTCTACCATTTTAACACTTCCAGTTGGACAACTAGGCATTTGAGACTTAATATGCATAAAAAAGTAATAACTTATTTCCCCTCTACCACTTCCCATCTTCTATCCCCTGTGACCTTTGAATATTTCAGTAAGTGGCATCAGCATTTTCTCATCAGACCATCTTTTATTCTGCTCTTCCCCTCCTACTACATATCCAATGCATCATGCTGTCCTATAAAATTTACTTCCAAAATATACCTTGAATTTTATTCTTATCACTGCCTGACTCAAAACATCACTGTCTCTCTTCTGAATTTCTACCATAGTCGGTTATCTGCTTTCCCTCAGTCCATTCTTGTCCCCAGCTATTCCATCTGCCATTTCTAAACATTAAATCCTGTCATATCACTACACGGTTAAAAACTATTCAGCAGATCCTCCTTATATTAAAAACAAAACCCAAAGCTTTCCTGTAATTTTATATATATATATATATATATATATATATTTGTTTATATAATATGTATAATTATATTTTTCTTTGGAAGTATTTTTTCAGTAGCAGTATTCTCATTTTTAAAATTTGAGTGGGTTTGAAATATATAATTGTTTATATAACACTTTTAGGAGTCTACAGTTTATTATGCTATTGACAATATCAGTTATTTAAATATATATATTGCTACTGAAGGAAGTATTTCCAAAGTAAAAATATAATTATTATATAAAAAAAATTAGATAAAATGTGTTGATGACTTTGTGCCTAAAATCCTTTGGCCTTTCTAATATTATTATAAAACTTCCTTTTTAAATATCACTCTTTTACTCATGCAGTCTGTCTACATGAAATTGTCATGTGAATCTAAAGCTAATCATATTCTGAGGCCTTTATATGACATGTAATATGTGAAAATACTTAATATTTATAACACTATAATGTGTACTCTATGTTTATTGCATGTAAGTGATGTGTCTATCATGTTGATCATTACTATGTAGGTAAATAATATGTATAAAAGCTTACTACATAGAGTAACTAAATGGAAAACATTTTTAAATCTCTACAGTGAAATAAAGCAAGTATTTTAACTTTTAACAAAAGGATACTTTAAATTCCCAAGTGTTATCTAGAGTGAGCCTAAAGCATTTTCAGTAGATAACATGTTGAAGAAAATTTTGTATTCTATGCAAGTGCTTGTTGGTCTTTGTTCATCTAAGAGGAGGTAACGTATATTAGTGGTCGTTATCAAGTTATCGCCATCAACTAAACAATTAAATTCAATAGTATTTTTGTTGTTAAAGATAAATTTCAGCTATACAGCATGTTATTATTTAATAGCCATACAAGAAATAGTAATCATAAGCAATATTGTTTTTCATTTTATCTATATTGTTTTTCCTAACCAACAAAATGTAAACTTTTCCTATAAAGTCATATACAAAATAGAAAAGTTCTTAAATTGTTCAAACCTTGATATGCACTCTGATGTTGGAATGTGAGGCGATGGTGGGCTAGTAGACACAACTCTAACACTCACATAGGCCTTAACCATTCATATTCATCAATATACTAAATCTTGCCATCTGTCTGTTTTCTTCAGAAGCAAAATTCTCAGGGCAGAGGTGTGCCAAGACTTAATTTAGGTGCATGCTGGGAGATCATTTGATGCCATTTACCTTCTTTTGATGTAGTGTCAGAAAGGTGGGGATTGAGGGGCAGAACGGATGGAAAGCTAATTCCTCCACACTCCCCTCTGAAAAAATTTGTTCTGTTTGGCATCCCTAAAATTTTTCTCAAATTGTTGTTCCCATGAAGTTAACATCTGCTTTAACATCTCTGGCTTTTGTTCTTATTCAAAATTCAGTTTTATTTTTCAACTTTTTACAATATATACGTATTTCAAATTCCTACATTTACCTCAAAATATATTAAGTAATATTGATAAGAATTCCTTCCACATCACCTTCCTTTCTATGTTGATTTAGTTCCAGAAGTGCTAGAACTAGTGCAGTTACTACAGGTAAACAATGATGATAGTTACTTGTAGTATGCACAGTAGACATAATTGCTGCCCCCACAAACTAACTATTTTAGCTATCGGTATTTAGCATAGTTTATTCCCCTGAGGAAACACTGTACCACATTTCCAGAGGGTACCTTGGGACAATCTCAGAGGGCAAGTGATTTAAATATAAGCAAATTATATACAATTGATAAATAATTATCTCTATAAGAAATGAATGTACGACTCTTCACATCTCTATATTTCAAGATCCTCTGAAATTTCTTACTTCAAACTTTCTTCTCATGTGGAAACATACTAAGAATAACATATCACTGGAGAATTACCCATCCTCGTGTATAATTTCTATCATTTTGCTCTGCTATTTAAGAAGTTTTGGTTGCTCCTGATTCTTGACGACATCAGATCCACACATTTTTATTTGGATTTTAAGATATTTATGGATCTTATCTCAACCTATCTGTACAACCTGCTTTTCTATTATTCTCCAATATGAATAATATGATCTTGTCTCTAAAATAATATGTTCACTATCTTTGAATGTACTTTATAAATTCTACAATGAGTTTTTATTCAAGGGTATATTAATTATTACAGGTTTCCATGCAGTGATAGAGACCTGAAATATACAAAATATAGATGTTTATTTCTTTTTCATGCTGGATTCATCTGGTGGCTTCATAAGTCATGGTATTTTACCACCATATCTACATTCCTGCCAGCACAAAGGGGAAAAAGAGAAGTAGGGGGCATGCACCTTCTCTTTTTGGGCATAATCCAGCAATAACACACATCACTTGTGCTTGAATCTCATTGGCCAAAGCATAGTAAGATTATAAACATATATGTAATTTTAAAATGAATTTCCAAACATTATTTTTCAACTTTTGGTCTCACCTGGTAGTCCACCTCTCCAAGGTTCTATAGTGCAAAGCACCCAATTAGCATTGAATTTTCTGTCTCCACTCACTCCTCAGATTTGGGGTTCAAATTTTTCCCTCTGCTAGTTATCACCCAACCATTTATTTCTCCAGCTTTTGATATTTTGTAGGAACCTTTAAATCATTTTTTTCATTTCTCATTTTTATAATTATTAAAGGTTTAAAATCTTTTAAATCATTCTAAATTTATTTTGTGGTATTTTGTGAGGGAAAAACCACTTATAGTAATTGGATTATTAACTATATAAGAAATCAAATATTCATTGAGCAGTTACTAGAGGGAAACTATGTTGGCAGATACTTGTAGTATGCACAGTAGATATAATTGCTGCCCACTACAAACGAACTATTTTAGCTATTGGTATTTAGCACAGATTTTTCCCCTGAGGAAAGACTGCACTACACTTCCAGAGGGAATTTTGAGACAATCTCAGAGGTCAAGTGATTTAAATATAAGTAATGTATATACTGTACATTTTTATTTGCAAGTTTTGAGCATTCCAAAATAGAGAAAGAGCCTGCTATTTGGGAAAGTAAATATCTTTTTTCTTATTTTGTAGAGACATCTTAGTCAAAATAATGAAGGGACTATCAAAACATTGGCACAAAAAATAACATAAACAGGAAAAAAACCCAAAACATCAATTGAGTGCATATGTTTTTTTCCTGTATTCCTAGATTCCTTGTCATGAGTGACTCTGAGTGGTTACTATATTTATTTATTTATTTATCTATTTAATCTCTTTAAATAAAGGCAACAAGTGAAGAATATGAAGATGGAGGCAAAGTGTGCATATATTTATTATGCCCTCTGCTTCTCAGTAGTCATGTGAGACAATCTGGTATCACCTTTATTAAATAGGTGTTTTATTCATTTCTTAAAAAAAAAACCAAAACCTAAAACAAAAAACTTTTCTAGATGTTACCTTTACCTTTCAAAAAAAAAGGAATACTGTAGAAACTTAAGGTCATCTTTCAAATGGAACGATTTTGTAGTCCCAGTGGAAAACAAGTCTTCCAGAGAGGCCATTTAAACAAGTAATGGGAAGGACACACTTTCAACTGCATTTCAGAATGGTATTGTTTTTGACCTCTAAGTGATTTCCTTAAGCATTTAACACTTATGAAAAGACATCAAATTGGTAGTTGATTGACAACATAAAAGGGATTAACTGTACCCTAGCCCCTTGGAGTCTGAAGTCAATCAATCAAAAAAAAAAAAAAAAAAAAAAAACCAGAGTGGGAGGTCATAAATGGAGAGTACTCAGAGTGATAAAAATGAGGTTCATTTTTGTCAAGTTCTGTAATGCTGTCCTGGAAACCAGCATAAATGACAACTAAGGTTTTTACTTAGGCAATCCTAAAACTTCATAAAAACTGTGGAAGTTTCTTACATGACTATTAAAAGAATTTACATCTAAAATTTTATCAGTAATATTGCTGGTATTTGCCTTATAAAATATGAATGGGTCTATGCCCTGTTTGGAGCAAAGTATGCTTGATGCTTGTACTTTTTTCTAAAGGTTGACACTATAGAAAATAACTTCGTTCAGTATAACATGTGTTACACTGTATTATGTTGGGCAATTTTTATTTAAGTGGGTTAACCTTCAGATACCCATTATGAGCAAAAATAAATAGAATGTTAAGTCTTCTGTGTTCCTGTATTTTAATAGTTTATATGTATCACTAAAATCTGGAAGTGGTGAGGCTCAAATTGCAGTTGTATATATACATTAAAGGGAAGCAGACATATAGCAAAGAAATCTTTGAAAGATAAATGTGGCTGTCTTTTGGTGTCTTGGCTAGCTTTCCTGGAAAATGCATATTTGGTCCAATGTGCCACAATTATGCCTGATGTATTCTATGGCTGGGGTTGCAAATGTTCAACAAGAGTAAGGCCAATCAAAATTGTGGCAGTGTACTTTACCTCATCTAAATAAACAGCATTCACAGAAGCAAGTTTTCCTAAAAATAGATCTAAACAATTCACTTCTGCTTGGATTTTCATGCACCATGCTACCCTTCTGTTATTTTATATCAAACTTCTGCATATTTGTTTTTCAGTTTACCACTCCCTTCATGCCTATGAACAACCAGTAGAAGTGACCGGATTCCACAGATCTTGTTAAATAAAATTTATAAGAGGCCATGTTTCAGACCTCCTGGACTAGATCCCCACATACCAGACTATATTAGAATAAAGTCACTTGTGCTAGATGTTTCATAATCAAACTGAACATAAAAACTGGCCATTTGTCCAAAAAACAGGATATTTACAGCAATCAGTCTAAAGGAGCCCAGTCAACATTAGCTAGCATGGTAGTCCCTTCTGCTTTGAGTCATATGAGGAAGTAACCTGATATTAGCCAATCTGCTCTTTGCACTATGCTGTTTTCTTGTCCCTGCTTAAGCTACCTCACAAAAACTGACAATTCTGCCACACCCATTGGAATTCTTTCTATTTTGTACACTGGATGCTGTCTGGTCTGTGAATTGCCAATAAAATCCAATTCAATGTCTAAAATTCAATTTACTAAAATATTCTTCTTTGACAATGTCAACATGTTTTTGTTTTCAGACATTTCTTCTGTGAATTGGAACCATAAGAATATTATTGCCCCAATAATCTCATTTCTACACTCCATGATGAACTCAAAATCAGTAATTTGTTTTAGAAAAAATTTAATAAACAAATTTCTGCTGGTTATGAACGCATTAGTAAAATTATGATAATGTAAATGAAATAAAGCTGTCAGTGAGGTGAAGTGATATTTATTTTTTATATCTCTTCTATACACATTACTTTTAAGAATCTCAGAACCTGTTCTAATTGAAATGTAAATTAATTTCCTTCCATTTAACAGTTAAGATCTCTTCTCAATATGGCAAAAAGTAAACACTATGAAGATTTTGTTGTTGTTGTTGTTGTTATTTTTTTAGATGGAGTCTCACTCTGTCACCCAGGCTGGATTGCCGTGGCGTGATCTCAGCTCACTGCAACCTCCGCCTCCAGGGTTCAAGCGATTCTCCTACCTAAGCCTCTCATGTAGCTGGGACTACAGGTGCACACCACCACGCTCGGCTAATTTTTGTATTTTTAGTAGAGACATGGTTTCACTGTGTTGGCCAGGCAGGTCTTGAACTCCTGGCCTCAGGTGATCTGCCCGCCTTAGCCTCCCAAAGTGCTGGGATTACAGGTGTGAGCCACTGTTTCTGGTCCAATGAAGAGTTTTAATTTCTTGAAATGGCAGAGTCCAAAGAGCAGTAGATTGTCTCCCCAAAAAACCAAAAATAAAACTGGACAAAATTATCTAAAACAACCATTTTGTATTTCTAGAAATTCAACAAAAGTAAACAGGTTTTGGAATGTTTATTTAAAAAAATTCAAATAAGGATAGCTGTGGTCTATGGATTTCTTTCCTGAGTCTCCTGAAACTCTACCCCTCCCCCACCCCCATCCCCACCCCTGCAATTCTTCAGGTGAATTTGTGAGAACAGCAATTTTTATCACTTCAAAATTGACTGGGAAAACCAGCAACTTTTCAGTCAGAGAAGACAGGCTTGATTTCGGGCAGAGGATAGAAACCTGCTGTCATTGCCATTATAAGTAGTGAACTTGGTAGCAAATGAACAACAAAACCCCTCAGCTCAGAAAACGTATTATTTTGGTCTCAGTTGGGGCAAGCAGTAGACAATGTGAACAATGAATAGGGAGATCGTCAATGTGAGAGAACAGTAGAAGAGGAGGGTAAGCTTCCACATATCCCTGTCACACTGGAAAACTATGCACATATGAGGGGAGACCTGAAAAAGCACAGAGAAAAATCAAAGCTGAGATAGACATGTGATATGGTTTGGTGCTATGTCCCCACCCAAATCTCACCTTGAATTCTCACGTGTTGTAGAAGGGACCCAGGGGGAGGTAATTGAATCATGGGGCAGGTCTTTCCCTTGCTGGTCTTGTGATGGTGAATAAGTCTCACGAGATCTGATGGTCTTGAAAAGAGGAGTTCCCCTGCAGAAGCTCTTTCTTCTCTTGTCTGCCACCATGTGAGACATGCCTTTCACCTTCTGCCATGATTGTGAGGCCTCCCCAGCCACATGAAACAGTAAGACTATTAAATCTCTTTCTTTTGTAAATTGCCCAGTCTTGGGTATGTCTTTATCAGCAGTGAAAGTGGACCAGTACAACATGAGAACTGGCAGAACTCTGAATGTGTTCCCTGAACCACACAAGAGATCAGCAGAGAGTAGAGGCCTACCTGGCCTGAGGCATTTGAGTATATAGTCTGTGCAAATCAAGGGGCGACCACTAAGTCATGCAGAAACTGTGGCAACCCTTAGGACACTAACCTTAAAATAAAAGATAGTTTTAAAAATTTTTTATTAGAAAACAAATTAAAAAATCAGCAGAATAAAACAGCAACTGTACACCATTGAGAGACAAATTTTATATTTTAAATCTAGGTGTGTTACAAAACATGAAACTTCAACTACTGAAAATCTCTAAGTGAAGGAATTAGAATTTGAAGTTGCCATAAAATATTAAAGCCTTACACTTTTTAGAAGATATCAAAAGGCATAAAAATAAAAAAGAATGTGTCAAAGTTACCTTTCACCATGCTTCACCTACCACCTGCAACTCGTCATAATTAACATCAGGCAAAAATCATAGTAATTATGATGCTATTGCAGTTAGACTTAGCACAACCTCACTGACCACCAGCAAGTAAGTCTTTATTGCCATCAGATTAGTGAGCGATCCAGACCCACTCTTGTCCTGTGCTAAGTGGAGTCTCTCATTATAAGTAATAGGCAAACTTAAGAATGGAAGACACAGAATGAAAGCATAATGTGATAAAATATCAGTTTGTTCTTGTACGAAGTTCATCAGAGCCCTTACAAATGTGAAACGTGGACACTTGAGGCAGAAAGGATGCAAAAGAGATGCTTGGCACAGTTACCATTTTGAAAACAATATTATCATAAGTGTATTTAAGGTAACAACTTGAGAGATATTTTATATATTATAACACCAACTGAGTAAAAACACATATAGAATTTTATATACATTTTATACTTATTGAACACATTAATTACTTTTTTGTTTCCACCAAAATTCCACCATAATTGTGGCATCATTACCAGCACCTTTTTGTAGCCTTTTCTATCATTGAATTAGAAGCATTCTATGACTTAAAATATAATGTAAAATAATTTTTACAGACATAGCAGGGTCAATAAGATTTTGAAAACTGAGATTTGCTGAATTGCTTTCGTAAATATTTTGAAATTTAATATAGCTAAAACTTGGAGAAAACCAAACTTAAATTTTATGAAATCAACAGTAATGATGGCAAAGGGATCAATTCAACAAGAAGAGCTAACTATCCTAAATATATATGCACCCAATACAGGCGCACCCAGATTCATAAAGCAAGTCTACAAAGAGACTTAGACTCCCACACAATAATAATGGGAGATTTTAACACCCCACTGTCAACATTAGACGGATCAATGAGACAGAAAGTTAACAAGGATATCCAGGAATTGAACTCAGCTCTGCACCAAGCAGACCTAATAGACATCTACAGAACTCTCCACCCCAAATCAACAGAATATACATTCTTTTCAGCACCACACCACACCTATTCCAAAATTGACCACATAGTTGGAAGTAAAGCACTCCTCAGCAAATGTAAAATAACAGAAATTATAACAAACTGTCTCTCAGACCACAGTGCAATCAAACTAGAACTCAGGATTAAGAAACTCACTCAAAACCACTCAACTACATGGAAACTGAACAACCTGCTCCTGAATGACTACTGGGTACATAACGAAATGAAGGCAAAAATAAAGATGTTCTTTGAAACCAATGAGAACAAAGACACAACATACCAGAATCTCTGGAACACATTCAAAGCAGTGTGTAGAGGGAAATTTATAGCACTAAATGCCCACAAGAGAAAGCAGGAAAGATCTAAAATTGACACCCTAACATCACAATTAAAAGAACTAGAGAAGCAAGAGCAAACACATTCAAAAGCTAGCAGAAGGCAAGAAATAACTAAGATCAGAGTAGAACTGAAGGAAATAGAGACACAAAAAACCCTTCAAAAAATCAATGAATCCAGGAGGATTTTTTGAGAAGATCAACAAAATTGATAGACCGCTAGCAAGACTAATAAAGAAGAAAAGAGAGAAGAATCAAATAGACGCAATAAAAATGATAAAGGGGATATCACCACCAATCCCACAGAAATAGAAATCACCATCAGAGAATACTATAAACACCTCTACGCAAATAAACTAGAAAATCTAGAAGAAATGGATAAATTCCTCGATGCATACACCCTCCCAAGACTAAACCAGGAATAAGTTGAATCTCTGAATAGACCAATAAGAGGCTCTGAAATTGAGGCAATAATTAATAGCTTACCAACCAAAAAAAGTCCAGGACCAGATGGATTCACAGCCGAATTCTACCAGAGGTACAAGGAGGAGCTGGTACCATTCCTTCTGAAACTATTCCAATCAATAGAAAAAGAGGGAATCCTCCCTAACTCATTTTATGGGGCCAGCATCATCCTGATACCAAAGCCTGGCAGAGACACAACAAAAAAATATATTTTTAGACCAATATCCCTGAAGAACATCGACGCAAAAATCCTCATTAAAATACTGGCAAACAGAATCCAGCAGCACATCAAAAAGCTCATCCACCATGATCAAGTGGGCTTCATCCCTGGGATGCAAGGCTGATTCAACATACGCAAATCAGTAAACGTAATCCAGCATATAAACAGAACCAACGACAAAAACCACATGATTATCTCAATAGATGCAGAAAAGGCCTTTGACAAAATTCAACAACCCTTCATGCTAGAAACTCAATAAATTAGGTATTGATGGGACGTATCTCAAAATAATAAGAGCTATCTATGACAAACCCACAGCCAATATCATACTGAATGGACAAAAACTGGAAGCATTCCCTTTGAAAACTGGCACAAGACAGGGATGCCCTCTCTCACCACTCCTATTCAACATGGTGTTGGAAGTTCTGGCCAGGGCAATCAGGCAGGAGAAGGAAGTAAAGGGTATTCATTTAGGAAATGAAGTCAAATTGTCCCTGTTTGCAGATGACATGATTGTATATCTAGAAAACCCGATTGTCTCAGCCCAAAATCTCCTTAAGCTGATAAGCAACTTTAGCAAAGTCTCAGGATACAAAATCAATGTGCAAAAATCACAAGCGTTCTTATACCGCAATAACAGACAAACAGAGAGCCAAATCATGAGTGAACTCCCATTCACAATTGCTTCAAAGAGAATAAAATACCTAGGAATCCAACTTACAAAGGATGTGAAGGACCTCTTCAAGGAGAACTACAAACCACTGCTCAATGAAATAAAAGAGGATACAAAGAAATGGAAGAACATTCCATGCTCATGGGTAGGAATAATCAATATCGTGAAAATGGCCATACTACCCAAGGTAATTTATAGATTCAAACTTGATCAACTCTTCTTGAGCATGGAGAGAAAACTCATGGTAGGATGGAGTGAAATTGTGATATGGTTTGGCTCTGTGTCTCCACCCAAATTTCATATCGAACTGTAATCCCCATGTGTCAAGGGTGGGACCTGGTGGGAGGTGATTGGATCATGGGGACAGTTTCCCCCATGCTGTTCTCATAATTCTGAGTGAATTCTCATGAGGTCTAATGGTTTTATAAGAAGCTCTTCCCCCTTTGGTTTCTTCTCTCTCTGTCCTTCCGCCTTGTGAAGAAGTTGCCTGCTTCTCCTTCGCCTCCAACTTCTGCCATGGTTGTATGTTTCCTGAGGGCTCCCCAGCCATGCAGAACTGTGAGTCAATTAAACCTCTTTCATTTATAAATTACCCAGTCTCAGGTATTGTATTTATAGCAGCGTGAAGATGGACTAATACATCATGAGACTATGCAAAGAAGATATGTAGCTAGAATCATCAACATCATTCCACAAGAAAGATACCTAATCAAAGTGGAAAAGCCAAATTTTTAACTTTTATGATCAAAAAGTAGAATATAGCTGGCTATTGAATCTAGAACTCTAGGGGGCAGAATACCTGAGGATATTGTCTACATGTAGCATGTTCCAGCTAGAGTTAAAAGAGGGCATCAATTTCTAGCAACATCCCCATGTTATCAAAATAAGGCAGAAAATAGTTGACAGAGCTTACTAGGGTACCACTTTGTATGTATCTGGGGCCATCTCATGGAGAGTCCTTTCAACTGGAAGTGAGAAACAATGTATTGTTTTTCCTATTCAATTTAAAATGGCATGAGTCTAGTTGTTCAGAAACTGCAAACTTAAACGAGTCTTTACCATGAAACAAAACCTGAGATGAAAGGACTTAAATCTTATTAATTGCCAAAAGAGGTCATGAACTACTCACCTGTTCCCACCAATGCCAATGTAGACGGCCAGGGAAAGTTATATGCTAGCCTATTGAGAGAGAAGGACCTTAAATTGACTCAGCTTACCCCAAAAGGTCTAAATGTAAGGCTGAAATATCTACCTCAAATCTTCTGTCATCAGGAAGAATAGAAGCTAGAGTTAGAAGTGAAAGTCTATTATAAAGAAACAAAGAAAGCCACAACTATTTCATACTTGAGTTCATATGAATGTAAAATTTATATTCGCTACATTTAGTAAAATGCCAATTATGAAAAATATGCATATTAAGATATAGGATAAATTACAATTAAAATCAAGAAGTTGTATTTATTTTCCAAAATTTCTAATGCAAATGTATTAGTTTCGTTATCAGAAAAAAAGACTTTATAAAGAACTTTCAATGTGATTTTATTATCTTTCTCTGAAATGTTAAAATGCCTGAGGAATTCGAAATGGTTATAGACTTTGTGCTAGTTACTTTGGTGCTCCATAAAATGTCTAACATTTGAGGGCACAAATAAGTTTAACCTTACACAATATCAGAGCATAAAAGTCACGTAAAATTTACTAAGCAAGGCCATGGAAGTCCCCATTAGCATGATGGATTTTATAATGATATAATCCTTAATGAATTATACTTCCATTTAACAAAGTTTTAATAAGCAATTTCTTGTGCCTGCATTGTTATTAATTCTCTCATCTGAATTGCCTTGGGCATGTCTGCCATAAAATTGTTCAACATAATATTTCTTTCTGTGTCAATCTTATAGTACATGCAAATCTCCCAGCCATGACTAAGACAAACTTCATTTTCTTTAAAACACATACCCAGCTTACAGAAAATATTTAGGTTCAAAATTAAGATGTGCTGAAAGAAAGCTATGACTCATGTTTAATGGAATAATAGAGCTCTAACCACAGGTGAGTTATCATGCTGAACCACACAGTCAGTTACACATCCTTAATTACACATGTGTTGTGATTTACTTACACTGTTATCTTTTTTCTAAAGTGTTCTCTTTTTCCTTCTCTGCCCAGCTAACTTCTTGATAACCCAAATGTTCATTCCACAAATACTTTCGTGCTTATTAAGGGTATTCTTCTAGCACCTTTAGTTGCTGTCTTCATCACAGTTATTAAGAAATAAATAGCACCTGGAACCTACAGGGCAGTTGATAAATAATTTCAAATGAATGATCAGAAATACAATAGTAATAAGAGCAATGGGTATCCATGAAGAATTGCTTGGAGAAGTGAACTCTACATTGAGACCTGAGGGTTGAATAGGAATTCATCGGTGGAAAGGAGTGGGACAGACAGGAAAAAATTTCAATGAAAAAGCATGTTTGAAGGCCTAGGAAAAGAAAATAACAACAAATATATGTTCGAGAAATTAAAAGAAGATCAATGAGGCCATAACAAAGGAAGCGGGAGGAACACAGACACCAGATAAATCCAGAGATGTAGCAATGCATCAGCTCACACAAAATTAGTTGTCCGTGAAATATGTCTACTACTTTAACCTAAAAACAATGAAAAGTCATTAAAAGTGTTTAAGCAGGAAAACTTACTTGATCAAGTTTGGTTTTTCAAACAAGTTTTCTGTATTAGAAAAATAAGACTTACAGGCTAACTGTTATAGAGAATTAATAACAATGCAGGTACAAGATATTTCTTATTAAAACTTTAGATAGAATTGAGGATCTATACAAAAGTGTTGGGAGTGGAGGAGTGAGGTAGGCAGAATCAATAGCTGTTTTAAGGAAATAAACAAGTGCTATTTTTAGCCAGGCATGGTGGCAGACATCTGTAATCCTAGCTACTTTGGAGGCTGAGGTTGGAGGATCCCTTGAGACTAGGAGTTTGAGACTATCCAAGGCAACACAGCAAGACCCTGTCCCCACAAAACCAAAAAAGCTATCTTCGCTTGGATGTTGTGAGTGAGAAGAGGGACAAATCAAACCGGTTTTGAGACAGATAAACTATTAATTCAGTTTTGAACATTCTCAGTTTGTAGGAGACATACATTGGATATGTAGAAGAGGAAAGTAGAGTTGCTAGCCTAAAGCTCTGAAGAAAAAAAAAGTGCCTGAGGTACTGATAGAAATTGGAACACATAAGCTCATCCTCAGGAGAAAAAATCTTGCCATAATGATAAAATCAAAGATGGAGCAATAAGTATAGATGGAGGAGAGGAAAGAGGAAAATTCTACCAGTCTTTCAGAACCTCTTTTGTCAATGAAAGGATAATAAGCCTTATAGATAGTATGAGATGTTTTTGTTTTATCCATACAGGATTCGAGTATTGTTTGTACCAATAGAGTTATGGAGAAAGATAATGTTGGGCTAACGTTGAAACTTTGAAAACTCTTTATGTAATTATTATTGAAAATCCCTATATTTATATGTTATTGTAACTTCTGCACATCATACTCAAGAGTTTTAAACTTTATATTGTTATCATTAGCGATGAAGAAGTCAAACAAGAAAGCACTGTGCTACTAGGATCAGATATATGGATATTGAAGTTGTTTATCAAAAGATTGGACTCACACACCATTTACAAAAGGAATCTCTACAATTCCCAAACTTAAATAGGTGTCTTTCCCATGGGCACCATTATTATCCTCTACTGGCTAGTACCATAGTATTAGTTACTCTTTGTTCTAATTAGCCCTTATTGATGTTGAATGCTAGAAAATACTGTGAGGCAAGGGCTTTTTTCTTTGTAAACCTAGCATCCAGCCAAATGCCTGGCACACGGTAAACACTTATTAAACTAATTAATTTTAGCTTGTGATGTCTTGTATATTCTCGATACAAATAGAATCAGGTAGCCATTACCATTCATGTGTCTTAAGATACTCATTTGTTTGTTCTCTGAAGTTTTTTCTTTTCATCTTATATTTAACTTATACCAGTATCACCATTTCCTAAACCTTTAAAGAGAAATTACTTTTCCATGTAATCTTTAGGTTCTTTGATTTCTTAGGCCTGCACTTTTTCTCAGTTAATATAAATCATTCCAGGAAGAAACATAATATATATTAGTACAATGAGGCTAGTGAAATCAAATTTTTGTGATCAAGATGAGGTAGCATCAGAATAAAGAAGAGCAAGTAAGGGGAAGGGAAAACTCCAAGGCAGAAGGGACATCTCTCCTAATCTTAATGGGAGAGTAAAAACACTCAATCTAACAGGATAAGGCAAACTTTTCTGCCTATTTTTCACAGGAGTTCCAATCAGAGGAAGTCCCTATGGAGGGCAGAATGTACCCAAATAACTGCGTTGGTGGTATAAAGCACTAGAGAATAATCACTTGGAAATAATTAAAATATCCAAAGTCAAAATGATCTCAACAGAAGGAAACCAGATAAACCGAATCCCTCTACCCCAGAGAAGGCAGTGGCAGGAGGAGAGGTTTAAAATGTAGGCTCTGTAGTTCAAACCCATCTGTGTTGAACTGTGAGTATCACATCTACCAGACTGTGACATTAGTAAATTACTTAATCTTTCTAAACTTCACTGCTCACTTTTGTAAAATGGTATTGACAACATAAAGCATTGTTATGAGGCATAAATAAGATGATGCATTAAAAAACACCAGGATATACTAAGCGCTCAAGAAATGTTAGCTACTGTTTGCATTATTAATATCATTACTATCATTTACATAATGGCAGCAGAAAGTGTTGTTTTCTACCTTTTATTTCAGCCACCAAGGTGAAAATCATGACAAAATAATTTCAAATTCTATCTGCTAATATGAAGAGAAGTTATTCTACTGAACTACATTCTCATGGAATTTTGCATGGTGAAGGGTCCTTTGCTGGTGCCAGTATAGTTATCAGTAGGGGCTGCCAAAAGGTCAGCATTGACAAAATAACTGAGATTGAAAGGCATTACCTTCACTCTCCTACTCCAAATGCCCTAGTTTTTTGTTTTGCTTTGTTTGTTTGTTTGTTTTTGAGACGGAGTCTCACTCTGTTGCCCAGGCTGGAGTGCAGTGGCACAATCTCAGCTCACTGCAACCTCCACCTCTCAGGTTCAAGCAATTCTTCTGCCTCAGCCTCCCGAGTAACTGGGACTACAGGCATGCACCACCACACCTAGCTAATTTTTATATTTTTAGTAGACACAGGGTTTCACCATATTGGCCAGGCTGATCTTGAACTTCTGACCTCATGATCCACCTGCCTTGGCCTCCCAAAGGGCTGGGACTACAAGTGTGAGCCACTGCACCCAGCCAATGCCCTTGTTAATATGCAAAATGTCTGCACACGAGTTCAAAGCAGCCTCATTACATTAGTGGCAACTTGAAAGAGTTTTTCTGCTATAACGGCACTTGAAACTAATCATATTCCATTTTCAGTTTATTTTATTTGTTTTTATTTCTTCATCACCAAACACTATTTTATCCTGTTTGTTTATGGCTGCTTTTCCAAATTTTTGAAGTATTTTGAATTCTAACATGATACTGTCATCCAAGGTGTTACCCATTTCACCCAACTTGATGTAATCAACACTTTGCAAGCGTATGCTTTTTATGAAAGCTTGTTACATCAAAGAAGGAAGTGAGAAAACTGAAAAAGGTTCCTGAAGCTCAGAAAGATCTATGATTATAAAGTGTACTAAAATTCTGCAACAGTGTCTTGAAGAAATCAGTTTCTTTTAGACCACTGAAACATCAAGCACCCTTGTGGCATTGTGAGATATCTAGTTGTGTCCAAGCAAAACAGCGTATATCATCAAGAAAACACCTGCACTCAGCTGTAAATATTTTAACAATTGGTTCAATGTAATTTTGCAACATTTAAAAGTTCACCTTTTTATACATATGTATACATATACTTTTTATATATAAATGTATAAATATATATACTTAAGCTTTATCCTCTAAGTATCCCCAAAGCCAAAATGTTCCTCTCCTTCGTATCCTCTTCCTATCTCTCTGGATTAGTTTCACTAGACAGAGATAAGAAAATATAATTGAAGACTATACCAACTTTAGAAAAAAAAATACCTATCTTCAGATACTGGCTGTGGCACTTGTTAGCTGAGTGACCTTTATCAAATTACTTAACTTCTTTTATCTTTAGTTTTCTTATCTGCAATGTAGGGATAGTAATACATTCTCATGGGGTTAGCAGAAAAATAATTAGTCTATTCACAGTGCCGGCATATAACAGGTAGTTAGTATATAGAAACTGTAATAATCATTAGAAAAACTAATTTTGGAGAATTTGCATAGGCATGCCATTTGGCAATAATACAATATCATGGTCACAGCATTTACCAATTAAGACAAAAACAATGTCCAATCCTGTCAGCCAATTTCCTGAGATTACACTTTATTCAAAATGAAGAAAATAGAGAAAAAAGTCTAAAATTATAATACAATATTTTTGTTTTATTTTTACCCATAAATAATCATCATTTTGATTATTTACTACATACAGTTGGTGGTTTTCAGGTACAAAATCCTTTCTACCCAATCAGATTTTCTTCTTCTACCTAAAATTTTCTTCCATGGTATCACTGGGATTGAGCATTACCTCAAATGAAAGTTATTATGTGAAATAAATAAAACAGTAGGCTAGGATACACAATAATATTAGCATTGGAATTAGTTTAACAGATTATTTGTAGATGTTTTCTAAGGCAGACAAATCATGGTGGTGGAGAGGTAAAGACTTTTCTTTTCATTGGGAGGAGAGAGATTGTAGAGGGAGAGGCATTGGTATTTGTACTCAATAACCATGCTGGGAGAGGATGGTTGACTATGTTCCAAAATGAAGAATTAGCCATGTGGTTTATAGAAAAGCACCAACGATGCAGATTATATCCTTCATCTCACGTATGTAAAACCTCCAGCTCACCTTGCTAATTATAATGAGATACTGATAAGACGTACAGAGGTTTTCAATTACACCAACAAACTAGGGCCATATATTATGTTGACAGAACAATGGATTAGGTACTTTTAGCCATGTAAATCTTTAAAACAAATGGAGTAAAACATCAGACTTTAAAACATTAAAATAAGATTTATATAAAAGGCAGCAAATCCTATGTAAGATGTAAAAATATTGACCTAATGACCAAGGAACTCAGCCTGAGTAGTTCATGAGTAAATGTCATTGAAATGCACTGTCCTAATAAAAAGTAAATTCGTAGAAAACTTAGATCCTGCAACCTAGATGGATATGATATGGCAGTTTTTTAAGTCTATTAAGATTATTGAATCCCTAGGATAAAGATAAATTAATAAATTATTATTGCATTGTTAGGACAAGCTTGGAAAGACATAATAATTAATATTAGAGTGATAATTAGAACAAGAATAAAAATGTTAAAAGACCTACTTTAAATCCAGGGTGACAGCCCCTTTAAAAATTTATTTTCACATAAATGCAGAAACCAGTATTAAATTAGAACGCTATTATATTTCTGTTGAAAGTACAATTGATTAAAGTTCCAAAATGTTGATTGTTCAGTATTACTTAATATTAACAAATTGTCCATTAACAAAATATTAAAAAATGAGTATTTCTCTTTGTAGCAAAAAGACACTTGGAATTTGTTACAAATAACAATGTGATTTGACAACAGTTTATTTGATTATAACTTTGTCAATAGAAAAGTCTCTATTCTTTGGATTAGTTTCTATTAACAAAAATAGAGTTATTGGTCAAAGATATAATCAATATTGAGGTTCTTGTTTTATACTGCCAAGTAGCTCTCCAAAGATATGATTGATGTATATTCACTGGAAATGAGTTTACTTACCACTTACATTCAACTCATTCTTGACCCTTACAAAGAGCTTGCATTATTTGTTTATTTTGCTTTCTACATTTTTAACATTTTCCCTCTTCTGGCCCCTTTTTCTGTTAATATCCATCCTTGAATTATTTCATCTTAAAAAGAAGCCCTCTTTGAGAACTTCGTGGGTGCTATGGTTTGACAGCCCCCAAAGTTCAAGTGTTGGAATTTAATCCCCACTGCACCTGTGTAGGACCTTTAAAAGGTAATACTTTTTAGTTGAAATGTGATCTCACTTGTGTCTATGATGTCTTTTTTCTTCTAGTTTAATAAGTGATAAGTGAGGCCTATGTTTGTCAAAACTTGGAAAAGTTGTACTTTTAAAAGTTAGTATTCTGAGCTTCGCTTGCAGATAATTAACACCAATTATCTTGTAAATTAAAATATTAAAATATTGAACTGTTTATATATAGGTAATTTGCAGACAATATTTGCTGGAAAGTTGCAGCATCAACGTTCCTCAAACTGTGAGCTGCAGAAACTAATAATCCATGTTATATGCTATATTAAATAATGTTTTATAAAGGTATCTATTATCAAACAAGTTTATGAAATGCTGAGTTTAAAAAAGTATAAGCAGATTTCTTTTTCTTCAGGATTGAGCTATGCCTTTAATATGCAAACATCCAATTTACTATTTGGCCTTTTTCCCCCAAACTAATTTGAAAGTATAGCCCTTATTGCATGAAACTCATTGCAATTATTTAGTTAGTAATGACTAAGGAAACCAAGTTTTGCAAACCTTGATCTAGAATAAAGAAGAAAATGTTTATTATATTTTAATCTAGTCTATTTTTCTGGTTTTGTGATCTTTGGAAATTATGCATAACTGCTTAAAGTTTCAAGTTAGTTATCTCTAAAAGAAAGCTAATAAGGGGTAGCTTAGAAGACTGTTGTGAGGGTTAAATGTGTTAATATAATGAGAAGTGGATACAGTACAAAATATTAGTCTCTTTTCCTCTTTCTCCCATACAGTCTATGAAATGGAAAATATTTTACAATGAAGTTAACATTCGACAAATTTCATAAAGAAATGTCCATTTTTTCCCTTTATTTTTACCTCTTTCTAAGATGCTTCATCTGCTCCTTAAAGGAAGGATAATATGTAGTAATTTATTGGTCAGGATGAATTTTTAATAATATAATAATCATCCCTTTTCTGGGATCATGAACAATTTAATGTTGTTTAATTTATTAAAACATCTCTTTTGTGAAAGATTTTGTATAGACACTTTGATGGACACCAAGATATGTTAAAAAATTAGGAATAAGTGAGCCCCCCACAAGTGTTAGGCATAATCAAATGCATAAATTAAAATATCAATTCTATGGGAAAGAATAATAAATAGTGTTATAGGGTCACAGAGAACATGGGGTTATGATTTCCTGCCTGCTTCAGTAAAGGATGTTGGATCAAGCAGAGGAAGGAGAGAAATGGGGAAATGCATAAATTACCACCATTCTCACATTTATGCCATGCTGGCTATTTTCCTCCTCATTATCAAGGTAATAGTTTTCAAAGCTGCTTTTTAAACTGCATAATTTCTTATTGAAAACAATCTTTTCACTACATGTACAGGCAGTGTTGATCTAATTAAAACAAGGATGGAATTCCTATACAGCTATGCCCTCTTGCCTTCCCAGTTTAAAATACAATGGCCTAAAGAATACAGTTAACACTATAGTATTCAAGGTGCTTGCACAATCTTTCTGCAGTCTATGCATTTAAGTTTATGTCCACACACCAGCCTTTATAGTTTTCCTTTATATAGTTCTCCTTTATAGTTTTTTTTTAAAACAGCTGGCTGGGCACGGTGGCTCACACCCATAATTCCAGCGCTTTGGGAGATTGCGGTGAGAAGATAGCTTGAGTTCAGAAGTTCAAGACCCATCTGGGTCTTGAACCAAAATAGGGAGACCCTGTCTCTACAAAAATAAAAGAAAAATACCCAGGCATGGTAGCATGTGCCTCTAATCCCAGCTACTCTAGAAGCTGAGGTAAGAGGATGACTTGAGCCCAGGAATTCGGAGCAGCAGTAAGGTAGGATCCTGCCAATGCGCTCCAACCTGGGTGACAAAAGGAAACTCTGTCTCAAACAACAACAGCAACAAAAATAAACCAAAAACCAAAAAGACACCCACAGGTGTACTGAAATATAAACAACATCCAGCAAACTACAGGTTTCATGTAAAGAGGGTCTCCAACTTATCATGGTTCAGCTTACAATTTTTCAGCTTTACAATGATACAAAAGGGATACTCATTTAGGAGAAACTGTACTCTGAACTTAGCATTTTGGTCATTTCCCAAGATAACTATATGCAATACCATACTCTCCTGTGATGCTGAGCAGTGGCAGCGAGCCACAACTCCCAGACAGCCATGTGGTCACAAAGGTGATTGCATGTTCAGTCTTTCCACTAGCTTCTAGAAAATGTGAAATAGTTGCAATAAATGAGTTAATGCCCTTGTTACTAATCTTATCATCTATGTCAATTCTGGATTAGTATCGATTGATTTTTGTCTACTCATAGATAACATTTTTCTTCTTTGTATGCCTTCTATTTTTTATTGGATGCAAGTAATTTTGATTTTACCTCATTGTGCACTGGATATTGATATTATTCTGTATATATAGATATTATATATCTATATATACACATACATGCAAAGGTATATGTATATATCTTTTTCTGGTATGTGATCAAATTACTTAGAAACAGTTTGATTATTAAAAGTCTTTCTTTTAAACTTTGACAGTCAGAAGAAGAATTGGCTTTGGTATATGACTGATTTCCTCCACAAATTATACTATATGATCCTGATTATTTTACCCATCACCCCAAGAATTATGAGGCTTCCACTCTGCCTGGAGAGATCAGACACTATTCCCAGTCCTGTGTGAGTGCCAGAGACTGTGACCTTTAAACCTTTCAGGCATTTTTTTTCCCCAGCCTCAGACCATTTTCTCATAGTCATGTGGTGATAAGTGCTATGCTGAATACTTAAAAAGTACTCTATGGGTTTCAGAATTTCTCTAAATATGCAGCTCTATCTTCCATGGTACTCTGCCCTGAGAACTCTATCCTCCTTGGTCTTACCCAACTTTCAGCTCCATTCCTTCTATTCATAGTGTCAGAAGTGTACTGCCTGGGTTCCTCTTTGCTGCAGTGCAGCCTGGCATTATATATTACAAATTGGGGCCATCACAGGTCTCACCACATTTTTATGTTTCTGAGGCATCAGTGTTTGTTGCCTCATTTCTAGTGCTCCCAAAATTTATTTTTCTTTGCATACTTTGTTATCTATGTTTTATCTGGCTATGTCTGTTCTCTATGTTTTATCAGGCTAGAGGATAATTGCTATCTCTGTAAATCCATTTTGTCCAGAAGCCAGGTCTCCCTGAAAACCTAAGATCTAATCTAAAGAAACTGTTTCCCCTGTTTTCAAGTACACCATCAAGTATACCATGTTCTTGTATATACCTGTGTCTCTTGCAGCTCCTGCTGTTTTGTATATGTCCTTCCTCCCTTTTCTACCTGATCAATTCCAACTTCATTTCTTTTTTTTTTTTTTTTTTGAGACGGAGTCTCACTCTGTCGCCCAGACTGGAGTGCAGTGGCACGATCTAGCTCACTGCAACCTCCACCTCCCAGGTTCAAGCAATTCTCCTGTCTCAGCCTCATGAGTAGCTGGGACTACACGTTCGTGCCATCACGCCTGGCTATGTTTTGTTTTGGGGGTTTTTTTGGTATTTTTAGGAGAGATGGAGTTTCACCGTGTTAGCCAGGATGGTCTCAATCTCCTGACCTTGTGATCCGCCCACCTCCTCCTCCCAAAGTGCTTGGATTACACGCCTAAGCCACCGCACCTGGCCTCCAACTTCATTTCTAAACCACATTCTCTGATTAGTTCTTTTAGTGCTCTCAAGCACAGTTGTTCTTTTTGTTGTTATTGTTCTTGTTCACACAGCACTTCAATTATTACTTTATTATAGGCTCCAGAACAGTTTTATAATTATTTAGTGTTTTTTTTAATTCAACTAAATTGTGTCCTACCATCTTGCATATTCAGAATATGGTGCAATCTCTGGCTCATAACAGAAACCCAGTAAAATTTGTTTACTACATAATACATCCAAAGCATTGTCTCTCTCTTCTGTGATCAGGAGCATACACTGCTAGCATAATAAGTGGCAACAGAATTGAGATAGATAGATTTGATATCGTGAATAGCTTTTTTCAAAAACTCTTTTAATTTTCAATTTGTAATAAAGTATTAACTTGATAAATCCTGGTCAAATACATTTGCCTATTGTTTAGAAAAACAATAATTGCTTACTCAGATTTTAAAAAAAAAGCTTTGTCCTATTTGCATAAATTTTCAGGTTTCTGGTATAGAGAAAATTTCCATAAGTTATAGAACTCTGACTATAATATATTCTTATGATTTGTTAAAGCTATCTTAGACTCAAATATAAATGTACTATTAATATCATGCTATATCATACTAGACAACAGAAAATATTTGATTAACAATAAGAAGGGATTAGAGAAATATGTTGGCTGGCAGACAAAAATAAAAGTATTATAGTTTTTAAGAGTATATCTACCATGATAACAAAATAAAGAGGGAGGGGACGTTTGATAGGAAGCACTCATTAAAGACAATCAATGCACCCTGGCCCACTTTTCTACTTTGCTCAATACTGCAACACTGAGCTAATAATGTCACATTATTCAGATTACGATTTATATTTATATATTTAATTCTAAACTATAAACTATCTATAGATTTTTTTACTATCTATCAAACATTTGTTCTGTGATTTACATCTACTTTGCTAGTATTTTCAGATTTCAAAAGTAGAATCCATTTGGTCCTTTCCCACCCTGTCCCTATTCAAATTTAGTAGGTCTACCTTGAGATCCAAGGAACTATTTTCAAAATCATGATGGCAATTCTGATGTAGCCATGCTGGAAATGGGTATAGGGAAACACTGGCTAGGGTTACAAGGTATTTTGTGCCATCAGATACTTTTGTGTGTAAGTAGTATATAAGGACATACAGCAATACTGTGAGGATCTACCCTCCAAAAAAGGTAGAATGGGGTCTTGGTTTCCTTATTAAATCAAATTTAAGCTATTTCTCATTCTGCATGCCTTCTTACCTATGTCTCTGTCACTGTATACTTTGTTCTATGTGGGGTGGATTGACATTTACAGTAATGGAGTAGTTCAGTTCCAGGACTTCTAGATGCAAGGGAGATAACATACATAGGTGAGAAAACATATCTCATGTTTAGAAAGTATATTCCTGTGAATTTTGAATCTAAATTATGGACATAAATGTAAGATTGGCAAAGGAGAATTCATGAAAAATAAAACTTACACAATGTAATCACTGATATCAAGTTGCTACAATTACTTGCTCAAATTTGACTAGACATTGTCATTATAATTCAAGGATAAACCTTAGTGAAGTGATAGGGTGGGCAGCTTTTATGCTGGCAGATGTATGGTTTTACTAGTTTTACTATAGATTTTTTTTCCTCAAAGAAGACTTTATATCTCTCTGCTGAAATAATATTCTGACCTTGAGATGCTTCCTGTCCATGTCTGTCATCTAAAATGGTTTAGATAGCAGGGCAGATTCTGCTACCTTCATCACTCTCAAATCCTCTAATATTAGTCAAGAATGTGGCAACTTGAATTCCCACCATCCCTTCGATAGATTTTGACCACAAGATTTATTTCTGGTGAAGCAGAAATATTGTGTAAGTTTCATATAAATTCCGTGAGGATATAGTGATTGGAGCTCCAGCAGGTATTTTGAACATTGCAGAAAATGATCATGGCAGGAATGGTGGAACTAAATGTTAGAATGAGAAAGATTTCTAATAACTTTGTGAAATTTATAAAAGCTCCGGATTGCTGATCTCTGACCATCTTATGTAACATAATATCTTGTGTGTTTTGGCCACTTCTCACTTGAGTTTACTCTTGCAGATACGATGAGTAACTGATGCCCTAGATTACCACACCAATTTTTTTTGGTCAGTTCTTAGGCCTTTGTAAAGACTATGATGCCAGACTTGGTGGCTCACACCTGTAAGTCCAGCATTTTGGGAGGCTGAGCTGAGAGGATTGCTTGAGTTCAGGAGTTTGAGACAGCGTGGGCAACTAGTGAGTGAGACCTCCACTCTCCAAAAATTAAAAAGTTAACTGGTTGTGGTGGTGCATGCCTGTGGTCCCAGCTACTCAGGATGCTGAGGTGGGAGGATGGCTTGAGTCCAGGAGATTGAGGATGCAGTGAGCTATAATTGCACCGCTGCACTCCAGCCTAGACAACAGAGTAAGACTCTTGTCTTAAAAAAAAAAAAAAAAAAAAGACTATGGTAGTTTAGCATACAAACTTTGGCTATTACAATTACTGTTACTATTAGCACTACTGAGATTGACTTGAGCTACTTTCACAAATGTAATCTAATATGTATTTTCATGTAGAAATTACTATGTACTGTATTTCCAGGCAGAGATGTGCTGGGTAGGGATGAGTCTTTAGATAAGCAAATAAAAGAGGAAGAATATGAGCTCAGCCAAAATATTCTCAGAACACAAGGGCAGGGGGCAGGGGAGGGTAAAGTGTCATTCCCATTTGCTAAGAGAAAATAGAGGCCCCAAATGGGCAATGCAATAGTTCTAGGGCACAACATTTGTCTGATAATTCACCTGACTTCTGATATCTCATCTGTCTTCATAGACTACAAGCTAATTCTAGGCATAAGAGTTGGGATGGAGGCTTCTAACATGTTTTTTTGACAAAGAGGCTAGAGCTGGAAGTAGGTGGGTGGTGTCAAGACTTACAGAAGCTTTGTCTAGAATCTCAAGGCCTTGCACCCTGTAAACTTGCTAGCTGGTCTTACATTTATAACCGGAGTTGCTATAGATGTGGCTAAGGAAACAGCATTCAATACTGCAGCAAGTTGGACTGTGGCTTAAGATACAGATATTGCATGCCAGTGAAGAGGCAAGACCTTGGAGCCCTTGATAGTCTTTGTGCACATGTTGAGCCTGCAGAGATCAGTGGTCATATATAGATGCCCTGACCATAGTTGTGATCTATAGGACAATGTATGACCAATGAAAAGAACTTTTTGCTCTAAAGCAAGATACTATACTCTTGGTTTTCGTTTCGTTTTGTTTTGTTTTTGTCATTACCCCTTGGCTTTAAAATTACTTAACATCTCCAGGCATTGCTTTCTTCATCTGCAGGTTGAATGTCTTACACTAGATTATAACTAAGACCCACGTTCTCTCTAAAACAACATTTCTTATACGGTGAATTTAGATAAGGATTTAGTTTCTGCTTCTGTGTCCACATAGGAAAACATAAGTAGTTAATTCAGTACAAACAGCCAAGACTTTATAGGCAGCTGAAATGTGATGTTCACTCCAGAAATATGTTTTGATGGGGTCGATATGACTGTTCTATATAATAAGACAGTTCAAGGCTTCAAATTAAAGCACTCAGGTTGGAAGATGCAAGTATCAGAAATCACATACATTTTGACCTTATGATAGGAAGATTAAAAATTATACTAAACTAACAGATCAGGAGGCATTACTGAGCCATTTTCTGCGATGGCCATCAAAAATTAGTAGTCAGAGTTCCTGTGGTTCTTAAATACAGTTTGCATCATAATGCCCAGAGATGTAAAATGGAAATTTACCAGTCATTATAAATGAGTAGCAACTATGCCAAAATCATTAATGACATATTTTTCTTAAGCTCTCACTAGGAACAGTCATCAACATTGATTTTATTTGTTTTCAAGTGATTTCTACCTTACTAAATTTTCATTATTAGCTAGTGAACTACTAACAATATAGGTTCAATACTATAGACAACTGGAAGCCATTTGTATCTATTGTATATCTCAATGACAGAGATGTTAACATCCTTGACTGCTTCCCAGTGCCAGTGAAGCAACAGTCTATTGGATTCATTCAAAGGAATTTGGAGATTTTCCCTTTCCTAAGCAACCTAAAAACAACAGGTAGGTCCCATCATCTATTCCCAACCTTCTTTTGCATTTTATCCCCTAACTCAGTTAAGGCCATGGAAAATATGTTAATATAATAGATACTAGAAATTAGGTAAATATTCTTAAAATATAGGTCTTGCTTCCCAGTAGGCTGAAGGTAATATATGGTTGTCATGGACTGGCTATTAGTGTCAAGACTTATGGCATGAGGTTTTAGCTATTAGTTTTAGGATGTACTAAAGGATTTTATATTTCTAGGTAAAAGCTTATTTCTCTAGTGGTATTTGTTTCTCTGTTTGTTTTCTTATGTATTTATTTATTTTAGTTCTGCTTCAAAAATTGCCATGATACAAGATTTTCACTCTGGTTTTCCAAAATGAGAGTAGATTTATTTAGTCTTTCTCATTAGAACATTTTATGTTATCTATACTTAATATTATCATCAAGGTAGAACAGAATCTCTATTTTATTTTATGTTTCTGGTTTTTTAGGGGCTTTTCTTGAGATTTGGTCAGTTTACATCTTGAGAATCCAAAGCAAGATGGTGAAAAATCAAAGCAATAGACATATTTTCTTTCCCCAAGCACTTTGCAACAAATATACATGCATATGTATGTGTGTAAATATGTTTTTTGTCTGTAATACATTATAATAATATCACAAATATGCTGGCAAAAATAGACATATTAATAAAATTTATATTTCAGAATTCTAGTTCCATCATTTAGTAGTTATTTTATTGTGAGATATTTACTCTATTTCTAAATTTCTTCTGTAAAATGGGGATGCTGTCAGGATCTCATGGGATGGTTGGGGAGATTAAATAAAATAGGAGATATGAATATGACACATGTTCTATGTCATTTACAGTTATAATACATAAGTTATATTTCAGATAAGAGGAATATGAGTTAAAAGTGTGACATTAATTAGCTTAGATTAGCCATGGAAGGATTCATGAAGGAAGCATATTCAGATTTTGATTCAAAATATGAAAGATTAGGATAGATACTGTATCAGTTAGTGTAAGTGACAAGAATGAAGAAAGGAAAATAAAAAGCAAAGGGGGCATTATAGAATCACTATACCTTGCATTGAGAATATCCACCTAAGACATATGATATTGTTCTGGGGTCACCACTAAAAAAGAACCGTTGGGTAAGAAGCACACCCCAAACTCTGATCACATCTCCAGAATCACATAGCGTCTCCAGGATCAGTAGGACTCAAACAATTTACTCACAAATTACATCCCTCTAAGCATTAACATGATCCAAATGCGCATTTCTAACTTCCAAGATACCCTCTCTTGGAGGAAGCCTAAACAGACCTTTTCCCACCCTCTCTAGCTTAAGCCAGCTCCTTTTATAAGTGTTTATTATGTGTTTCTGTAGCAACCTGGTCTTTCCTATGTGATAGTGTTTATCATGGTATGCTAAATTTTTCAATGTACATTTTGTTTTTTCCAAAAAACTATAATCTCTTTGAAGTCAAGAATAATATTTTGTCACCATAGGGCAATACTTAGCACATGGTTGATTATATTTGTGTTAAAAAAATAAATGACATGTCTGCTTCCTTGTCATTTAAATCGAGATTATATTACCATGTGAATGCTAAGATCCCTTTGTTTCAACATTCTAATGAGGTATCAGTCACAGAGATAATACACCTTAAAATTAATATAGACATTCTTTTGGTTTTGCTTTTCAAAAATGCTATCACAGCTGAAAATCTGTATCCTCATAACATGGCTTAATATAATGAAAAGTAGGCAAAAAGACAATAGAAGACTTAAGAAGATGAGGACAATTGGAAACTTAAACTGCTTTTGGGCTCAGATTCTAAGAACACATATTTTATTTCTTTAAAAGTTCTGATATTTGAAGCTAATTTCACAGATGTGGATACATGTCATCATTTTCTGTATTACCACTCTAAAACACTAAATGCCTCATAGCATCCAGAAGCAGTGTAAAAGAAATTACACTAATTATCCTAAAGGGTAAGCACTTGCTTCTCATTTGCTGGGTTTGTTTTATCTTAAATATGTTACGTTTGGCATAAAAGTATGGATCTTAACTTGGAGGCATGTCTATGATTTATACAAAAATAAAAGTTCACATTAGCCATTAGAAAGTGTTTAATTGTAACTGTGCACAGAATAAAATCATATCTTGCCTATGTATGTAATAAGCACAGTCTAATATTTTGGAAATACGATGTGCTCAGTCAATTTTAAAGTGTATTTTAACTCAGTGAGCAGTGCTGTCCAACAGAAATATAATGTGGACCACAAATAATTTTAAATTTTCTAGTAGTCACATTTTAAAAAGCAAAAAGATTCAGGTAAAATTAATTTCAGTAATATGTTTTATTACTAAAACCTATATTTCCAATACATTATCAATCTAACGTTCAATCAATAAAAATTGGGATAGTGTACATTCCTTTTATCATACTCACTGGAATCCAGTGTCTAGCTTATTTGTACAGTACCTCTCAATTCAGACATGTCACATGTATGGTTAATACTGAGTGTCAACTTTCTTGGGTTGAAGGATGCAAAGTATTGATCCTGGGGGTGTGTCTGTGAGGGTGTTGCCAAAGGAGATTAACATTTGAGTCAGTGGGCTGGGAAAGGCAGACCCGCCCTTAATCTGGCAGGCACAATCTAATCAGTTGCCAGTGAATATAAAGCAGGCAGAAAAACATGAAAAGGTGAGACTGGCCTAGCCTCCCAGCCTGCATCTTTCTCCGCTGCTGGATGCTTCCTGCCCTCAATCATCGGACTCCAAGTTCTTCAGTTTTGAGACTTGGACTGGCTCTCCTTGTTCCTCGAGCTTGCAGACAGCCAATTGTGGGAACTTGTGATCATGTAAGTTAATAATAAACTCCCCTTCATATATGTATATGTAAGTTAATAAAAGTCCCCTTCATATATATATATATATATATATATATATATATATATATATATATATATATATATGAAGCCTATGTATATACATACATATATAGCCTATTAGTTCTGCCCCTCTAGGGAACCCTGACTACTGCACCACATTTCAAGTGTTCAATAGCTACCAGTGGTGAGTGGCTAGCCTATTGAACCATATAGTTCTAAAGCACACTACTGATATATTTATGTATTAGCAGTATCTATCTTATTCTGTAAATAGTGGAAGCATTAAAAGTGACATCAGAAAACTACACTTTCAAAAGGGAGTGTTATCAATAACATTCAAAATTATAATTATTCTAAATGTATTTTACCTTTACAATATCATACCAATTAAATGACTGCACACTCATTATGTCTTAATACTTATAATGTTTTTGTTGTTGTTTTTAGAAATGGGCTCTCACTGTGTTGCCCAGTCTGGTCTCCAACTCCTGGCCCCAAGCAATCCTTCCACCACAGCCTCCACAGTAGCTGGTATTACAGGCAGGAGCCACCGCACCACATACATACACAATTTATAATTAAGGTCATAAGGTAATAAAATTTATTATGTGAGCCATTTACTAAAACACCATTTTTTAACCAAACAATCAGACACGTCTAGAATTTATGAAATTCTCACTGGATGAGTTTTTAGAAAATGTGGTATCCACATCCAATGATCACATGTCACCACATTGACAGGTGTGGCTGAATTAATTCTTATCTCCTTGGAAAAGTTTTCATTTCCTTCCTCTCTTCTTTGCTCAAGGGAAAATGAACTTGCTTCAGGAGAAAACTTTCCCAGAAAAAAATAGTAGATATTTTTATTTAAGGACATTATGTCAAATGCCAACAAATAATACAATGTGTTTCTTAAAGTATTTAGATATATTAAGAAATTAGGGACAATACTGGCTCCCTGCCAATGACAGTATTTTGCTCAAATGCCATTAAACACGTTGATATAATCTATAAACACTAAAATTATCTTTTAAGTTGTGTCATTGAGCTCTGCTGCTCAGTTCGGTAGCCATTAGATATATATGGGCAATGTGATTGAGAACTGACTTTTTAAATTTAATTTAATTCATGTGAATTTAAATTTTAAAACAAATCCTACATTCAGTTCAGTTGCTGGAAAATTTTTAAATACCTGTAGAGCACCTTCAGTACATAAATCTACTTTTTCAATTGTGAACTTTGTGAAATAGAAGTGCAGATCAAGTATTTCCAATGAAGACATGTTCAAATTGAGATGTGTTGTAAGATACAGAGCAATAAAAAAGAATTTAACAATTTATTAAGAGTTTCTGTTTTAATTGCATATTGAAATGACAATATTTTAGATATATTGGGTTAATTAAAAAGTATTGTTAAAATTAATTTCCTTTGTTTACTTTGTGATGTGGCTTCTAGAATATTTAAAATTACATAATTTTTAATTTTATAATGGCTCACATTTTACTTCTATTGGATAGTATCTGTACAAAGACTTACCATTCTTTTCATATATATTCCTTTTCTCAGCAAACTAGGACCAATTTTATGGGGGAAGGTTGATTTTTCCAAGAGAAAATTATCTCCAAAAGGTGATAATTCAAGGAAATATTATGCGATTAATTTGTCAGTGAAATGGAAATATTGGAGAAACCAATACACATAGTGCCATGTACATAAAGCAATATCATATAATTAAAATGAAGAAAAATCAGATTGCCATTAATGGTTGAAAATTACAACACAGTTAAGCAATAAAATCAGAACACACTGCTTATCATTGAAGCCTGATTAGAAGAGAAAATAGTGCATAACATATCATTGATAAAACTTTTTTTCCATAGATATAATTGTAAAAATGCTGGATGCCTATTTGTCTATTTCCAAGGGGAAAAAAAAACAAAAATTGTACTATTTTAAAGATAACATATAGTTTATAATAGGTAAACATTTAGTATGAAAATAATACTTTGATGCAAAATATAATGTAAGATATATCAATATTGTTAATTTAAAGCTACCAAGATCCTATTATGTACATTGCTTTATACTAGGTACTTTGGAAAATAAAAAAGAAAGGTAGTTGGTTCTTACTCTTAACAAAAACATACTCTATCTGTCAGATAACTTCTATAAATTAAACACATTGTCATAGTTAATATGTGAGATGTATTTAACGCTTTAATCAATCCTTCTTAAAGTGTGCATGGAGGCCCCCAAACACTCTTTCAGGGATCCCTAAGGTCTTCCTTTTCTAAAGTTACATATTTGTGTAAGCCTGATCTTCAATTACCAAACCTCAACTGACATTTCACAACAGATTGCGTGCAAAAGCTGATATGATAATCTAGCTGTCTACAATCAGATGTGACATAAGAAACTTTTTAAAGTAAAACAACATTATTCTTCTGATTATTTTTTAGTCTGGAAAATATTTTTTATAAAAACATTATATTAGTGGAATACATTTATTATTGTTATTTAATAATCAATTAGTAAACCCACTGTTTTTAAACTGAAGTTTTAATTTCTAATGATGCATATTGTTACATACAATCTATGTAAGCAAAAGCTCTTTGAGTTTCTTAATCATTTTATAAGTGTAGAGGGGTCCTGGGACCAAAGTATTTCAGTGTCACTCCTTTAAATAATTCTGTCTTTATTAAATGATTTCCAGAGGAGGCCACAGAGGTGCACTGCTCAGCTCTCCGTTGAAGATAATTCCTTGAGAGTATGGGTAGTAGACAGCCTCTAGCCACTGCACCTTTTGGTCTTTCACAACATTCATGCTAAGGTGAAATTTCTGTGGGCTCAGACAATTAATGTCCAATGAGAGACTCCATTAACAGACATTATTTACTTTGTTTCCTGGTTGAGATTTTTGCAAAATTGAGCAGAAGTCTAAACCCTCAAGCATCCTTCTTTTCCACTCTTTTTTTTTTGAGACGGAGTCTTGCTGTGTTGCCCAGGCTGGAGTGCAGTGGCGCGATCTCGGCTCACTGCAAGCTCCGCCTCCCAGGCTCAAGCCATTCTCCTGCCTCAGCCTCCCGAGTAGCTGGGACTACAGGCGCCCGCCACCACGCCAGCTAATTTTGTATTTTTAGTACAGACGGGGTTTCACGGTGTTAGCCAGGATGGTCTGGATCTCCTGACCTCATGATCCACCTACCTCGGCCTCCCAAAGTGCTGGGATTACGGGCGTGAGCCACCGCACCTGGCTCCACTCTTCTTTAACAGGTATCTGACTGGCATCATGGTCTGAAGGCTCTTTCACCTACTCCTTCCTCCCCTCTAATCTGCTGTCCATAGGCATTTCTCCCAACAAGTCTTTTGCACATTTAATTCCATCTTTGTGTCTGCCTCTTGAAGAACCTGAACTGTCATATAAGGTTAGGAAGGAAAACTATTTTCATCATAATTAATGATATTACTTTTTTTTTTTTTTGAGACAGAATCTTGTTCTGTTGCCTAGGCTGGAGTGCAGTGGCACGATCTCGGCTCATTACAACCTCTGCCTCCTGCGTTCAAGCGATTCTCATGCCTTAGCCTCCCGAGTAGCTGGGATTACAGGCACAAGCCACCAGGCCTGGCTAATTTTTGTATTTTTAGTGGAGACGGTGTTTCAACATGCTGGACAGGCTTGTCTCAAACCTCTGACCTCAAATGATCCACTCGCCTTGGCCTCCCAATGTGCTGAGATTACAGGCATGAGCCATCGTGCTCAGTCGACTTTACAGTATGTTTATGTCCTCCTTTGTGTAATATAAAGCCATTGTCAACCTTTGCCATTTAGGTTGTCATACATATTGATATGGAATATATGTTTGAAAGCAGGAATTATTTAATTTCTGGTAAAATGTATTTACTTTTATATCCAACCTCTGTCCAAGCATTACCTCATCACCTATGCCTTAATGCAGTAATTTTCATGTTGTTTTATTTTTATTTATTTTTTATCTTACATTTAGGGTTTTTTGGCAATGAATCTTCAGGAGTGGTCATTGTAGAATGAATAGACAATGGAAGGGCAAGAGGATCAATAGTTTCCAGACTCCCATTTCTAATTCAACCAATGTTGCTCTTATTTATAGAATTCATACATTTAAATTTGGTGTAAAATTCCATTTGAAGGTGTGCCAGTGCTAAAAAGTCAATTAATAAAACCACTTTCAACTTGATCAGAATTTTGTATATTTAATAAATACCTAATGTTGGTCTTTACTTCCTTAATCAACAATAGCAAGATGTCAAACCTACAAATGTAAAGTTTAATTCCATGTGATTTGATTCATGGAATAATGTATATTTATTTATTGCATATTTATTATTTTATGGCCTGAAAATAAAATGTCCTTATCATTGTGATAAAAATATGCTCTTAAGTGATATATAATGTAAAATCAGAAAAAACCTTTCCTGATGTTTAAAACAAGTGAAATAAATCATTTCAGTGTTGATAAATTTTCAGTCATTTGTTATTTTTGTAGATGGCAGTATCAGTAAAACAATGCCAAAAGTCAAAATTAAAGATATGAAAAAGTGACAATTCATTGAACCAAATTAAAATTAAACATAGGGCCAGGCGCTGTGGCTCACGCCTGTAATCTCAGCACTTTGGGAGGCCAAGGAAGGCTGATCACTTGAGGTCAGGAGTTTGAGACCAACCTGGCCAACATGGTGAAATCCCGTCTCTACTAAAAAATACAAAAATTAGCCAGGCGTGGTGGTGTGTGCCTGTAATCTCAGCTAATAGGGAGGCTGAGGCAGGAGAATCACTTGAACCAGGGAGGCGGAGGTTGCAGTGAGCAGAGATCATGCCACCGCACTCCAGCCTGAGCAACAGAGTGAGACTCCATCTCAAAAAATAATAATAATAATAAAATTCAATATACTAACTAAATTTAGACATGCCTAAAGCAATCGAAGATTTCAATATTTTCTTCATTCTTTTCTCTGCCATCTTTGATGAAGGCATCTAAAACTTACTTTTGGACTTAAAAGTTTTATGGGAAAAAGGTTTTATGGGAATTTTGATCCATTTAGAAACTTGTGCAGTCAATTAACTGGAAACATAATGAGCACAGGACCCCAGAGTAATGACTTTAAACATAGATAAAATGCATGTACAACTTCTAGTTATATTATTATAAAAATATCACCAGTCATATAATAGCACTTGGTATTATGGAGAGTTCAACCAGCAGTGACCATACTAAGTAGAAGAACAACAAAAACTCAAAGACAAAGTGTTAGGGTCACCACAACCAGACTGTTCCCCTTCCCTTCCCATGGGTCTTACAATGCAGTCCTTTGTGACCTCTGCACAGCTTCCCCAGGGCTAAAGACAAACCCCTCTTCACTGACCCCTGTAGTAACTGTCCAGGCAGTTACAGGATGGGGTTAACATGTCTGTTCACCTGGCATAACAAAGCTGGCAAAAAACATCTCCAGGATGCAATCAAGACACCTGCACCCCTGACTCAGCTCCCCCACCCTGACTCAGCCCTCCTGCACACTCAGCTCATCTCCCCCACCCCAACTCAGCCCTCTTGCACACTCAGCTCAGCTCCCCCACCTCGACTCAGCCCTTCTGCACACTCAGCTCAGCTCCCCACCCTGACTCAGTTCCTCACCCCATAAAGCCCTACAGTAGTCTGTAAGCGGGCCTGCCTCCTCTGCTTTTGTCAAGAGGTAGCACAGCAGGACTGACAATAAATCGGCTTGCCTGAACTTGGGTCTATTAGCCTCATTCCTTTCTCGGCTGTCCTTCCAATTATCCCTTACAAAAGGAAAAGTAAAATATTGCATTATGTAGGAAAATAAGACAAAGCCAAGTTAGGAGTGGTTCTTTACTTTGTGGTATATGTGGATCAAGTAGCTAATTCCTTGATGTAAAAACTTTGTTTTTTCATTCAAGACAAAATTTGTCAATCTTTATCTGATCCACTGTTTACTGTTCGAAGTCAATGCTTGATAATATAGCCATTTATTTCTAGTTATCAGCAACAGAAAATCAAACACCATAAAACAAAATAAAACAGAGCAACTGGAATGCTGCAAGTCCCCAGAGTTGGAACATCTGATCATTGCACACCAAGTGAGCAGCAAACATGTGGCCAGGCTGGCTGACATGAAGTGAGTTCTGTCAGGCTCACCAAGTCATGACAAAGTTGGGTGGGTCTGCAGCAATTGTCATTAAAAAGAGTGAGCAAATATGGCATATAAATATAGGAAAAATATTCAGCCATAATACTAATTAAACAAATGCAATTTAAAGGCATGTTGCAATAACATTATATCCTTTCAGATGATTGAAATTCACAATAATAATACCAAGTATTAGCATGGCTATGAACAAGTAGGCAATCTGAATACACTGTTGTTGATTATTTAAATTTGTAATAATTTCTGAAGGATATCTGACAGTTCGTATTAAAATAGAGACAAAACTACAGTTTCACTTCTTGGATTGTACACTAAAGAAATTCTGAAAAGATGGCTCAAATACATAAGTACAAAAATGTTCATTGTGGCACCTATTGAATAGGAAAATGTCATATACAACTTCAAGTTCAAAAAAAGGGTTAGAATTTAGAACGTTTAATTTGTTTCTGCTTTTAGCATAAATATTCTTCCTAAGTGTCCTAAGATTATCTGTATTACTTCAGCAATTGTCTTCTCTTTACTTCCCATTCACCATTCAACCCACTCTAAAATGAGTTCTGGTTTCACAACAATTTCCCCAAAGCAGTCCCACCAATGTCTCCATTGATAACTATTATTTGTCATTTACAGCATTATACCAGCATGACTTATATATTTTCACCCCTACTTTTCTCTCTAGTCTCATCTCAGGCATCATAAAGAGCCTTATTGCAGTCTGACCCTTCTTTCCACTGTCCACTTCAGTTATGTTTTTAAGTCTCTTTTACATCCATGGATGCTTGTGTTTAAATTTGACTTACATGGCTCCAACATTCCTAAAATTTTCCCAGTTTCTCACTGGGCTTTAGATAAAGAACGAGATCCTTAAACTGACTGGCCAGGCGCTACACACTGTGGCCCTTCAGCATCGCCAGTTTCATCCACTTGCTCTCCTTCTCTCTCCCACACTGGCCTTCCTTCATTTCTTGGAAGATGACTTGTGCATCAATATGGGGTTCTGGCTCATGCTAGTTTCTTCTTGAGCAGGTTTATCTTAGTACATCCACTTGTCTAATTAAGTCATACTTGACTTGAGGTAGTAGTTAAATTCTAATATATGTTGGACACCTTCCCTAATCCTCTAAACTGGGTCATTTTTCTCAGTTATATTTTTAGTAGAATCATGTTTCCTACTGCCCTATGCCACATGTTGTGTAGAAAGTAGCTCAGTTGATCATTATACAAGAAGTCATGCCATCATTTGATTAACATCTATCTAAAGTATGTATTTAAATCTTTGTCTAAATTTCATTTTTTTTGTATTATTTGATTAACATCTACATGAACTGTAATCCTCATGAGAGTTGATGTTTTGTTTTATTATTCTTTTTTTGTATTTGTAGATATGGGGTTTTACCATGTTGCCCAGACTGGTCTGGAACTGGAACTCCTAAACAATCTGTCTGCCTTGACCTCACAAAGAGCTGGGATTACTGGCATGAGTCACTGCCTGCCACCAAATGCTTTTTTTTTTTTTCAGTATTTTGTTTCTTGGTGCCACACACATAGTAGGGGCTCCAAAATTATTTTTGATCACCTCTGATATCATTAAGAGGTATGAACTTATTCCCACCGAGCATGAGACCAGCAGAACTTGTTTTCTGGTCACAACTGTGCTGACCAAAACAGTGTCTGGTCCAGAGGATGAAGTAAAGAAATTGGCAGCTACCAGCGGGTGATGTGGAAAGCAATCCCTAGCTCCCCTTATTGCTCATTAGCATAGGACACTCCCAACAACACCATCACAGTTTACAAATGCCATGGCAATGACCCAGAAGTTACCACTCCTTTCCATGGCATTGACCCAGAAGTTACCAACCCTTTCCTAGCAAGCTCTAGATAACCCACCCTTCTATTTGCACTGACGGACTCCTTAATTTGCATGTAATTGAAAGTGGCTTTATGTGAGTAGAAAAGCAATTGCCCAAAGCCCAGTGGTTGACCCACTCCGGGTGCATGGCCTATGAGTTAGCCCTGCTTCTCAAGGGAGCAGTACAGTGCAATAAAAGATTGCTGTCTAATACCAGTGGCTCATCCTTGAATTATTTTTTGGACTAAGCCCCAATTCTCAGGCTCCTCTGTTTTGCGACATCACAAGCTAATTGCAGTTAACTACTCAAAATGCTTTCTTTTGGTAAATTGGAAATATGCTCAATTATAGATATAGGGATTGTTGTAATTTGTTGTCACAATTATAGCTTGTGCATTAGAAAAAAGCCTAAAGACTGATAAAAGTATTGATAATTCTGTGGTTTTCCTCCAATTTTCTAAGTCCTAACCAAACCTAGGTTAGTTATGTTGGAATCTAGTTTCAACTTAAAGCCATTTCTTGACTAAGAAGAAATAAACTTTACCAAACATTGATAGTACTATACCATACCAATGTTATTAAGATTTCCTAAAGGAATAAGAAGCTAATAATTTTAAATATATACTCTAAATGCTCACTAGTGTCAGTGTGTGCATGTGTGTGTAAAAGAGCATGTGCATACATTTTACTTCATCTAATTTCTTTTTGTCTTAACATTGCTCTCTGGAATAAGAACTATTTACAAAAGTCATTCATTTCCTCCTCTTTTTTGCTGTTATTGTTGTTATATTTCACTTCCAAGATACAATTAAGCCATCTATATAAGCAGGAAAAAACATGTCAGGGCTATAAAGAAGTCCTTAAAAAGAGTGATACAAGCAGAAAACTGATTTGTTTTCATGAGTTTTAAATAGTTGAAGGATATGATAAAAGTGCAGACTTGATAATTTAAAAGTATGTTCCCATTAACAGCCTTAGCTTTTATCAGAGCTTTAGTGCTTAGGGCTTGCTTTGATTTTCTGAATTTTAACAAGCATAAATTATATTTCCATTTGATCACTATCATGGACACTAGGTTTTTAAAACAAGTCTTTGTGGACATCATCATTTTCAGAAATTTTGTATCTGCTGTTGTGTAAAACCGATTATGTGATCTACAATCTCCACATGCGATTCTTGATTGTTACTCAACATGTCAGAAATATTTAATGAAACCTTTTAGAAATAGCAAACCACATATGTAAGGAGAATCTGAACATGTTTAGCACTTGTAACATCTGAATGTTTATGGATGTAAAAAAATTATCCCCTAGGAAATACGTTGCTTAGATAGGGAGGTTTTAACTTCAGCAAGTAGACTTTATAAACAGATGGGATCACAGTCATTTCTATTTCAGGACACCATGTCATTCTGTATGTGCCACCATGCTACAGCAGTTTCTTCCCACCAGCCTAGTCACGTCAGTCATTCACCTTCTGGTACTTCAGGGTTTCATTAGCTCATAGCTGCCTGACCTTGTGATGGGTGCAAGTCGACAGGTAGTTCATAACCCTTTGCTGTCAGAATTAGCATTCATGATACTACTTAAACTGTGCTGCCAATTTAGAGTTCGTTATTAAATGGGGCATATGTTACTACACTTATAACTGATTTGATCTATTTATTTTTAGTTTGACCTTTTTTTTATTCATCAAATCAGTTTTGAAATAGACATTGAAGTACCCTTCATTATAAAAATTTCTGTGGCTGATATTTTATATGGAGTTTTCCAGATTCTGAGTTGTTCCATGATAAATGTTAGATTTCAATGTTAGTTTAAACAAAAGTGAAGTAAGCATGGGTCCCCAGGATATTGACGAACGCTTTTTTTCAACCCTGCAACAGCTTTACACTCCAAGTATAACTGAATTTGAAAGCATACACCTTCCTTTCAGTATCAAAAGTGACAAAAGTAGAACTAGGAAAAACAATGTATATTATGAATTATTTTACATCGTTAATTCTTTTCTGACTCTCTCTACCCTTCCCGCATTAATCTAGCATTGAAAAATATCGAACCCAAAAATATAGATAATATTCAATACAAAGTACTATATTTTTTCTTAAAAATAGCTGAAACACATTTTACTATTTCAATTAGAAATTTCAAAAGCACGATTCTTAGAAATATGATTGAAGAAAGAAAACAGTACTGAAAGAACATTGTTTCATAGAGAGTGAAGTCTAAGAACAATAGGAATAAAGGCAAAAGCAGTAGATGCAAATCTTAAAGGGTACTTTTGGTCTTCTCTTACTCAGCAAAATTCATTGCTGGTGCTATGGGGAAGTGTAGAATTTTGTAATGATTCCTTACTTTACAAATTGTATAGATTTATACATGTGAAATGACAGATGATGTGTGATAGAAGTTTCATGCATCTAATTATCTTATTACTTCTTTTCTTCATTTACTATTATTTTACAGCAATTTTAATATAATAATGTGGATACTATGCCATATTCATTAACAAATGAACCCAAGGATGATGTTTGTAGCATAGGGAAATTCAAAATGAAAGGTTTTTTTTTAGATGCTGTAGGTTAATTTTTTAAGAAATAAGCAATAGAGAGTACTTTAAAAGGTAGCTTTTCCTGCAACATCATAATGACCCTATGTCAATGTGGGCTTATTGAAGTCAGATCATAATACAAATGTTACTATATATAAAAGGTCAATGGCATGCCTTTTCTGTTTTCTTTACCTGCAAAGTCGCCAGTCAGTGACATATTGTCTGATTTCAAATGTGCAAGATTTCCTTGAATTTCTGATAATGTATTGGCCATTAGGTTGGCTACATATATAGAAGAAGAATTTATCAATTCCAAGCATGACATTGAAGGGATAACTTGAATTCAGAATTTTACTTTTGCTGATTTTCTCTTTTAACTATTTTTGTGGGCCTGATTAAATCTTTAAAATCTCTATTATTCTTCTAACTGTTTACAAGAAATTGACAATTTTTGGTATTTTGTCACACCAGATCTTGGAGCATCTGTAACACTGGAGTATCTTTAAATGAAGGAATCAATAATTATAATATCAAAACTGCAACTGGATTGGTAACTAGATTCCATAAGTTATCATACATACAGTGAGCTGGTCTTGCCATATATAGCTGTAAGTGTAAAAATTAACTGGATGCTTTAAAACATTAGTCTCCAACCTTTCGGCTTCCCTTGGCCACATTGGAAGAAGAAGACTTGTCCTGGGCCACACATAAAATACACTAACGTAACGATAGCTGATGAGTTAAAAAAAAAAAAGTCCATGCATCATTTTCATGATATCCACCACCACAAATAAGCAAAAAAAGTCCTCAAGTTTAAAGGGCTGGAAACAGCTGCTTTAAAAGTTACTGAGATACGAAAAAGTATCAGCAAAACAATTAAATAGTAATAACTAAGCTGCTCCTTTGAACTTGATTTGAGAGGGTTAAAGGATAATCATATAAATGATTTCAACACTTTCGCTTTTAAGGGCATTTATATTTTTTCCACTGGTCAGTTCTCCGTCCTCTCCTTGCAGGGTTTACTGTCTGATATTTCTTTCTGTATTATTATTCCTCTTCATTTATAATGCAAGCTTCCATAGACTCACAAAAACTAAAATCTAATGGGCACAGGTCCACTCCTCAGAACGCTGCACATTTGCAATTCCTGTATTTACTTACCCTTTTGGGAAGCCTATGTTCACTCCAGGCTCTTAGTTCCTTTCACATCCATCTGAACAACAACTACAAAATGATGTTTTGATATACCACAAGAATTTAAGAGAGTGCCCTGAGAATCGGGCTACCTTTATCTTAGCCCTTTTACTCTAACTTTGGGAGAGATTCAAAAGCAAAGCCTTTGGTTTCACTTAGATACAATGTTGGCAAAAATAGAGTAAATCAAGTACTAAGAAGGGTAAAGTGCATCATATAATTGTCATACTGGAATCTAATGTCATACTTTCAGAGATTATTATTTAAGGAACTAATGTTTTAGTAATTTCACCAGGAGCAGAAATATTTCTAAGCTGTTATTAAACTTACCTGTGCCTTATCTCCACTTCTAGCTCATGATGACATTACAGAAATATGCTTCCTGCATATGTATAAATACAGTAAAAACACTTCATGCCAAAATTACATACATATACACACACACACACACACACACACATATATACACATTTTTTACTCCTCCAAACATTTTTGTTTCTGCCATCAATTAGAAATTTTGTTCTGAATCCCATTATCTTTGATTCTTTCTCTCAGTTCATCCAATTTCAGTCATCAAAATGTTAAATCTAGGAGACTACCTTTTTAAAAATTGTTTTTAACATTGTATTATTATAAAATAAGACAAATTTTAGATATAAAATAAACAAAACTTAAAAGTGGCTAAATTTGCACATGTACAATGATTATTCTAGCTTGCACGACCAAAAGGACAATAATAATTAAATATATAGATATATATTTTAAATAGAGATAGAGTCTTGCTCTGTTGTCCAGGCTGGAGTGCAGTGGCACAATCATAGCTTGCTGCAGCCTTGAAATCCTAAGTTCAAGCAATCCTCCTGCTTCAGCCTCTTAAGCAGTTGGGACTACAGGTGTGCACCGCCACACCAGGCTAATATTTAAAGTTTTTTTGTACAGACTACTATGTTACCCAGGCTGGTCTCAAACTCCCAGTCTGAGGTGACCCTCTCACCTCAGCCTCCCAAAGTGCTGGGATTATGGGGATGAGCCACTGCACCCAGCCAGTAATAATATTAATAAAACTGCTTATGCCTTTCTAATTCCCTTTTTCTCAATGTGTCTTCTTTTGTGTAGAGCAAGTTGATGTCCTTTAAAAAAATGCAGCATAATTAGTCTGTATATTTGTTGTAGAAAATGAATACCTTTAAATAAAAATATAGAAGGGGTTTTGATGAAGGGAACAATGTTGAATGATGTATATTTTAAACCATGGCCAAGTTACAACAGTTATGACTACCTCTCCCAAATTAAAAATGGATAATATTTTAATATTTAACAATAAGTTAATGGGCTTTTATGAGGCTTAAATGAGATAAAAATGCTGCATCCGATATAAAATTTGTGTTTCTCTCTTTTCTTTCCATAAGTGAATATCTAATTTGTAAATGTGAAACTTGGGAAATGGTTGTTTATATAAAATGCATAATAAGTATTGCCTGTTTTCATTTCAGATCATACTGTCTTCGCATAGGTAAAAGATGATAAAAATGATTAGTATTTCACAGGGCACAGTGGCTCATGCCTGTAATCCTAACACTTTGGGAGGCTGAGGCAGTTGAATCACTTGACCCCAGGAGTTTGAGACCAGCCTGGGCAACATGGCAAAACCCCATCTATACAAAAAGTACAAATATTAGCTGGGCATGGTGGCATGCATCCATAATCCCAGCTACTTGAGAGGCCAAGGTGGGAGGATCACTTGAGCCCAGGAGGTCGAGGCTGCAGTTTGCTATGATCACACCACTGCACTCCAGCCCCGGTGACAGAGTAAGACCCTGTTTCCAAAAAAAAAAAAAAAAAGAAAAAAAAATATATAATTTCAACTGTACAAAACACTATATAAAACTACCTCGGTGGAAAATAAAATTTTCACTTCACATATAGGACATTGGGCATTTATTTTGTTTGTTTTCTTATATATTGTTTATGTGTGGTGTTCCATTTGGATTCCCATTTATATGATGTGGTAGTAAATAAATATTTATGAATATCAACACATCATTAATTCTAATATCTGCAAAAGAAAAAACTTCTTAATCAAATTCTCTATGTTAAAAATGGGTCATTACTTAATTTAAAAGGAAATAATCCCAGACTCTGATTCTTAAGATATCCTTTCATTTACACAGATTTTGTTAAGTTCAGGGTTTTATGAGTCAAACGCAAGCTGTACATGAAGTTGTAATTACGTCTATGAATCTGTCTACAATGTCAGTAAGTCTAATAATTATAGTCTCACATTATTATTATATAATTATTGATGTGTTTTAAAATAATAGTAAATATTATTAATAATGCTAAACAACAATATAATGGAGTTGTAATGCAGCCTTTTGCCAATCTGAAACAAACTAAAAAATGCTAAGGATTTTGGAATTTGAAGAGCCTGAATCCCTGAAGGCATAATTAGATGACTAGACTCTTCCACGAATTCCTGCTCCCAAGCTGCTTGTCTTGTCAGCAAACACACAGGCACCTCTGTGATCCCTGTTGCAAACTGTACTTCCCTTTGGTATCTCATGTTCCAAAAGTATTTACTTATACTCTGGTTTCTCTTCAGGTCATATAAATCTTCTGCCTTTTTCCAAACGTATTTACATCTTTCAGTCAAAATTTATTTTTCTGAATTAAAGCTGTATATTATTTAGCTATTGTCAAAAAAGCACCTTAAATTCAATTACTTAAGAAAACACGCACACATATCATTTATTCTTACCCATCTGCAGATTGGTAGGCAGTTGGCTGATCTAGCTTAGCTAGTCTGGGCAGCTCTGCTGATCTCAGCTAAATTCTACTTTTGCCACTGTGGGTTGGCTCATCCAGCTCATCCAGGATGTCCTTAAATGGATTGTCCATGTTCTTTCCATGGAGTTAATACAGACTGAAAAAAGAGCAAGACCAGTTGTACAAGCACAGTTCAAATATCCCCTTGTGTCTACTTAGGTCTATAAGTATACCATTTGTGTCCAAGAAAATCATAAAGCTTAATCCATCATCAAAGAAGTGAAAAAGTTTCATCTCCTATGAAACTGAGGGAAAATTGGACATTTTTAAATAATAATCTAATACTTCTTAGTCTTCACATTAATCTGAGAACTGGGTAAATTTGTAACTTGTATGCATTAGAAAGAACCTTAGAGCGCTATGTATTTCCAATAAGACCTCTGCTGAAAATTCCATAAATCTAAGAGCAATTAGTGCACAAGAACCCTCTGCCACTCACTCTATTTCTCCAGTAGTTCATTGTCTTACTATTATAGTCTGATTGAAACCACAAGGATCAATTTTGTTGTGCCGTTTTTTGGGACAGTCTCCATGGATCTCTTGCATTTCGGCATGTCTTGTGAGTAGAGGCACTGAAAATATTTGTTGTAGACTATCTTTCTGATGCTTCTACAGCAAACGGCCTTGGAAGACAGATACCATATTACCTTCTGAATCAGAGGGCAGACTCATTTATTATCTAGTAAAATGTCTTTTCCAAGTCAAATTCGATGCAGGTTAACTTGTTGCCAAATATAAATGATTTGATTTCCTTAATATTGGTGTTTCTTATTTATGATGCAAACACTGCATGCACAGTTTCTACTTGGATCAAGAGAAACCAATGTGAATATGAAGTGCATGCTGCTTGCTGTACTTTGAGTTAAAAAGTTCTTTATTTCTGATGCAGGAATCTAATGTCTTCTGCCAGCATTCAGAAAACAGTGACAGGCTAACTTGTTTGCTTGGAATAAGAGTAGAATTTCAGAGTCTTCTCAGTTCATGAGACCATTTATTTTGGTTTGTATCAACTACCAAGGTAAAACAGGACTCACAGGTTAATCTGGATCCTCACACTTTTTAAGCTCTGTACATCTATCCCCTTTTCTGATCCATTCCCTCATGCCTTTTCAGTTCTTGAAACACTTCTACCTCAGCCTTTGAAACACTCTTAATCACTAGCAAAATTCATTATATTCTCAATCCCTTCTCTGAATGTTCTTTTTACTTTCTTGCTCTGACTGCTATCTCTACTTTGAGGACACTGAATCTCTCCAGGAGTAAACGATTTTCTTTTTCTTTCTCCCACAGCTTGGAATTAGAAGTACGATAAAGTACCCTTTGCTCATTGTTGCTTCCATACCAGTCTCCTTTCCTTCTCCCTGCCCCACCCCAACCAAAAAAAGTAAAAAATAACAAAAAAAACAAAAAAACAAACAAACAAAAAAAGCACGCAGCCTTGAATCTTATGTTACAAGAAAAAAACCCTCACTTGTTACCCTCCTTTTTAAAACCACCTTAGCTATCATTTTTAAGCAATTTAATTAAGGTATAATTATCTTACTATAAAACTCATCCATTTTAAGTGTATAATTATATAGTTTTGGAAATTATTTAGTAAATTTGATGCATTGTGCAACCAGTAAGATTTCTCATGCTTGTTGACAACTGATCTTCTTTCCCATGCCAGACTCAATCAACCACTAATCTATTTTTTGTCTCTATAAATTTGATTTTATGAACACTTTCTATAAATGGAATGATAAAACACATGATCTTTTCTGTCAGTCTTCTTACAATTAGCATAGTGTTCATCAGGTTTACACATGTCAGAGCATATATCAGTATTTCATTCCTTTTCACAAATGTATAATATTTCACTGTAGTGATGTAGCAACTTTCTTGATCCACTAACCAATTGTTGGTTATTTGGATTTTTTAAATATATTGGTTATTTTGAATAATTTTATTATCTCCACTTGCTTCCAAGACTTTATTTGGACATATGTTTTTATTTCTCTGAAGTATAAACCTAGGAAATTTCTTGATAATTGAGTAAATTTGTTTAATATTTTTAAAAATTGTCAAACTGTTTTGCAATGTGGAAATTGCAAATTTCCCATTTACACAAGCAAGGCATGAGAGTTTCATTTCTTCACATCAACATCAACAGTATTTGTCTTTTTTAATATAGCCATTCTAGTGAGTGTGAAATGATATCTCATAGTGGTTTTAGTTACCTCTCTTTTTGCAGTCAATCTCTGGTCCAGCTCAATTTCTCTCAATGTTTGTAGATTTCATTTCCTTGCATTTTAATTTTCATGCATTTTAATTTTAGTAAAAACTCTTTCTGTCATAATTCTTAGTGTTTGCAAACAACATAGATGCTTTTTTCAATAATGCGGTATCTCAGTAACTAGACCTCACTTCCTTTAACAACTCCACAAATATAATTTCATGAAGCTGAATTTTTAATACTTATCTATTCAGCTTACCCTTAAGTTGCTCAAAACTACTCTCTTGGACTCCATTGAAATACTTCGCCATTTAAGTTCTCCTCATCTTCATAATGTTTTCATTTCCCTCTTTAATTACCTTTGATTCCATAGTTCATATTTTAATCTCTGTTTTGCATTATCAATTCCATTATCACAGCCATGCTTTCTTTTATACTTATCTGCTGGTAGATGCAATTCTTTGCCTATTCCTGAAGTCAATTGTTGCTGCAGAAAGCTAGTCCTGTTTACTGGCTTTATTTTAATATCATGACTATTAGCATCAAGGGGCCCTTAGTCCTGCCAGGGGAACCTTTAACATTTTCCTACCTATTCATTAACCTATTTCTTCCCATCTCATCCTTTAGCTTCACAACTCTGGCTGCTTTCTGCCCATTCTCATTTCCAGCTGCAGATTTCACTCTGGGAACAGAAATAGTCATAAACAAAATTTCCTTAGCATGTTGTTAGCCATATACTCTATATTCTTTCTTATTGTCATGGATGAGAAGTCCATACTATTCTTTAAACAGCTCTTCTACTTGACCACTATATTTCCATCCTTTTCAACAACTTTTTTCTCTCTTCATTGTCATATGTCTCCTCTAGCTCCTCAATCAATCTCATCAGCTCTTAACAACACATGTTAAGTGCTATAAACCCCATCTTAAAAATAAAATAAAGAATTTCTCTTGACACATATTTTGTTCTAGTTACTGCCTTTTTACCTAAACTTTTCTTGAAAGAATTACGTATACTCAATGGCTGGCTTTTCTTTCTTTTCTCTTTTCTTGAATCCACTTCACTGAGGCATTTCCCCTCAATACTCTACTGAAAATGTTCACCTCAAAGTCTCCAGTAACCTACACATTACTAGATCCAACATCACGTCTTAGTCACTGGTGTGCTGGTTAGTGCTTAACAATGCCTCTTAAGGAAAGAAAAAAATCTCTCTCTGGCTCCTAGAGTCTGCTGATTTCCATGCTGTAAATACTCCAACCATGGTGAATTTCAAGTTTTTAACATGATGTCAGTGAACACAGAACATGAAGAAATGCATGCAATTGGCTCTTGCTTGCTGGTGGAGCAGGCCCTAGCACCCAATAAACTGGTCTTAATTTCAGTTGCCTTATCTGCAGTGTTTGATGTAACAAAATTACCTAATACTTCTCAACTCAACACAACATTTCTGGAATACCACTGTCTTCTATTATTACTCATATTGTGGTTTACTCCTTTTCATTGTGTCTTTTCAAACACGTTAATACCCTTGACCTCTAGATGTCAGAGGTCTCTATTGATGTGCCTTTTTTTTCCCTTCCATCTATATTTTCACTTGAACATCTCCTTCAGACCTTTAAATTTAAAAACCCTTTGTATATCCAAATAACCTGTCCAGGTTTTCCTCAAAAGGTTTGAACACCGGAACTCACATTTCAATTTCTCTATTCAGTATCTCCACCTAGATATTTAAAACTGAATTAATGTCCAACAATAAACTCCAGGCATTGTTTTCCCAAGTCTGCTCCAGCTACAGTGATTAGCATTCTTCTAGTTACCTCATCTAAATACCATAAATACCATTCTTCTAGTTACTTCATCCAAGTACCACTTTCTGCAAAGTGTCATTTCTGTCTTCTTTTTAATTCTCACATCCATATTCTGTTACTTCCATGCCCCCATCAGCAAATCCTGTCATCTTTTCTTTAAAAATATATTCAGAATCTACCACATCTCACCATCTCCACTATAAACTTCTTGCTCCAAGTCATTATCATATATTACATAGATTATTTCCACTTGTTTTCTGGTCTCACTGCTTCCACCCTATCCCCTAAACTCTACTATTAAAACAGAAACAAAAACCAAAGTGGATATACTTTTGAATAGTGTATCCCACATTATCACTGTTCTGCTCAAGCTTTTAAATGTCTTTGCAGCTCACTTAAAATTAAATCTTTTCATTGCACTACAAATTTCTATACGGACTCCCTCCCTGAAGTTTGATAACATCGTTTACCGTCACTCTCCTCTTCACTCAGTCAGCCTCACTCACACTGGCACCTTGTTGCTCAAAACATGCTATCAGGAAAAGGCCTGAAATGTTTTTCCTCACATATCTACATGATTCAATCATTCATTTCATTTAAATATTTGTTCAAAGATGAAATCCTCATTGATACATTTCCTCATCACAATTTTAAAATGCTATGCATCACTACCATAGCACTAGCAATTTTCTAATATAGTACACAAACACATATGCATATATGTGTATCTGTATGTGTATATGTGTGTGTATCATATCCATCTGATCCTACTAGAATATATTTTGCTTCTATTGGAATATATTTTGTTTATTGAGGTATTCCAATGTCTAGAAATTATTTGAACATAAGATAGGAATTTAGAGAAACTTTGTTGAAGAAGTAAAAGCAATAATAACTTAGCACTTATTGATCATTACCTATGTTCAAACACTGTGATACATGTTATAATTATGGTATCTCACATGAATTTCGCAAACAAAGAAACTAAGGCACAGGACTGGGATTTAATTTTAGCTCTGCCCACCTATTGGCAAGCATGTAATAAGATGTGGTCCTGGGCCTTTCATAACACTTCATGTTAGCTTATTCCTCAGTCATGTATAAATTTTTTCTTTATGCATATGTGTGTATGACTGTTTTCTTTTCTTGTATATTCTACAAACAGTTCAAATAAATGGTTTTTTTCTCTGGACTTAATCAGCCAGGATACTAAATTAAACTGTCAGGTGGTTTAATCAATTTTATCAAATATTATATGTTTTCAAAAAATTTCCCGGAATAAAGCAAGATTATGCTCTATTTTGGACTTTGTGACCCAGAAAATTTAATATTTCAACACCAAAACATTGTTTGGGATTCACAGATCCAGATTGTGAGAAACGCATTCACCCATTCAAACCCAAACAATGGACTCGGAGTCAAGAAGAACAGCAGAAGCGAGACTTTCTATGACGGTCTTGCAAGATGGGGTGTCTGGTAGGCAGGCACACCCAGTGCCTGTTACAACAGGTAATTTATCCCCAGCAGGCACACCCATGCCTGTTACAGCAGGTAATTTATCCCCTAGCATGCACCTCTCTCCCCCAGGTCCTCATTGGTTGAGTACCATGGGGTTACAATCTTCCAGGACAGCGTCTGAGTTTCATTATCCCCCTTATAAAGTTATATCCCATCCTCGCTTAAGTTTCAATTTCCCAATGATGAAACTTCCTTCCCTTTTATGAGCTGACCCCTCCTCTACATTCTGTTCACTTATCGTGACTTTCTAGGTGCATGGGCCGTGCATTTTGTCACATCCGTAGGCTGGCTGCCAGTACTTAGATTTATCATGCCTTGAAAATGGACCATTTAAAATGTTTTCTCACAAGATTAGGGTGATGTTTGACTAAACTTCCCATCTTCTAATACAGAAGCCTCTTCCAGACATCCTTCAATGCAAAGATCAGAAAGTTCTGTAATTGTCCAAGTCCACCATTGCATGATTTCTTTCTGAGAGGATTATGAGTTAGGAGATAATTTTCATTTTCATTTATTTCTATTTGGTAGATATCTGAGAACTTGATCTTGTTTTCATTAGCTTCGTGGTACATATGGTGGAGGAGGAGCATGTTGAGAGGAGATAATGTTTAAGTTTATAATTCCTACAGCTACACAGAAACAGCATATCTTACAATCTAGCATTGTTTAAAAACTGTGGTTCCTTGAATACAAGGTTAAACAAAGTTTAATGGAAAATATAGATTACTGTTATTTTCATGGCTCAAAAATTATTGTTTTTAATTATAATTATTTCTACTATTGGAGAAAAATATGATTTAATAAAAAGACGTAGTTTTGTTCTGTTTGTTTTTTAACCACACATCTTCTAGGAGCCTATGTTACTCTCTTGAAGCTAAATAGGTCCTTAGAGAAGTGAATTGATTATTTCAGGCTACTAAGATACAACTTTATAACACTGTTGAGCATGCTATTTAACAGGCCAGATGGGGACACTGATATACTGAAACAGGGAAAATAAGTTAATGTGGAGGATAATTTAGACACCGTAGGGGAATGTGTGAATGTAAGAAAAGAAATTGTGAATGATATACAGGACCAAAGAAATGTACTCTTTGCAACATATTTCTTTCTAGCCTACTTTTTGACTCTGTTTTTCTTTTTTTTTTTCTATACATAGATTGTGGCCATAATAGGATGGTACAAAATATGTTTCTAGAGAAACTGGCATTAACTAAACCATACTCTGCAAAACCCAAGCAAAAGATAAGGACAACAACATATGGACTTTTACAACAAATGAGTTCACATGACTTTTTTTTACATTCTTTAGCTATGAATAGATGAAAACAGCAGAATTCATGGACAATGGGGATATAAAAGGTGGCAATACAAAGTGGAATAGATAATAAATGTTGTGACTCGAAGAAAATGGAGTAAATTGAACGTGAGTTCACAGATAACAACACCGAAGAGAAAAGAGTGACTTATCAGAATCTTGCAATTTGTCAAAGATTGTTTAGCCTGTAAGTCAACATTTTGCATAAATTTGAAAATTAAACTAGCTCTTACCTCCTAATGCACCATAATGTAAATTCATTTTAATTATATTTGATTGATTTATTGACTCATCCTCCGTACAAACATTCATTCATTATTAATTAGTTCAAAGCATATTTATTTAAAAAATAAAACCTATCATAAGCCAGGTAGTTTGCTAAGTATGGGGAGGCATCAGCAGACAAGGCAGAATAGATTCTTGTCCTGATTTCAGATAGCCATAAAAGTTGTGATGAAATGAAATTATGTGATAGAGATAAACGGAAGGGGAAGTCGTCGCTGTTAGGTTTCTTTTATGGTCATCTGTCCTACGAATGTTTGTGTCCCATGAAAATTTGTATGTTGAAATCCTAACCCCCAAGTTGATGGTATTGTGTTGGTGCAAAAGTAATTGCGGTTAATTATTTTCAACGGCAAAAACCACAATTACTTTTGTACCAATGTAATATTAGGAGGCAGGGTTTTCAAGAGGTATTAGATTATGAGTGTGGATCCCTCATGGATGGGATGAGCACCTTCATAAAACAGGTTTCAGGGAGCGTGTTTGCTCCTTCCAGCATGTCAGGATGCACAAGGAAATGTGCCTTCACCAGCTTATGTATCTGCTAGCTCCTCTATCTTTCACTTCCCAGCCTCTGGAACTGTGAGTATTAATAAATTTCTGTTGTTATAAGCTACGCAGACTAAGGTGATTTGTTGTAGCAGCCTGAATGGACTAAGACAACCTGCTTAAGCCAGGCCCTGGGATTCCCAGTGTCTTTTTTTCATACTAGTTAGAGTCATCCAACTGAGGAATCTGGATAAATCAGAGTGAAACACAATCCATTATTCTCTAAATGTTGCCATGGTTAGACACAGTAGAAGATAGAGGCATAGGAGGCTGGATAATTGTAGCTTGAGATGGCAGCTACACAGTAGCTATATCTGCCCATAGACCTCACCATAAGTTTGCCTTCCCAGTCCCACTATAACAGTTTCATGTGCTTGGTATTTCAATTTCCTTGCACGCTCTGATTTTTCAGTCATGATCAGCACTTTAGAGAAAGCAATTAGTGACTATTTCTCTGATCCTCTGAGCCCTCCTTCCAGTTTACTTCCTCAGCTGCTTCTACATGTCTGTAAAATACAGCTTTTATAATTAAATTATTTATTACCATATTACCCCATAGTGTTTCCATTTCCAGACTGAGAGACTGTCTCTAAGAAGATGCCATTTAAACTGAACCTGTAGGAAGAAATAAAAATCCAGGTATAAAGACAATTAAATGAAGACAGGGTACATTTAATTTTCAGAGAAATTAAATACTTGTGAAGAAGACTTTTTGAAGGAGGAATGAGGGGAATGGGCTATGAGAGAGATTATTCAACAAAACCCCAAGTATGATAAGAAGAAAATTTGGAGGATATGGTTTTCTTCTTTCTGTAATTGATTTGATTGGAAAGTATTTGGCATTATATCTAAGCACTGTGAAATAAGTAATAAAGTTTAAAACTTTCTTGAACATAATAAACAGACTCAGCAAGCATACTGGACTTTCCACTTTCTCCTTCCTGCTCTGTGCCCCCGATGGCTGACCTGTGTGGACCATATCAGTGGGCTTTCTTGTTCTCTAGCTCCTAGTTGAGTTTGATTAGTAATAAGCAGTGACAATAGCTCTGAGGGGAGGAGGAGAGTGAAGCCTGGTTCCTTCCTTGTAGGATGGCTGTGTTCTGTGACTAAAAGTCACAATTCCTATTAGATGCATCTTACAACACTGACCTCCTGTCACCTTTGAGCGGTACAGGCAACTGGTTGTTACTTGCTTGGGAATTAAATTTTCCTAATGTGGCTTTCCTTTCACCTTTATGTCAAAAGATCTATCTATTAAGCTTTCCTTAAATTACCCAATGTGAGTAGTTGCTGGGATCCTAACTGATAGGGTCAGAGATACTGAATGAATTTTGTAACAGAAGCACAGATGTGTACAGTTTAAATGTTTAAAGTACAAGTAATCTTGGCAATTATTACATGTCTGAATTAATGCACAGAACTTCCTTATTTTTTGAAATCAAATCTCATGTTATATACACAATATGATTTAGCTTCTGTGCTGATAAACTTCAGTATTCATCAATATGAAATTATTTTTGTAAGACCAAAATACACGTGTCAAGAAATTCAAGAACAAAATAAATGTACAATATCTAGTCCCAGTGAACAATTCAATATCCACAACAGTAGAAATACAGATGATAGGTGTAAAATGAGCCAAAAAAGATAAAAATAAGAAAACAAAGTCGATCAATATTAATCCAAATATAACAATTTTTTCATCCACCACTTGAAGTTGGATGGAGAGAATTGACCACCTATATTCAAACTACTGTGACAATTATTAAAAAACAGTTTAGAACAAGGAAAAAGAGATATAATATTACCTTGAATATATTACTTCAATAAATTTTATACAGTATGTATTCACTGTGTAAAATATATATAAGAAAATATATATAAATTATTAAGATTTTATATTGTATCATGTCCATTAATTTCACTTAGAAAAAATGTGGGTCTTTTGTTTTGCTTGGATTCTAATATGTTCATAATACTATATGTTTTTAAGTCCTAGAAATTTCCAAAAGATAAAACTGATAAGGACAAGTATACTTTCTAAAGTGTAAAGGCGTTTAAAAATGACATTAAAAAATTGAGCCAAAGAAGAGACAAAAGAGGGAGGCATCTTTAGATTCATGTTTTAGGTCAATAAGGTAAATCAATTATATAGCAGAGTGATAATTTAAAATCAAGCTTTGGTATCATTTATGATGCAACTCAGGCCTTAGTCAGAATTGAACAATCAGTCTAGCTACCACAATGCACAGTTTCCAAGTCTACCCAGCTTAAAGCATACCAGATGATGATGATGATAATGACGATGATGATGATCATGATGATTACTACTTTAATCTACTTCTTTTAAAACCTACTTAAGAATCACTTTGTTTAAATGTGTTCTTTGAATTAATACTGGGGTCTTGCCTTCCTATTCATAGTTATATTTCCCATTTCAATTCACATACTTGTTATCTATTTGCTCTCTGATTTTAAACTTGCTGAGCCTTTGGATTACTTACGATACTTCTATGTTAAAGCTTTAAGCTATCTCTGTTGTTTGTACCAAACATTTTGTTAACATTTTTGATAGTGTTGATGATGAAAATAAAATTTCACACGTGTGTGCTAAACCATGACCAAGGGAAGAAATAAAAGAGATGCTGTTTATGATTCTAGAGTGTCTGTTGTTGAAATAGGCCATATGTGTTGCTGTGACTCGTTTATTAGGATGTATTCATTAGAATGAGTATGTCTTTTTTGTCATTCATAGAAGTTGAAAGAAAGAGAGAAGAAACTGGTTGCAAGAAGTAGCTTCGACTTGCTACACATGATTCTTTTCTGAATTGGAAAAGATTTGGTAAAAGGTAGAGATGCAGCAATGTATTTTTTCTTCCTATAATATTTTTACATATTTTAATTAAAAACATTTCTGGAACATTTGGATGCATTGTGAGTAATTGGCTATTGCTAGAGATGGGCAACAGATGGTCAGAAGTATCTGTAAGCCAGAGGAGCTGATTTGTAGTGAGATCAAATTTTTACTTAAAAAGGAAGAAATGAATAAAAACTCAAAGTTAAACTTTGGAGAAGAGAGGGATACTAGTGTTAACAGCTAAAATTGGAGAGGAGAGAAATACTAGTGTTAACAGTGAGAGATTCCCAAATAAAACTTTTTACATAAGTGAGATGTGAATTCTTTTGATTTTTGTTAGGGCTACAATAGACAATATTTACTGAGTGAGAGACTGTGACCATCATTTAACATGCATTGTTGTATTTTTGTAACCTTGACATTCCTATGAGATAGACATTATATTGTTCCCATTGTTCAGGTTAGGAAACAAAGGCTGACATAATATGTCTATAGTTCTGCATCTAACGAATGACAAAGCTGGAATTCAAACTTCTACCTTCTCTGGTTTAAAGCTGGTGCTTTTTTTTTTTTTTTTTTTTTTTTGAGATGGAGTCTCGCTTTGTCACCCAGGCTGGAGTGCAGTGGCATGACTTCGGCTCACTGCAAGCTCCGCCTCCCGGGTTCACACCATTCTCCTCCCTCAGCTTCCTGAGTAGCTGGGACTACAGGTGCCCACCACCATGCCCGGCTAATTTTTGTATTTTTAGTAGAGACGGGGTTTCACCGTGTTAGCCAGGTGCTTTTTTTTTAAACAAAGAGAAAATTTACTACACCTAGGAATCCAAGAAATGGTCCAACTACCAATATTCAGGAAGGGCAAGGAAGCTACTGGGTCTTAGAGACTTCTACAACATGGGCTCAAAACCTGGGCTAGTTCACCTCTCATTTCTGCTTCTTTTCATATGCTAACTTTTAAAACATTGTGGGTACATAGTAGGTGTGTATATTTATGTGGTACATGAGATATTTCAGTACCCAGATACCTAGACAAATATTTATAGGTTGCTGGATAACTATACATATTTTTTCTTTCTCCTCTTTCCTCTTCTCTTTTTTCCTCTCATTTTTTCATCTCTTCCTTCATGAGGCTGGTAATGCAGAACCATAATGGACTACATAAATTCCTGGACATTGTTCAAATTATAATAAAAATACTGGCTTTTCTATGATTGGTTTTGTTTTCTGCAGAAGGAGAAAACCAGTGCAAGCAAGACACTGAGGTTATGTTTCATAGGAGGAACACAACTTAAATCAATATTGATAGTTTGTGTAGTGGCATCCGGTGCTTTAAATTCTACTTTCTATATCCTGTCTTTGCAAGTCTAACTTTACTTTTAAGAAATGACTAGATCTAAGGCAGTCCTGTATCCATTTGGAGATAGATCTATACGTATCCCTGAGGGCTGAACTGAGGTCTATAGAAATCACACCTTCAACCCAAGGTATGATACCTTTTGTGACAGGTTCTTTGAAGTCTTCCTTCAATCTTTCTTAAAAGAGAAAAAAAAGTTCAAACACACATTCTTTTTTCTATTCAGAACTGAGATTAAAAGTTTCCCTGATCATAAGATGGGGGGAAGGAAGAAAATTATTTTTTTTTTCTAATGATATTGGTTTGTCTTTGAAGTCCAGCTTCTAGACAAGTCACATCAATATCAAAGAATCTGTAAGCAGATTCAGAAAAGCTCAGATTGGATTCATAGGGATAAGTCAGTATTCTGTCTCTGAGCTTGTAAAACTTTACAAAATCGCAAAGGCACTTAGTATTTTAATTAACAATAGCTTAATCATATTTTTGGTATTATGCTTAAAGAAATATTTTATAGATGAAAATATTTGGCTAAAAAGACAGATCATTACATAAATTAAAGCCTTTGATCCTTGACTTTTTCTACTCTTAATCAAGCCTGATGGTGTGACTCAATATTTTCTACTTCCAGGAAACATGAAATCAACATGCATAAATCAGCATTTCTTTGAGATTGTTCTATCATCCATTAGTATTAATTAGTTTACCGATACTTGAAAAGTCATAAACAAAAGTTCAATTTACTAAAATGTATCATTGAAGATTTGCAAGAATCTTTTAGAACATAATATTAGCCCAACTACACATGAGAAAACCTATGTGTATCAATGATGAAAAAGAACATTTCAAGGTCTTTCAGTGAATACCTGGAATTTACTAAAGAAGGTTTAACTGAAATGGTCATGCTGTTTCTACAATATAATGACTTTCTCAAGTTAGTTTAGTTACCATGGGTATTCTTCCAGTGTTTTCAACCTTACTGGAATTTTCCCCATATTGATAGGATGTAGCAGAAAGTTGGATTTAAAAATAAAAGTTTTATTTTTAAATAAAAATATGGGAAAAATAAAAATTTTCCCCATATTGATATGATATAGCAGAAAGTTGGATTTAAAAATAAAAGTTAAAATATTGGCACTAAGCACTTCAAAGAATGGTAAAATAAGGATCTGTGAATGACTTCACTTCCATTAAAGCAATGGCAACACTCACGAGAAATGCCAAAACTAACTTTTTCAGAACTCAGCTATTAAAGCAAAAGCTTGCAACAATTCATGGAGCACCTATTCAAGAAAAATAGCTATATCTGGGTAAGAAATTGATCTTTTTGTTATTTTTGCTTGCCGTATTCTCATCCTCTTAACATGCTCTGTAGTGGCCTGGAAAACCATCAGCCTAGTAAACGTGGTAGCTGTTAAAACCAGAAGATTAGGCCGGGCGCAGTGGCTCAGGCCTGTAATCCCATCACTTTGGGAGGCCGAGGCAGCGGATCACGAGGTCAGGAGATCCAGACCATCCTGGCTAACATGGTGAAACCCCGTCTCTACTAAAAATACAAAAAATTAGCCGGGTGTGGTGGTGGGCGCCTGTAGTCCCAGCTACTCGGGAGGCTGAGGCAGGAGAATGGTGTGAACCCGGGAGGCGGAGCTTGCAGTGAGCGGAGATGAAGCCACTGCACTCCAGCCTGGGCGACAGAGCGAGACTCCGTCTCAAAAAACCAGAAGTCTAGCAGCCTATGGATGGGACAGAATGTTTTTGGAGCTCTCCACAAAGCCTAATCTCTTGAAATCTGTCACTATTTGATCTGTCTGGCAGTTCCTCAGAAAATACTTTTCTCAGGGATTGTCTCTTTGACATCCTGAGAAAAGTAGAGCTCACCTAGCTCTATCTGTAGGGCATTTGTCAAAAATGATCAGTGGAAGTTGTTTAACATTGCAGTGGCTGAAGCAGCACTGCTTGTTAGAACAAACACAAGCTGGTTAGAAGTCATAAATGGAAAATCTTGAGAATGAGATATCCGTAGGAGGGTTTGAAAAACTTCCAACGCAATCCAAGGACATAGAAGGCAATGCATATGTGTAGGCCTGTGTAACTGCTTAGAAAATACCTGAGAATGCCTTAATCTATTACCTCTGACAAAACTGGGACCTGTGTAGGCAGGAAGTAAAGACTAAGGGTTGTAAATTGCCTGCCTGAGCGTTGAATGTATGACCTAACATATGCACCAAACACTGGCAGACTTACTTGTGCCATACTTTTTTTTTTGAGATGGGAGTCTCCCTCTGTCGCCCAGGCTGGAGTGCAGTGGCACCATCTCGGCTCACTGCAAGCTCCATCTCCCAGATTCACACCATTCTCCTGCCTCAGCCTCCCGAGTAGCTGGGACTACAGGCGCTCACCACCACGCCTGGCTAATTTTTTGTATTTTTAGTAGAGACGGGGTTTCACCATGTTAGCCAGGATGGTCTCGATCTCCGGAGTTGGTGATCCACCCGCCTCGGCCTCCCAAAGTGCTGGGATTACAGCCGTGAGCCACCCCACCTGGCCGGTGCCTTACATTTTTTTAAAATATGTCCAAATTTTTAATGAATCAGTAACCAAGCAGATAATTCACTGGCTACACTCAAAAGATAATACACTTCACAGAATTAGACCCCATAAAACAGTAAACAAACTAATAATTGACAAAAACAACAAATAGAAAAAAAAAAGCTAGCCCTAGTGTGTGCTAAAATGTGATTTCCTGAATTGTCAAATTATAATATTTAAAATGTCTAATTTTCAACAAAAAATTATGAGAACTTTTAAAAAGGGAGGGTTAATTAAGACTTTTCCAGATAAATAAAGAAACAAAGAATTTATCATTAGCAGACCTGCCCTACAAAAATAACAAAGAAAATCCCTAAGAATGAATGGAACGAACACAAATCAATAGTTCAAATCCACATGAAGAAACAAAAATTATGGGTAAGGGTACAATATAGGCAACTATAAAATAAACTTATTTTTGTTTACAATGCTTGTCTTCTTCCATTTGATTTAAATGAGATATGTATAAAGCAATATTTATAAAACTGTTTTGATGGGCTTGTAATATATAAAGATGTAATTAGCATGTCAATCACAGCAAAAAGAGAAGAAAACCAACAAATAGGAGCAAACTTTTTGTATACTATTGAAATTAAGTTACTGGCCAGGTGTGGTGGCTCATGCCTGTAATTCTAGCACTTTGAAAGGCCAAGGAAGGAAGATGCCTTGAGCTCAGGAGTTTGAGACCAGCCTGTGCAACAAAGTGAGAACTCGTCTCTAAGAAAAGTTAAAAAAAATTAGCCAGTAGTGTCATGCACCTGTAGTCCCAGCTACTTGAGAGGCTGAGGTGGAAGGACCATTCACACCCAGCAGGTCAAGGCTATGGTGAGCCATGATCATTTCACTGTACTCCAGCCTGGGCAACAGAGTGAGACCCTGCCTCAAATAATAATAATAACAATAATAATAGTAAAGTTAGTATTACTCTAAGTGGATTGTCATAAGGCATGATGTTGTTTGTAATCGCAAGGGCAACTACTAAGTAAAAAAACAAAACCAAAAAACCTCCAAATAATAAATTAAGATACACATCAAAGGTCCTAAAAGGATACACTGGAAAATATCTATTTAACACAAAACAGGGTGGTAATAGAGGAAAAGAACAACAAGAAAAGATATATTTTTTAAAACATAGCAAGATGATAGACTTTTTACCTATCAACAATTATATTAAAGACAAAAGGGTTAAAATTTCAATCAAAAAGCAGAGATGGGCAGAAAGATTAAAAAAAAGTGTTCCAACTGTATATCTACAAAAGGCACACTTTACATTCAAATAGACAAATAGGTTGAAAGTGAAAGGATGGAGAAATGTTAACCATGCAAGTAGTAATAAAAAGAGAGCATGGGCTGGGCACGGTGGCTCATGCCTGTAATCCCAGCATTTTGGGAGGCCGAGGCGGGTAGATCACCTGAGGTCAGGAGTTCAAGACCAGCCTTAGCAACACAGTGAAACCCTACCTCTACTAAAAATACAAAATTAGCTGGGCATGGTGGCACATCCCTGTAATCCCAGCTGCTTGGTAGGAGGTAGGAGAATCGCTTGAGCTCAGGAGGCGGAGGTTGCAGTGAGCCGAGATTGTGCTATTGCACTCCAGCCTGTGTGACAGATGAGACTCTGTCTCCAAAAAAAAAAAAGCATGAGTCACTGTGCCAATATCAGAAAAAAACAGACTTTAATAGAAAAATTTTTACTAAAGATAAAGGACATTTTATAATAACAAAAATGCAATCCATCATGAAGATTTAATAATTGTAAACATATTCACCAATCAACACAGTACCAAGTTTAGGAAGCAAAACTTGACAGAATTGAAAAGAGAAATAGACAACTAGAAGCAGTAGTAGTTGGAGAATTCAATACATCTATTTCAATAATGAATACAATAACTAGACAGAAGATCAGTAAGAAAATACAAGACTTAAATGACATTATCTACCAATTTGACATAATAAATGTCTATGATACTACAACCAACAACAAAATACGCATTTATCTGAAATGCACATGAAACATTCTTTAGGCAAGAATTTATGTTAGGCTATAAAACAAACTTTCTTAAATGTGCAAATATTGAAATTATAGAAAGTATGTTCTCTAACAAAAATATAATTAAATGTGAAATGCATGACAGAAAAATTTAGAAAACTTAAAAATATGTTGAAATTTCTTAACACAATTCTAAGTAAAAAAAAGGTCAATGAAGAAATCAAGGGATATCAGAAAATACTTTGAGATGAATGAAAATCAAGAAACAACATACCAAAACTTATGTAATGCAAGTAACACAGTCTTTGTGGAAATTTATAGTTGTAAACAACTATAGTAAAAAACAAGAAAGATCTCAAATCACTAAACTAAACTCACACTTTAAGAAAGTACAGTCTGGGTGTGGTGGCTCACACCTGTAATCCCAGAACTTTGGGATGCTGAGGCAGGCAGATCACTTGAGCTTAGGAGTTTGAGACCAGCCTGGGCAACATAGTGAAACTCTGCCTCTACCAAAAGTACAAAAAAAAAAAAAAGAGCCATGCATGGTGGTGTGTGCCTGCAGTCTCAGCTACTCAGGAGGCTGATGTGGGAGCATCACTTGAGCCCAAATGGCAGAGGTTGCAGTGAGCCGAGATCACATCACTGCACTCCAGTTTGGGTGACAGGGTGAGAACCCCTCTCAAAAAAAAAAAGAAAAAGAGAGTACAAACTACAAACTACAAAATGAAGTGAAAACTCTGTTAAAAGCAAGCAAAGGAAAGGAAATAATAAATACTAGGCAAGATATAAATGAAATCAAGTATAGAATACAACAGAGAAAATCAATAGAATCAAATGTTTCTTTGAAGTGATCAATAAAAATGAAACACATTTAGTTATACTAACCAAGAACAAAGGACAGTAGCTCAAATTATCTAAGTCTGTAATTAAAGAGGAAACTCACTATGAACCTTACAAAAAAATTGTAAGGAAATATGCATAACTGTTTATAAATGACTTAAGTAACTTAGATATAATGGACAAATTTCAGGAAAGACAAAAATGATCACAAGTAACTCAAGAATAAATAGAATATCTGTACAGACCTATAACAAGTTAAAAAAAATGACTAACAATTTAAAAACAAAACCAAAAATCTTACACAAGGAAAAATACAAGTTTAGATGGTTTCATTGGTAAATTCTACCAAACTTTTTTTTTTTGGAAGAAGTTTCGCTCTTGTTGCCCAGACTGGAGTGCAATAGCACGATCTTGACTCACTGCAACCTCTGCCTCCCGGATTCAAGCGATTCTCCTGCCTCAGCCTCCTGAGTAGCTGGGATTACAGGTGCCCACCACCACGCCTGGCTAATTTTTGTATATTTAATAGAGACGAGGTTTCACCATGTTGACCAGGCTGGTTTTGAACTTCTAACCTCAGGTGATCCTCCTGCCTCAGCCTCCCAAAGTGCTGGGATTACAGGTGTGAGCCACGAAGCTCAGCCAATTCTATCAAACTTTTAAAGAAGAATTAGCACTAATCCTTAACAAACTTCCCATGAAATACAAGAGGAGAATATAAATTTTCAGGCCAATGTTTGAGGACAGTTTTATATTGCCTAGAACGCTATTAAATAACACCACATGCAAAAAATAAAATTAAAGACCAATATGTCTAAGAAAACAGAACAAAGTTTTTCTACATATAAAATACTAGAAAATCAATCAGAAACTTATAACAAGAGTCATATACTACTACTAAATGAGATTTATTGCAGAATTACAAGGTTAAACATCCAAAAATCAATGAGTAAACAATATTAATAGAATATAGGATAAAAACTATATGATCATCTTTGGAGAATAGAAAAATATTTGATATAATCCAACGTTTCATCATAAAATTGTCAAAACAGAAATAAAAGAGATGTCATAGAACTGATAAATGCAATATATGAAAACATCTGTAGCTCAAATCATATTTAATGGTAAAAGATAACTGTCATTATAAACTCACGAACAAGGATGTATGCTCTTACCACTTCTATTCAATATTGTACTATAGATTTTAGTCAAGAAAGTCAAGAAAAAGAAAGAAAAGCATACAGATTGGGAAATAAAAGTAAAACTATGTCTTTTCATAGATGACATGATCTTATATATAGAAAGTCATAAGGCATCCACTTAAAAACTAGTATAAATAATAAATAAGTTCAACATGGTTTCAATTGACATGCTCAGTATACAAACATAGACCAGGCATGGTGGCTCATGCATGTATTCCCAGCACTTCGGGAGACCAAGGCAGGAGGATCATTTGAGACCAGGAGTTGGAGGTCAACTTGGGCAACAAAGCAAGACTTTGTCTCTACAAAAATTAAAAGTATTAGCTGGGTGTTGTGGCATAGGTCTATAGTCCTAGCTACTTAGGCAGCAGGGGGATTACGAAAGTCTGGGATTTTGAGGTTACCATAAACTGATCACACTGCTGTACTCCAGCATGGGTTACAGAGGGACACTGTCTCAAAACGAAAAACAAACATGAATTTTATCTCTATACATTAACAATGAGCAATCCAAAAATAAAATTTAAAAAATTCAATTTACAATTCAATAAACAAAAAAATCTTACTACTGGAGAATAAATTTCACAAAAGATGGCAAGACACATAACTTAAAACTACAACGTATTGTTGAAAAAAATTAAAGAATACCTAAATAAATGGAAAGATATCCTTTGTTTAAGGATCAAAAAACTTTATATTTTTAAGAGGGTGATGCTACCCAATTGACCAACAGATTCAACAAAATCTTTTTCAACATTCAATCTGCCTTTTTGCGGAAACTGACAAAATGATTCTAAAGTCTATATGGAAATGCAAAAGATTCAGAATAGCCAAAACAATTCTGAAAAATCATATGGATTTGAAGGACTCACAACTCCTTATTTTAAAACTTAGTGCAGGGCTGTATTAATCAAGACAGTTTTTGTTTGTTTGTCTGTTTGTTTCCTACAGTGGTGGATTAGAGGCTTTCATCCTGACTCAGCAACCCAGAAATAGCAAGATAAGTTCATAAAGATCAGCTCTGTGAGCTTTAATTCTAGAAAGAACAAGGGAATTTACCAGAATTTTGAAGGACATCCCAGATCCTGGAGAGGAGGATGATAGCAAGCAGCCCCCATGATGGAATCTAGCTGATAAAAATGAGTGAAGACTCAGTAGCTGAAAGAGGCAGAGAGCTTCTCTCTATGATTCACCTTTCCACTGAGCATCTGAACAACCCAGGCCAAGGGAGAGGATTTTGCTTCTCCCAATCCCTGGAGTTAACTTGGGTAGAGGCTTGGAGACCCTGTGAGGAAAAATAAAAAACATTGGGAAAAGCTGCAGACATTTTCCTAGACCCAGTACTGAGAAGAGGATGCCATTTTTAATCTGAGCATATACAAAATCTGCCATTCTTTGGTGTTCTGGCAACATGGCTGTGAAAGCGTTTCATCTTGGGCCAGAGATTGGAGTACCTTCTCTGGAGTGGGGTAGGGACCTCCATAGCCAGAACTATGGAAAGTGCCTGAGCAGTGGGCACTGAAATTGTGATCTACCCTCTTGCTTGCCTGAGGCAGGAGGAGAGCTGCTATAGTGGCAGTTTTCCCTGTGTGGCAAGACTTGCAGCCAGGAGTGGCTTCGCAACCTGGAACTGATTGGCATGTGTCATTGGTGCACCAGCCGGCTCCTCTGAGATTGTAGTGCATCAAGGCCCTCTCTGTTCCATCCCTGGAGAGAAATCCAGATATTTGGAGCACCTACTTTCCTGGATCAGTAGCCTGAACACCATTCCTAGACATATTTTGTCATGCAGCGAGGCTCTCTTTGCTCCAAGCCCACACAGATGTCCAACATTTGGAGCACCTGTTCACCTGGTTCAGCAGCCTGAGCCACCTCCTCCTTTCTGCGCAGAGATCCTGGTATAGGGGGGACCCTCCCTGCTACATACCTAGGAAAATCTCCAAGCATTCAGAGCACCTGCTGGCTTGGTCCAGTAGCCTGAGTTACCCCATCTCTGCTTCACAGAGATTTTGGCGGAAGGGACCTCTCTGCTCCACTCCCAGACAGATATCCAGGCATCTGGAATACCCATTCTCCTGGATCAGAAGCTTAGACTGCCGCTGATCCCCATGCAGAGAACTTGCAGCCAAGGAGGTTTCCAAGCTCCATGCCTAGGCATACCTCTGGGTGCCTGGTGGCCACCCAGTGTATTCTTTCTTGGCACTGGTGTTTGTGTCTGCCATCAGGGAACCAGGAGGTGGACCTGCCAGGTCCAGCCCCAACTGTTGTGGCTCTCACTCTCCTGGGGCTGAGCAGAGAGTTCAGACCACTGTTCATTTAATGACTCAGCTGACTGTCCGAGGCAATAGAGAGCTTTTGTCAGTAAACAAGGATCAAGTATATAACCAGCCACACCAGCCGCAGCCAGCTCTTACCTAAAAGTGTCATCTATGGGCTTGTAAGATAAACTGCACAGCCCAAAATAAAATCTATCAGAAGAATTTCACAGGATAATAGAAACAAAGCCAAAAGACCCTACTCAGCATTATCTACAGTCACACCCCCTAAGGAGGAGGAAAAAGAAAAGGGAAAGAAAATTAATAATAATAATAACAACAACAACATTATAGGGAAATATAGGAAAAGTAAAAAGAAATGCTATCCACACAAAAATAACGACAAAAATTAGAAGATAAAAATGATACAGTGGCAAGTTGGATAAAAAACAAGACTCATCTGTTTTTTGTCTTCAAGAGACCTGCCTCACACATAGAAACACCCAAAGACTCAAAGTAAAGGGTTGGAGTAAGAACTATTATGCAAATAGAAAACAAAAAGATCAGGGTCACTATTTTCATATGAGATAAAACAGACTTTGAATTAACAACAGTAGAAAAGGACAAAAAAGAACATTACATATAGATAAATAATTCAATTCAACAAGAAGACTTAACTAACTTAAATATATAAACATCCAATATTGGAGCATCCAGTTTCATAAAACAAGTACTTCTAGACCTACAAAAAAACAGCTAGATAATAATTGTCAAGGACTTCATCACCCATTGACAGCATTAGACAAATCATCAAGGAAGAAAACTAACAAAAAAATTCTGGACTTAAACTTGACACTTGACCAATTGGACCTAATAAACATCTACAGAGTACCCCACCCATCAATCACAAATATACATTCTTCTCATTTGCATGTGGAACATACTCCAAGACTGACTGCATGCTTGGCTATAAAGCAAGTCTCAAGAAATGTTAAAACATTAAAATCATACAAAACATACTCTCAAACTACAGTGGAATAAATATAGAATTCAATATCAAGGATATTTCTCAAGGACACAATTACATGCAAATGCAACAACTTGCTTTAAGACCTTTAGGTAAACAAAATCAAGACTGAAATCAAAAAATTATGTGAAATAAATGTAAACAGAGACAAAACATACCAAAATTCCTCGGATGTAGCAAAAGCAGTGTTAAGAGGAAGGCTTATAGCACAACTGCCTACCCCCAAAAGTTAGAAAGATCTCAAATTAATAATCTGGCTGGGCATGGTGGCTCATGCCTATAATTTCAGCACTTTGAGAGGCCAAGGTGGGCAGATTGTTTGAGCTCAGGAGTCTGAAACCAGCCTGGGCAACATGGTGAAATCGTATCTCAACAAAAATTTAAAAAGTTAGCCAGGTGTGGTGGTGTGAACTTGGAGTCCCAGATATCTGGGGAGCTGAGGCAGGAGGATCATTTGCTCTCATGAGGTTGAGGCTGAAATGAGCCATGATCATGCCACTGCACTCCAGCCTCAGTGACAAAGCAAGACCTTGTCTCAAAAACAAACAAACAAAAAATCTAACGTCATACCTGGAGGAACTAGAAAAACAAGAATAAACTAACCCCAAAGCGAGCAGAAGAAAAAAATAACTAAAATCGGAGTGGAACTGAATGAAATTTAGACACAAAAAATCCACACAAAGAAACAATTAAACCAAAAGTTGGTTCTTTGAAAGATAAACAAGATAAACAGACCATTTGCTGGATTATTAATTACAAAAAGAGAGAAGATCCAAATAAGCCCAATCAGAAATGACAAAGATGACCTCACAACTCACCCCACAGGAACACAAAAGATTTTCAGAGACAGCTTGGCATGGTGGCTCATACCTGTAATTCCAGCACCATGGAAGGCTAAGGCAGGCGGATCACTTGAGGTCAGGAGTTTGAGACCAGCCTGGCCAACATGGTGAAACCCTGTCTCTACTAAAAATACAAAAATTAGCCAGGCTTGGTGGTGCATGCCTGTAATCCCAGCTACTCAGGCGACTGAGACAGGAGAATTGCTTGAACCTGGGAGGTGAAGTTTGTAGTGAGCTGACATTGTGCCATGGCATGTCAGCCTGGGTGACAGAGCAAGATTCCATCTTAAAAATCAAAATAACAACAACAACAACAACAACAAAAGATCCTCAGAGACTATTATGAACACCTCTATGCACAAAAACTAGAAAATCTGGAGAAAATGAATAAATTCATAGAAACACACAATCTGTCAAGATTCAGTCAGGAAGAAAATGAAACACTGAACAGACCAATATGGAGTTCTGAAATTGAGCCAATAATAATAATAATAAAACACCTACCAAACAAAAAAGCACCAGAACAGACAGATTCACAGCTGAATTCTGCAAGATGTACAAAGAACAGCTGGTACCAATTCTACTGAAACTGTTTCAAAAATTGTGGTGAAAGGACTCTATCTCATTCTATGAAGCTAACATCACCCTGATACCAAAACCTGGCAAAGACACAGTAAAAAGAAAATGAAACTAGAGGTCAATATTCCTGAGGATCATAGATGCAAAAATCTTCAACAAAACACTAGCAAACGAAATCCAGCAGCACATTAAAAAGTTAATTCACCATGTTTAAGTATGCCTCATTCCTGGAGTGCAAGGTTGGCTAACACATGCAAATCAATAATGTGATTCCTCAGATAAACAGAATTAGAAACAAATATGATCATCTCAATATACACAGAGAAAACTTCTGATAAAATCCTACTACATCCCTTCATGATACAAACAACTCAATAAATAGTCATCAAAAGAATATACTTGAAAATTGTAAGAGCCATTCATGACAAACCCACAGTCAACATTCTACTGAATTGGCAAAAACTGGAGCATTCCCCTTGAGAACTGGAACAAGACAAGGATGCACACTGTTACCATTCCTATTCAACATAGTCCTGGAAGTCCTAGCCAGAGCGTTCAGGCAACCGAAAGAAATAAAAGACATCCAAATAAGAAAAGAAGAATTCAAACTATCTCTCTTCACAGACTGCATGATTTTATACCTTGAAAACTTTAAGAACTCCATCAAAAGGCTCCTAGAACTGATAAGAGACTTCAGCAATGTTTCAAGATACAAAATCAACATATAAAAATTGATCATATTTCTATACACCAATAATATTCAAGCTGAGAGTGAAATCATGAATTCAATCCCATTTAAAATAGCCATAAAAATTAAAACACCTAGGAATACATCTAACCAAGAAAGTGAAAGATCTCTGCAAAAAAAACTGTGAAACACTGCTAAAAAAATCATAGATGACACAAACAACTGGAAAAACATTCCATGCCCAGAAGAATGTTGGAAGAATCAATATCATTAGAATCAATTAGAAGAATCAATATCATTAAAATGGCCATGCTTCCCAAAGCAATCTACAGAATAAATGCTTTTCCATCAAGCTACTGTCATTTTTCACAAAATTGGAAAAAAACTATTCTAAAATGCATATGGAACCAAAAAGAGCCGAAGTAGCCAAAGCAATCCTAAGTGAAAAGAACAAAGTTGGAGGCATCACACTAGCCATCTTCAAACTATGCTATACTGTAGTAATCAAAATAGCATGGCACTCATACAAAAACAGACATGTAGACCAATGGAGCAGAATAGAGAGCCCAGAAATAAAGCTACACTTATAGCCATCTAATCTTCCACAAAATCAGCAAAAATAAGCAATGGGAAAGGACTTCCTATTCAATAAATAGTGCTTGGATTGCTAACTAACCATATGCAAAAGAATTAACTGGAACCCTGACGTTTCACAGTATACAAAAATTAATTCAAGGTGGATTAAAGGTTGAAATATGAAACCTAAAACTATAAGAATACTAGAAGAAAACTTAGCAAACACTATTCTGGATGTGGGCCTTGGAAAAAAAAATGACTAAGTCTTCAAAAGTAATTGCAACATAAATAAAAATTAACAAGTGCAACCTAATTAAACTAAAGAGCTTCTGCACAGCAAAAGAAGCTAGCAACAGAGTTAACAGATAACCTACAAAATGGGAGAAAATATTCACAAACCATACATCCAAGAAAGATCAAATATTCAGTATTTATAAGGAAATTAAACAATTGAACAAGCTAAAACCAAATAATCCCATTATAAAATGAGCAAAATATATGAACAGACACTTCTTAAAAGAATACATAGAAGCAGCCAACAAACATATGACAAAATGCTCATTATCACTAATCAGCAGAGAAATGCAAGTGAAAACCACACAAAGATATGACTCATACGCATTAGGTTGGCTAAGATAAGAAAATCAGACCAAAAAAATGGTGAGGATAGAAAGAAATTATAACATTTATTCCTTACTTATGAAATTGTAATTATAAGTGTTGTAGCCACTTTGGAAAACTGTTTGGCAAATCTCTAAATGTTAAAAACAGAGTTACCATATTTATTGTATGTATGTACATACTTCATATTTTCTGAATATTATGATGTTTTGTTATCTTAAAAGTAAAAAAAAAAAATCTTTCTGGCTGGGTAGAGACTGTTCCTTCCAGGAGTTGGCAACTCTGGCTTTTTTCTTGATGCATAATAATTGTACATATTTATGGAGTATATGTAATATTTTGATACATGCATACAATGGGTAATGATCACATTATAGTATTTAGCATAGCCATGATCCCAAACATTTATCATTTGTTTGATACCAATGTTGTGTTGGAAACATATTAAATCCTTTCTTCTAGTTATTTTGAAATACATAATACATTGTTGTTAAGGGTCCATTCCAAGATGGCCGAATAGGAAGAGCTCTGGTCTGCAGCTCCCAGTGTGATTGACCCAGAAGATGAGTGATTTCTGCATTTCCAACTGAGGTACTGGTTAATCTCATTGGGACTGGTTGGACAGTAGGTGCAGCCCATGGAGGGCATGCCAAAGCAGGGCAGGGCATCGCCTCACCCAGGAAGTGCAAGGGATCAGGGGATTTCCCTTTCCTAGTCAAGGAAAGCCGTGACAGACTGTACCTGGAAAATTGGTACACTCCCGCCCAAATACTGCGCTTTTTCCACAGTCTTAGCAACTGGCAGACTAGGAGATTCTCTCATGTGCCTGGCTTAGTGGGTTCCAAGCCCATGGAGCCTTGCTCACTGCTAGCATGGCAGTCTGAGATCCACCTGCAAGACTGCAACTGAGGAGGGGAAGGGGCATCCACTATTGCTGAGGCTTCAGTAGGTAAACAAAGTGGCCTGGAAGCTCGAACTGGGTGGAGCCCACTGCAGCTCAGCAAGGCCTACTCCCTCTATAGACTCCACCTCTGTGGGCAGGGCATAGCTAAACAAAAGGCAGCAAACAACTTCTGCAGACTTAAGTGTCCCTGTCTGACAGCTCTGAAGAGAGCAGTGGTTCTCCCAGCATGGCTTTTGAGCTCTGAGAACGAACAGACTGCCTCCTCAAGTGGGTCCCTGACCCCCATGTAGCCTAACTGGGAGACACCTCCCAGTAGGGACCAACAGACACCTCATATGTGTGGGTGCCCCTCTGGGACGAAGCTTCCAGAGGAAGGATCAGGCAGCAATATTTGCTGTTCTGTAATATTTGCTATTCTGCAGCCTCTGTTGGTGATACCCAAGCAAACAGCGTCTGGAGTGGACCTCCAGCAAACTTGAACAGACTTGCAGCTGAGGGACCTTACTGTTAGAAGGAAAACTAACAAACAGAAAGGAATAGCATCAACTACGCAGGAATTGCAAATGCAAACCCTTCACAGTCTTGCTCAGCTAAGGGGATAGTAAGGAAACAGTCTTTTAAATCTATGACTATTAAAGGCCAATTTTTCAGAATCATAGCAGGAGAAGGCAATCCTGGCAGTAATGCCCACATAGGTTGTATAACTGAATTAATGGCCCTTAAGTCAGTTAACATTCTCCATTTACCTGATTTTTTCTTGATTACAAAAACTGGAGAATTCCAAGGGGAAAATGTTGGAGCTATGTGTCCTTTTTCTAATTGTTCAGTAACTAAGTCCTCTAAAGCCTCCAGTTTCTCTTTACTTAGTGGCCATTGTACTATCCAAATTGGCTTATCTCTTAACCATTTTAAAGATATAGGTTCTGGAGGCTTAACAATGGCTGCCATCAAAAATGATATCCTAAACCTTGGTGGGAACTTTGTCTTTCCGCTTGAAGTGGTTCCTTCAAAACTTGTAAATTTTTTCCTAGCCCCATACCAGGGACATACCCCATTTCATTCATCATATGTTGACTTTGAGGGCTGTATAATTGCTCTGGAATTAGAACTTGTGCTCCCCATTGTTGTAATAAATCCCTTCCCCATAAATTTATAGGTACAGAAGTTATACTTGGTTGAATAGTCAAAGGTTGTTCATTGGGCCCTTCACAATGCAAAATATAACTAATTTGATATACTTCAGGGGCTTTACCAACTCCAACTATGTTAAATTGAGCAGGTTGAATTGGCCACGTGGACGGCCAGTGCTGTGGAGAAATAATTGAAACGTCCACTCCTGTTTCTACCAAACCTTTAAATTTCTTTCCCTGAATAGTTATTTCACAGGTAGGACGTTTATTAGTAATTTAATTCACCCAGTAAGCTGCTGTGCCTTGTTTATTTGTGCTTCAAAATCCTCCTGTTCATTTAGTTTCACTTTTCCCCATTTCCACATACAGCACAATCAGGAGCTGTGCTATATACTTTCTTGGCTCTGCTTTCCAGGGAACAGAAGTAGATATAACAATTTGAATTTCCCCATTGTAATCTGAATCAATGACTCCTGTATGTACTTGCACTCCTTTTGAATTTAAACTAGATCTACCTAGAAGTAATCCTACAGTTCCTGCTCGCAACATCTGACTAGAGATAGCAATATTCTTTAACAGTCCCATTACAAAAGGAGAACCTGGTCCATATTGATTAATAGCTTATTTAAATTCTTTGAGTAATTCAAAAGGAAAGGGCTCAAATGTAGCTACAATATTTCCCTGTTGATCTCGGGGTGCGGGGGCGGTAACCTAACAGGGAACTGCCAAGCCTCTATATCACCCTCTCATCTAGCTTGCTGAATTCCTGCCTGAATAGAACTGAGAGCGGTCACTCAAGGCCCTGCTCGAAGAGTCACTGGGGCAACTACTTCTCACCTAGTGTCCTCAGGAAAAGAAAGATCTGGAGGGTCAGGCCACTCTTTTTCTTCAAAATAGTGAGGGGGTGCAGAAGGGTAGGGACAAACCTCTCCCTCCTTTGCCACTTTAGCTTTAGGTGGGAAAGAAACCTGCTCTGTCATATCTTCTGTTAATTCGTTATACTCTCCTTCCTCCTCATCATCAGTGTGAAAAGGTTCCAAGGTGGAATGAGCCAGAGCCCACACTTGTCCCATTATTACCTTGATGCTTCTGAGCTCCCCTTCTTACTCACCACAGGGATTGCTTGAGAATACTCAGGTGTCCTCCAGCTTAGTTCCATGTTCTCCAACCGTCACTCTGGTGACCCTTAAATACCGGTTCAAGCCCCATGTATGGGCACCCCTTGCCTAGACCAGCTCAGTCGTGGAGACACTAACCCAGTGGCGCTAGAGTAATTAAGGACACACACACAGAAATTTAGAGTGCAGAGTGGGAATCAGGGTGCTGACAGCCTTCAGAGCTGAGAGCCATGAACAGAGTTTTACCCACAAATTTATTGACAGCAAGTCAGTGATAAGCCTTGTTTCTATAGATTATAGATTAACTAAAACGGGAAACAAAGGGATGGGCTTTAGCTAGTTATCTGTAGCAGGAACATGTCCTCAAGGCACAGATCACTCATGCTATTGTTTGTGGTTCAGCCAATACAGGGGCACCCAGATTCATAAAGGAAGTCCTTAGAGACCTACAAAGAGACTTAGACTCCCAGACAATAATACTGGGAGACTTTAACACCTCACTGTCAATATTAGACAGATCAATGAGACAGAAGGTTAAGAAAGATATCCAGAACTTGAACTCAGCTCTGGACCAAACAGATCTAATAGATGTCTACAGAACTCTACACCCCAAATCAATAGAATATACATTTTTCTTAGCAGCACATTGCACTTATTCTAAAATTGACCACATAATAGGTAGTAAAACACTCCTCAGCGAATGCAAAAGAACGGAAGTCACAAAAAAACTGTCTCTTAGACAACAGGGCCATGAAATTAGAACTCAGGATTAAGAAACACACTCAAAACCACACAACAATATGGAAATTGAACAATATGCTCCTGAATGACAACTGGGTAAATAATAAAATGAAGGCAGAAATAAATATGTTCTTTGAAACCAGTGAGAACAAAGACACAACATACAAGAATTTCTGGGACACATTTGAAGCAGTGTGCAGGGGAAATTTATAGCACTAAATGCCCACAAGATAAAGCAGGAAACATCTAAAATCAACTCCCTAACATCACAATTAAAAGAACTAGAGAAGCAAGAGCAAACACATTCAAAAGCTAGCAGAAGGCAAGAGATAACTAAGATCAGAGCAGAACTGAAAGAGACAGAGACAAAAAAAAACTCTTCAAAAAATCAATGAGTCCAGGAGCTGGTTTTTTGAAAAGATCAACAAAATTGATAGACCTCTAGCAAGACTAATAAAGAAGAAAAGAGAAAAGAATCAAATAGACACAGTAAAAAATGATAAAGGGGATATCACCACCAATCCCACAGAAATACAAACTACCATCTGAGAATACTGTAAACACCTCTATGCAAATAAACTAAAATATCTAGAAGAAGTGAAAAAATTCCTGGACACATACACTCTCCCAAGACTAAACCAGGAAAAGGTTGAATCTCTGAATAGACAAGTAACAGACTCTGAAATTGAGGCAATAATTAATAGCCTACCAACCAAAAAAAGGCCAGGACCAGACGGATTCACAGCCGAATTCTACCAGAGGTACAAAAAGGAGCTGGTACCATTCCTTCTGAAACTATTCCAATCAATAGAAAAAGAGGGAATCCTCCCTAACTCATTTTATGAGGCCAGCGTCATCCTGATACCAAAGCCTGGCAGAGACACAACAAAAAAAGATAATTTTAGACCAATATCCCTGATGAACATTGATGCAAAAATCCTCAATAAAATACTGGCAAATCAAATCCAGAAGCACATCAAAAAGCTTATCCACCATGATCAAGTTGGCTTCATCCCTGGGATGAAAGAGTGTTTCAACATACACAAATCAATAAATGTAATCCATCACATAAACAGAAGCAATGACAAAAACCACATGATTATGTCAATAGATGCAGAAAAGGCCTTCAAAAAAATTCAACAGCCCTTCATGTCAAAAACTCTCAATAAACTAGGTATTGATGGAACATATCTCAAAATAATAAGAGCTGTTTATGACAAACCCACAGCCAATATCATACTGAATGGACAAAAACTGGAAGCATTCCCTTTGAAAACCAAGGGCACAAGACAAGGATGCCCTCTCTCACCACTCCTATTCAACATGGTGTTGGAAGTTCTGGCCAGGGCAATCAGGAAAGATAAACAAATAAGGGGTATTCAATTAGGAAAAGAGGAAGTCAAATTTTCCCTGCTTGCAGATGACATGATTGTACATTTAGAAAACCCCATCATCTCAGCCCCAAATCTCCTTAAGCTGATAAGGAACTTCAGCAAAATTTCAGGATACAAAATCAATGTGCAAAAATTACAAGTATTCCTATACACCAATAACAGACAAACAGAGAGCCAAATCATGAGTGAACACCCATTCACAATTACTACAAAGAGAATAAAATACCTGGAAATCCAATTTACAAGGGACGTGAAGGACCTCTTCAAAGAGGACTACAAACCACTGCTCAATAAAATAAAAGAGGACACAAACAAATGGAAGAATATTCCATGCTCATGGGTAGGTAGAATCAATATCGTGAAAATGGTCATACTGCCCAAGGTATTTTATAGATTCAATGCCCTCCCCATCAAGCTACCAATAACTTTCTTCAAGTTATTTAAAGTAGAATTGGAAAATCTACTTTAAAGTTCATATGGAACAAAAAAAGAGCCTGCATAGCCAAGACAATCCTAAGCCAAAAGAACACAGCTGGAGGCATCACGCTACGTGACTTCAAACTATACTACAAGGCTACAGCAACCAAAACAGCATGGTACTTGTAGCAAAACAGATATATAGACCAATGGAACAGAACGGAGCCCTCAGAAATAATGCCAATCTACAACTATCTGATCTTGACAAACCTGACAAAAACAAGAAATGGGGAAAGAATTTCTTATTTAATAAATGGTGCTGGGAAAACTGGCTAACCATATGTAGAAAGCTGAAACTGGATCCTTTCCTTACACCTTATACAAAAATTAATTCAAGATGGATTAAAGACTTAAATGTAAGACCTAAAACCATTAAAACCCTAGAAGAAAATCTGGGTAATACCATTCAGGACATAGGCATGGACAAAGACGTCATGACTAAAACACCAAAAGCAATGGCAACAAATGCCAAAATAGACAAATGAGATCTAATTAAACTAAAGAGCTTCTACACATGAAAAAAAGCTTACCATTAGAGTGAACAGGCGACCTACAGAATGGGAGAAAATTTTTGCAATCTACCCATCTGACAAAGGGCTAATATCCAGAATCTACAAAGAACTTAAACAAATTTACAAGAAAAAACAACCCCATCAAAAAGTGGTTGAATGATATGAACAGACACTTCTCAAAAGAAGACATTTATGCAGCCAACAGACACATTGAAAAAATGCTCATCATCACTGGTCATCAGAGAAATGCAAATCAAAACCACAATGTGATACTATATCATGCCAGTTAGAATGACAATCATTAAAAAGTCAGGAAACAACAGATGCTGTAGAGGATGTGGAGAAATAGGAACACTTTTACACTGCTGGTGGGAGTGTAAATTAGCTCAACCATTGTGGAAGACAGTGTGGCGATTCCTCAAGGATCTAGAACTAGAAATACCATTTGACCCAACAATTCCATTACTGGGTATATACCCAAAGGATTATAAATCATGCTACTATAAAGACACATGCACATATATGTTTATTGCAGCACTATTCACAATAGTAAAGACTTAGAACCAACCCAAATGTCCATCAGTGATAGACTGGATTAAGAAAATGTGGCACGTATACACCATGGAATACTATGCAGCCATAAAAAAGGATGAGTTCATGTCTGATGAGTTCATGTCCTTTGCAGGGACATGGATGAAGCTGGAAACCATCATTCTCAACAAACTATCACAATGACAGAAAACGAAGCACTGCATGTTCTCTCACTCATAGGTGGGAATTGAACAATGCGAACACTTGGACACAGGGCAGGGAACATCATATACTGGGTCTTGTTGGGGGGGTGGGGGGCTGGGGGAGGGATAGCATTAGGAGAACTACCTAATATAAATGACGAGTTAATGGGTGCAGCAAACCATCATGGCACATGTATACCTATGTAACAAACCTGTGCATTGTGCACATGTACCGTAGAACTTAAAGTATAATAATAATAATAATACATTATTGCTAACTAGTTACCCTGCTGTGCAGAAAACTAACAGTGTGTTTCTAGTGTGCTATTGAACCCTAGAAGTTATTCCTTCTACCTTACTGTGTGTTTGTACCCATGATACAAACCTCCATTAATCCCCTCTACCCTTTCCAGCCTTTGATAACCATCATTCTACTGTCTACATTCATGATATCAACTTTTTAGCTCCCACATGTGAGTGAGAACATACAATATTTGTCTTTCTGTGCCTGGCTGATTTCATAATAACTTCCGTTGCTATCTATGTTGCTGCAAATGACAAGATTTCATTCTTTTTCATAGCAAAATGGTACTCCATCATGTAGAGATACCACATTTTCTTTATCCATTCACCTGTTGATGGAAACAGGTTAATTCCATATCTTGGCTATTGTGAATAGTGTTGCAATAAACATGAGAGTAAAAGTATCCCGTTGATATACTGATTTCCTTTCCTTTGTGTGAATACCCAATAATGAGAATGCTGGATCATATGGGAGTTCTATGATTAGTTTTTTGAGAAACCTCCATATGGTTTTCCATGATGGCTATACTAATTTGCATTGCCACCAATGGTGTCTATATGTGTTCTGTTTTCTCCACATCCTCACCAGCATTTGTTATTTTTTATCTATTTGATAATAGCTATTCTAACCAGAGTGAGCTGATATTGTGGTTTTGATTTGTTTCCCTGATGATTAGTGATGTTGAGCATTTACTTATGCACCTGTTGGCCAATTTTAAGTCTTTTTTTGAGAACTATCTATTCAGATATTTTTTCCACTTTTTAATGGGATTATTTGGTATTTTTTTGCTTTTGAGTTCATTGAGTTCTCTGTGTATTCTAAATATTAGGCCCTTTTAAGATGCATAACTTACAAATATTTTCTCCCATTCTATAGGTTGTCTTTTCACTTGTTGATGGTTTCCTTTGGTGTGCAGAAGCTTTTTTAGTTTAACATAGTCCTATTTGTCTGTTTTTGGTTTTCTGCCAGTGCTTTTGAGGTCTTACCAAAAAAGACTTTGTCTATACCAGTGTCCTAATGTGTTTTCTTTATGCTTTTTTTTTTCTAGTAGTTTTATGGTTTCAGGTCATATGTTTAAATCTTTAATCCATTTTGATTTTACTTTTGTATATGGTGAGGGATTGGAGTCTAGTTTCATCCTTCTGCCTATGAAATATCCAGTTTTTCCAGGATCATTTACTGAGAGGTTATAACAACCTAGCCACAAGCCTGTCTTTTATGTGCAAACAAACCAGTCCAGAGCCATACCTCCACTACCTGGCCAGTAAACCCCAAGAGGCAATAATCCTCTGCCTTAATCATCCCAGGGCCAGGTGCCAAGCAACTAGGAAGCATAAAACTATTCCATATTTTGTAAAGTTATTCAGGCTTGCCAGTCCTACACTGTTCACCTTGCCCTGTCTTGCTTTTTCCATGGAAACCCCAATAAAGGTCGTTGCCTAATGCTTTCCCCTTATTCCTGCCTTCTGTCTCCCAACCACACTTCTTTTTCCCACGTAGTCATGTGTGTTAATATGGTTTGGCTCTGTGTCCCCACCCAAATCTCATGCTGAATTTGGGAGAGGAACCTGGTGGGAGGTGATTGGATCATGGGGGCAGATTTCTCCCTTGCTGTTCTCATGATAGTGAGTGAGTTATCATGAAATCTGGTTGTTTAAAATTGTGTAGCACTTTCCCACTTGCCCTCTCTCCTACTGGCCATGTGAAGTAGTGCTTGCCTACCCTTCACCTCCTACCAAGACTGTAAGTTTTCCGAGGCCTCCCCAGCCATGCTTCCTGCACAACCTGTGGAACTGTGAACCAATTAAACCTCTTATCTTTATAAATTATCCAGTCTCAGGTAGTTCTTTATAGCAATGTGAGAAGGGACTAATACATGTGGTGTGCTGTTTCTCCTGTTTCTAGGACCTGTGAGTATAATGAACCTTGTTTTCCCTGAGCCTCTTCTTTGTACCCTATTGTGGCCACACCTGACTGACCACCTCATAAAAGAATATAAAACATCATATAATCCAGGAATCTACTCCTAGGTATATATTCAAGAGAAATGAAACCATACATCTACACTAAAACTATTTACAGCAGCTTTATTCATAGTAGTAAATAAGTAGAAAGCACCCAAATGTTCACCAATGAATAAATAAATAAAGTATATCTTTACAATGAAATATGATTCATCAATAAAAAAATTAAGTCCTAATATGTATTATGTCATGGATAAATCATGGAAACATTATGCTAAGTGAATAAATCCAGCCACAAAAGACAATATATGGTACACTTTCATTCATGTGAAATGACCCAAATCCGTAAAGATAGAAAGCAGACTAGTGGTTTCCAGGGGCTAATTGTGCTGGGAATAGGGAGTGACCTCTAATATGTATGAGATTTCTTTTTGAATGATAATGAACTATTGTAAAATTAGATAGTGGTGATGATTGCACAACTCTGAATGTTATTAAAACCATGGAATTGTACAAATTAAAAGGGTTAATTTTATTGTCTGTAAATATATTTTAATAGCACTGTTGATAGAGAAATAGATACAAACTAACGTTTATGAACTATGTAATGCTGAAACTTAACCAGTCTGAAATTCAGTTTTTTAGCTAGAAAGTAAAAATTTTAATGCCTTCTGTTAACTCAGAAATTTAAGTATCATGATAGTTAAAACTGGTGCAAATATGCCTTGCAAATTGTGATACCTTCAAAAAATTTAAGCTATTATTATTATTGACCAACTTATCAAATAAATACTGTCAAGTTCTCATTTGGTTGCTTAAACTCCTTCTGGGATAAGTTATATTTATGTATTAGTTATTTATCTTACAAAAATTTAAATATATTTCCTTTGGGTTTTTCATGACATTGAAAGTATAATAATATTTGAATCAGGCTTTTTAAAGTTGATATCTTGATTAATGGATATTTCTTGAGATTCTGCTTTAGAGAACCTGTAAGGACTGGACATCATGGGGGCTATAAAAAACACAAAATGTTGCTCTTTCCAAGTGCAGATATAAAATTTTGAATGTATACATATATCTGTGTGTGTGTATGTGTATAAATACATGTTTTACATGTAGGCACACATACATATTAGAACAAAATAACTGCCATTCTGTTTATAAAGTTTATATATTTGGTCTATCTATGTGCAATTTCTAAAAAATATTTAAGAACTCTTTTAGGAAAAATGTAAAAAAACACTTTATGACTTATTAAAATTCCTATTTTTCTATCCATTTGATTGGTAAAACAGGGAAAAGTTCAACAACACTAAATATCAATAATGATATAGAGTACTGAGGAATCATAAGCTCTGCTGGTGACCATATCATTTTGTACTATAAAAATATAGTTAAAAACTACATTTTAACTATATTTTAGCCAAAGAATATATATATAATTGACTTCCTTAAAGTCATGTTAATAAAGAGGTTTTGAAAAACAGATTTTTTATTCTTGTTTTGTCTGATTGATAAGAATCTTTCATGTGAGATTACTTTGAAATAATACAATCCTTAACCTCATTTGCTTCTCCCACTTCTTTTCATAAATATACCTATTATATATAACTCTACTTGTCACCTACCATGTCTGCATAGATGTGACATTCCTTAATCTTTTTGTCCCACAATGAATTTGTAGATTAAAGAAATAAATGGAAAGCAGTTTAGAGATTATTCTAGTGTGATTGTGTGCACACCCTTGTACACTCTATGAAAGCAGAAGAATGCATTTTTAAGCCTTCTTCAGCAACCTGTCAAACTTAATTTGTGTCAATTATATTGCTGTTGATAGGCACTCTCAAGGTGGAGAATCATACAGTACATTTTAGTTTGCCAAGACTCATTTTTCTTCAAGGAAAAGTATTGTCTAGCTTATTTTTTTAACTACTGAAAGTTGTCATACCTTGATCCATAATACCACATGAATAAAAATTCATCTTTATAATACATAATTACTTCCCAGACCTTGACTTTGCAGACTCTTTTTGTCCTGAGGATATAATGCTCAAAAGGTTTTTTTTTTTTTCCTCAGCGTAACATGATTAGCTCTGAAAAGAAGCCGTATTTCTGAGAAGGATGAGATATTACCCTCTATGAAGAACACTTGATAAGAATTCCTCACACTTGAGATTGAAAAAAGAAAAAAAAACCCTTATTTTTGGTCTGAAATATCACCCACCCATTCACAACATGTCAAAAGAGACCACTGCTGGCTGCATTAGTCAATTTTTTGGAGCCATCTGCCCACACTGTGGGATATAGTACAGCCAGAATGAGCACTGCAGGTACTGAGAAAATGCCAGAAGTGGTCTTAGTCAAGATAATTCATTGGCTGGTAGAAAGAGAATTGCTTGGCTTATAGGACATAGAGATTGAAAACGGAGAACAGTTGCCCTTTAAAAAAATGTCGTGTTGCCCTGAGTTCTTGTACATGTCTTTTGGCCCATAAGATTTACATCTCTCTGTCTCTTCAAGGTGTCAATTATAGTATTTTTGAGTGAAATTCTATCTGACTGAAAGAACTAAGTATCCTGCTGCAAAGGAACACCCTATGTATCTCTGACTAAATTGACTACCTAATAAGAGCAAAGCAAATGAGGAGGAAAAGCATATTTTATCTCTTTTAGGCTTGTTGCCTGATTTTACTAAGTGCAATATGTTTCCTATTAGTATTTCAATATATGTATTTATTTTTAGAACTGCTTATAGATACATCCATGTCCCCTAATTCAAAATAGTATTAGCAGGAAAATATCTGTATATTGGTTATCTTGACTAATAGCCTTAATTTAACCTTCGATTTTTAGTTCTGCAACATTTCTAAACAGACTTCTATGTTAATATGTTTAAACAGTTTTTTTCCACAGTTAATTATTTCAGATTCTTTAATAGCTTAAAAGGGTATTTTAATTTTACAAATTTACATTAGTTCAACAAGTAGTAAATATCATGGCAATCTGAGCTCTATTTATTATTATCTTGAAATTATAGAAGTGGCTAGGAAATTTCTGAGTTTAGTTGAAATATAGTACATCATATGGTATTGAGTATACATTTGTTAATTTATCTACTTTTTCTCTTACAATTTTATGAGGTTTTTGGTTTGTTTTTCTTTAGTGCTTGCTATGTCTCTGTAGTGCTTTGGGAGGTAAAAGGAATTCATGTATAAAATATAGACACTATTCTCTAGATCTTACTACATACTACAGTTGAGTAGTCTAGAATAATACACTGAAAAAATTAAAGAACTTTGTAAGAAATAAATTTGTATATTTAATATTCTATCTTTATATTATGAGATATAATTTCTTTTCTTTCTTTTTTTTGAGATGGAGTCTTGCACTGTTGCCCAGGCTGGAGTGCAATGGTGGAGTCTCAGCTCACTGCAACCTCTTCTTCCTGGGTTCAAGCGATTCTCCTGCCTCAGCCTCCCGAGTAACTGGGATTACAGGCACCTGCCACCATGCCTGGCTAATTTTTTGTATTTTTAGTAGAGATAAGGTTTCACTATGTTGTGCAGGCTGGTCTCAAATCCCTGACCTCATGATCTGCCCGCCTCGTCCCCCAAAGTACTGGGATTACAGGTGTGAGCCACCGTGCCCAGCCCATGAGACATAATTTCTATAAAAGAAGAGAAAATCGTTCTTAACTAAAAGATCTGGGATTCTTTTCTTGATTCATGAACAATTGCTTTGAGCCTTTATTCCAATAAAATAATATACATTTAATGTTAAATGGCTTGTTACAGTTTTTATAAGTTACTCAAGATGCTTGATATTAGTTAAACATTTAAGTAAATCAGTGGCTATTTGGGTTTTTTCAAATACTCGTATAACTAAATTTAATATACATACATATTATATATCCTCTATTATACATTATATAATATAATGCATATATGTGTGTGTGTGTGCATGCAGCTACTATTTAGAACCATCATTTACACAGAATGCTGAATATCATAGATGATAAGTGTTGGCTGAAAAAAGATAACTCATTTCAAGAGGAGATCTCAATGTGCTTCACTACTGAAAACATTTTGGTACATCTTGAACCAAAAATAAACAAAGTTTAAATGATCTATTTAATTGTATCAGACTGATCTATTTCAGAAAACATTGCTCCATTTCCACTGTTGGAAATTGCTTTTTACTCCTAAACTCACAGCAGTTAAGGAAAATTGTGTGACCTTTCTCATACAATTGCTATAATTAATAAAACTGACAATTATTGGTTCCAAGAAATGAATATCATTTCCTTATAAATGTCTCACCAAGGTCCTGGCAGAAGGCATGGCACTCAGATTTTTATAATGAGAAAGTAGTACCTACAAATGGGTAGACAATGCTTTTTATGAAAAATATGAAAAATACTTTCTATTAAAGCAATAGTAAAGATAATAGTTGGTCTTAGTAACTTTACCCAAAGCCTCAGAATGTAATCTTATTTGGAAATAGGATCTTTGCAAATGTAGTTAAGGTAGGGATCAGGATGAAATCATGCTGAATTAGGGTGGATCATAAACACAATGTAAGTGTTCTTTTAACAAACAGAAAAAGAAAACTGAGACACACACACAAAAAGGCTATGTGAAGACGGAGGCAGAGATTAAAGTGATGCCACAGTAAAACAAGAGATGCCAAGGATTGCTGGGGAGAGACCACTGGAAGATAGAAAGGGGCAAGGAACTATTTCAAGAAAGATTCTTCTCTAGACCTTTTGAGAGCGCATGGCCCTGACAATATATTTGTTTCAGACTTCTAGTCTACAGAAATGCAATAGAATAAATCAATAAATCTCTGTTGTTTCAAACCACCAAGTTTGTGGTAATTTTTATGACATCCCTAGGAAACAAATACAGTGATGTAGCACAATTTGAGCCACATTTTGCCTCAAATAGGTTTTGACATCCTGGTTTCCGACTCTTAATCATACTTCATGGATGAACTACACAATTCCACCCATTCCTCCACTTGTGTACCTAGTCCTAATGCTCATCAGTCTCCATAGGAATGTGGTACTAGGTCTTCTTGTTCTTATTGAGTTTTCCTATCTACTGGATCAATTACCTTAACTTTAATATATCCTGGGAAGAAAGAGAAAGTCCTAATTCCACCCCTTGACTCCACATTGCCCTCCAACTAACATTTCTTCTCTCTCCTCTTTCACACGAAACTTTTCTATATTCACGGTCCACAATTAGCTTTGTCTCATTCTCTCTTGAACCACTCCACACAAGTATTGTTCCCATTATTCCGCAAAAAGTTTTTGTCAAGATAACTACCACATTGTCAAATTCACTGGTAAACTCTTTTTATCTTTTGTCTTCTCCATACCATTTGTTAACAAATTTTAAATGCCATTTGAAATACATTCTTTACTGTTTTAGTAGGTACCATGTTCTCCATTTTCCTTTCATTTTACTGTCTTCTTCTGACTTGTCCTGAACACTCTTTTCCGGACCTCTAAATGGTGTAGTGCTCAAGCCTCAGTCCTCATATCTCTTTTTTTCATTAACTGTCCTCTTTTTCATGGCAATCTCACTCAGCTTCAAGGCTTTAAATCCCCCTTATGCTGATTTCTCTAGAATTTAAATATCAAGCCTAAACTAGAACTGACTATAAATAAGTAACAAAATAAGAGGCCAGGCAGTGGCTCACGTCTGTAATCCCAGCACTTTGGGAGGCCGAGGCAGGTGGATTACTTGAGTTCAGGAGTTTGAGACCAGCCTGGCCAACATGGTGAAACCCCGTCTCTACTTAAAAATACAAAAATTAGCTGGGCGTTGTGGTGCACACCTGTAATCCCAGCTACTCAGGAGGCTAAGACAGGAGAATCACTTGATCCTGGGAGGTGGAAGTTGCAGTGAGCTGGGATCATGCCATTGCAAGACTCCGTCTCAAAAAAAAAACCAAAATAAGTGAGTAACATGGGTTTTTGGGGTATAACATTTAAAAGCTTAGAATTATACTGAGACTAAAAATCAGGTTTCTAACCAATAAGATACAGAAACAGAAGCCTGGCTATAATTTTTTAAATTGCTTCACTTATTCATGAGGTTTGGTATTAAGAAAAGAAATTGAAGATAGTTCTGGGATTCCACAAGTATCACAGAATTTGCTTAATTGAGGCAGAGACGGCTGGATTGGTTTCTTTCTACTTTACTACTGAAGAAACTTTAATGTTCTTCAAGGTTCTAATGCAAACTATTATAGAAACACATTTCCCAATCTTCTGAAAAGGCATGTAACTAAGACAGCCAATCACATTCAGCAAAACTGTGTTCCGCAAAGAAAAGAATAAATGCTTCCTGCCTTCTTCCTCATTTTAGCTGTCTTGAACATGAATACAATGCCTCAAGCATCAGCAGCTATATCTTAGCCCAGGAGGTGTCCTTGAGGATAGAGGTCACCATGGCTCACCAAAAAGAGAGAAAGAAATTGTGTCTCTGGTGACCTCCTGGATCCAAAATACCAGCCTTGAAATACTTTCCCGCCTGGTATGTTCATGTTCCTGTATTTAAGCTTCCATTACTTTAACCAAACCTAATCCTAACCGGTACTTTACTTTGTATCTGAAAGGAAAGTGCTTCAGGTAATATAAAAACTGAATTTGGCTAAATAAAAGATTTGAGGTATTAGAAGCACTGATGACTGATTTTGTAGGCTGAGAAACTTTACTAATCTGTAATATGTTTTACAGATAACTATACATTAGAAGTCTTTCTTCATACTTATCAGTAAGAGCGATAATTGAGGCCAGGCGTGGTTGCTCACGCTTGCAACCTCAGCACTTTGGGACTTTGGGAGGCCGAGGCAAGTGGATCACCTGAGGTCAGAAGTTTGAGACCAGCCTGGCCAAAATGGCGAAACCCCGTCTCTACTAAAAATAAAAAACTTAGCTGGGTATGGTGGCATGTGCCTGTAATCCCAGCTACTCGGGAGGCTGAGGCAGAAGAATTATTGCTTGAACCCAGCAGGCAGAGGTTGCAGTGAGTCAAGATCTCACCATTGCACTCCATCCTGAGTGAAAAGAGCAAAACTCTGTCTCAAAAAAAAAAAAAGTGATAATTGAATAAATTATAAAAATTTGGTCTATATTTGCAGTTCTTTATTAGTAAACACCTGAGACAGATAAGATCAGATTAAAGCCAGAAAATTTTAAAACAGAGATGGATAAGTTAAGAGACCTCTACTCATTGAATAAAAACTTAGTCAACTGAATATTTTGTAATGTGGAATACTGAAGGTGTCATCTCTTTCTTCTGTTCCTTAAGTTAAAGGTATTATAACTGGAGGAGGTAAAATTACAGTCTTAGGCAATATGCATGACAATCATAAAATACTCATAAGCCCTTTTGTCAGAGGTGTTTGAACCAGAGCAACTCCATTTTGAGTAAGGGCTAGGAAAATGAGCCTGGGACTTACTAGGCAGCATTTTCAGAAAGTTAGGCATTCCTAGCCTCTAGATGTTTATGGTTAAGGGATCAAATTAATAATGTTTACTAAAAAGACCCAGAATTGGGATCGTCCAGATATCCTGATACCTGGAGAACAAAGGCATTCCTAATTTTGTTTGAAAGATAATAATATATATTCTTGCAAAATATAGTCATTAATAAAATTAATCTTTTATCACAAAACTTTGTAGCCGAGCACATCTCCCCAAGATCATTTTTTTATCCTATACATATACAAGCATTGTACCTAGAGTGTACATGTACCTCCTCTTACTTTCGGGAACGTCCTACACTGTATATGGAGAAGCTGTGCTTTCATCACTTTACTTTCTTAATAAACTTGCTTTTACTTTGCACTCAGACTTACCCTGAATTATTTCTTGCACAAGATCCAAGAACCCTCTCTTGAGGTCTAGATTGGAACCCCTGTCCTGTAACACTTTGAGAAGGAAAGTAGATATGTTACCTCTTCATTCAAATCTATTACTTTAAATGGTTTTAAGACAGCTGTAGTTAATTTGAGGGGTAGGTTGATAAGTAAAATATACAGACAAGTAATAAAAACTGGTAATGTTCAAGCTCAAAGTCTGTGGGACTGTAGGTAAAATATGTTTTATACTTTTTCACAGTCAGGTCTTTTGAAGAAAATTTTGCTGAAACTTGGGACCTAGGATCTCTGGATGTTAATTTCTGACAGATAAGATAATGAGAACTTCAGAGAGATTTACTTCTTGGGAAGAATATTTCAAGAGTGAATAAAACTTGGGATCATGAGACGCTAGAGTTATAAAGCTGGAGACGCTGGTCTTATTTTTCCTCAGGAGAGAATTATTTACATATCAATAGATTAAAGTAATGACTCAGGATCCTTCCCATAGTGTTTCCAAGGAGACTCAGGGAGTGAGGGCAACCGAATTTTTCTCCTGTATAGACCTGTACATGGAGTGTGACAGCTGTCTTTTATTACCTCATTGTGTAAGAATTGAGTCACTTGGAAACAACACAGTTATCATTTGTAGTAAGTAAATAATAATAATTTTCTCTGGTCCAGAAACCTTATGTGTACATTTAGGATAATACCAATACATAAAGATATTAAAAACTTAAAAACCAATATCTTACAAAAGGGTTGACTTTTAAATATGTCCATGGAACTTACAAAAAACCGACAAGAAACCTTTTGAATTGTTGATGGAATTATAATGTCAAATGAATGCTAACTTGGCATAAAACAGACCAAGACTGTTAAATGTTTTAAAAAAGCACCAGAGCTCCCTCACTCCAATTAATAAGAAATTTGCTGCTAAAACTTTGACATGCCCAGGAAATATGTACTCTCCAATACCCATCTCAAATATGGGCACAGAAGATAGAAAATGATCAAGTCCTTCCCAGTGATTGGAAGAGGCTGTGAAATGGGCCAAAAAATTATGTTATTTCTCCTTCTAGTTCATGGAATCTTTACTACTCCAACCCACAAACTGCATTTGTAGGGACTTATGTACTTTCAATTTTCTGTTTCCACATGGGTGTTTTTACTGTGGTTATTCTTTTTGTTCTCCTCTATTGTATGCTGTGCAGGTTAATTAGTATTTAGTTTATAGATCGCTGTATCACAAATAGCAGCACAAAGCCCTGGTGTATAGATCCTTACTCCATTCAGAGATTCAAGAATTTTTGCTAGATGCAATAATTGTTTAATTTTTTTCTTTCAGGGAATAGGATCGTTTGTTATTATATAAATCAGTGCACACTTATGAGTAGGTATAGAGCCAGAGTAGTAAATTATGGACATACAGTTAATTATTAGTTTCTGTATCCATTATTGTTTCCTCTTTATTGAAAGAAAACTGATTGTATTTGGACCAGAACAAAGCATTATGTTTTCCAGCCTTCTTTAAAGTTAAGGCTATCTATAAGATAAAGTATATCTGTGTAATTAAATGCTGATCAATAAGATATCAACTGTATTGTTTTGTGGAGTTCTGTGAAGACTAATAGGAAGGAGTAAGCCCTTCTTTCTCCCTTCTTCATTCATGAGATAAAGAAAGGATACTGACGATGAAGATATGGTAGAAGATAAAGATCAAGGGCTTAAAAATATATTTTAATACCTCTCATTAATTCAAACTAGCTGGAATGTTTGGAGAATGACAGTGTAAGATTGATAAATAAGCGGCCAGAAGCAAGATCATACTAAAAGTCTCTCTCTATAGGTATATATATATATATGTGTGTGTGTGTATATATATATGTGTATATATATGTGTGTATATATGTGTGTGTATATATATGTGTGTATATATATGTATATATGTGTGTATATATATGTGTGTATATATGTATATATGTGTATATATGTGTATATATATGTGTATATATATGTGTGTATATGTATATGTATATATATGTGTGTGTGTTTGTGTGTGTATTATAGGTCTAAATTAAGAAAACGCCAACTTAGAAACATATAGTAGAAGAAAGAACATGAACCAAATTCTATTTTCAAAAGATCAGTCCAGTCCAGTGACAATATAAATGTCAGCAGTGAGATCCTTGATAGGTTATGTGAAAAAAAAAATAGAAATGATTTGAAGAAGAAATGGGGACTTAAAATCAGGGAGGACAGTTAAGGCAGAAAGTAGTGAGCCCATGGGGTAGGACAATGAAAAAAAAAGGTTTGAATTCATGAGATATTTTAAAGAGAACATCAACAACATTTATTGAAAAATTTGATGTTCTGGTTGAAGGATTTGAGAAAATAAAGAATAATACCCATGTTTGTAACTTGCATCTTTCTTCAATAAAAAGAATCAATGAGGATGATGAAATTTAGAGAGAAATATGACGTTTGGTTTGGCATTCTTGTTAGAGTTTTGTCTGGATAAAGACCCAAATTGTTTTTCCTCTGCTGTCACACCAGCAACACAACAACAAAAATCAACCCAGAACACTTCAGTAATGAAATGTAGGGGAGTGGGTTTCTCTCCACGAAGCAAGCAATCAATTCTGTAGGAGACACCAACTGGGTGTCCTCGAATTCAATTCCAACACTGTATACCCGGAGATAGCAACAAATCTCACAGGTTGAGGGCTCAGTCCTCAAAACCGCCCTCCCTTTAGACACCAGTCACGAGTCCAGGACTTCAGAACTTCTAACCAATTGGTTTCAAGTTGAGATTCCCACCCACTACCTCCTCTTTGGGTTCAATTAATTCTCTGGAGTAGCTCACAGAACTCCAGAAAACACTTACTTACTTTTTCCAGTTTATTATAAAAGATATAGCAAAGACACAGATGAAAAGATGTATGGGACGATGTATGGATGAAGGTGTATGGACCTTCCATGTCCTCCCTGGGTACAGCACCTTTCAGGAACCTCTATGTGTTCACCTATCCAAAAGTTGTACAAACCCTGTCCCCTTGGGTTTTTGTGAAGGCTTCATTAGTAAGCATGATTGATTAAGTCATCAGCCATTGGTAATCAATTTGACCATCAGCTTGTCTCCCATTCCTGGAGGTGGGGGTGGGGCAGAATATTCCAACCCTGCAATCATGCTTTTGTCTACAGGATAACCCATCCTGAAGCTCTCGGTCAACATTAGCATACAAAAAGACAGCACTTATATATTCCAAGGATTTTAGGAGTTGTATGCCAAGAAGTATTGATGAAAACCAAATATATATTTCACAATATCTCAAATACACACATTTAGGTTATTGTATAATCCTGGTGCTACAATTCAAAATCATAATGTTGATAAAACCACAGGAGTGTAAAGTCAGCTGAGAGAAAGGACGAGAGAGAGAGACCCAAGTTCAGGAAAGCCTTTATTAACCTGCTGGCTGCTCCATTACAGACAGAGGAGGCAGCCCTGAGCTTAAAAAATGAGGGGTTTATATGGAGGAGAGAGACCCTGGGGTCGTTTATGGGTTAACTTTGCCATATATCACCTTGTGACATTTATGGCAGCTAGATGAAGGAACTTCGGGAGGATGTAGGTAAACTTTGCTTATGCTTCCCACAACCTCACCCTGTATGTCCAGATGGTTTGTAATTGGGGTTTGTTTATTGTAGCAAGACCTTATAGGTAAAGTCTGCTGGCTTCACCAAGGCGCCTAGATAAGGGCTTAGAAAGATAAAAAGGTTTGGGGGGAGGGTTGGCAGCACAGAGATATTCCAGACTTTTAATAGGTAATAGAAGAGTGTCGCCATTATCTGGTTGTTGTCTGGCTGCTTCCTGCTGGGAAGGGGCGACAGTTTTGGGGGAAGGCTGGACGGTAGGGACTGCTGTTCTTGGAGCTGTTGGTATTCCTGGAGCAGCATCATATCTTGTATTGTCCCGTGGGTGAAGGTTCTGATACGGTCCTGTAAAAACTGGGTGAGAAGGCGTGGGAGACAAGGGCCAAATGCTAGAAAAAGAAGAATGGTTATGGCTGGGCCTAGGAGGGGCATTAGCCATGGAAACCAGGTACTAAAGGACCAGGATGGCCACGCTGGTCATCGGGAGACGTTGTCCTTAATTTTTGTGCTTGGTTCTTTAGTCTTTTCACAGCATCTTGTACTAAGCCAGATTGATTAAGATAAAAAAAACACTGTTCATGTACAAAAAAGCAGAGTTCTCCTTTTTCAGCTGTTAGTAAGTCTAGGTCTCTGTGGTTTTGAAGAACTACTGCTGCTAAAGAATTTATTTCTGATTGGAGAGTTGTAATAGATTGGACTGAGGAAAACCAGGGTGCAGGTGCCTGTGCAGTTAGAAGGGAGGCAAATATAGGTTGAGGTATCGCATAGGAAAAGTATGCCTTGACTTGGCAGATAGAACTGGTTGTGAATGTTAAAAAGATGTACTGAGAGGTGAAGCCAGCTAGATTTCCTGGGTTGAGTGGGGACTTGGAGAACTTTTCTGTCTAGCTAGAGGATTGTAAATGCACCAATCAGCACTCTGTGTCTAGCTAAAGAATGGTAAATGCACCAAGCAGCACTCTGTAAAAATGCACCAATCAGCGCTCTGTGTCTAGCTAAAGGATAGTAAACACACCAATGAGCACTCTGTAAAAATGCACCAATCAGCGCTCTGTGTCTAGCTAAAGGATTGTAAACGTACCAATCAGCACTCTGTAAAACAGACCAATCAGCACTCTATAAAATGGACCAATCAGCACTCTGTAAAATGGACCAATCAGCAGGACATAGGCAGGGACAAATAAGGGAATAAAAGCTGGCCACCCCCAGCCAGCAGTGGCAACCCACCCAGGGTCCCCTTGCACGCTGTGGAAGCTTTGTTCTTTCGCTCTTCACAATAAATCTTGCTGCTGCTCACTCTTTGGGTCCGCACTACCTTTATAAGCTGTAACACTCACTGCGAGGGTCTGCAGCTTCATTTCTGAAGTCAGCAAGACCACGAACCCACCAGGGGGGAACAAACAACTTCAGGGTCGCCACCTTTAAGAGGTGTAACACTCATTGTGAAGGTCTGTGGCTTCACTCCTGAAGTCAGCGAACCCGCCAGAAGGAAGAAACTCTGGCCACATCTGAACATCTGAAGGAACAAATTCCGGACACACCATCTTTAAGAGCTGTAACATTCACTGTGAAGGTCTGCAGCTTCATTCTTGAAGTCAGCAAGACCAAGAACCCACTGGAAGGAACCAATTCTGGACACAGTACTATTTTGTTATTTTCATACATCTATAATTTTAGGGTCCTGGCTAGGGCTGCTGCTGTAAGTGATTGTAAAGGGGTGTGTGGTTTAGGCTGGGAGGCTTTGAGGTTCTTTTTTTCCCAGTGTAAGAGGAAGCATTTTGTGTCCACTAAAATCTATCTGGGAGTGTTGTTGAATGTTGGGATAAAGAGACCCGTTGCAGGTGGTGGGTGCAGGGGATGGTGCATGGAGAGGGGAGCCAAAGGAAGAGGCATAAACAGGGAAAGTGTCGGCCTTTGCAGTGCTCTAAATTTTTATTAAGGAGGTGGCAGGTGTCAAGGGCCAGGGGGGCAGCTAGAGAAGCCAAGCCTGTTTTTATTGTTGGCAGCTTTGAGACTAGTATGTTTGGTGGAAGGTTTGAGTTGTAGGGTATAGTTGCCAAGGGGAATGCCAGAGGGTAGATGTCGTTGGACGCACAGTGGGGCTGGATAGGATAAGATTGTGTGAGTTGTTATGGCTCCTGATATGGGTTTATCAGGGCTGCTGTAGGGGGATAGGATGCGTAAGTAGGGATGTAAGGTTGTAACAGCTGGACCGAACTAGCTACCTAATGGGGGTGGGAGGAGATTTCTGTTAATGCCTGTATGTCGAGTTTGAGGGGGTTGTTAATGAGGATTTCAGGATGGTAGTTTACTTGGGTGGAAGTCCAGTTATAGGCTGAGGCAGGGATTGTATTGTATGTTGTGGAGAGGAGGGATACACAGAGCCAGCAGTCTTATGCCAGGGAGGAATTGGAGTTTTTTAATAAGAAATGTGTGAGACTGAGTGTTTTGTATAGGTGTTCAGGGGTTGTAGGTGTTGGTTGGGCTGAAAGAAGGGTTGGGGTATTGATTATGAGGTGAGTTAGAAAGGCAGAGAGTGAGCAGAAAAGTAAATAGTTCGGTTTTACCTGGAGTGAAGCCACAGAGAGAGCCCCGGAAGAAAAGGTCGGTTATCCACTTGAAAAAGGCTTCTAGGGTGTAGTTCCGTGGGCGGAACCAGGAAATATCTTGTGTGAGGACGTGAAGTAAGAGAGTGAAGTGGCAGGATAGACAAAAGTAGGGCATCTAGGGGGATATGGGAATGTTTGTTAGTGATTGTGATTTCTGCTATAAGGGTAACGATTAGGCAGAAGGCTAAAATGAGGGAGACTTTTTGGCTAGTATTCCGATTGGAAGGAGTTACATTATATAATTTCACTGTAAACAATAGGGTGAGTAGTATAATAAATGGGGAATGGAGGGCTCCTTGAAAGGAGGTAACAGAGCATATACGACAGTTTGAAGTTATGTTTCTTAGTAAGGTTAATAGGTGAAGGGAGAAGAAATATGGGCGGCAGAGGAGATACAGGGGATGTGCATCACTATGGAAGGATTGGTGGAGAGATGTTAGGATTTTGTTGGATTGGCCCTGGGGAAGGACTAACTTCTGGTCCTTAACTATCTATTCCCCCTGGAGGAAGGCTCCTTGTTGTTGTAATAAGGTCTTTTCAGTGGGGGGAGCATTGGGGTTGCATTGCAGGGGTAATGAGGGGGAGGGAGGAGCGGAAGAAAGGGAGGCTTCTTTTGCTGCCTCATCGGCCTTTCTGTTCCCTCTTGAGATTTTATCTGTTCCTATTTGATGTCCCTGACGGTGTATAACTCCCGCTTCAGTTTTGAGGTGTGAGGCCTGAAGGAGTTGGTAAATAAAGGGACCGTTAGTGATGGGGCTCCCTTTGGCAGTAAGAAATCCCCTCTCACGCCAGATGGAAGAATGTGATATGCACATTTGGAGTCTGTGTAAATGTTGACTTGTTTGCCTTTGGAAAGGGTTAGGGCTTTGGTGAGAGCTATGATTTCTGCCTTTTGAGAGGAGGTTCCTGGAGGTAGGGGTTTAGCTCTAATTACCCGGTCAAGGGAAACAACTGCATACCCAGCAATTTTGCGGGAGTCAGTGGGCCCAGAAGAGGAGCCATCTATAAATAGCTGGTCATCAGGGTTGATGAGAGGCTCGGAGGAAATATTTGGAAAGTGTGGCTGCAGGTGATCTAGGATGTCAGTGCAAGAATGAGTAGAAAGGGAAGAAGATACAGGGAGTAAGGATGCTGGGTTGAGGGAAGTGCTTTTGGCAAGACTAAATTTGGGATTTTTGATAAAGAGGGTGCGGAGTAATTGAATTCGGGAAGGAGGAAGGAAGCCTAATGTTCGGGAGGAAAGGAGATCCTGCATATTATAAGGACTGTAAATGGTGGTATTTTGGCTGAATGTTAGTTTTCTGCTTTTTTAGAGTTAAAGTGGCCGCTGCTGCTAGTGCTCTAAGAGAGATTGGCCACCATCTTGTAACGCCTAAGGTTCTTGCCTAGCCACACCAAAGAATTGGTGTAGCAGCTGACCATGGCAAGTGATAGAGACACGGACTGAGAGAGAGAAAAAGCTGTAGGCTTTATTGAGCAGAGTGAAAGTACAAAGCTTCCACAGCATGGAAGGGGTCCCGAATGGGTAGCCACTGTTGGTTTTGGGTGATTGCCTTGTCAATTTTTCAAGGCAGGAGATACGTGAGGCGGGAAGCTTGTTACAGGAGGGAGAAACAAAGGTAGTAAAATATTTTGTGACATATCTTAGATTTTGAGGAAAACCAGAATTGCAACTTAGGTTTTATCTACTTTATGACTTTGCAGTGGCATGGCAAAGGAGACAGGATCTTACAGGACTTTACAAAGTATGTTTATAAGGAATTGGAATTGGGAGTATAGATAAGCTCTGCTGGTCACAGAAAAACAGGCAGTTAACATTCGTTTTACTTTAGTTTCGGGGGAGGGGGACGGGAGAGAGGGAGAGAGGGAAAGAAGGACATGGAAACTTACAGTGAAATTTTCGTTGTTTATAGCTTTCTTGGGGAAGAAAACACATGCACAAATCCTGGTGTAAGGAATATTTTAAGCATATATCTTCAATATCATTCATCCAGGACCGAGGTAAGTCCTGATGCAGGAAATGAGTGAGTTTCACAGCTTTCTGAGCCCCTATTCGACCCAGGAAGCCCAGCTGGCACCTCCTCTCACTCTGCCTGTGTTGTTTAATTGTTTAGAAGGTAGGCTCCAAGGAGCGAAGGAAGGAGGATTTCCTTTCTGTTGTCCTAAGACACCGAGGTCTATTCCTCAGCTTTTGGCAGTATAGATAGTGAAAGGTTGGGAGATATCAGGTAAGGACAGAGCTGGTGCAGTGACTAGAGCAGTTTGGAGTTTGTGGAAGTTGGGGAGTATATTATGTGAGGGATTTAGGGGTTCATTGAGAGGGCCTTTGGCCACTTCATAGAGGGGGCGAGCTAGGAGGGCAGAGTTGGGAATCCATATTTTTAAAAAGCCTGCTACCCCTAGGAAAAAAAAATGATTTTGCTTCGGGAGGAGGGCAGGGGTAGATTATCTGTTAATGCTGCTCGGGCTGGGGTCATAGCTTGGGCCCCAGGGGAAAGCCGAATTTCTAAGTAGGTCACCATGCAGGTGGAGAGTAGTGTGGAGTTTTGAAAGGATGTCTCTGCCCAGGAGCAGAGTTGGACATAAGGGCAGGATTAAGGAAGAGTAAGTGAAGGAGAAGTTGTGTAGGGAGCAGAAGAGTGGAGGGGTGGCTCGGGGTTTGGAGACTTGTCCATCAATTCCTACAGCAGAGACCTGGGAGGACTTGGTGGGTCCTCCAATCCTTTAGCTAGACACAGAGCCCTGATTGGTGCATTTTTACAGAGTGCTGATTGTTGTATTTACAATCATTTAGCTAGACACAGAGTGCTGATTGGTGCATTTGCAATCCTTTAGCTAGACACAGAGTGCTGATTGGTGTATATATACACACATTTTTTTTGAGACAGAGTTTTTTTTTTTTTTTTTTTTTTTGAGACAGAGGTTCTTTCTTGTTGCCCAGGCTGTAGTGCAATGGCGTGGTCTCAGCTCACTGCAACCTCTGCCTCCCAGGTTCAAGTGATTCTCCTGCCTCAGCATCCCAAGTAGCTGGGATTGCAGGCGCCTGCCACCACACCTGGCTAAATTTTTTGTATTTTTAGGAGAGATGAAGTTTCATCATGTTGGCCAGGCTGGTCTTGAACTCCTGACGTCAGGTGCTCCACCTGTTTTGGCCTCCCGAAGTGCTGGGATTACAGGCATGAGCCACTGTGCCCAGCTGTACATTATTTTAATAATAAAGCAACAAGTTTTCTTCCCTGTTCCCTGTGTATTTTCTACGTTGTAAGCAAAATGATACTCTTAAATTTGGATCTGATCTTGTTCTTCTTCTGCTTAATGCCATTCAATTGCTATCCAGTTGCATTTAGGTTACTCTTTAAACTGTTAGTGAGATTTATTAAAGCTTTTGGATTTCTTATTAATCTGGCTGCTGGCTACAGCTTCCCTTTAGCTTCACATCTCCACCCTATTTCCTTTGTAAGATATATTCTAGCAGGATTAAACTTGCCTTCATTTCTAAACACACTACTGTAATTTTTTTGATTCATTGCACAAAATACTTTGTTCTTATATTTAATATTCTTTTCCTGTCATTTGCTAACTTAACTTCTACACATACTTCACGTATTTCAACATCCGTTTACAGGTTATTTACTTTAAAAAGGCTTTTCTGACCCGTAAATGAACATAATATGTCACTCTTTTCATATACTATTGTAAGTGCCTATTTTTCACCAGATTTTAAGCACTTTACACTCATATGTTGCTTAACGAAGGAGATACCTTCTGGGAAATGCATCGTTAGGCAATTTCATCACTGTGCAAACATTCATAGAGTGTACTTACATGAACTTAGATGAGACCACCTACTACAAACCTAGGCTATAAGATATAGCCTGTCGCTTCTGAGCTACACACCTGTACAATGTTGCAGTACTCAATACTGTAGGTAATTGTGACACAACAGTAAATATTTGTGTATCTAAACATATCTAAATAAAGAAAACGTATGGTAAAAATACAGTATAAAATAAATTGGTACACCTGTATAGGGTACTTACCATTAATGGAGCCCACGAGACTGGAAGTCGCTCTGGGTAAGTCACTGAGTGAGTGGCGAGTGCTTGTGAAGGCCTAGGACATTTCTGCGCACACCAACATAGACCTTATAAACACTGCACACCTAGGCTACAATAAATGTATTACAAAATTTTTTTCTTTAATAATAATTTAACCTTAGTTTACTGTTACCTTTTTACTTTTTAAACTTCTTAATTCTTTCTTTTTGACTCTTCTTATAATACTTAGCTTAAAACACAAACACATTATACCATTATACAAAAATATTTTCTTTATATTCTTTTTCTATAAGATTTTTCTTATTTGTAATTTTTTTGTAACTTTTTAAACTTTTTATGTTAAAAACCAAGACCCAAACACACACCATAGCCTGGACCTACACAGGATCAAGATCGATATCACTGCCTTCCACCTCCACGTCTTATCTCACTGGAGGGCTTTCAGAGGCAATAACAAGCATAGAGCTGTCATATCCTATGATAGTAGCACATTCTTCTGGAATACCTACTGAAGGATCTGCCTGAGGCTGTTTTACACTTAAATTTTAAAAAATAAGCAGAAAGAGTATACTCTGAAATATCAGTAAAAGTATAGTATAGTAAATACATAAACCAGTAACATAGTAGTTGAATGGAAAAGTGAAAAAAATGTATGTACTTAAAAAGAAGGCCTAATAGTGGTTGAAGGGTTGACTAAAGACAAATGACAAGGGCATAGTCAAGAGCAAAACAATAGCAAGTGTAAGGGGTGTAGGGATCACACAAGTCAGAGCAAAGGAGTGTTGCCTCATGGGTGGTAAATCAAGCTACCTTTATTGGCAAGTGCATTATGACAGTATTGTCCTCTGCAAATATAAAATAGATGAGAAAATGCAAAGCAGAACAGGTCAGCAGTTGGAGTGAAAAGCAAAGGATAGCAATACTAAGGTCTTGTTTTGGAAGGATATTATCTTCCTGGATAGGAAGACTAAGGTCTTCCCCAGGACAATGGAATACTAAGTGTTTTGTTGCTGTCTTCATTAATTTAAAGAGATTCTCATAAAAAAAGAGAGAACAATGACATTGGGGAATTTAATCTAAAAATTGTAATTTACACAAACATGTTTTACGTGTTGGAGAAAAATATAGTCATGAAGTCCTCCTTTTTAGTGTCTACATATATTTTAACTTTTCCAAACTCAGATTTTCAGCATGGAAATTAATCTTGGTTTTATGGATAAATAGTAAATATACATGCAAATTTAAATTTATATTATTTATAAACATATACAGTCACAAATGTAAGTTCTTTACACAAGTATGTCTGCAAATGAGTGTGTATGTGCATATGTAAGGGTTGTTTAATAGCACTGGAAATTAGTGTCTTCTTATTTTTCTTACAATATTATCTCCAATGGGATGCTTGTTTTGCTTGTCACCTCTTGTAGCTTGTACTAAGTGAGAAGATAGAATCACTGATTAACATCTAAGTGTTGTCACTGAGGAACAAACTGTAAACACGAAGGATATTTTCAAGGTTTTAAAGGCACTTTTTCTATAGTTTATAAGGACCTGTGTTATGTTCTTATGCATTTTACATCTTTCTTATTATAATAACAACTGAATATAGTGTGAATGAAAAGCTAATTGCATTTTTTACAATGGAAACTCACTTTTAGTATACCAAAACATAATACATCTTTACTTTTTAAAATGTTAATGAGATTCTTTATCATTATTAATAATAGTTTATTTAAAATATTATTTTAGGATCAGCTGTGCCAAAGAAAGCATAGAAATATTTACTAATATCTAAATCAAATAACGATAGTAAATTTGCTTTTTATCACCCAACATTTCTTCTGCTAGGGAACCTAAGTGTGTCAGAGATTCAAAATTGGGATTCAGTCAACTCTCTGAAAACACCCTATTATGCTAGCATAATGGAACAATAGCACTCAGTCGTGGAGCTTCATCTTAAATGGTACATCTATTATTACACTAATGATTGCAAACCATATGGTGTAACCAATAGGGCTGTCTTTAAATACACTAATTACATCAACTGCAGGCAATAAAACAGGTGCTAAAACAATGTTCTCACACACTGTTTTTCATTTACAGCTCCATAGAAGACCTTTAGTAGAGAGATTGGAATCCCAATCTATTTCCATAGACTCTCATTTGACATTTAAAGATCCTGCATAGCTATCCAGTCAACTCCAATTTAAACAACAAATATGCTATTTGTTAGTAAACCTAGAAATAGATTGTTTAAGTGAGGATTAATGGATGAAAGAAGAGGATTAATGGATGAAAGAATTTAAAGCAAATGATGTCAATGTTTATTGGGAGTTCTTTAGTCAATTTTACCTATTATATGTTGTGCCATTCTCCATTTATAGATCATTTTATATGAGTACACTTAAAGTCAAACACATTGGGGTCAAATTCTGGTCTTAGAATTTATTATCTCTAAGTATTTGAGAATGTTATTCAATATATCTCTGACTCAGTTTCCTCAGTTTTCTCGCATATTTAATGGTTTAAGTCATTATAACAAACTCATAGGGCTGTTTTGAGGATTAAGTGAGGTGAGTCTTCTAACCTGTATTAAACCCCTGCTTGGCATAAATACCAAATAAATGCTAGCTAATATCATAAAATAATTACATTGTAGGCACAAATACACTAAAAATATGTATCCTTGTAAATATACACTAAAAAATGTTTAAAAAAGGTAATATGTTCTAGAATAAATTGTAGATATTATCTTTACAGATATTGATATTATCTAATACCTTATACAAGTTTAAGCGATGTAAAATATTCATTATCTAGTTATATATTTTTTTCCAATAACAAAGCATTTAAAATGAAACTTGTATAGTCAGATTGCAAGAAAAAAAGTGTATATAGAAGAATTAGCAAACAAATTGCCTATTTGCAAACTACTGTTATATTAGTGACCTAAAATGAAAATTGGTTCTCAAATTACTAGTCTTTAATGAGATAACAACTTTAATGAGAGAGTAAGTAGTAACCAGCATGTTGGGGAATAGGAAAGCACAGTTGGTCAAAAATCTCTATTAAAGGATGTTACTGCTTTACTTAGGCTGAAATAACATGGTGGGGAGGAGGCTATGGGGTTTCTGGCAAAAACATGCAATTTTGGAGTCCACCCAGTCTCTATCGCCCATGGGTTTGCAGGCGTTCCCGCGGGTTTTGCTCCTGGACATGATGATCCTTCCTACCACTGCTTCTCTCACAGCAAAGTCTCAGCATCCTTCCTTTCAGATTTGTCTGACATTGACCTCTTCTCTGTGAGAGATTAGGAGGTAATCGCCATGTCAAAAGAATATTTATGGAGAATTCATTTAGCCACAGCATTAAGTTACTATAATAAATCTCCAGAATCATACGAAGATATTGGAACTTGCTGCCAGGGTTTTGAAACTTCCAGTTGGTCAAATGTCAGTTAACATGAAGTAGCAGGTTCAGTGAATTTACAGTATGCCATGAAATCACTTTATATGATGCAGCAGCAGGAGATCCTTCGCTGTCTTTTAGCCATATTCTCCATCAGCAGTTAATATTATCAACACTGCCAATATGTTTCTCCCTTTCTTTCTTTCTTCCTCCCTCCCTTTCTCCTTCCCCTACTTTCTTATTTTCTTGGTTCCTTCCTTCCTTTGTTCCTTGTTTCCTTATTTCCTTTTTAGATGTCTTTCCTCATTCTCCCTATTTATCCAACTATAGTTCTTTTAGAAATGATATAGTTGGAAGAACATGGAACCAAGATAATAGTGTCTTAAACCATAGAATTTCTTAAGAAGGATTCTTGATGAAGGCAATCTCGGGCTTGTTCAGCAGCCTAATATCACCATTAAGAAGCTTTCCATTTTTCTCATCTACTATCTCTTTGTATATTGGTCTTTTGTCCTTGAATGTTTTGTGATTCTTCATCACATGTGATATGGTTTGACTTTGTCCCCACCCAAATCTCATCTTGACTTATAGCTCCCATTATTCCCATGTGTTGTGGGGAGGGACCTGGTGGGAGATAATTGAATCATGGGGGTAGTTTCCCCCATACTGTTCTCGTGGTAGTGAATAAGTCCTATGAGATCTGATGGTTTTATAAGGGGAAACGCATTTTGCTTGTCTCTTATTCCCTCTTTTCGGCCGCCATGTGGTCTTTCACCATGAAGGCCTTTCTCATCCTGTCATGATTGTGAGGCCTCCCCAGCCATGTGGAACTGTGAGTCCATTAAACCTCTTTTTCTTTTTAAATTTCCCAGTCTCAGTATGTCTTTATTAGCAGCGTGAAAACAGACTAATGCAATATGACTTCCAAAGGTCCAAGAACCGCATCACTCTTGGAGCGGGAGGAAAGGGAAAAAAAATCAGCACTTCGTCCATTTAAAAGGAAGCAAATATTTTCCCAAGCCTCAACGTGGACTTCCTTCAGAGTCTCATTGGCCAGAACTTTGTCACACAGTAATCCCTAATTGTATGGAAGTCTAGAAAAGTAAGTGGCATTTTAGCTTCTTGCTTACTGTGAAAAAACATGAGGGAAAAAATGCTGTATACTAAGAAAACCTACAACTGCTACCTAATAGAAAAAAAGTAAGCAGAATGTAAAAATAACTTTAAAAATTAGAAAGTTAATCTTTTAATTATAAAAGAACTTCTGGAATATTTTCTTCCACAGGAAAAAATAAATTCTTCTCAATAAGGCTTGTATGAGATGCTAGCTGATAGGCAAATATATAACATACACCCTTATGATTGATATCAATTATTTTGGACCTTTCTAGGAATGTTGAGGACAAGCAGTGTAATTTAGTGCTGTTCTTCAACAGCGATGGCTAGCTGGACTCATCAGTATAAATTCACAATATCCTCTGTGCTGTTGGGTTTGGTTCAGGTTTTCTTCTATCCACTTCTGGATATTATGCTTTACATTCTTCTTGAATTATTTCATGTGTAGTTATTGTTTTTCTATCAGCAATATTTGCTCCTTGTGAAAGTTTTGATATTTTGTACTTAATATTTCCTTTTATGTTGACAGGATGCTATCAATCTCTGTCAGTAACTGAAGAAATGATTGATTTAATTACTGAACATATCTGACATGACACTGTATATTTTAATTAAGTTTATTTATAAGCAATGGAGTTTAAAAAGAGTGTTTTTGTTATCCAAAGAAACACCTGAAGTGATGACATTAAAAGACTCTAAGAAATAAACATGTTTTGTTTTTCACATATTAAATTACCTGGTAGATGGCATGCGATAAACACTGTTGGACTTACTACCAGAACAGCAGCACACAATTGTGTATTTCTAGGTCTGCTAATCAGAGAAAGTGACTTCAAGGGCCACTGTCTCTTTCATGGCTTGTTCTTCATATAAAGGCCACATAAGTTGTACACCAGTTTGTGAAACTTCATATATATATATATGTAATCTTACTAATGTGATCTAATTAGTTTTGCTATGATGAAAATTAGAAAAAATTACTTAGACACAGTATATGTAGTGGTACATTGGTAAATCAGCCCTAATGGAAAGGGGGGAAAAGTTTTGATTTAAATTCTTTGCTAATTTTTTGTGATATAAATGCCCCAGACATGGTCAATTCAAACAATGAATGATTTAACTAGTGGCTTGCTCAATTCCTATTTGCCAAGCGGCTCTCAGGAGCCACTGTCAGCCACATCCAGTTCCAAGGCAATAAGTTTATTGACTCCTATGGCTACCAGACTCCCAAGTTGTTGAGAAAACAGGCTGATAAACCTACTCATCTGTAAACACGTGCTACCTTTTAAGAATAAGGAAGAATGACTCAGAGGCCAGATGCAGAGGCCAAAGCCGTGGATGCAGAGGGTAGAGCTATTAGGCACAGAGGATCATTTCTATACTTGGAATCCTAGTGGAATGTACGGGATATTTAAAATTTTTTGGAATTGGTCATCCTTTTTTCCTTGATTGTTTTGGAATGGGAACATAAATAACTGTTATTCTATGCTTCCTTCATCATTGTATTTTGGAAACAACTAATTGTTTTCTAGATCCACAAATCTACAAATGGAGAGAAATTTTGGTGCAGGATGGATTTTACTTAGAGTCTTGCCTATAATAATTTAGACAATTTAGATAATAAGATTTGAGAGTTTAAAATTGATTATATTTAGATAAGATTTTGAACTTTAGCTGATGCTGTAGTTGTTAGAGCTTATGACAATGTTGGGATTGGGGTGAATGCATTTTGCATTTCGCATGGACATAAATTTTGAGAGTTCACAGGGGAGACTGTGGTAGGTATATAATGGTTTCTCAAAAGATATCCATGCCCTAATTCTTGGAACTAGTAAGTATTAATTTATATGGTAAAACAGACTTTGCAGATGTGATTAATTTAAGGATCTTGAGATGGCATGACCATTTTATGTTATCTAGGTGGACTCTAAAGGCAATACAAAATATCCTTAAAAGAGGAAAGTAGAGGAGGATTTGACATAGAGAGAAGAAAAGGTAATATGACCACAGAGGCCAGAATTGAAGTGATGCAGCCAGAAGACAAGTAATGCCAACACTCATCAGAAACTGGAATAGGAAAGGAATAGATTCTTCCTAGCGCCTCCAGAGGGAGCACATTTTGGCCAATAGCTTGATTTTGACTGAATTAAACTGATGACTTTGGACTTCAAAACTTAAAAGAATAAATTTTTGTTGCTTTAAGCTAGCCAGTTCATGGTAATTTATCCACAGCCACCTTAAGAACTAATAAAATGTCCAAATATAGTCTAAACAATATGGTGAGACCCCATCTCTACAAAAGATACAAAAATTAGGTGGTGTGTGCCTGTAGTCCCAGTTACTTGGGAGGCTGAGGTGAGAGGATCAACTGAACCCAGGAGGTCGAGGCTGCAGTGAGCAAAAATCATGCCACCATACTTCAGCCTGGGCAGCAGAGTGAGACCTGGTCTAAAATAGGGGGAAAAAAAATGTCCAAGTGTAGTTTATCCCATGTTTGACATTTGAAAAAGTAATCAGTATAATTCACGGATAATTTTATTTTGTTATTTTTTTTTGTGCCCTCCCATTCTCAGAGGGAAAGATAAGGTTACAGGTAAGTTTTACACAATGTCTTTTTATCAGATTAAGGAAGCTCCCTTATATTTCTAGAAATCATAAGTGAGTTTAGCAAGTAAACTACATCCAAAATCAATGTAAAATAGTCATGCTTATATTCTAGCAACAAGCAATTAGAAATTAAAATTTTAATACCATTTAGATAGTGTCAAAATATAAAATCACTTAAGAGGAAGTGACAACATATGTACAAGACCTTTACAATCAAAACCAGGAAACACTGCTAAGATAAATTAAAGATGAACCAAATAATGGAGAGTTATACCGTATTCATAAATTAGAAAACCAATTACTATAAAAATGCTAAGTCTTCCTAAATTGATGTAGAGATTAAAGATAACACCAAGCAAACACCTCAGGAGGTTTTTGTTTTTTTTTTTTTTTTTTTGTCGTTTTGCTTGTCTTTTTTGTTCGGTAGAAATTGATAAATTAATTCTAAAACTCAATGAAAATGTGAAAGTCATAGCATAGATTAAAGAAAAAAACTTTAAGAAAACCCAATACATTTATGTAATTACCTACATATTTTATAAATTATTTTTAAATAAGAGTAATAAAGACAAAATGGCATCTGTGTTAAATGAATAGATAATTGAAATAAAATGAAGAGTACAAAAATGACCTACATATATAAAAACAACTAACTTTTCAATAAACAATTGGGGAACAACTAGATATGCTTATGCAAAATTTAAGCTTAAATACATGCTTCACACTGTATAAAAATGGACACAAAATGGATCATAGACTTAAATGTAAAGTGTAAAATTTAATTTTCTATAAGATAGGAAAAAAACCTTTGTGACTCAAATTATACAAAGATTTCTTAGATACTGCAGTGAAAGGATGATGCTGAAAAAAATGAATTGATAAAATGAACTTCTTCATCAAAGATGGTACAGTAGATCCTTGAACAATACAGGTTTGAACTGCATGGGACCACTTACACATGGATTCTTTTCAATAAGAGTTACATTGAGTATTCCTGTGTCTCCTGATTCCCCATCTATCTCCTCTACTTCTTTCTTCTCTGCCACTCCTGATATAGCAAGACCAACACTCTTCCTCCTCCTCTGCCTACTCAATGTGAAGACAATGAGGATGAACACCTTTATGATGCTCCACTTCCACTTATTGAATAGTAAGTATATTTTATCTTTCTTATGGTTTTCTTAAGAACATTATTTTCTCTATCTTTATTGTATTAATAATAAAATAAGTAAATTTACAGTATATATTCATGTAACATAAAAATATGTGTATATTGACTGTTGATGCTATTGGTAAGGCTTCTGGTCAACATAGGCTATTAATAGTTAAGTTTGATCAATCAAAAGTAATAAGTGAATTTTTGACTGTGCAGGGGTCAGCGCTGCAACCCCTGCATTGTTCTAGGTTCAGCTGTATACAGATGGCAAATAAGCACAGGAAATAGAATTTAACATCACTAGTGGTTATGACTATACTAATAAAATCTACAACAAAATTCCAATACACAACTATTAGAATGGCTACAATTAAAAATACTACACAGGCTAGATGCAGTGGTGCAAGCCTGTAATCCCAGCACTTTGGGAGGCTGAGCTGGGTGGATGGCTTGAGCCTAGGAATTTGAGACCAGTCTGGGCAACATGGTGAAACCCCGTCTCTCCAAAAAATATAAAAATTCGCTGGGTGTGGTGCTCGCCTGTAGTCCCATAGTCCCAGATACTTGGGAGGGAGGCTGAGGTGGGAGGATTGCTTGTGCCCGGGAGGTTGGGGCTACAGTGAGACAAGATTGTGCTGCTGCACTCCAGCCTGTGCTGTAGAGTGAGACCCTGTCTCAAAGAAAAAAAAAAAACCCTACAAAATGTGCTGAAAAAGATATGAAGAATTCAGGATTCTCATAAACTGCTGACGGGAATTTAAAATAACACAATCAGTTGAAAAGCAGTTTTGCAAATGCTTAAAAAGTTTACATACGACTGTATGATCCAATCATTCCATAGTCCATATATCCATACAAAGATTTGTGCATTAAGGTTTACAACAAGTTTCTTTGTAATAGCTCCAAACTGGAAATAAATACAATGTCTACCAATAGGTACAGGTATGAACAGACTGTTACATCTATACAATGGGATACTACTCTGCAATACAAAAGAATATACATACACACTGCAGTATGGATGAATCTAAATAAATAATGCTGAGGGAAATAAGCTAAACAAACAAAAGATTTGATATATTATTCCATTTATATAAAATTATACAAAATGCCAACTAATCTATAGTGACAAAAAGTAGATAAGTGGGTTCCTTAAGGTGGGTTTAGAAGAATTCTAAGGAGAATTGGAAAGAATTACAACGGAGGTAATAAGAAATTTTGCTAATTATACCTCAATAAAATTTATTTTCAGAGTAGTCTCATTGGCAGTGCCAAAAAATTCCAGTCAAATTAGAGTTGTACAGGAATCAAAAAGAGATTTATCTTAAGGCAGAAGAATGTGAAGAATTGAGCAAATAGAAATGGAGATTATGCGAACTCAGTTGTGAAGCTAGAGATGAACAATACTTCAAAAGAAGATCTTTAACCATGCTATATCCTTCAGAAACCAGTTTTGTATATATATATATGCTTTTCAGGACATGATTTTTGTGAGTTTTGGTTTTGTTCTCTTTCTTTGTTTCATGTTTCGTTATTTATATGCCTTAATTAAAGAACCTGGCTAGCCTCAGCTTGTTCTATTGCTATTGAGTCACAGTTTCACACCTAGCATTCTAACCAGGCTCTTTTGAGAAACTAGTTGGAAATGAGTCAGAATAGTTATGCCAAAGTGGTACATAAATGTTAACATAAGCCTTTGATCTTCCTAAGATCTCACACTGGAAAAAGAAGGTTGCTTTTCTCCTTCTAACACAGTCTTTTAGAACTCATTTTTCTTTAAATCTTTCTTTACATTTATTTTAAGTCTTTGTTATTGAAATACAAACAAAATGTGAAAAGGATTGACCATAAGTAATCATCCAGAAAAATAGGACCATACTTTCAGCTAGGACACAATTATGGGTCTCTCTATGAATCTCCAAAACATATGTGCATTTCTTAGGATGTTTTCTTCATTTTATTATGAAAGATTAATTATCCCCATTGTGTTTTGTCACTCTAGGCAAATGTCCTACTGAAACTTGTTACTGTTTTGACTGCATATATATATATATATATATATATATATATATATATATATATAGTCTTTTTAAACACATTACAACTACTAGGTTTCACCCTATGGTTCAGTATTGCGTTTGATAGAAATTCATGTTATTTCAGGTGATGATAAATATATATGCTACACTTACTACAATGAGAAATTTAGCAACTCTGACACATTGGAAAGTTATTGTGGAGACCCAAGAATATTAGTAATTGAAAATTAGATTTGCTACTGAAAAATGGGGAAAATTTTACATTAATTAACAATGAATCAATTTATAATTATATTTTTGTTATTATATAGCAATATGAAACAATAGCTGTGGTCATTGATATTGTAAAACCATTAGAATGGAGTGACTATTGAAAACAATATTTTTTTCTGTTTCTTTTGCAAAAAAAGATGCAAAAAATGAGCTAAAGTCTTAACTAACCTATAATAATAAAGCTCATAGAAAAGATAAATTTTGCTCAATGTCATTGTAATTGTTAGAGTATATTATTATTATTATTATTATTGTAAGACCATTTAACACGAGAACTACCCTTCTAAAAAAATTTTAAGGGCACATTACTGCATGGATAACTATAGGCACTATGTTACACATGTGGTCTCTAGAACTTACTTATCTTGCGTGGCTGGAACTTTAAACTTTATATTCATTGAACAACTCATTTTCTTTTCCCTCAGTCCCTGACAACTGCCATTCTAAGCTTTCCTTCTGTGAGCTTCCACTGTGTTAGAGGCCTCATATAAGTGGAATCATGCCGTATTTGTATTTGTCCTTTCGTGTAGTTTATTTCACTCAGCTAATGTCCTCAAGTTTCATTCGTGTTGTCACATATTGTAGGATTTCATTTTTTTAAGGCTGAATAATGTTTCATTGTATGTATACATCACATTTTTAAAAATCCACTTCTCTTTCAGAGGACTTTTAGGTTGTTTTCTCATCTTGATTATTGTAAATAATGCTTCAATAAATATGACAGTGCTAATATCTCTTTGAGATCCTGATTTCAAATTGTTTGAGGTAAACATTCAGAAATTTACTTGCTAGATAATAGCATAGTCATATTTTTAGTTTTTTGAAGAACCTTCATATTGTTTTCCATAGTGACCGCACCATCTTTCATTCCCAACACAATGAACAAGGGTTTTAAGTTCTCTACAGGTGTGCCAATACTTATTTTTTGTATTCTTGATGATAGCCATTCTAACAGGTATGTAGTGATATCTCATTGTAATTTTGATTTGCATTTCCATGAAGCAGGTGCTGTCGAGTATCTTTTTATATAACTGTGGAGTTTTTGTATTTTTGTTGGAGAAATGTCTACTCAAGCACTTAGCCCATTCGTAAAATTGGGTTATCAGTATTTTTGCTGTTGAGTTATAGGAGTTCTTTAAATAATTTTGGACTTCAACACCTCATTAGATATATGGCTTGCAAATATTTTCCACCATTTAGCAGGGTGTCTTTCCACTCTAGTGATGGTTTACTTTGCTGAGGAGAAGCTTTTAAATTTGATTTAGTTTCTCTTGTTCTGTATTTGTTTTTGTTGCTTGTAGTTTTGGTGTCATATTCATGAAATCATTGCAAAGGTCAATATAGTGAAAATTTTCTACTATATTTTCTCATAAAAGTTTTACAATTTCAGGTCCAACGTTTAAGTCTTTAATCTGTTTTTGGTTGATTTTTGTATATCGTGTAACAAAAAAGTCTGATTGCATTTTTTTTTTGCATGTGTGTGGATATCCAGTTTTCCCTGCATCATTTTTAATAACAGACTATACTTTCCCCGTTGTGTATTCTTGGCACCCTTGTCAAAGATAAGTGGCTGTATATGCATGGACTTATTTATGGGCTCTCTGTTCTGTTTCATTGGTCTATATGTTTGTATGCCAGCATCATACTATTAGTTACTATATCCTTTGAATATATTTTGACATCAGAAAGTGTGATGCCTTCAGCTTTGTTCTTTATCAAAATTATTTGGCTATTTGAGATCTTTTGTGGTTTTATAAAAATTTTAGAATTTTCTATTTCTATAAAAATGACATTGAAATTTTGACAGAGATTGCATTGAACCTGTAGATTGCTTTGGGTAGTATGGACATTTTCACAATATCACAACTTCTAGTACATGAACATGGAATGTTTTCCCATTTTTTAAAATGTCTTCTTTCATTTCTTTCACCTTTTTTTAATAGTTTTAAATGTATCAGTCTTTCACTTTCTTTGTTTATTCTATTTTTTTTTTTACTTTGATGCTATTGTAAAAGGAGTATTTTCCTAATTTCCTTTTCAGATAGATACTTGTATATAGAAACACCACTAATTTTGGGATGTTGATTTTGTATCCTAAAACCCTACCAAGATTATTCATTAGTTCTCACGGATTTTTGGTAGTCTTTAGGATTTTCTGTATATAGAACCTGCAAACAGGAATAATTTTTAAGTGACAAGAGCATCCTTCTGTCGATCTTGATCTTAGTAGAAACGCATTCAGTTTTTTAACACTGAACATGGTGTTAGCTCTGGGCTTGTCATATATGGCCTAATATTCAGTAATTTACTTTTATTCCTAGTTTGTTGAGAGTTGTTATCATAAAATGGTGTTGAATTTTATCAAATGGTTTTTCTGGATCTATTTGGGTAAGTGTGTGATTTTAGTCTTCATTTTGCTTTGTGATATAACAAATTAATTGATTTTCATATGTCTGCTCAACCTTACATCCTATGGATAAATCCCATGTGGTCATGGTGTATGATCCTTTCAATGTGCTGCTAAATTTGATTTGCTAGTGTTTTGTTGAGGATATTTGGATTTATGTTCATCTGGGATATTGGCCTAAAGATTTCTTATAGTGTTTTGTTTGGCTTTTATATCAGTGTAATGCTGGCCTCATTAAATGGTTTTAGTTTTGTTCTCTCCTCTTCAAATTTCAGAAGAGTTTGAGAAAAAGTGGCATTAATTATTCTTTAAATGTTTGATAGAATTTGCTAGTTAAGCTGTCTGGTCCTGAACTTTTCTTTGTTAGAAGGTTTTTGATTACTGATTTAACTTGCTTACTTATTGGTCTGTTCAGATTTTCTGTATTTTAGTGACTCAGTTTTGGTGGGTTGTATGTTTCTAGGAAGTTTTCCATTTTTTCTAGGTTATTGAGTTTCTTTGAGTATAATCATTCATATGTATTTGTTGTTATCCTTTGTATTACTGTGGCAACAGTCATATTATCGCCTCTTTAATTTCTGAATTTATTTTTTGAGATTTATCATCTTTTTTTAGTCTAGTTAAAGGTTTGTCAATTTTGTTTATCTTTTTGAAAAACCAACTCTTAGTTTTGTTGGTTTTCTTTTTTGTATTGCTTTCTCTATTCTCTAATTCATTCATTTCTGCTTTATTCTTTATTATTTCTTCTTTATGATAAATTGAGTTTTATTTGTTTTTCCTTTTCCAGTTCCTTGAGATATAAAGTTAAGTTGTTTGAGATCTTTCCTCTTTTTTAATGTAGGTGTTTATTGCTGTAAGCTTCCCTCTTAGTGATACTTTTGTCGCATCCCATAAGTTAAGAATGATGTGTTTGCATTTTTGTTTGTTGCAAGTTTTTTCTAATTTCTCTTTAGATTTTTCCTTTGATCTGTTGGTTGTTTAAAAGTGTTGCTTTTTATATTTGTAAATTTTTCAGTTTCCTTCTTTTATTAATTTCCAGTTTCATTTTATTGTGACCAGAAAAGATACTTCTTATGATTTAAATTTCCCTAAGTTTGTTAGGACTTGTTTTGTAATGTAACGTGATCTATCCCAAGAATTTTTTATTTTTTATTTATTTATTTTTTTTTGGAGACAAAGTCTCCCTTTGTTGCCAGGGTGTGATGGCTGTAATACCGAAGCAGGGCAGAGAAGTGCTGGGTAGAGAAGGGCGGGGTCTCTGGCGAAGGCTCCACCCTGGGCTTGTGCCCACGGACCTAAGTGAAAAACAAGTACTAATGTTTTCAAGCCCAAATGTTTCATTTTCCAAGACCACTCTGGCCCGCCACGCCCCCCATCCTGTGTCTATATAAACCTGAGACCTTAGCGGGCATAGACACAAGCGGCTGAACATCCAGAGGAGTAGAGGAACAGAGATGCAGAGAGCAGCAGGGCCGCATGGCACAAAAGGAGGGAAGAGGCCTCTGAACTTCAGCTGAGAACAGCCGGACTCCAGGGGAAGATCACCTTCCACTCCGTTCCCGCCTTCCAGCACCCCATCCATCTTGCTGAGAGCAACCTCTACCACTCAATAAAGCCTTGCACCCATCCTACAAGCCCACATGTAATCCTGTTTTCCTGGCACCCTGGGCAAGACCTCGGGGTACAGAAAGCTGTCACACTGGCCCTCTGCCCTTGCTATAACGCAGAGGGTCTGTTGAGCTGATTAATACAAGCCATTTGCAGACAGCAAAGCGAAAAGGACACATTGTAACACACGCCCACTAGGACTTCAGGAGTCACAGACACTCACCCGTAGATGCTGCCCAGGGGCCTGCGCCTGCCGTGTCTATGCTCCCCCTAGTGCTTTGAGCAGCAGGGAGACCAAGGGAGTAAGCCACACCCCTGTCGCACCTCCTATGAGGGGGATATGGGAACTTTCCTTTTTCAGCTGGAGGGCAGTGGCACCATCTCGGCTTACTGCAGCCTACACCTCCCAGGTTGAGCGATTCTCGTGCCTCAGCCTCCGGAGTAGCTGGGATTACAGGAGCGGACCACCAACCCGCTAATTTTTGTATTTTTTTAGAGACAGGGTTCCGCCATGTTAGCCAGGCTGGTCTCCAACTCCTGACCTCAAGTGATCCTCCAACCTCGGCCTCCCAGAATGCTGGGATTACAGGAGTGAGCCACCATGCCCAGCCCTGAATAATGTTCTTTTTGCACTAGAGAAACGTGCATTCTGCTCTTGCTGGGTAGAATGTTCTGTATATGTCTGTTAGGTCCATTTGGTCTGCGGTGTAGTTAAAAGCTGCATTTCTTTGTTGACTTTCTGCCTAGTTGTTCTATTCTTATTGAAAATGGGTAGTGAAGTCTCTTAGTATCATTGTATTGTTGTTCAATTCTTCCCTTCAGTACTGTCACTGTTTGCTTTATGTTTAGGTGCTTTGATATTGGTTGCATATACGTTTGCAACTGTTAACATCTTTCTCAAGGAGTGACCCTTTTATTATATAATGTCGCCTAATTTTTTTTTTTTTTACTTAAACTATATTTTGTCTGATATAAGTATAGCCACTACTATTATCTCTTGGTTACAGTTAGCAAGAATTATCCGTTCTCACCTCATCACTTTCAGCCTGTGTGATTTTTAGATCTAAAGTAAATCTGTTACAGAGAGGAGAAAGTTGGATATTCCTTTTTTTCCTTCCATTAAGCTACTCTATGTCTTTTGATGGAAGGAGTTTAATATATCTATGTTGAAGGTAATTATTTAAAGGGAAGGATTTATTATTGCTTTTTTGTTTTCTGTTTGTCTCATAGTTCTTTTGTTCCTCTTGTCCTCTCTTGCTGTCTTCCCTTGTGATTGTTTTTTGTTTACATATTTTTGTATTCCTTTCACCTTATCTTTTGGGTAACATTTACACAGGTATTTTCATGAGGCTACCATGTAGCTAATGTAAAACACATTATAGCAGTCTATTTTAAACTGAAATGGCTTGACTTAGTCATATACAAATACTATACACTTTAACTTCTTCCTCCCCATACATAATTTGTTATTCATGTGACAATTTAAGCTCTTTATATTGCTTATCTGTTAACATATTTTCATTTATACTTAGTTGTAATAATTTTTCCTTGTAACTTTTATACTAGAATTAAAAAATAATATGTACTTCATTGTGACGGTAATGGAGTATTCTGTATGTCAATATATTTACCTTTACCAGCAAGCTTTATATGTTTTTATGCGCTTCTGTTGCTGATTAGCATCTTTTCTTTTCAAGATGAGAATTCCCCTTTAATATTTCTTTTAATGAAGGTCTAGTAGTGATGAACTTGCTCAATTTTTGGGGATAGGGGCTGGGAAAGTCTTTGTTTTCTTTAATTTTTGAAGGATATTTTTTACTAGTTATAGAATTCCTCATTGACAATTTTTTTTTTCTTTCAGCAATTTGACGTACGACATTCTAATCCCTTCTGGACTGCAAGGTTTCTGCAGAAAAATTTCATGATGGTATTATCAAGGTTCCCTTATACATCACAAGTCACTTTTCTCATGCTGCTTTAAAAATTCTCTCTTTGTTTTTCACAATTTGATTACAATGTGTCTTGGTGTGTGAACCTAAGGTGTAAATTTCCTTGGGTTTATTTTACTTGGAATCCTTTAGGATTCTTAAGGCTGAATGTCCATCTCCTACACAGATTTACAAAGTTTTCAGCTGTTATTTCTTTTAGTAAGCTTTCTGGTGCTTATCTCTCTTCTCCTGCTGGTATTTCCATATGCATATATTGGTCTGCTTGAGAGTGTCCCATAACTCTTTTAAGCTATTTTTATTCTTTTTCATTCTTCTCTGTTTTTGCTCTTCTGTCTGTACAATATCATATGACCTATCTTTAAGTTCACTTAGTCTTTTATTTCTGCTTGCTGTAGTTTGCTGTTAAATCCTCTATTGAATTTTTTTAGTTGAGTATTGTATTCTTTAGCTCTAAGATTTCTGTTGGTTTCTTTTTACATTTGGTTTCTTTTTACATTTTCTATTTCTTTGAAAGAATTCTTACTTTATTTGTGCATTATTTTCCTGAGCTGGTTGAGCATTTTTATGATGGTTATTTTGAATTATCTGTCAGATACTTAATATACATCCATTTCATAAGAATCAATTTCTGGAGATTTATCTTGTCCCTTTGGATCTTATTTCTCTCATTCTTCATGTTTTCCTCTTTGTGTTGGTACCTACATTTAAAACAAACAAACAAACAAACAAACAAAAAACCTGCCACGTCTCCCAGTATTTGTGTATTGGCCTATTATAGGCCAAGACCTTCACCAATCTTCCTGACCGCTCAAATCTTTGTGGTAGTTTGAACCATTGTCTTTATTGCTAGCAGCCCTCAAGCATCTAAAGTATGCCAGATCCTGTTAGCATGGCAAGACAGGTGGGGCAGAAGTTAATTCCTTAAGGAGCTACCAGCAAAGTTGGAACACTGTATGGTTTGACTCTTTTCCTCTCCAGAGAGAAACTGGTAACTGGAGTTATTTGCACACTAGTTCTGTGTTTAGCCAAGGGGTAGAGCTATACTGAGTGCCTACTCACTATTTCAAGACAACATTTTGTTCTCCATAGCCATCAGCAGATACCATATGCCAAATACTGTTAGCTCTCTGGGACCAGCAAGATTGAAGACAGTCTCTCAGGTAACATGCCGAAAATTTGGGATACCAAATGTGCATTCCAACCCCTTTGCTTCTCAAGAAGAAGCTGGGAGCAGGGCTTCCATCTTGATCATATGGATTTGTGCTGGGTATGGGTATTATGGCAAGAGGTATCTCCACTGCTTCTACCAGTTGTGAAGTGGCTGGTTTCTCACTTGCCTAGGGTACAGGAGTCTCCAAGCTTGTTTCTAACTTTCTCATAAAAATAATTGATTAATGTACTGCTGTTGAGTCAGTGTGTCTGTCAGGGAAGAAGAGTTCAGAGCTTCCTATCCTGACATCTTGCTGAAATCACTTCTAGAGTATATATTTTTAATCATGTCTGAACATCTGGTAAAAACAAATATCCACAAACATTATTATTACTTCATTTTTTCCAAGAGAGTATATGTTTATTATCTAACAAATCATAACTTAGTCAAAAACATAACTTGTAAAATTGTTTTTGTCTACACTGTTTACATTAAGTGCTTCCATATTTACTAATAATATATAGTTACCTGCTTTTTCTTATTTTTTTCTCCTGCCTAAATAATAAATGCAGATAAAATGATCCATTTAGAATAGCAACAACTAAACAGAAAAATTGATAAATTTTATGAATAGAATAATTTATTTACAAAAGCACAGATGACAGTGACTAATACATATATGGAAAAAAGACTTTAGTAATTAAAGAAATGCAATTCAGCTCATTGAAATTTTCAACATTTAATATTCACAAAATGATATTCAAATAAGCAAAAAAGCAGATAAATGAATCATCTCAACATTGCTAACAAGAGTATAATTTTGCTCTATTTATAAAATTATTTTGGGAATAAGTACAGTTCTCTTTTATAATACAAGCTATATTTTTTAAAAAGTATGGCCAGGCGCAGTGGATCACACCCGTAATCTTAGCACTTTGGAAGGCCAAGGCAGGCAAATAACCTGAGGTCAGGAGTTCAAGACCAGCCTGACCAATACAGTGAAACCAGGTCTGTACTAAAAATACAAAAATTAGCCAGGCATGGTGGCTGGTGCCTGTAGTCCCAGCTACTCGGGAGGCTGAGACAGGAGAATTGCTTGAACCCAGGAGGAAGAGGTTGCAGTGAGCCGAGATCTTGCCACTGCACTCCAGCCTGGGCGACAGAGTGAGACTCCGTCTCAAAAAACAAACAAACAAACAAACAAAAATTATTAGAAAAAACTCTGATGCAGCCGGGCGCAGTGGCTCACGTGTATAATCCCAGCACTTTGGGAGGCCGAGGCACGCAGATCACGAGGTCAGGAGATCGAGACCATCCTGGCTAACACGGTGAAACCCTGTCTCTACTAAAAATATAAAAAATTAGCCGGGCGTGGTTGCAGGCGTCTGTAGTCCCAGCTACTCCGGAGGCTGAGGCAGGAGGATGGCCTGAACCCAGGAGCAGAGCTTGCAGTGAGCCGAGACTGTGCCACTGCACTCCAGCCTGGGCAACAGAGCGAGACTCCGTGTCAAAAAAAAATAAAAAGAAAAAAAGAAGAAACTCTGATGCAAAACAGCAAATGAGTAAAAATGGTTATCAATGAGAAAGTTTAGGACTTTTTAGTTTCTAACCATTTTCTCCCAAGTGAAACTATTACTTTTATAATAAAATATAGCAGTTATTTTTCTTCCAGGAATTTCAACAATAAATGTAGTGTTACACTTTGTATTTCTTGCTATAAGTCTAAGCATCACTGAGCAAAGCCAGAGTTTAATAATATTATGCTTTTTATCCAAAACTGTTTTTTCCTATTACCACTGGCATTAATATTGGAAGGGCAGGTAATATCCATTCTTAACATTTTAATAGCCTTTATTCCACATGATTATAATCTACAATATCTCTTGTTCAAGCAATAGTTTTTAAAAGCATTAGTTACTGATGGTTACTAAATCTAAGCCATATTTAACATTTTAATAGCCTTTATTCCACATGATTATCATCTACAATATCTCTTGTTCAAGCAATAGTTTTTAAAAGCATTAGTTACTGATGGTTACTAAATCTAAGCCATATTTATGCCATTAAAAATTGTGCAAGATGCATAGTATATTAATCAATTTTATGTTCACTTTATTGTGATAATTTGTTGTATAAGAGAAAGCCTGTTTTAAATTTTTAATGTTGTTAATATATTTGGATTCAATGGTTTCATTTCTAAGTATTTATTTCAAAGACATAGTCAAATATATGCACAGAAAGTTTATTATAGTTTTTAATTAGTATATTTAAAATATTTTTGTGAGCAAATTTTTCTTATGTTGACATGGGGAAAATATAAATAAATAAATCTTTAAGAGGATACTGGTTAAAGTTATGTGTTATGCAATAATATATACTACCATAGAGTCAATAAACTTCATTTTATATGAGAATATCTTTGACATAATAAATGTTTGCAACATATTAAAAAGTAAACATTGTTTCAAAATACAGAAATAATTCACACATTGCTTCTCAGGCGTTTGGCCAAAATCAGGCACAGCAATAACATACTTTTATAACACAAATTTATTTGCATATTTGTTGCTTTTTATATCAAAAGATATTTAGAGACAGATATATAAAAAGCATGAGATAATATATATCAAAATGCCAGGAAAACGGTAATTTTAAATTAACTAATAAGTATGGAAAATATTATTTTCTTGTGTTTTTCTGACTTTTTCAAATGTTTTACATTACATATATATTATTTTAGCTATTAGAAATATATAGATAGAGGCCAGGTATGGTGGCTCAGGCCTGTAATCCCAGCAATTTGGGAGGCCGAGGCAGGTGGATCACCTAAGGTCAGGAGTTTGAAACCAGCCTAGCCAAACTGGTGAAACCCTGTCTCTACTATAAATACAAAAATTAGCCGGGCTTGGTGGTGCACACTTGTAATCCTAGCTAGTCGGGAGGCTGAGACAGGAGAATTGCTTGAACCCAGGAGGGGGACGTTTCAGTGAGTGGAGATTGTGCCACTACATTCCAGCCTGGGCAACAGAGTGAGACTCAGTCTCAAAAAAAGAAAAAAAAAAGAGAGAAAAGAAACATATAGATAGTGTATACACTTTTTTTTTTTTGAGACGGAATCTCGCTGTCGCCCAGGCTGGAGTGCAGTGGGACTACAGGCGCCCGCCACCTCGCCTGGCTAATTTTTTGTATTTTTAGTAGAGACGGGGTTTCACCATGTTAGCCAGGATGGTCTCGATCTCCTGACCTCGTGATCTGCCCGCCTCGGCCTCCCAAAGTGCTGGGATTACAGGCATGAGCCACTGAGATAGTGTATACACTTTTAACAATTAAAAAATATTTTATATATAAATACATATTTATATATACAATTTGGCAATGTACCCCATCAAAAAAGTTAAAAAGCAAACACTCCATTCAGGATTAAGCCATTATATAATTTTAGTTTAAATCTTCTAACTCATTTCTTTCCTTATTTTTTGTTATTTTTATTGAAATTTTAACATTTTGGTTTTTCTTTTTTGTTGACAACCTAACCTCTCCTCATATTAATGAAGATCTTTCATCAATTAGGTTTTTCTAGCCTCAGATATTCTTTGTAGGTTTCTACTTTTCTTGCTTTTCTTTCCACTCTTTGAAAATAATTCACACTCATTCTTTAGGTTACTGTTTAAATATCTGCTCCTCAGGGTAACTTATGACAGATCTTCAAAATAAATCAGAATCATGCATTATAGTTCCCTTAACTTTCTTATATAGCATTCATAATATTTAATGTTTGTGTCTATTCATGCAGTCATTTTATTTCTATATGGCTACTACTAGACACTTTATTTTATATTTTAATTTATTAACTCATTCAATCTTTCAACAGCAACAACAAAAAGGAGCTTCTGCTAAGTTCTAGGCAGCATTGAAGGAACCTATCTTTCAGTACATAAAGCTGATAGTGTTCTTAAACTCATGGAGAGTACATTCCAAGATGGAAAAGAAAATAATATATTTCTACAACTGTGGTTAGTAGTAAGTTCCCTCCGGAAAAATGAAGCAGGGTAAGGAGATGAAGACCGATTAGGAAGACAGGGTTCTTTTATTTTAGAGAATGAGGAAAGATTACAGTGAGACTAATGACATCAAAGCAAAAATCAGAATGAAATGGAGTATGCTATGCAATGATATGTGGGAAAAGAGATCCAAGCTGAGGGAATTGCACTTGCAATTGATGAAAGAACATAGTTGGAAAATTGTAAGAACTAGAAGCATGTCAGTGTCACAAGACCAGAGTGAGTCACTAAGGGTGATGTAAGATGAGGTCAGAGAAATAGAAAAGGGCCAGATCATGTAAGGTTTATGCTGGACGTGGTTAGGAATTTGGATTTTTAGTTTGAATGTGATGGGAAGTCTTTGGAAGATTTTGCAGATGGAAATGAAATGATCTCCATTTTACTTATTAAAAGTTTATTCTAGCCTGGCATGGTAATTTATGCCTTTAATCCCAGCAACTTGAAAGGTAAAGGCAGGAGGACTGCTTGAGGCCAGGAGTTCTAGACCAGCCTGGAGAGCATAGCAAAACCCCAGCTGTACAGAAAAATAAAAAGAAAAATTAGCCGTGTATGGCACACACCTGTCATTCTAGCTATTCAGAGGCTGAGGCAGGAGGATTGCTTGAGCCCAAGAGTCCAAGGCTGCAGTGAGCAATGATCACTCACCACTTCACTGAACCTGGGCAACAGAGCAAGATCCTGTCTCTTAAAAAAATTAAAAAGATTATTCAAGCTTTTATACAGAAAACAAACATTTGGAGAGTAATAGTAGAAACAGAGGCCACCTAGATGACTATTTTAGTTGCCCAAGTAAGAGGTGTTTCTGCACCAATACAGCCTATCTCCTCTTACCATACATAAATGTCCTCAAGATTCAACTCTGTATCTGCTGAATACACAAATACTAGAGAAAAATGAATTAATATATATAAAATCTATGACTAGTTTTTATTTTTATAGTTTTCAAGAACTTAGGCCAGCAGTCTAACAAAGGACTACACAATTTTGCCAAAGCTCAGCTATTGACCATTTTTATTCTCAATGTCACCTAGTATAGAAATCTATTAGAAATAACATAAAGCCATTGACAGTTTTTATGATGTTTGCGTGCCCTGTGACTCAATGTACAGGAATCATTACTAGGCTAAAGTCTAAGAACTCAATATAGATCTTGAAAATCTTACAAAACTGCACCTAAAATCTCCCAGGATAGTCAGAATCCAAATGAAGAATCTCAAGATGAATCAGGTAATAATTCCCAAAATGCAAATCAGTGATCCCATTCTCACTTTTCCCCAAGGCTTTGTATTTTTCTTCTACCTCAGTAGCTTGTCCTCATTTTGTTTGTTTGCCTCACTTTTCTTATTTAACATGGTAAAACATATAAACATATTTTTATATAATAATGGTATAGTTTTTCTGGCTCCATCTACCTCATTGACAATTTAGTCTGCTCTATAACTATGGATAGTCAGAGAGTTAATAGACAATGACACCAGTTTGAAATGTGTTCTTTAACATTTAATTGACAAAATTGAAACTACTTTGGAGAAAATTAGCTCCTTTACTTATATATGACTTTGTTTTTCAAATAATTCCTTTACATGATTACCAGCGTTAAAATGTAGATTTTATTTGGACTGGGAAACTGTGCACACAATGCATGGATATTTCAAAACAATAATATTTTCATAGATTTTGAATTTCCACAACTTAATGCCTTAGGAAAAGAACAAAGGGCTAAACTATGAGAATTCAGTATCAATAATGATGTCCTATGGGTCCTTCATAACTCTTATTTTGATAGTTTTTCAACCTAATGATTTTATAGCCAGGCTCCATGGAAAAGACTGTTGGACTCTAATTTATTCTATTCTTTTTTGGGCAGATGATAGTAGCACATTTTGGGAAATATTTCTTTAAACTATAACTCTTATTTGGCCCAGGTTATGCAGAGGTGGAAAGATTTTCTACTCAAATAATGTCTGCTTTAGAATACTTGACCTCCAAATGAAAATGTTAATCCTCCAGCTCAGCTGACTTTTAAACCATGTATCTGAATTAAGAGTAGATTTGCTGTTTGTAATTCAGTTCCTTTTGGGGGTGACCACCTCAAATTTGCTGCCACTAGTAACATGCAATCAAAAAATAAATAAAATGTACAGAGGACTCCTGAAATGTCCATATACCACTTTATGTGGTTGAATATTTTTCACTGAACAAAGTCAGAATATCAGCATATTTCTATGACTGTATATTTCTATTTATCTTATTAATGCTTTTATATAGCAAGGCCACACTGGAGACACTATAAAAAATATAGTGAAGTTCCTATTTATTGTAGAAACATTTTTAATAAAGTCTTATGATAAAATCTCATTCTGAACTCAGATTTAGAAAGATATGTACTTCTAAGCAGTGTCTAGATTTTTATCTTATATTTGGCATGACTCATTACTGCTCTTATATTTCTTTTGTCTTATGACATAGAAAACATTGAGGCAACAGTGTCTTGCCATTTGTCAGGCCCACAGATAAGACCACCCAGCATGCACTTCAAGCACTTAGCTTGAAACCCTCAGTTTCATTTTGTTTTGCTACTGAGGCGTTTTCAAGGTACTTTTGGCAGCTATCAATAACCTCTGGGAGTTAGAGGTGAGCAAGGCCTTGGGAAAAAATATCCAGCTGTAGAGCAAAGATTTATTCTCCCTTTCCATAGAACAGTTACTGTATATGTCCTGTCCTCTTGAATCTGCTGGGCTATGTGAGCACATTTGGGCCAATGACCTGTAAGCCGAAGTGTGCAACTTTTAAGCCTAAACTCAAATGATTCCCCAACCCTCTTTCTTCTTCTTAGCACCAATTGTGTATTGAAACTCTGGGTGACATTTGAGAGTGACACATTGAAGATGGCAGGTTTTCCGCCATATTGGCCCCTTCAGTAACAGCGTTGAACATAGTATTTCTCTCCACCCTCCCTACTGCCACCAACTGGAATTTTCTTGAGCAAATATAAACCACTGAAGTTTTAGAGCAAATGTTTTTCATCAGTTACAGGTACCTTAACTAAAACCAAAATTTGCATCTTAAATAAGGATACAATCCTCATTAACCAAATAAGATGAAATTAAGGGTAAGCTAAGTGCTTGAAGTGAATGTTTAGTGGTCTTATCTGTATGCCTGATAAATGGCAAGACATTGTTGCCTCAATGCTTTCTGTGTCAAAAAAACAAAAGGAATATAAGAATAGTAATGAGTCACACCAAATGTAAGATAAAAACATATACATTACTTAGAAGTATATCTCTTTCTAAATTTGAGTTCAGAATGAGATTGTATTCCTATTCCCAAACACTGTCTCATGTTATCAACTGGAAAATATTTTGTGAAACTGAATGAGGTAACTTGAGGAGCAGACTATATGTGAGCTAAGTCTATAGATCTGTTAGATTAGATTGTAAAACAGAAAGTTAATAATGTTTGTTGATTGTTATTGGTAGCATTTAGCAAAATGTTTGAAAAAGGAATTCACTTGAGGAGATCGGATGGTTTTTCAAGCCAAACTAAATTAAAAAAAAAAAATTTAGAGTCTTCCAAAATGGGAAAGTATCATATTAAGTAATTCTCATCTCCAATGGGTAAGTAATAAATCAAATAATGGTAAGGATGTGGAGCAAGAGGAACTTTTATTCATTGCTGGTGAGAAAGAAAAATGCTATAGCCACTTTGGAAGACAATATGGAAGCTCCTTACACAACTAGATGTGCTCATGCCATATGATCCAGCAATTTCACTCCATGGTATTTACTCAAAGGAGTTGAAAACTTATGTTCACACAACAACCTGTACTTAAATGTTTATACCATATTTATTCATAATTGTCAAAACCTGGAAGCAGCCAAGATGTCCATTACTAGGTGAATAGATAAATAAACTATGGCACATAAAGAAAACAGAATATTTTTCAACAATAAAAAAATGAGCTATAGATTTCTGGGAAGACATGGAGAAAACTTAAATGCATAGTACTCAGTGAAAGAAGTCAATCAGAAAAGGCTATATACTGTAGTATTCCAAACATATGTCATTCTGGAAAAGTCAAATCTTCTTAGATAGGAAAATAATCAGTAATTGCCAGAATTTAGGTCAGAAGAGGGAAAGATAGGCAGAGCAGAGAGGATTTTTAGGTCAGTAAACATATTCTTATATAATACTGTAATAACGAATAAATGTTAGTATACATTTGTCCAAACCCATAATATATACAACACTGGCAGTGAACCCTAATGAAAACTATTGTTTTGGAGTAAAAATGATGTGGCAATGTAGGTTCTATCAATTGGGACAATAGAGGACTCTGTTAGGAATATTGATAATGAGGGAGGCTATGTATGTTTGGGGGCAGTGGATATGTGGGAAATCTCTGTAACTTCTCAATTTTACTGTGAACCTGAAACTTTTCTAAAAAATGAAGTCTATTACAACACACATGTACATTCACACACACACACACACACACACACACACACACAGAGATTAAGTTATAAGTATTAAATGTCTGATCTACAAGGCTCAGTAAGTCTTAGGGCAAAAATTTAAAATGTGGTTTTCCCACCTATTATTTTAGAGAATCACAAAATAGCCACCAGTCATATCTCAATAACTGAGATATTGTGGTAGGGAAATAATGGAGTGAATAGCTTTGAGAATTATGCCTCAGAAAGAACCTTCTAAGTTATGCTGGCTCATGAATTTAATAGAAAGAAAATTGATAAAAATCCTACTAAATGTTTGAAGAAATTATACTATAAAATATATCTTATAAAACCATTTGATTAATAATTTTTGAAAGAAATTTTGGCCACCTGTACTTGCAGAAATGGAAGGAGAACTAGAGGGATTTCAGAATTGTTTCCTCTTGAGAACAGAAAGAGAAATAGACATTGGAAGGAGAGACTACAAAGACAGATCAGAGGGGCATCTCAGAGCAGAGACATATATCTTTCCACCAGAGACTTTGCTTGCCTTTATGGTATGTAGTATTGTCCAGCATGGAATATTTTCTGTTCTTGATTCTATGTGGGTTCGAACGTCTATATTCTAATTAATAGAAAATAGACTAAATTGATCTAAGTCTAGCTGCTGAAAGACTTCTGCACAATGTGTCACACCTCTTCTTTGATGTTGGTATCATGATGGAAACTCCATTGCCCTTGATTACAAATAAAGCTCTGTTGTGTTTACACACTGGAATTTGCAGGTTTATTTATTATAGCAGTTATCATTACCTTCTATGACGCTGAAACCATAACCTTATTACCAGATGATATCTTATGATAAAGGTCAATTTTAGACCAAATTCTGCCAATGGTACAATATTTATTAGCAAGAAAGTAGTACATAAGCCACCATATCACTTGTTCCTATAACACATTATTCAGCATTTTGACAAATACCTTGGATAAAATTTGACTAGAGGCCAACAAAACAATATTCTTGTTGACAAATCAGCCAATACTCTAGTTAAGTCTGCAGAGTTCTGTGTGAGGTGGGGCAGCACAGAAATGAACAATGCATCAGAGAGAGAGAACTGGCTGCTCCTGCTTTATTCTTATAGCTCAATTATAGGTACAAGGCTGTCTATAAAATGTTTCTATCCAAACATGAATCTTGAACACCACTAATTTCACCAGTGATTTGTGGTGTCATAGATGTCATCACTTATGTTAATTTTAGTGCAAAACAGAATTTAGTCAATATACTTTGCAATTCTGAGGGTGAATATTTCTGATTACAGTAACTATAATGCTAACAATATATACTAATTGTGGATTCATAATGAGTATATGTCAAATTCTAGTTATTCTGTAGGATCTATGGTTTTGTGATTAAGATACTTTAATGCTCTTTAAACATCAGAAGAAGTGAAGATTAAATTTAACCTACATAAATAAATAATTTATATTGAAATGCTTTAAGGAGATATTTCATTTAACTATATACATAGACAAATGTATGAAGTCATAAATATACAACACAAAGTGTACACCCCAAACTAATCAGCACACAGAATAAGATAAAGAACATTTTTTGTGTCCCAGAAGTCCCTCTCATGTACACTCCAGCCCCTACTCCCTCACTTGAGGATAATGACTATTATAATTTCTAACCTTGTGTACTAGCACTTGTTTTAATCAGTGTGTATATTTTTATGTGTAGTTTTCTTTGCCCAACATTATGTTTCTAGGATTCATCCATGCAGTTCATGGAGTTATAGGTTGGTCCATTCTCATTGCTGAATAATATTCTATTTTATAAAAATGTGTTGATATTTTTATCTGCTCTACTATTGATGGACATTTAGGTTTTTTCCATTTTATAATATTACAAATATGCTGTTAAGAACGTTCTAGTATGTGTCTTTATTACTGTTGGCTATATAACTAAAGGTAGAAGTGCTGGATAATAAAGCATGAATATGTTTAATTTTAGTGAATATAATCAATAGTTTCCAAATTGGTTATACCAGTTCACACTCCTACTACCAGTATCTGAAAAAAAATTGCCGCCCCTTATCAATAAAAAAATTGGCATTGTCTCAATTTCTAATGAACTACATGATGGTCGCATATTTTCTTTCAATTAGCATTTCCATGATGACTAAAAGCTGAACACTTGTCAGCTGTTTTATGACTAGCATTATTATTAAAAAACTAATAAAGAAATCTATCAAATTTCAATCAGCTTTGACCACACAAGATAAAATTTTCATAAACCTTTCCATACTCTTTCTCCAACTTTCTGTATTCACTTAGTTTTATCTGTCACTCCCTTTTTATTTTTTTAATTTAAAAACTTTAAACTAGATAAAATTACTTTTCCTTTAACAGAAAAATTTTATGCCTGCCTTATAATATTTTGTACCAAAAACACAACGTATTTTCCATACACATTTCAAACACAGAAATGTTTCTCTTATATTTAGAAGTTTTAACTGTATATATTACTTACAGTGTTAACTCTTAGTAACCTTAATTTTCAGTGCAAAACATAGGAAGGAAGTAATTTTAAGTGTTATGTATTAGATGCATAGCCCAGGAAGGACAGAGCTTTGAAGGCAATGCCTGGAAAATCTGACCCGTTCCCGCATTGCCAAGAGGCACAGCTGGGCCAGGGAGGAGGATGGGGCTAAGGCAGTGTAGACACACGTATATCCTCAGGCCTTACCATGGCTACTTGACTAGACTTTAGACTCTGAAGGCTCGAGACCAAAGACATAAGTTCATAGACAAATCAAGCAAGTATCACCAATTCACAGAAGCAAGTTTTATAACCTTAAAACGTCTAGCAGAGATAGTATAAATTTGTCTAACTAGTAGACCCAAGCAAAATTTCTCCAATTCTGAAAATATTTTTATTTTGTTTCACCAACAATTTTAACACTCATTTTATTTACCAAAGACTACTAAACTCACATGAACTTGCAAAACATTTAGGCTTACTTACTTAACTTATGAGTGACTATTTATTTGTAAGGCAATTTTATACTATGTAGACAATATACAAATACAGATATGTAGACAGGTATACATAAAAATAGAGACGGATACAAATATCTTATAGCTTTGATTTTAAAATTTTAGCTGTAAAATAGGGAAAGCTCACTAGCTTAAAAGGACATTTGTATTAAATTGTGCCTCTGTAAATATAGTAAGTTTATCTGTCCTACATGACTGAAGCACTTAACGAGTTTTGGAGAAAATAGTGTAGCAAATTTACATCTCAAAGAGAAGGGAGAATTTAAGCTTTTTCAAGAAGGAGTTTAGGTTTGTTAGAGGAAGACTAAGAATAATTGCCAAAGTAATACAAATCATAAGAATTCACCACAGGTTTGTATAAGGAGATCAGTTTCATTTGGATAGGTAGCTTCTCATTTTGGCTCTTTTTCTCAATTAGACCACTGAGTTCAGGATGAACCCATTAATAAATAGGACCAATAAAATATTTGCAGTTTTCAGGGCCTAACATTTAAATATGTAAAAAGTAGGTATAGCTGGAAGACAGAACATCTAGATTTTCAAAAATCAAGATTCCAACCTTTTTTTTTTTTTGAGACAGAGTCTCACTCTGTCGCCCAGGCTGGAGGGCAGTGGTGCGATCTTGGCTCACTGCAACCTCTGCCTCCTGGGTTCAAGCAATTCTCCTGCCTCAGCCTCCCGAGTAGCTGGGATTACAGACACCCGCCACCACGCATGGCTAAATTTTTGTATTTTTAGTAGAGACAGGGTTTCACCATCTTGGCCAGGCTGGTCTTGAACTCCTGACCTCGTGATCACCCACCTTGGCCTCCCAAAGTGCTGGGATTACAGGCGTGAGCCACCATGCCCGGCCTCTTTCAACTTTTACACTGAATCCCAGGTGCCCAAAAGGAGATAAATGCCATGGGAGTGGCTGTGCAATGCTTCCACAGTGCACCTAACCACCTGGGCATTTTCCTGATGATGGTGGATGATACAATGCCAATCAGCCCACTCTGTGATCAGACTTCCCTCATGGGAGTCTTATCACTTGGTAGCAAGTGTTCCCATAGCCTCCAGATATTTAAGCCACACGTTTCTTATCTCCAAGCCCAAAGAAATAAGTAGCCCCTTGCAGTCACAACCATCCACTGCACTGTCAGTCATCTCAGAAACTATATAACCTTATAACCTTCTCTAGTAACTTGCCAGCTATTACACACCCAAAGATCCTGTTCTCTCACAGTATTAAGTAATCCCTGGTACTCTCCAAAGTCAAAGAGATCACATAGTTTAATGTGAAAGAGAGCAAAGCTTTAGACCTGACAGAAAACTGCCCATGTCTCTTCAGACTCCAAAAGTAATCCAAAATATCCCAAAAAGAGTGTGTTCAATGCTTTTTTCTGTGTTCCTGAAGGGTCTCAGCGGTTCTAGATAACTCTTCTAGATGTCTTTACATGATATTGAAGATGGCAAAGAGGAAGGAGGAGCAGAAGTAAAGGCGAGTACAAATCTTAGAGGAGCCATTTTCAGAAGACTATAGGTTTTCCAAAGGGGTCAAGGAAGTGTTGCATTTTTTCTTCAGCAAAATTGTACCGACAAGGAAGAAAATGAACAGAGGGACCAAACACATAATTAAAAAGTGTCACAATTGACTGAAAAAAATTTCCCAAAATCAGGATCCAAAAGAGAAAAAAAAAATAATAAAGAATTTTTTTTCAAAAAAAATGATTATAACCTGACATTGTCAGCTTTTAGTTAAGCTGACTTCTGGCCATACAGCTATTAAAAAAATCTTTGCGAATCTCTTATCAGATTTCAATCAGGACAAACAGCCAATATTGCTGCCTTTTAAACTGTTTCTTTCTTTCTTTTAAATCAAAGATACCTTTCTAAGTGACTTACCAAAGCCAATAAGCCTTTAACCAAGGTTATGACTTAAACAAGGACATACTAGATATCTCCAAAGAGATGCAGAGCAGTGCTTGCAAGATTTATAACGACCCCAAAACAGCTTAAAGAAACGAATGTTTCCATAGTCTCTAGAATCTCAGCTTCTTAGCCAACCATCTACAAACAAAAGCCCAAAATTCCCATATGGCCCAAATATGAAAGAAGTCAAAAGCTGGCCATGAAAGAGAAAAGTTATCAATAACTAATGGGTACCCCCCCAGGAATTCAAGAGTCACACAAATAATTTCCAATGGTGTACTTATTCCAGGAGGGACCCAATTCCATAAACCTGTTCATGGAAAGCCCAGCAGGTAATTTTTCATGTTTAGAATAACTTTTTATCTTAGCAAGAGGTATTATCTGGATAGAGAATAGAAGAGGCAGTTCCAGTGATCCTCTCCGTCAAAAAACTCACTCTCAGGAGTAGATTAAAATAGCAAAATACTCTTGTTGTCACAGACAGTTAAGGATAATGTTTGAGCACACAGTGCCTTTGTTATCCCACAAATGTGTGAAGGGTCGCCAGTCACAGACATGTTAATCTATGACACCAGATAGGCTCTCCTGGGATTGGAGCTTCTCAGGACTAACCAGGCAACAAAGGGGTTGAGATGACGAAAGTCCTATAGGGATGAGACTTTTCATTAAGACAAATTTCCCTGACAGCCTGACACCTTTGGAACAAACAGTATGCTGCCTAAAATTTTATGTGCCTCGGGGTTTCCAGCCATTTCAGACTGGCCACCAGAAGTAATCTGAAAATTATATCCCTCAGATGGTAGAGACCAGGAGAGAGTGCTTCAATTTGGTCATAAGTCAAGCTCTTAAAGACATGAAACAAGACAGAAGGTAACCTCATCCGGTTATATTTTGGGAACCCATAGTAAAGTTTATAGACACTTGTCTGATCAGAATCTCAAAACTGACTGGTCTGCAAAACCAACTTGAATGTCAGGTTTGTAGAAGTTTTAGGCCCTTGTTCTACTCTGTGCTACCCCTCTTTATGACAGAAAACACAGACAAGGGAAAATACTATTTCTGGCAGAAAAGGGATCAAACAGTATGACGATTCAGATCAAAAAGTATATCAGGGTTGCTATACCCAAAACTAGTCACATGAATTCTCTTCTCAAAAACTAGTCACATGAATTCTCTTCTCCCATTAATCAAAATTTAGCAAAGAGAGACAGTGATATTTACCTTCTGCATGACTGGATTCCGCAGACAGAGAGGCTGAAAGCCTGGCTGGTAAGAATCTCTTACCTGCTCACTTGTCAGGTCCTGGGTTCCCTTTACTGTGGCTTCCTGAAGAGCAGAGCGTCTTTGGTAGGCTGCTGGTTGTGCCAAAACCGTAGGGGCCAAGGGAACACTTCCCCTTCACCCACTTTAGTTTCCCTGAAAAATCAACTCACAAAAAAGAGATTAATAAAAGACATACAAATTAATTAATGTGAATGGGGGAAAATCACAGAGCAATTACTCCACTGTGCAATAGGGTACAGATGGCTTATATCCACTTCTTTTTAGGAGGAAGAGAGATGGGGAAGTGCAAATTATTTCAAGGGAGTAGTAAATTATATTTAGGGGACTCAATGGGCTTGGATGCACAGTGGCCTGGGACAAAGTCTGTTGGACGCACATAACAGACAATGGTTTGTGACAATAGTCTGTCCAGGTGTGTTGACAGATTTGTCTTTCTTCATGCAATATGAGTTCAGTTATTAAAAGCTCAAGGAAGGAACCAGAGGTGATTATTCTCTTCTTTTGTGTGTTCATACTTTGGGCAGATAAGGGAACTCAGAGAACAACTTTATCTCGTGCTTTGGAGGGATAGAGGGTTAAGAGAAGGTGGGGTAAAGTGTGTGGGAGGGGGAAGGTCAAAGAGACCACGAGAGGCTTCTTCAGTTCAGCAATTCAAAAGTGCCCTGTTTTTGGGGTGTCAGTTTCTGAGCCTCAGCCCAACAATGTATTGTTAACTACAGGCACTATGTTGTATAACAGATCTTTAGAATTTACTCATCTAGCATAACTTAAATTTTATACTTATTTACCCCTCAATTCCAGCCCCTGGCAACCGCTATTTCTATGAATTTTACTACTATAAATACCTCATATGTGGGGGAAAGGTGGCCTGAGTTTGAGGCTCATCAAGTTTTCTATTTGGTTCCTTTATTTGGTTATTCTATTTCTATTTGGTTACTCCAGCTCTGCCAGTTTATCTCTGGACTTGCCCATTTTCATGCCATCTGAATTCTTACTCTTTTGGTCAGGCATGAAATCCACACCTACACCCCACAGAATTGGCTGTAATCACCCTGCCATCTCTATTACTCTTCTGTAATAAAATTTTAAGTCTTCTAGTCTTTGGTATACTTTAGTTTTCTGTTGCCATTAAATAGATAATTTATGTACATTTTCTGACTTTCTAAAAATTTTTGGTGAAATAATAATTCTAAAACAAGCTGTTCCAGGTTCTCCTCAAAGACTTCATTGAGGTGCTTTTGGTTTCATCCACACAGAAAAATGAAATGCCTAATCTACTTATTTTGCAACTAATTTCCTCACATACATGGTTATCTATCTGTATGTTGTGTCATATTATGAAAGCACATTGAAAAAATATAAACTATATATATATAAACTATGTCATTCTAAAATGTTGCCTACTCTCCTTCCTTAGAAAGTAGTTTTAAAAATTAACCTTCTTTTAATGATTCATAAATTTGTAGTATTGGATGCCTCTCTCTCCTCTCTCTATCAAATATATGGACAGTGCTATTTTTCAGTTGTAGGTTAGTGCTAATTGTTTGCAACTAAGAGTAATTTGACTAGGATTCTAGATCTGTGCTTTTTTTTTTTTTTCTGTTTGTTTTAGAGACAGGGTCTCACTCTGTTGCCCAGGCTGAAGTGCAGTGGCACGATCTCGACTGACTGTGGACTTGACCCTCCATGCTCAAGCGATCCTATTGCCTCAACCTCCCGAGTATCTGGGACCACAGGAATGCACCACCATGCCCTGCTAGTTTTTCATTTTTTGTAGAGACAGGGTCTCATTATATTGCCCAGGCTGATCTTAAATCCTGGGGTCAAGTGATCCTCCCACCTCGGCCTCCCAAAGTGCTGGGACTACAGGTGTGAGCCACTGTACCTGGCCAGGTCTGTTTTTTAAGGGCTAGGTGATATTAGCAAAATCCCTCTGCTCACAGGGTGTCAGTTTCCCTGTTGCTAAAATGAGGTAGGTGACGTATTTAAAATTAAATGGTAAGTCCTATATAGCTACGAAATTGGTATTAGGTATTAGGATTAATTAATTAGGATTCATTAATTAATCTGGTATTAGGATTAATCCATGCTGAATTTAACATACAGCATATAATTAATTTTTATTTGTTTTTAATAGGTTTTTGCCATCTAGATAACACCTTTTTATGTTAAATATACTTTCTTCTCATGAAATATCAAAGGAAAAAATACTTTGATTATTGAAGTTTCTTCTTATTACTAATTATAGTTACCATGCTTACTGTGCAACAGCACTGTGCTTATATCTTTCAGAAGAGACTATCTTATGTTGTTTCTTTTTCTCCCTCTGTCTGTCTCTACCTCTATCTCTCTGCAGCTTTGGAGTCTACAATAAGCTTCATCGAATTTATTTAATTTTTAAATTTTATTTTTAAGAGACACTACCATCTCATATTGAAGCTTCACATTAGGTTCAGTTTGTCCTTCAAAACTGGATTAGAGAGCATTGCCAACACATATGGTAACTTCTGGAACTCTAAAATTTCATGGTCTTCCACAGTCAAATGTTTATTTCTCGCTCATGCCACATGTCCAGTGAAGGTTGGCTATAACTCTGCTATGCTTCACCTTCACTCTGGTCTGCGTTTGTTAAGAGTATTATCAATCATGTAGAAGAGAGAAAAGGCATATAGTAGAAACCACATAATGCATCTCAAAACTTCTGCCCACAGGTGCTACACATGAAACTTGTAACCAGTTACTACAGGCGAAAGCAAATCCATGTCTTCAGGCTGGTGTCATCAGGGAGAGAAGGTAAATCCTCCTTAAGTAGGGGCAACGAATATTTGCAAAAATAAGATACAGCCTAACACAACGTACTTAAATATATTATTTACATAAACTTTAATTCAGGACTAACAGTAGGTGATACTTTCTTAATTCTGGGGGAAACAAAGCTATGACCATAGATGTAAAGCTGTCAAATTCAAAAGGCCTGGATTTGAATGCAGATGCAGACTTATGGTTGTCAAAGAATATATTCTTAACTTCTACTCATTTGGTCAAATTTTTATGAATTGATTGTATTCTTTTATTGTGATCTCCTAAAAATAAATAAGAATGAGCTAAATGAAAATAAGGACAATGATTTTTTTTTTCTTTTTCAAAAACTGGGATTGCCATTGCCCTGTTGGAAACTATGTTCTATATGGCTCCTAAGCTTTTAAAACATTTGTTTTTTTTATTTTCATGGAAACTTTTTCATGGTGATTCTATTTTTAAATTCTAATATTGCTGTTTAATTTTTTTGACCAAGGAGGTAGAGGAGCAATGAGTCAAAGTCAAAGAAGTAGAGTAAGGAGAAAAGGAGGGGCAAGCATAGCACTTTTCATCCCACAGAAATTGGGAATTTAACAGCTGATTAGCTGTTAGAGTGTCTTACAGGTTCCCTTGTGTTTTACATTTCTTTTAGCTCAATTAATGACTCACTCTGCCTTTTAATCTGCCCTCCTTAGATTATTAACACAGTAGCCTTGTTAATCTAAGGGAAATTGCAAGGAGGCGGGTGTTAAATACTATTGGCCAGTATCTTTCCCATATTAGAATGCTTAATCATGTCTTGCTGATTCATATTTAGACCTTTCTGTATTTAACCTGGTTCTATAGTTGATATATGACACAGCTTCTAAATTTTCATTATTCTGGAATTTATTGAATAATGTTTGAAATTGTTTTTGAAAAAGATTATTTTTTAGGTTCCACAGACAAAGCATAAAATTAAAATATGTTTCATATTCCTTCAGCTTTGGTTTCCACATAAGGATATAAGATCATTGATGTAAAACAAGTGAGTTTCACTTTATACCCAGGTAATATGATCTAGCATTTATTAAAGAAAGAAAAGTATAGTCAATATTGGTTGCTGCTGCTCCATTATTGCATTAGGTTATTTGCTACTTTTTCTAAACTCCTCTAGTCTCACAATTTCATTGTTATTAATCCAGGAAAACAAGAATTTAAGACTTTCTGTTTTTCTCTTTCTCTCTCCTCTCTTTCTCTCTCTTTTCTTCCTCTACCTCTAGCTCTCTGGCTTTGGAAGCTATAATAAGTTCCACTCAGTTAATTTTTTTTAATTATTTTTCTGAGGCACTGCAAACTTGTATTCAGAGGTTCCACATTAGATTTAGTTTGTCCTTCAAAACTGGATTAGAGAGAGATGTGAACACATATGGTAACTCCTGGAACAGTTCATAGTTTGAACAACCTACAGGAAACCACGAAAGCCACATTTCCTGTCAGTATTGTAAAGCCAAAATCTGTGTTTGGAAATGAACTTGAGCATGTGCTTAAAATCTGTGCAGAAACCCATTTAGTGATCTTATGCAGTTTTAGAGGTGACGTATCTCGAATGACATTCAAATAAAAGCTACCAAAACCTTGATTGCATCTTAATAAGTGAAAGTAATTTCAAGTTTTATTTTGTGTTTTTTAAATGGATACTATTTTTACAATTTTTAAACGCCACTCCAAATCAGAGTTAAGTTCAATTGCTTGTCTCTCCTTGCTTTGCCTATGAGTTCCATTTATGTTTTTTCTCCAAAAGACAAGATGTAAAATTTTTGTCCTTAAAATAGTTTCCAGTTTTTCATGTTCATTCTGTGAAAAAAGTGTGCAATATGTTTACGTAAATAATGTTTCAGCCATCCCTGGTATTAGATATGAGTGGTGAAATAAACCAGTAACAAGCTAAATAAATTTTTAAATATCTTCAGTATATGAGTGCTGTATGTGAATAGGTCGTTTGATCTTTTAGAAAGAACAGAGTTGATAAGAAACACTATAGCAAATTTCCAAAGCCTGAAAGCTCCTGGCTGTTAACAATTGGCACTTCAAAGATTCTTTGACAGCAAAGATGGTGACAGCTAAGAGTGTATCATGAGGAGAGTTTATAGTAAACAAATGTTGCCTTTGATGCAAATTTGGGTTTCTAAAAACATTAGTTATTACTGAATGGATTTTCAAAGGCTGCTCTACAAAGCCTGCTGGAGAAATTGCTCTGTGGCATTACTCCAAGCTTGTGTTTATGTATGAAAAATGGGACTTTTTCATTTTCAAATGGAGGATTATAGTTATAGGTATCTTCCATGTATATTATGTTCAGTAAGGATTATGTGTCAATTTAGCCCAGAGAATAAGCTGTTATGCGATGACTGATGTTTGAGAAGATTCTTTCAACTTTGGATAGGCTACTCATCTCTAGCTTTTATCATCCCAGGGCTCACCTATTCAGCAGAATTCTTTCCCTCTATACTCTCTTAGTCTACAGCTTCACCTGAGAAACTTGTGTAGCTGTATATCCGAGTGTGCGTTCCTACCATTATTATTTTTCTCCAATATAGAGTTTTCTCATCTTTCTCTTCTTATTCAGTTAAATTTTGAACTTAATAGAATTCTTCCAAACTTAGTCTCCTCTTCTCTTTCACACTTAGAATATATAGTATTAGATAGGAAAGTTGATTCTGCAGTGTCTACTCGCCATGAAGCTAAATTGGATAGAAGCCAGTCTAAGGCCAACATTAATTTATTCAACAATACAAACCTTTCCTTCAATTTTATGGAAAAAGATTATTTTGTTTGCCAGTGTTTATACATATAGATTAAATGTGCCACCAGGTGTAAAAAGGGAAGCACTACACTAGGTTCTTAGAAATCGCAAGGCAGTTGTCAAGCCTTCTTGTTCTCTTACTGTTTTACAGCTCTGTTTATAAAACTTCATGGCTGAATTGGCAGGAAGAAAACAACCACAGATAAATTATCCACCTAAAGGATTAACATTCATTAATATAGATAACAGTGTCAAATTTAAGAGTATTAGGTGGCAATTGTGGTGAAGTGGTTTTAATGACTAAAGATACAATGAGGATAATTTAAAAGGCTTTTGAAAGAAATGTCAACCCAACACTCTAATGAGGGTGAATTTTTTAAAGAATGATGAGACTGTTTACATTCAGCAGACATCTTGTTCTTCACATAGACCAAAATACAAATGAGACAAGTTAGTGGTGGATGAGAAATAGAGATAAATTATTAATATCTCTGTCATCCTGAACCATTGGGCTGTTCTTCTTATCTACCGTCTGACATTAGGTGTGTTTACAGTAAACCCAACCATTTTTGCTTTAGTGTATAACAATTTATTTTTATTATTTGCTGAGATGCTTACACATATATGCACATATTTTTGCTTGATACAGAAATATCAGTTTACTTTATATAAGTTGCATATTGTGATACAGAGATGAATCAGGTATAAGTGAATACATTTCTCAACAAATTTATGTTTATGTTTAAAAAACAAACAAAACGATACATTTAAACATCAAAACAGTAAAATGAAGAAATTGTATTATAGCTATGTTAGACAACAGATTAGTATTTATATATTATTCAGTATAGATATAAGTTGGTACAATGAGCCCTATCCTCTCAATATATGCTTTAGGCAAAAACACAATAAATAGTTAATGTAAGAAGAAATCAGGATGTGTAATCAATACATCTATAAAGGTTCACTGCCACTAATAATCAAATAGTTGTAAATTAAAACAAGTTATATTTTTTGTTTTTCGACTTTGCAAAAATTGGAAACAAATTATAAATAATAAGAGACCATAACAAAGATACTTTTTCTTTTTTTTTTTTTTTGGGACGGAGCCTCACTGTCACCCAGGATGGAGTGCAGTGGCACGATCTTGGCTCACTGCAACCTCCGCCTCCTGAGTTCAAGTGATTCTACTGCCTCAGCCTCCCGAATAGCTGGGATTATAGGTGCCCACCACCACGGCCAGCTAATTTTTGTATTTTTTTAGTAGAGACAGGGTTTCTTTCACCATGTTGGCCAGGCTAGTCCTGAACTCCTGACCTCAGATGATCTGCTCACCTTGGCCTCCCAAAGTGTGGGAATTACAGGCATGAGCCACCACACCTGGCCAAACAATGCTATTCCTAATAATAAAAACTTTAAAAATTATATTTAAATTATATTTTAAACTGACGTTTTAAAATAATGAATTTATCAGTCAACATTTGGTCAGGAAAACAGTTTATAACTAAAATGAATTGGCTAACATGCACAAGACATCATAATTAACGTTTCAGGACATTATAATATTACTTTTGGACTTGTCTTTGCTCTAGAGGTGTAAAATAAGACATTTATATTATCAGTTCTGCTTTGATGAACTAGTTTTCACTTTCACCACTGGTATGTTAAAAACATTTTCTCACAAAGATATTCATTTCAATGAGTTAAAAGAAACATTTATTGGGTTTGGGGAAGCAAAGCAATGTGTGAACATGAAGAATTGGGGTCAGAAAAGTGAGGGGACCAGAATTTAGTTAGATAGACAGGAACCAGAAAAATTCATATCACATAGAAATCAGAGCAAAATATGTCCCAAGAGCATGCGGGGCATCAGCAGGAAATGAGAAATAGGTGAAGTCAAGTAGAAGAATAAGCCCTCGGCACACATAAATAAGGAAAGGCATCACAACTGAGGCCATTTTCTATTGCAGTCTTGCTGAACTTTAAGCTTCTTGAGAGCAAGGACCATCTTTTATTCCAATACGTAGTAGAATGGCTGGAAGAAATGTGTTCAAAAGTAGAACTGAAATAATGGACTCTACCCTTTAACCTTGAGGCGGCCTATTCTGGAGTTTTCAGCCACTTAATATCAAGAGCAATTGCCAAACCAAAATAAATAATAATTTTACAGTTATAATTTATTCTAATGAAAGGCAGAAAAATATTTTATTTATTCTATACAAAAAGGTAGATATCTTGGATTGAAAATGTCAAAATAAAAAGTTTTGTGCTTTGACTTCACTTTGAATTACATCTTTTTTGTGATACTTGGTATGCAATATTATGTGCATTTATTTATGTTTGTCTCCCCTACTACAGAGTAAGCTTCTTGTCCTGGAACATATATTCCTCTTTACATTCTCAGCACCAGGTTGTACTGATAGTTTCCATTACTTTTAATTGATCTGAAATTTTCCCCTTTTGAACAACCATTCATTTCCCTTCTCCATCTCATGCTTTAGGCTGAATCAACTTTATACTTGACTCAAAGAGCAGACCTGTGCTCTAGGCCTGAATAATATGATTCTTTTCAGAAATGAGTCTATAACTCCAAAGTAGACTTCACCAGTGAAAATCAATCCTTGAGATGATTGCTACAGTTCTTAAATAAGAAGCATTCTTTTCTTTTGAACTCCAAACTGTAAGAATGATGTAAGCAGTACTTACACAATATAAAGAGATCTTGCTCAATAATGAAAGAAATAGAAGAGAGAGTAAGTGAAAAGCTGAAGTGGAAGAGAGAGAAAGAGAAAGAGATGGAGAGACTTGATGGTACCGAGCCCTTAGAACTCTCTCTGAAATCTAACCCTATTTTCTCAGGGTTACATAGGCCAATACATTTCTTTTTTGTACTTGAGTTTGTTTGAATTAGATATCTGTCACCCACAAGTGAGAGAGTGATCAAAATTTTCTAGTGGAAACTAAGATCAATTGTAAGCATATTATTGGTAAATTCGGGAAAATTTGAATGTAGACTGTATTTGATAAAATTTTATATAAATGTTCATGTCCTATGGTATAATAATAATAGTGAGGCTATATAAAACAATAGCTTTGAGAAATACATTCTAAAATATTTAGAGGTTCAGCATCATAAAATCTTCAACTTTTAAAAGGATTATCAAAATAAAGTATATATTTTTATATAGAGACAAAACGAACATTTAAAACATTTAAAAATTAGTGAATCTAAGTGTTGACTGTATATGTGTTCATTGACTATTCTATTAACTTTTCAGTAGGTCTAACATTTCTCAAATATAATTCGGGGGGAGGGAACCCAAAAAGCAAAAATTATTGAGTACCACAATTGCTTCATAATAGATGTTCCACAAAGCACCTTTCCCCCCAATTTTTGCTAAACTTTGTAAGCTCCTTTATTCACTTGAAGTAATCAAAATAGTTAAATCAACAATACAATGCTTTTATTCCCACCATGTTTTATGCACAGAAGTCAAATTGTGTAATACTTTATTTGGGAATGAAAGTGAGTTATGTATCTAGATAACAGAAAGGACCAACTTATCAAGTTAGACTCACGTGAATCAGAGATCTTACCCAGAACTAACCTTCCCTAATCATTTCAAGGATACAAATAACTACCACATGCAAAATAAAGAGAGGCTTGAGAGTATCATCACATCTCCGTGAGTCTTTTATTGTCACATTAGGACATGCTCTGTCCAGAACAATATCTTAGGATTCTAAGTGATGTATGTGGCTGGATTACATACACAAAATGGAGACGTTTCATTCCTGAAATATCTTTATTTTATACTCAGTTACATAGCTCACATGACATTTTCCAGGGAGCCATGCCTATACATCTTCCTATTCTGTGCTTGCTTACCATACGCAATCTTAGACAAACCTAGGGCATTCCATAGATAGTCTCTGTTAGTAAGTATCATTATATGTTTGCCAAGAAGTCTGTTGCTAGCAGTTAGCATGTTTACAAGGAGGTTTCAGCAAATCACCTTTCTTTTTTCTTTCCCCAGGACATGTAACCTCTCAAATTGAGAGAATGGATTGGAGAGATATTGTTGACCATGTTTTCCCCTGTATCTCACCTTCCCCTCTCCAAGACTTCCTTGTCAGTTACCCATATTGATATCAGTTTATCCACATCCATGCTTTCAAGTTTAAACAAAGAAACTAGGCAAAGGCAGCTATGTATTCGCTAGGATTAGGGAGGAGAAGATAATGAACCACTGGATAGTGAGAAGAAAGAGAGGTGGAGAAAGTGAGAGACCCCAGTAACAGAGGACAGGGACACATTGCTAAGGATAGGGACACATTCACTGTAATATAGAAGGCCATGCTTATATGTAAAATATGCAGTAATTGTATATATATGTACAAAAGTGATGACACACATATGCACATAAACAAAACACAATTACTGTCTATGTTTCTTTATTTGTGACCTAATGTTTTATGTTGTTTGTAACTGAAAAAAAAATTCCCTTCTGAATAAAATGTCAATTTTGCGATTGCATTTTTTCTTGTTTTTACTGTAATATTTCAATTATTTGTATATATATATTTTTGAGACAGGATTTCACTCTGTTGGACAGGCTGGAGTGCATTGGCCTGATCATGGCTCTCTGCAGCCTTGATATCCTGGGCTTGAGCAAACCTTACACCTTTGCTTCCTAAGTATCTGGGACTATAGGCGTGCACCACTGTATCTGGCTAATTTTTTTATTTTTTGTAAAGACAGGGTCTCACTATGGTACCCAGGCTAATTGTTTATATCTGAGTGACGGAGTTTTAGTTTTATTAAATTTGATCAATTTCATTGGTGACTGTCATAATGGCAAATCACTTTCATACATATATGATGTTTGTGATATATGTATGTGTGTATGTGTATATACACATACATCTTAGGACTTGTGAATCATCTTAGGGCTTCCTACCTGTAGGCAGAAAGAAATGATAACTCAGTAAGGCATATTATCCTAAAGTAATACTATACGTGTGTATATCAATGAATTTATACATCTATTATGGTGTGTAGCACAGTTTAAATTCCTTGATGCCATACTTCCATTACACAAAATAATATATGTTCAAATATCACATGACTTGCAAGACTTTTTACTATTTTGCTATTTTAAAATATAATAATTTCATGTTATCTATTATTCAGAAATTATTTCCATGTATTTCATATTTGTGTTTGATGAGAAGCAGTTAAATAATACCTAGAGTGTCCTTATTGTCATCACATAATAATAAAGCTTTTTATTTTATCCCATTCTTGGAATGAAACCTCAGGTTTTATGCAAGGAGAACCTAGATAGTTTAGAGGCCTGTGTCCAGCTTTCTACCTAGAACTTGCAGATGAAAGCTGTCTTAGTTTATTTGCCCTGCTATTACAAAATACCTTAAACTTGGTAATTTGTAAAGAACAGAAATTTATTTCTCACAGTTCTGGGGGCTGAGAAGTCCAACTCAAACTGCCAGCAGATTTAGGATCTAGTAAGGGCTGCGCTCTGCTTCCAGAATAGCTCCTTGTTGCTGTGTCCTAACATGGTTGAAGGGCAAAAGGCACTTTGGCACTCCCTTCAATCTCTTTCATAAAAGGACTAATTCATTAATGAGGGTGGAGCCATCATGACTGAATCACATCACTAAAGACCTCACCTCTTACTACAAGCACATTGGGTATCCAAAGTATGAACTTTGGAGGGACATTTTGTTGCAGGACTTTCTCCTGAGTTCAACTAAAAACCAGATTTTTGTCACATGACCAGGAAAGAGTAGGCTCTCGGACACATAGAAGGGTGGGAAAAACAAAACTTATTGGGCAAAAAAGGAAAAAGAGAAAAACTTTCAGCAGAGTGAGGGGGAAGCCTGTTAACCAGCTCCTGACCCACCGCACAGGAACTCAAGAGACCAGGCTCCTCCCCTCTGCAAACAGGACAAACTTCTGTGGCTCCACCCCATTCTCCCAGTGTGCAGGCCAGATTGGAGGTTCTCCAGGGGGTCCTTTTTACTTGGCTGTCTCATTATATATTCAAACCAAAGCAAAAGCTATGGATACCTCCTTTCAAAAATATCTTGTTCACACTGTAGGATAGTACTGGAAGGTGGGCAGGGGGCCCAAAGAGCTGTCCTTGCAATCCCTACTCTATGTGACCCTGGCATGGAGAGGGGCGTACTCAAAGAATCCCTGCATCTCCTAGAATGTGGTGTGGAGATTGACTGGGAGTGAACTAGTGAACTCACAGTCCTGAAGGGGACTTGTAACACTAAAGAAATGAACACAAAATTTTCAAAGCTGGTCACTGGAAATGCCAAGGGGCAGACACCCAAAGATGAGATAAAGTGAGCTATACCTCATCAAAAGCCAACTAGAACCCACCAACTCTCTCTTCAATCCCTGGGAACAGAAATCAGCCCAGTGAGAAAGGCAGAAAAAGGAGAAAGAATTGTGAAATCACTATTTACTTTTAAAAGACTGAATTACGTATCCTGAATTTGCAGTGAGAAAGCACATTAAATTGACTCAAATATGTTGTCCACCATTTAGAGAACTAAGGCTGAGTTGGAGATAAAATTTGAGCTATAAAACAATGTTCTTTCACTACACACTTGAGTCTAATGGACTCCTTCAAATTTTATATCCTCCAAACATTCATATCTTTACATTTTTGTTGTTGAAAGTACAAACGGTTTGTATGCCATGCCTTGAGAAACCAGCATTCATGGATATAATCAGAAAGCATCTTTTCTCTTCCATTGTCTTTTAAAAATTTGTTCAACGATAAAGTACCACCTCTATGCTCTGCTGAGAACTCCAAAAAGCATTCCTCCAAAAGCATTCCTATGCTTTTTGGCTTACTTTTATTATAAAAGGTCTTATAGTTACATGGAAAAAAAAAAAAAACCTTTTCAATTCAGTGATTACGTGCTTCTAGTTGTTTTCTAGTTCTCAAACTAATCTAAACATCACACCTGATATAAAATGAGATCTTCCCTTTCTCTTTCGCAACTTGCTGCTTGCTGGCCTCTGGCAGGACACAGTGGTGTTATGTCTCCCTTATATTTTCACCTCTGTTTTAAATTTAGCTAAGGTCCTTGACCACAGTAATATTAAATGGCTGGACGGAGGTGAGTTTAGGGAAACAGAAAAGTTGTCGCCTTATACTGCATAAGCTGGCTTTGTATTCTCGGGGCTTGTCTGGTGTTTAAAATACAATTTGATTTATAAGAGATATTCATACTCTAGGAGTGAGCCATTTTCAACAACAGCATTCTTCTCCGCTCAGCTGCCAAATCAAGTAGCCACTCCGTATCTCTTGTTTCCTGTCTCTCTAGATTTCCCAGGTGAGAGGCAGAAACAAATCTGCTGAGTCCTTCTGAATGCAGCAAAGATTTATCAAACTTTTTTCTTCTCCTGAGTTACGAGAAAGTTATGCCACTTTGTTCCACTAGAGTGTAGGCCCTTGCAACACAGCGCTCCCCAGAGAAATACTTGAAGCATAACTTCTCTCTTTATCCATGCTCTTTCATACCCACAATGTGGATAGAAGAGGCTGGAGTCAGTAATCAATTTTGGTTAATCTTCTTTTCCAAGAACCCCATGCTAGTCAATATTGATATTTTATTTTATTCAATATTGATGTGCATGCTTCATTCAAAATTAGAGAGAACAAACTCGATATTTATATGCTGTTTGTCTCTATGTATCCATCTATGTATCTATCTATCTATCATCTATATATCTATCTTCTTTTTTTTTGACAGAGTTTCACTCTGTCACCCAGGCTGGAGTACAGGGGGCATGATCTCAACTCACTGCAACCTCTGCCTCCCAGGTGCCTCAGCCTCCAGAGTAGCTGGGATTACAGTCACGTGCCACCATGCCTGGCTAATTTTTGTATTTTTGGTAGAGACGGAGTTTCGCCATGTTGATCAGGATGGTCTCGAACTTCTGACCTCAAGTGATCTGCCTGCCTCAGCCTCCCAAAGAGCTGGGGTTATAGGCATGAGCCACCGCACCAGGCCTATATATCTATCTTTGTATCTTTTCTTTTTATCTATTTACCTATTCTAATTGGTTTTACTATACTATATGCTTGTAGTTCAGAGTAAATTAGGTGGCATTCCAACAGGATCTTCTCATTTGCAATGTCTGCATTTAAGAATTCAGAAGGGTCTATTTTCTCATTGCCAAAATAAGCAAAATTTGATTCACCATCTTTAGATTCTCTTGTAAATCTGATATTTAAAATTATTTGTCCCTTGTTCCTACCATGGGTCCTCCGTGGAGCAAGTAAGTAAGGTATATACCATGTTCTAGATATAAAATTATTTTTTTCTTAATATGGCAAGGCATATAAATAAGTCTCAATTATGAGTGTAGATAAGCTACATTGGGTTTTCTTCAATTTTCATACTGTGTATACCAGTTCACTATAACTGTCAAGTTTCATGTAGATGAAAAGCAATATATGTGTGAATGTGAGCAGTTAAGAATACAAACAAAGAAAAGTGCCTTAGGATGCCAAATAAGATTTAAAACACTAACACAGACACACAAAGCATGACTGCAGGAGAGTTATACCCACCAGATTTGTGATAGAATCTCAAAGTTACACATTGCAACAAGGAATAGCAAATATACAAAATACACTTTCTAATAGTGTCTGAGTAAAGGAAGTACATAAATAATAGAAAAAAAGTGAAAAAGAAGTCTCACAAGATTGAATAACATTCATATGAACAAGCTCCCTCTGTGCTTAAAAAAAAAATACAGTTCGGCCGGGCGCGGTGGCTCACGCCTGTAATCCCAGCACTTTGGGAGGCCGAGGCGGGCGGATCACGAGGTCAGGAGATCGAGACCATCCCGGCTAAAACGGTGAAACCCCGTCTCTACTAAAAATACAAAAAATTAGTCGGGCGTAGTGGCGGGCGCCTGTAGTCCCAGCTACTTGGGAGGCTGAGGCAGGAGAATGGTGTGAACCCGGGAGGCGGAGCTTGCAGTGAGCCGAGATCCCGCCACTGCACTCCAGCCTGGGCTACAGAGCGAGACTCCGTCTCAAAAAAAAAAAAAAAAAAATACAGTTCATATTCCTGAATCACACTAGTCACTTCGACATAAAGCAGGGACCTGATTGTTTCATCTGCTTCCCTTATTGAATTGCGTGCATGTATATTTTGGAGAAGTTCTCAAAAGGAACTGTTTTTCCACCAGTTTATATCAAATTATATGTAATCATCCAAATACAAAGTTCAAGAACTCTAACCTCTAAAAAACAGCGAAACATATTCATTTTTATTTCCTCATTTTGACTTTTAAGTATGCATATACTTTAAAGGGCCTATTTTTTAAATGAATTCATGCTTTGAATGTTTTCTTGAAATCCTCTCTTCTGAATATGACTTAATCCATGTTGGTTTTATATGTCAACTTTTCATTGACTATTAATATTAATAAGGCTGTTTCATGCATGTTTATACTACTTGAATCTACATAACTTCATTCTTCTAAGTGTTTTGTACTGTATATTTATTAAGGATATAGTCTTTTTATCATTTTCTGTTTGTAGTCATTAGCCTCATTTTCCTACATTGTTCTATAGTGAATATCACAGTCAACTATAGTCATTAGCTAATGATCCATTGTCTCTTAGATGCAAGATTAGAAACAGAGATGCTCATGCTGAGCAAGTGAAAACTGACTATCTCACACCTTGTGAAAAGGAATTAAAGAGAAAAATCCAATTAGATACTCTTAGTAGGGGTCAGAAGAAGTAAGGGATTTTATTAGTTATTCTATATTCACTTTGTCTTTATAGCATAGAAGAAAATTATGCATTGAAGAGGCAGATATTTATGAAGTGGGTTACTGGACAATTACTGAAGTTTCTGTGGCCAAAAAAAATGTAAATTATAAGCAATGGCTTAATTTCAAGTCAGCCTTTACTCTTTAGTCAAACTACCTCTGTATGTTTCAACATACTAATTTCAGTATCAAAAGTGCTCAATAACAATAACAATTTTTGAAGGTTTTTCCAGAATGTACTGTTGGCAAAGATTCACAGATCCTTATATTTAGTGTTCATTTCCTAGAATTAATTTGATAAAGTAAGAAGTTAAGAGTACAATAGACTCCTTTAATTGGGGCTCAGTTGAATAGTTGATATTGAATAATTTTTGTGTTACAGAATAATTGTACTTTTTCCTCATTACACATGTACAATCTTACAGCTCTATCTCAGGCCATGATATAATTATTCTTTACAACGTTAATTATAGTGAACATAACACTGTGTAATGTCGACATAGGGTTTTTAATTTTAGGTCTGTGACTTATGTACACAGCATCCAGAGTTAATCATATAAATTTCACCCCCTCTCCACCAATTATTTTAGTAGATGTGATCATTTAAAACAGCAGTAAAGAGAATGTTTGGTGGCAACTTTCTGTTATTTTATATGCCATCTCTCATATTCTTTGTTTTTAATGTTTGGCTCACCTTGTATCAGTCTTTAATAGACATTTGTTATTATAATTTAAATGTTTAAATTTCTTCTTTCCCATTATTTCTATGATGTCGTTCTTTGCAATTTAAAATTTAATTAAATTCTGATGAATCTTTCTTGCCAGAGTATTATCAATCATGCCATGTGTGTTATCACTGTTTTATATGTTTAAGAAGTATGTTGCATGTGGGTTTATGTGTTACAAAGGTGTTTCCAACTACAGTCATCTGATAGTTTAATCTGATATTTTAGCAAGATATATTTAATTTCTAATTTTAGAAAGCTTAAAATTCAAAAGGTAGAAAAACAACTATGAAATAGCAGAAAGAGACCAAAGAGAAAGGCTGAAAGCCAGAAGGTGGCAACGTCATAGAAGTCAAGACAGATTGAGATGCTAAAGTTAACATGAGAAGAGAAGTGTTCCCTCTGGGTCTCAGATGAGGAATGACGGATGTATTCATGGTGTAGGTTGTAGGGTTATGCTTGGATTGAGGAGAATACTTCTTTCAATATGACAGGAAGGGAAAGGAAGAATAAATGCAGATAGTGATTTATTAGCTGGCAGTAAGATGGGGAGTGGAAGTGAAACTGACCCAGTTGTCCTATAGAGCTGATGTTTATGCTTTCTTTGAATAAACATGGAAATTGGCCCTCCTCCTCTTCAAATCTGAGAAAGTTATATTTGTCTCATCTGAGTTCCCTTCTTGGGAAACCAACCTTCATGCCTTCCAGATAGTATCAAGGAGCTGCAATGAACCAGATCACTGCATTTGGACAATAAGACTCCAAACCCCTCACCCATTATGACTACCTAATCAACCACCTGCTTCCTGTTAACCAAATCTTCTTCCTTACCCCTCCCTAATTCCTGTTTTACCACACATGGTTACATTTCTTTTCTGCTATATAAACCCGTAATTTTAGTCAGTCAGGAAGATGGATTTGATAATGATCTCCCATATTCTCAGCTGTAGCACCTGATTAAAGCCTTCTTTCTTGGCAATACTCATATTCTCAGTGATTGGAATTTGGTGTGGCAAACAGGAGGCACTAGACCTAATCCCTGGTGTTTCGGTAACAGGAGTTCTTGCTTAATTATTTTATTTGCTGAGAAGAAAAAGAGAAAGTGGTGAGGTTTAGAACCTAAGGTGACAGATGTGGGCAGAGAGAGAAATAAATGTCCATGTATAAGAAAATGAATTAATAAACATCTTTGACATTCTGGTTGAGTTTAGAAACAATGGGTTTCAAGTCATGACAATGTTTATATTTTTATTTTGCAATACTTAATAACATAAACTTAAAAATGGAAGAAAATTGTCATTTGAATAGATTTAAAATTTTGTAATTTTGGAATATGTCTGGGAAAAAAAATGAAGATAATTAAAGGTCCCAGAAAGAGGGTTCTTAAAGTAGTAGACCATAGGTTTTAGATCTAAAATAGAAAAAAAAAGTCCCAGGGGTATGTGGGTAGACCAAGAGGACATAGAAAGATAAAGGAAATTGAGCCCTCAATTAAAACAAGCAAACAAACATAAAAGGAGTAAGAATGAGGGAAAAAAAGAACATGAATATGAGGAAATTGAAGTGTTAGATTTTAAAGTTGTAAATGTCTGACAGATGTAATTGATGCCAAGTTTCTGAAGTGCCTATTAGAATGAATTACTGAAGCAGAATATTAGTAAAGATTATTAAAAATGAAAAATAATTTCTTAAAAGTTAAAGTTTGTTGGCTGAGACAACTAGAGCCAAATTGATAGTGGGGGTGGGGGGAGCAATGAAATAACAGGAAAATGAATCCACATATAAAAGCTCTTTATCAGCAAAAGGATTGTGGTGAAGAAGTAGATGCAGCCAGGAAATGATAGGTGAGGGGAAAAAAAAAAAGACAATAGGAACAACAACAAAACCTCTCATTTTTAATGTTTTATTACAATTTTAATTTTTGTCATGAGTCCTTTCATATTTTATGAATAATTTTGAAAATGTTTATTCTTTATTATTGTACGTTATATTAGATATATTTGTTAAAGGACTTTTACAAAATTTTGGAAACTACAAAGTTGGCTGTGATAAAAGAAAAAAAATCCTTGTAAAATAAGCATGGACCCACTGCTGAGAGTCATGAGTGTGCTCATTGTGCTCATTCTGTAAATAGGAATAACTGACTAGCCATTAAAGCTAGCAGTGGCCTTATGTTTACTCCTTTTAATCTAGCAAAAAGGCAATTTTTATGTTGTTATGTATGTTAATTATACCATTTGTAATTATTTATCTTCCTTAATTAGTAAACGTACAAAAATAACTCTAAATTTAGATTGGTCTTACTGCATATTACTTACAAGAGAGAGAAATATATTGCTGAGAGTTTTGACTTGTGTTGTTATTAGGAAAAGATAAGTAGCAGGAGTCTGTAACCAAATTATATTACTTTCACACTATACAAATAGGTATTTTCTTATTGCTTAGCAGAGTGTGTTCTTACCTTTGGGTTTTTGCCCTAAAATAGAGACAGGTGTGCTGACAAATTTTTACTTATGTCTCTTCTTTTAAAAATGCTTTAATTTGCCTTGGTAAACAGAAAAAAACTCATATCAGCTGCATTAAAAATGTCTTTTGAGGACAGATATATGTGTTTTTTTCTATTATGTTTTATTACATTTGTTTATTGTTTCTTTGTGCTTGGTGTGTGTGTGTGAGTGTGTGTGTGTCTGTGTGTGCTATAAATTCTCTCTTTATAGAAATTTTAGCAGAGAGATATGGTGTAGGTCATGATGATATTCATAATTTGTCAAGATTAAGATATTAATTTGGAGTGGTGAGATTGTCATTTGGACAATTTTCTGTTCGTTTCAAAGTATTGGTATGGTAATTTTTCAGATGGGCTTAGATTTTCAGAAAATGTGTCTCCATTTCCTGAAAGCAACCACACTTTCTGCCATAATAGACAATAGTGTGAAACCTTAGTCCTCAAATCTTTGGATAGAAATGTCCATGCAAATTTTTGAAAGTATGTCTTAATTACCATTGTGTTAAATAATTATTTCTGTATTTTATTGTTTTAACTTAATAGAATAGAAAACTAAGTAAACATATTGAAAATAAATAGTATGTTTTTATCTAATTTTTATGATTATCCATCTAATTTGCCAACTTATATGACCATGCAAGTTAAGAACTGAGAATTATATTTTACAGATGAATAAACCAATGATTAGAAAATTAACATGACAGTTTAAAAGTTCAATGAACCTTTCTCTCCAATGAGAAGGGAATTTACATCAGCTTTTTCACTACAACATGTCTCCTAATATTTGGAGTATGTCTAACTCCTAGGACAGTAGAAATGGTAGGAAGCCAATTCTGAAACTTAATTATTTCTTAATGAAACTGGCCCAAGAGTCCCATAGACAGTTGTTTTGGGATAAACACAGAAGTTGGCCCTTCTGCTCTTAAAAAGCTTGAAAGTTGTATTTGCTTTATCTGAGTTCCTTCCTCAGGGAAGGATCTTTAGGCCTCTCACGAAAAGTATCAAAGAACTGAAACCAGGTCCACAACAGATGCTGGATTCCTCATTTACCATGATTGCTTTTTTGCCCCTCCCAGGTTCCTATTTTCTTATACATTGTTAAATTTCTTGCCTGCTATATAAACCCCTGGTTTTAGTCAGTTAGGACATGGATTTGAGACTGAGCTCCTATCTTCTCGGCTGATGCACCCAATTAAAGCCTTCTTCCTTGGCAATACTTGTCATCTCAGTGATTGGCTTTCTCTGTGGTGAGCAGCAGCACCAAGACCAAATCTCTGGTGTTTTGATAACACTAATAAAGTATATGAAACCAGCTTCTGGTTTGTGCATTTCACAATTGCCAAATTCAGCATGTCGTATTGTTCTGTGGTCTATGTTCTGTGTTCTGTAGTCTGTGGTTAAAAACATAAGTTAAGGTACACAAATCCCATTGTTCAAGTTGCTAGAAAACTTGAGGATTAAATATACATCTCTTCTTCAGTAATGATCCAAAACATTAAAAAGATTTAATATAGGTGAGTCCTGATTTTTAAAAAAATCCTTTACTGTTATAATGAGCATCTCTTGTTAGAGAGAAAATGTGCTGTAAGAATGAGTGACCATTTATCTCTTCTGAACATTACATCAGAATATGAAATTAATCTAGGACTAACACGCCCGTTATAAGTTTAAAATGACTCTTTCAATTATTTTCAACCATCTTTCACAACATTTATTTATGGATATTTCCCACCATACCAAAATGTTGAGAATTTGACAATAAAGACTCATATACCCAGTACCATGACTCTACCTTAAACATTTCATTATACTTGTTCAATCACAGAACTTCCCTCTATCCATTCTTTTATCATTACACAATCTTATTTTTTGATTTTTATAGAAAATTGTTTAGGTATCAGTATACTTCCTCCTAAATCTTTTGTTATACGTATCATTAACCAGAGTTCACTATTCTATTTTGTATACAATGAAATATAGACAAATTTTATAAGCATATGCTGAGTTTTGACAAATGTATAACCAGATAGTGCATGTAACCTATATAATCCAAACACCTGTATGGAACACACAGCATTACTATCATCCCAGAATGATTGTCCATGACCTTTTCTAGTAACATTGTGTCTCCATCTCACCATATGAAACCATGAACTGTTTTTTTTTTTTTTTCACTGATGGGGTTTAGGACTCATTATCCTAAAATATGACTGCTCATATTTTGAAGAACGGAATTTGCTAGCCCAAAATATGTCTTTTTGGCATAAGCATTCTTTTGAATTGGTTATTTTAAGAAATACAGATACATAAGACGCTCCGGAAAGTTACCCTTTTGTAAGAGAAATTTAAACCTATAAAATAAATCTCCATTTGTAAGGGTATTTCCTTCTCTGCACCACAAAGATAAGGATGACTAAATTACTAGACAGTTTTAATCAATGCAGAAGGTATTTTAAATCCTAAATTAAAGGTGTAAATGTGCAAGACAAACCTTACTCTTGTAACACAATGCTCTTACTGGCCATTTTGCCTTAAGTAGAGCTTTTTCCACACCCTACTTTCTTTGCCTCAGAGAATGATAGTATTTAAGCCTGAGGTCAAAGCCACTTCTCTGAGATCTCCTGTAGAGATTTACTCATTTCTCTGGCTACCTCCCATATATACAGGAAGAATGCACGTTATAAAACTTCTCTTTGTTTTTCTTTTGTTAATCTGTCTTTCATTACAGGAGTCTGTCCCTACTAAAAGGTATAGAAGATAGAAAATATTTATCCTTCCCTACACTACCATATATTAATTTTGTTTGTTTTAAAGTTTCATATTATAGCACATACTCTTGTGTAAGGCTTCTTTCATGCAGCATAATGTCAATTTTCCTTTCCATCATAGTAGTCAATACTTTTATTGACCTAAGTAAATGAGAATAAGTTTATCCTCTGTATAGATAAACTGAGAGTATTTGATTGTATCTCAAACAGTGACGAGACATTGTTGTTGGCCTATCATTTCTAAAGCTCTTTAGTTTAATATTCTTTCATTTTTTCATAATTAGAACCTTCACTCTACTCATTTGTAATCACTGATTCTACAATTATATAAATTGCTTTAGCTTTTCAATCTATCTCTTTTGTCCCCAGAATTTCTCATCCTCACTTTCTCTCTAAAGCACAGATAATTCTTTCTTCAGTTACCCTCCCTTCTGACTCTAAAGTAAAACATGCCTGACCTTACGTAAAAGTGAAAATATATTGTTCGAAATGACATTTGTTTTTTAAGTTTTGAAATTTGGGAAAACTTTTTTTCTGATTATCCTTATACTTTAAAATAGGTGCTTAATAAAAACCCTGTTAACAGAAACTCTTTCAGTGTAATCAACTGAAGGGTTCTTTGTGCCCACTACGCAGATGAAATCAATTCACTGAGACTGCGGCATTGAAGTAAAGAGAGTTTAATTGATGTGAGGCTAGCCATGCAGGAGACGGAGTGATTACTCAAATCAATATCCCCCCGAATGTTGGAGGTTAGGGCTTTTCAAGGATTATTTGTTGTGCAGGGGCTTGGGAATGGGAAATGTTAATTTGTTGGGGATGAAATTTTAGGGGTGTGGAAAATGGTCCTCATGTGCTGCATCAACCTCTGGGCAGGGTCAACAGGATTGGTTGAGTCACAGGTCATAGGTCTAGGTGGAGTCAGCCAGTTGCCAGAAATGCAAAATTCTGAAAAGACATCTCAGAAGTCCAATCTTATGTTCTAAAATAGTGATGTTATCTACAGGAATAATTAGAGAAGTTAGAAATCTTGCGACTTCCCGAATGGGTTGGCTGATTATTGTTTTACTACGCCTACATAGGCAGAATGATTTTCATTACTTTTACAAAGGCAGTTTAGTTTTGGGAAGGACTATTATCATCACTGCTTTAAAGTTAAACTAGAAACTAAATTCCTCCCAAAGTAAGCTTGGCATATGCCCAGGAATGACCAAAGACAGCCTAGAGGTTAGGAGCAAGATGGAGTCAACTCTGTCAGATTTCTCTTAATGTCATAATTTTGTAAAGGCAGTTTCATTAGCACAGGCTAGAAATAGATGCTGTTGGTACCTACTCAGACCCCATTTGCTTTGCAGGTTCCCATATTCCTCGGCTGGTATGAGTATTAGCTTCTGAGAGCTCACAGCTGCACTTGTGGCTGGAGAATTTCCCAGTACTATTGGGCACAATCTGATGTAGAAATTCATGGGATGCTATAGCCTTCCCAGACACTGTATCACAGCCAATTACTTGCATACAGAAGGCCGGTCCTCTTACATCAAGTGGAAGTAACTCTAAGATGCCATTCACAAATGCAGCTCCCCACGGGATCAAGTTGAGACTTCAACTGAAATCAAATTTTGCATATCTTTTCCCCCCACTCAGTCCTGCTTTTTTCCCTTTCTCATAGGACTCTCCTGTGGGCATGCCCTCAATAAATCACTTTTAAATGAATCCCATTCAAAGCCTTTACTTCTGGGGAACCCAACTAATTGAGCTTCACTGCCTCTTTTATCTCCCTGTGCTCCATAGTGAGTCACCAGTTAATAGGAATGAATTAGTTAATATGTATACTCTTTGGGGGTAGTATAATCTTTTAACTCTTCAATAATTTTTCTTGTAATGAATATTTTAAATTTTAAAATGTGAAGATGTTACAGGGGCCAAGGGAAAGTTTTTCCTTAACACTCTGAAAGTTCACTGAAGAATCAACTGACAAAAGGCAGATTAATGGAGAAAAGACGCAAAATTTATTAATGTGAACATAAGTGAGAACCACAGAGTGATTCCCCCAACTTCCCAATGCGGTACAGAAACTTATATGCCATTTTTGGAGCTACACAAAGGATGAGGATTCAGAGCATGGTCACAAGTAGGTTATGGTGGTTAAAGCGGGTTATGGTGGCGAGACAGGTAATGGGAGGGAGAGCAAAGGAGGCCTGGCTAATAAAGGTGATTTGTTATTTAAATGAACCTCACAGGTAGCAGCCCTCAAGAGAACAGATGGTAAATGTGTCTTTCAGACCTTCAGAGGTGTCAGACTCAGTTAATCCTTCCTGAATCAGACAAGGAAAGACCTTCAGAGAAATTCTAGCTACATCAAATGCAAATATTCTCTTACAAATGCTTATCTCCCCCACAAAAGACAGTTCTGCATGACTACTTCTGTTTTCTGCCTATCTGAAAACCCATCTCAAAATATGTCAAAGAAGTATATATTGTGGGGTAAATTATTTTAATTTCCTTATTGTACATACCTTTTTTTCAATTTTCATTGTCACTCTATTATTACCTTTCTTTAATGATTTTGATATTTGCTTTTTAACTCCTTTTTGATTGTATTTGACAAATTTTCTTAATTTTGTTACTTCTCTATTTTTAACATTAAAGTTATCCTATGTTTATTTCTTTCTTTAGTTATTACTTTAATTTATTCTTTTCCTTTTTCATGCATATTTAAAATTTACTTTTAATTTTTGGATTCAATTTCTAATATGTTAAGGTTCATGATTATTTTCTCATTTATTACTGAAAATATTAATGCTATGATTTTACTTTTTAGTAGAGGATAGCTCTCTTCTGTGTGTTTCATATTGTCAGAGGCATTTGAACCAAAGAGACTCCATCTTGAGCGAGGGCTAGGAAAAATGAGGCTGGGACTTGCTGGGCTGTATTCCCAGGAGGTAAGTTATTACTAGCCTCTAGATGTTTACAGCCTAAGGGAACACTGTATCACAGTGGGCTTTGGGTGTAACAGACACCTACCCCTAGTCCCCGCCACGGGGCCGGAGCCCAAAAGCACTTGCACCAGCCTCTGCACCTGCCCATCTGCATGATCCTACTAAGGGTTTGAGCTGTAGGGTGACCAAGCAGGTGAGCCACACCCCTTGCATATCCTGTGAAGGGAATCAAGGAACTCCCCCATTTCAGTAACATGAATGATAATAGCAGCACAGTTTTTACGTTTTTTCACAGCTTTCTCCATGCTTGGTTATTTAGTTAGTATATTTTTAAAGGCAAATTATTATATACATTGCTCTGCAATTTTCTTATTTTCCTTAACATGGATATGCCTCTTAAACAATGGATGTAGTTTTAACTCATTCCTTTTAGCAGATTATAAAATTCCACAGTATGGTTCTAGCACATTTTTTTCTTTTTCAATTTGTGATGGTTAATTTCATGTGTCAATTTCACTGGGCCAAGGTATGTCCAGCTAGCTGGTAAAACATTGCTTCTGGTTGTTTCTAAAAGAGATTAGCATTTGAATTAATGAAATGAGTAATGATTACCCTCACCAAAGCAGGTGGTATCATCCAATCTGTTTCATGTCAAAATAAAACAAAAAAAGCTAAGAAGGAAATTCACTCGGTTTGAACTGGGACATCCATTTTCTTATGCCCTCAAACATCTATGCTGGTGTTTTCTGGGTCTTTGGACTCAGACTGGAACTTACACCAGGGGCTCTCCTGTACTTCCAGCCTGCTGATTTTCAGACTTCTTGATTCCATAATCAAGTGAGGCAATTCCCATTTTGTGTGTGTTTGCATGTGTGTGCACATGTGTATATTGTTGGAGTGGGGGGTCAAGGCCCTCGGCCACTTAAAGATTTGCTGAAAAATTACTGACATGAGGCAGATTGATTAATAGAAAAAAAGGCACACAAACTTAATGTGTACGCATGGGAGCGTTCAGAATGAAGACCCAACCCCCCTAAGGAGGTACAAAAGCTTGTATACCATTCCACAAAAGGTGGAAGAGTTTTTCACCTCTGTGGTGAGCTCATGGAAAAATACTGGAGGATGTTGGAGGGGAGGGTTGGTCATTGTGATTAGAACATTTGTGTTTGTTAATTGTTGCTTACTGACATTAGGCTCCTACCCTCCCCTACAAACCAGGAGATTGGGATGCTATCTCTTTAGATTATTACATTTAAAACAGATGACCCCCAGGTCCTTCAGAAAGGCATTTCTGGCAAGAGGCTGAGAGAAGATTTATATCTCAAAAGGACAGAGAAAGAATTTACAGTTGGAAATTTTCTAAAGTAAATGCTCAAATAAAGGGTAGGTCAGGGGCCTACAGTCAGGAAGAATTCTGTCTAAAAGTTTAGTTAACTTGATGGGGACTAAGGCCTTTCCTCTTATTTCTTAGGAAATCAGGTTCTTTTGGGAGTAAGAGGCGTGCCTTTTGAATTGACCTTCGGGTATTATTTTAAATCTGACAGCAACTGTCCCATCACTGCAGAAACCCCAATTTATGACACGTAGAGGGCACTCACTTTTGATTTCCAGAGCTGTTGCATGTTTCTTCCTAGTTTCATATTGTGACATTCCTTCCAAGGGACATGTGGGAGCATAAGGGTAAGCCAGAGGCACTGTCATTTTCTTTGAGTAGCCATGAATGATATGTTTTAAGTAATGGTTGGAAATCAATGAGGACAAACCTCTCATTTTATAAATGAGGAAATTAAAACCCAGAGAATGTAAGAAGTAGCTTTCCTGAGATTCTAAAACTAGTTAAGAAAGTAGCTGGAAAGTTAATATCTTCAAAATCTGTATTAGTTTTGAAGAAGTAATAGCTTACTTCTATTGCCACTTTCAGTTAACCTTAAAAATTACCTCTTCAACAGATTACTATTTTCTCTTCTTGAACTGTATTCTGATATTTGATTATTTTTAACCAATTGAAATGTTGCTATAAAATAATTCTTATTTAATTTTTCTTCTTTTACATAAAGTTAATAATTGAACTCCTTGTTTTGCTATGGACATGCACTTGCTCCTTTTGCCTGAGAACCAGTAGTTATAATAAGTTTTGAATAATTTGGAAAATGTGTGGCTTAACAAGAAATGTTGTATTTTTATATTATGTAATAATTGTAACATGTTCTTATTAACAGCTCATTTTTTGGATGTATTTCAGAGAAGTGCTTTAGTAAAGTGCCATTACTTCTGATAATTTCATGCTCAACATATATTATGACTCAATTACATAAGATTTAGTAAATTATGCTATTAAAATAGGTACTTTTAATAGGATAATTTACGTAATTAATTATATTAGGTATGTTACAACATATGACAAGTAGATTCCTAGAGCAGGAAAGAATACTTGAAAATTATAAATCAAAAATAAAGTTCTAATTCCCCCAGCCAACTGAATGGACCCCTCCTTCTCAGCCAAGGGCATTGCAAAGTTAACCCAAGAAACTAGTTCAGGCCATTGGTGGGAAGTGGGGGTTAGACATGCCTCGTTATACCCTTGTCCCTTTTGAATTCAGGCACAACTGACCAGCATTAACATTAAAACAGACTTTAAGACTGACAAAACAGACTCTTTGTAGCAATAAGATATCAACACGACAGCAGGCCCTGAAAGCAATCAAAGTATTTTACCATAATATATATTTATTTGACATATTTTGAAATGGCTCTGCAAAGCTGTCTCTTGTGGGGAAAATTTACATTCTGTAGAGAATCCTCTTTCCCTTCCAGGTCTCTTCTCTGATCCAGGAGAGAATTAACTAAGAGTCTGTCATTTTTTAAAGTCTTGTCTGAAACATTTATAATCTATTCTCTCTGAAGCCTGCTACCTCGAGGCTTTATCTGCATAATAAGACCCTTCGTCTCCACAACCCCTTATCTGAACCCAGACACTCACTTCTATTGATTCTAGGTTTTTAGATAATTTCTTAACTCTTTCAACAAAATTTCACCCAATTGCCCATCAGAAAATCTTTGAATCTACCTATAACCTGAAGACTGACCCTCACACCATCCCCACCCTGCTTCAAGTTACTGTCCTGAACCAATGTACACCTTACATGTATCAATTGGTATCTTATGTCTCCCTAAAACATATAAAACCAAGCTGCAATTATACCATTTTGGGCATATATTCTCAGGACCTCCTGGGGCTGTGTCACTGGCCATTGTCACATATATTTGACTCAGAATAAATCTCTTCAAGTATTTTACAGAATTTGGCTCTTTTCATTGACAAAATATATCTAGACTTTATAGGAATGCCAGTAATAATAAGAGTTATCTGTGTTAGTCTGTCCTTGCACTGCTGATAAAGGCATACCTGAGACTGGTTAATTTACAAAAGGAAGAGGTTTAATGGACTTACAGTTCCACATGGCTGGGGAGGCCTCTCAATCATGGCGGAAGGCAAGTAAGAGCAAGTTACATCTTATATGAATGGCAGCAGGCAAAGAGAGAGCTTGTGCGGGAAACTCCCAGTTTTAAAAACCATGAGATATTGTGAGACTCATTCACTATCATGAGAAAAGCACAGGAAAGACCTGCCCCCCATAATTCAATCACCTCCCACTGGGTTCCTACTACAACATGTGGAAATTGTGGGAGTTAACAATTCAAAATGAAATTTGGGTGGGGACACAACCAAACATATCATTCCACCCCTGGGCCCTCTCAAATCTCATGTTCTCACATTTCAAAACCAATCATGCCTTCCCAAGAGTCCCCCAAAGCCTTAACTCATTTCAGCATTAACTCAAAAGTCCACAGTCCAGTTTTTCATCTGTGACCAAGCAAGTCCCTTCTGCCTATGAGCCTGTAAAATCAAAAGCAAGTTAGTCACTTCCTAGATACAATGGGGGTACAGGCATTGGATAAATACAGCCATTACAAATGGGAGATATTGGCCAAAACAAATGGGTTACTGGCACCATGCAAGCTCAAAATCAAGTAGGGAAGTCAAGTCTTAAAGCTCCAAAATTATCTCCTTTGAATCCATGTCTCACATCCAGGTCATGCTGAGGCAAGAGGTGGGTTCTCCTGGTCTTAGGAAGCTCTGCCCCTGTGGCTTTGCAGGATATAGCTTCCCTCCCATCTGCTTTCATGGGCTGGCATTTAGTGTCTGTGGATTTTCCAGGCGCATGGTGCAAGCTGTCAATGGATCTACCATTCTGGGGTCTGGAGGACAACGGCCCTCTTCTCACAACTCCAGTAGGTGGTGCTCCAGTAAGGACTGTGTGGGGGCTTCGACCCCACATTTCGCTTCCTCACTGCCCTAGCAGAGGTTTTCCATGAGGGCCCTGCCCCTGCAGCAAACTTCTGCCTGGGCATCCAGGCATTTCCATACATCCTCTGAAATCTAGGCAGAGGTTCTCAAACTTCGATTCTTGAATTCTGTGCACCCACAGGCTCAATACCACATGGAAGCTGCCAACGCTTGGGGCTTCCACCCTTTGAAGCAATGGTCTGAGCTATACCTTGGCCCCTTTTAGTCACAGCTGGAGCAGCTTGGATGCAGGACACAAAGTCCCTAGACAGCACACAACAGAGGGAACCTGGGCCCAGTCCAGGAAACCTTTTTTTTTCTCCTAAACCTCTGGGCCTGTGATGGGAGGGGCTGCCTCAAAGGTCTCTGACATGCCCTGAAGACATTTTCCCCATCGTCTTGGTAATTAACATTTGACTCCTTGTTACTGATGTGAATTTCTGCAGCCAGCTTGAATTTCTCCTCAGAAAATGGGATTTTCTTTCTATCCCATTGTCAGGCTGTAATTTTTCCAAACTTTTGTACTCTGTTTCCTTTTTAAAACTGAATGCTTTTAACAGCACCCAAGTCACATCTTGAATGCTTGCTGCTTAGAAATTTCTTCTGGCAGATATCCTAAATCATCCCTCTCAACTTCAAAGTTCCACAAATCTCTAGGGCAAGGGCAAAATGCCACCAGTCTCTTTGCTAACACTTAACAAGAGTCACCTTTGCTCCAGTTCCCAAAAAGTTCCTCATCTCCATCTGAGACCACCTCAGCCTGGACATTATTGTCCATATCACTATCAGCATTTTGGGCAAAGCCATTCAACAAGTCTCTAGGAAGTTCCAAACTTTCCCACATATTCCTCTCTTCTTCTAGGCCCTCCAAACTGTTCCAACCTCTGCCTGTTATCCAGTTCCAAAGTTGCTTCCACATTTTTGGGTATCTTTTCAAGAGTGTCCCACTCTACTGGTACCAATTTACTGTATTAGTCCTTCTCATGCTGCTGATAAAGACATACCTGAGACTGGGTAATTTATAAAAGAAAGAGGTTTAATGCACTCACAGTTTCACCTTGCTAAGGAGGCCTCACAATCATGGCAGAAGGCATGGAGGAGCAAGTCACATCTTATGTGGATGGCAGCAGGCAAAGGGAGAGCTTGTGCAGAGAAACTCCCATTTTTGAAACCATCACATCTCTCGTGAGACTCATCCACTATCACAAGAACAGCACAGGAAAGACTCGCCCCCATAATTCAATCACCTCCCACCGGGTTTCTCCCATGACACAAGGGAACTCTGGGAGTTATAATTCGTAACTCAAATTACAAAACGTGAGGACACAGCCAAACCATGCCACTATCCTTGGAATTTTTTTTTAATAAAAACAATCTCTATAAATAACAGTTTCAGAATATATATTTATTTAAAGAAAATTTTAGCCTTTTTTTGTTATATTGTAGAAAAACAAAGAGCTTGGGAAGAACCACAAGCTCCTTGAATTACTATAGCCTTTTTGAATTCTTCTGTAGCCTTGCCTTCAATTTGTGGTATGTTGTGAAATGGCAATTTGGTATTATTGACACCCAGATTTTATAAGAGATTAGATCCCTGAACTCATGCATGTTAACATTATCATTATTTTTGCCATATGTTTAATAGGATAAATATTAACTCCACTATACAAAGTGTTAAACATGTCTCAGATTGAAAAAATAAGATGGACTGGACTATTCATTTTCATCTAAGAAAATCTTATCCTGGATTAGCTCTTAGATAGCATGTTGTACAGAATTTAATTTTATATGGGGGTTTCATATCACCAATAAACTATGAAAGATATTAGACTCGAAGAGAATGAGACATATTTCATGTCAAAAATAAATTGGTATTGATTTTCAAACTTTGCCTGAAATAGAAGAAGGAACAGAAAAGGTTTTCTGTGAAGTAAGCTACACCAGCAAATGCAAGTAAATAAAGATTATTTGGATATTCAAGAGTTTTAAATGTGATATAAATGGATGTCTTACAAGTATATGTAATGTTAATGTATGTATGTCTTTTTGGAAGTATGCTTGTATATCTTTGTATATGTGTGTATTTCCCTATTTGTTTATTTTATATATTCTACATTGTTCTTAATGATTTAGGATGTTTTTCAAATTACCATTAGATACGGTTAAATTTTCTCTTACTAACAATTCAACATCAGGAATGAGTTGAAATTTAATCTTTATTTAGGTCTTTTATTTACATTGATAACTTTGACCTTTATCTTGATTGAATAATTTAAATGAAATCAGTCTTTTCTTAACAGCTTTTCAATCTGGTAGTAAATTCTTATCATTTTAAATTGCCTCAACATCCATTTTGAGTACACGTTTAACTTTCTCATACCAGAAGCAGGGCTTAGCCACCCTTGACACAATTTCTAGTTCTACACCAAACCCAAATGGCACAAGCCTATGGCCTGAGATAAAAACTAGAGCTCTCTCTCCTGCCTAGCAGACTGTGCTCCTACTTTCCCTCTGCACCAGAGCAACGGTCAGGCAGGCATGGGTCAGCAATGGGTAAGACAAGAGCCATAAGAGTGTTTGCCAATATAAACAAGTTCCCCATGTGAGTGAGCCCTGGTCGTGGCTGGGAGAGCTAGGCATTAGGCTGCTGCCAGATAAAAGAAGTATCTTGTTGAGGTAGGAGGTAGAACTTGATTCTGAAGGCTGGGCTCAACTCCAGACCAGGTTGAAGACTGACTGACATGCCCACCAGCACCATGACAGTTTACCCATTCCCTGTCAATGACCTGGAAGTTACCACCCTTTTCTAGGAATTTCGGAATAACTTGTACCTTGATGCGCGTGCAATTAAAAGTGGATATATATGTGATTACAGAACTGCCCCTGAGCTGCTACTCTTGATGCACTGTCTATGGGGTAGCTTGCTCTGCAAGAGCAGTCATGGAGCTGCAACCCTGCCACTTCAAAAAAGCTTTCTTCTACCACCTGCTTGCCTTTGAATCCCTTCTTGGAGGAAGCCAAGAAATTTCACAGGTGGAGGCTCAAAGTTGGGGCTTCCTTTTCCTGCAACACTGTGAGAGACACACTGTAAATACTCATGTCCAGCTCCCCTCATTTCCTATTAGGGCAAGGTTGATAATGGCTCTGGTACTAGAACCTCAATTTAGCCAGAGGCTCCCAAGAAAGTCCTATAGCATCAGATAGAAAATAGTAAGCTTATATTATAGAAAGAAATTATTAATATTTGAGCAAAGGATGACTAAAACATGAATAGCTACCATTATGTTTATTAAATACACTTTGTATTGAATCATCCACAATTTTCATAATTTTTCTCATTTTCCCATTAGATCATAGTTCCAATTTTTTTTTTTTTTTTGAGACAGTGTCTTGTTCTGTCACCCAGGTTGGAGTGCAGTGGCGCAATCTCGGCTCACTGCAAGCTCCACCTCCTGGGTTCATGACGTTCTCCTGCCTCAGCCTCCCGAGTAGCTGGGACTACAGGCACCTGCCACCATGCCTGGCTAATTTTTTGTATTTTTAGTAGAGACGAGGTTTCACCATGTTAGCCAGGATGGTCTCGATCTCCTGACCTTGTGATCCTCTCACCTCAGCCTCCCAAAGTGCTGGGATTACAGACATGAGCCGCCACGCCCAGCCAGTTCCATATTTAATTTTTCTTCCTGCTATACATAGCCCCAAATTATTTGAAAACATTATGTTGATAAAGTAATTTATCTCATATAAAAATGAGGAATATTCCTAGGGAAAGTAGAAAGATTAAAATGTAAATTCATATTAAAATGATAAAATGTATTCAATATATTCTATACTTTAAATATATCTAAGTTTTAACATATACTCAAATTGTTTAAAAGAATAAAGCATTTTAAGGTTTTAAAAGTTTTTTATATTAAAATATAATACAATTCTCTCTTATAAAAATAATAAAATATTTGTTTCTTTACCTACGAAAACATGTTCATCTCAACAATGCTTCACATTTTCTTCCCTCTTATAAGACAGTGATCAAAGATGTCTGAAATATTTTTAAATGAATCGTGGTTATTTTGTAATTCATAAATGTATATATCTAGCAAAGTGATTTTTATAATAAATGGTTTAGCTTATGGTTTATTGCCTACTAAAATACTTCTAATAATTTTATGGTGGTAGTGGTAATCATGCAGTGAAAAGTGCCAGTTTGATGGTTTCCACAATCTCTTAAAGAAAAATGCATTAAATAAAATAACATTTTATATTTCTACATTTATAAATAACTACCTAAGCAGCCAGAGAGAAAGATCGGGTTACCTAAAGAGGGAAGCCCATCAGAATAACAGCAGATCTCTCTGCAGAAATCCTACAAGTCAGAAGAGAGTGGGGGCCAATATTCAACATTCTTAAAGAAAAGAATTTTCAACCCAGAATTTCATATCCAGCTAAATTAAGCTTCATAAGGGAAGGAGAAATAAAATCCTTTACTGATAAGCAAATGCTGAGAGTTTGTCACCACCAGGCCTGCCTTACAAGAGCTCCTGAAGGAAGCACTAAATATGGAAAGGAAAAACGCTACTAGCCACTGCAAATAACATACCAGATTGTAAAGACCATCGACACTATGAAGAAACTGCATCAACTATTGGGCAAAATAACCAGCTAGCATCATAATGACAGGATCAAATTTACATATAACAATATTAACCTTAAATGTAAAGAGGCTAAATGCCCCAATTCCAAGACATAGATTGGCAAATTGTATAGAGTCCAGACCCATAGGTATGCTATATTCAGGAGACCCATCTCACATGCAGAGACACACATAGGCTCAAAATAAAGGAATGGAGGAAGATTTACCAAGCAAATGGAAAGTAAAAAAAAAAAAACAGGCGTTGCAATCCTAGTCTCTGATAAAACAGAATTTAAACCAACAAAGATCAAAAGAGTCAAAGAAGTGGATTACATACTGATAAAGAGATCAATGCAACAGGAAGAGCTAACTATCCTAAATATATATGCATCCAATACAGGAGCACCCAGATCCATAAAACAAGTTCTTGGAGACCTATAAAGAATCTTAGAATCCCACACAATAACAGTGGGAGACTTTAACACCCCACTGTCAATATTAGATAGATCAATGAGACAGAAAAGTAACGAGGATATTCAGGACTTGAACTCAGCTCTGAACCAAGTGGACGTAATAGACATCTACAGAACTTTCCACCCCAAATCAACAGAATATACATTCTTCTCAGCACCACATTGCACTTATTCTAAAATTGACCACATAATTGGAAGCAAAACACTCCTGAGCAAATGCAAGAGAACGGAAATCATAACAAACAATCTCTCAGACCACAGTGCAATCAAATTAGAACTCAGGATTAAGAAACTCACTGAAAGCTGCACAATTACATCAAAATGGAACAACCCGCTCCTGGATGACTACTGGGTATAAATAACTACCCAAGTGAAAATAAGGAATAATAAAATAAATTTCACTGTTTATTTTAGCATCTGTTATGTTTAGAATTTAACACTATTTTGCACTTATATTAATTGCCTAATAATTATTTTCATTACAAAATCATTACAATCTAGAAAATTAACATGAAACTCCAAGCAATTATATTTAATTTTTTTATCTAGTCATCAGCTCTCAGATAGTTTAGTTTGAGGTCATTCATTTTAGATTATTTTATGTTATTATAACTATCTAAAATATACTTTATATTATATATTTTTCTTATTTAATTCCATATCTTCTTACCAACACAATTTTTATTGATTGGCCAACATGAAAAATCATACCATGTAATATAATAACAAGTTCTTTTACTCACATTTATTTTTTAATTAAAAATTATTTAGCTAAATAATATTTAAATTTAAATAATTTAAATTTATTTTAAAGATTTAAAGATTTAAATAATTTTTTAGCTAAATAATTTAGCTAAATAATTTCCTTGCAAGGAAAATAGGAAAAGCCAGACATTCTTTCATGTTAGATTGTTAGAGACTGTAACAATGTTAATAATAAAACATTTGCTGAGTTGAAGAACATTGATATAAAGTAGCCCAAGCTCACTTGGCTTATAAAAGTGTAATGGTATTTCATATTCAGATCTCAAGGTACTCTCGAGATTACCTGTTCTGTATATTCTTACTCTTTCCACAGACATAAATCTATGATGATATTTTTGTTCTTTAGATTTCCTTAAAATCACTATCTTCCAGAGTAGAAGTTGTCATTCTCAATCCTATTTCTGGAACAAAAAATAAACATAGCTGTGCTCCAAATACATTTCTTTGAAACTATTTTTGATGGTTTTTATTAAATAATTTCCAAATTCCCTCCTTTCTCTTCCAAAATTTATCCTGCTTGCTTAAAAAAATGTTCTCATCTTCTCTTTCACAAGCAAACCCAGCCTTCAAAACTTTCCTGCTTTTCACAACATCCAAGCATCTTTTTTCCATATCTCAGATTATGTTTTTAACTTTTTATTAAAAAAAAATTCACATTAAGTTACAAGAAACACAGTTCCATGCAAACTCTTCCACTCTCCTACAATGTTATTTGCTCATATAATTGTAGTACAAGGCAAGAAAATAAACAGGAAGAAATTTATACTGGTGCAAACTAACAGAGCTTATTCGGATTTCACCAGTTAAATGTACACTTATTTATGTGTGTGTGTGCATGTGTACTTATGCAGCTCCATGCAATTTTAACTCATGTCTATTTTTGTATTACTATTGCCACAATCAATATAAACATATGATCACCACAAGCCTCTTTTGTGTTATTGTTTTATAACTACATCCATCCCCTCCACTACCCACTTCCAAGTCCTCACAATTAATCTCTTCTCTATCTCTGTATTTATGTTATTTCATAAATGTTACATAAATGAAAGCATGCAGTATATATTAAATATCATTTTGAGACTGGCTTTTTAAAAACTCTAGGTTCATCCAAATGTTTCAGGGAACTAGTAATTCATTCCTTTTTATTATTTTATAGTATTCCATAATATGAATTTACGTTGTTTGTTTAACCATTTATCTACTCAAAGGCATAAGATGCTGTGAACTAGACTAGCTCCTATAGTAATTGAATAATCTCACATTTCTACCAGCAATGTATGAGTAATTTAATTTCTCCACATCATTGCCCACAATTGGTGTTACTACTTTTTATTTTAATCATTCTGATGGTGGGTTGTAATATCTCATAGTGGACTTAAGTTGCATTTCTGTAATGGAAAATGATGTTGAACATCTTTTCATGTGCTTATTTACCACCTGCGTATTCTTGTCAGCGAAAGGTCTCTGCGTGTTTTCTTTTAGCACATTTCTAATTGGCTTGTTTATTAAGTTTTGAGAATAAGTGGTATATATTAATAATTCTGAGGGTAGTATATATTTTTGAGAATAATTATGTGTTCTGTATTCAAGGCAGTTGTCAGATACTGAAGCATCCCCATTGTGTGGGGTAAATACCAAGGTTCTTCGTCTCACGGCCAAGGAAATCGAGGTTGTGGAAACACACACACAGGGTGAGATTGGAGCAGGAGTTTAATAGGCAAAAGAAAAGAACAGCTCTTTGTCACAGAGAGGGGTCCCGAGTGGGTTGCCAAGTGGTAGTAAAAATGCCAGGGTTTTTAAAAATTGGCTAGTGAGGAGGGGGTGTCTTATCTTCCTAAGGCTCGAAGATTTAGTTGGGATCAGGTGTGCTATCTGTACAGATGTACAGAGCAGAGTTTTCTATAGGCTCTCTCCCATTCCTTGATCAGGTAGGAAGACTTAGTCTGTGCCGCTTTGTTTTGCTTATCTGGGAGGGAGAGTTTCCATGTCTGTTCCCAGACATCTTCTAGCAGCTGCAGGCACCTCCTTGCCCCCCACCTCTGTCAGCTCCACTTCTAGCTTCCCTATTTTAGTGTGCCTAAAGGGAAAGGAATGTGCTTATTAAGGCCCACTGTTTTTTACCAGGGGCCCTTTGCAAGAGTGTGAAGCTTGGTGATTACCCAGGAGACTCCTCCGCCTCGTTCTGTGCCCGAGTTTGTCTGTGTTTTACAGCCTGATATTCCAGGCTGCTTTTTGTCAGAAGAAAAGTGATTTCTTTGAACTGCATGAGGTTAGAAAGGGAGGAAATTTTGAGTTGCTTTGTGTTAAAAGTAAAGTTTTCTGCCAGGGACTCTCTTTACCCTGTCTACCTAAATAATTTCCTTCTGTCTCCTATAACAATATGTAATTTGTAAATATTTTCTCTCAGTCTTTAATTTTGGGATGTGAATGTCTCTTCATCCTTTTAACAGGATCTTTCACAGAGCAAAAGGTGTTCTTTTTGATGAGGTCCAATTTACCAATATTTACCTTTATAAATTGTGCTTTTGATGTCAAAGTTAAGAACTTAGTCCTAGGTATCAAAGATTTTTTCTTATGTTCTTTTTCACAGATTTCAGTTTCATGTTGTACTTTTAAGCTCGTACTCCATTTTGAGTTAATTTTTGTGTGAGGTATGAAGTTTGGGACTGAGTTCAATTTTTTTGCTGATAGATCCCCAATGCTTCAGTACCATTTGCTGAAAAGGTTATCCCCTCATTGATATCACATTTGCTTCTTTTTAAAAAATTAATTAGCCATATTTGTTTGGATTTGTTTTCTGGGTTCTATATTCTTTTGCATTTATCCCCTGCCAGTACCAAACTTCCTTGGCTATTGTGGCTATATGCTAAATATTATCAGGAAGAGTTTTCACCATTTTATCATTCTTTTAAAAATGGTTTTGGTTTTTTTGTAAGGCTTTCCTTTTTATTTTTTAGAAATCATAATCCTCTAAAACTTCATCTGCCACATTGTTGACATTACTAACACTCATTTTTTCCTACATCTTTAGGCCTTTGTCTTCCCTAATCATTATACTTTGAATAATTACTCTTGCAGAGTCAACATTACCATTTAACCAATTTTGCTTACCGTCCTAACACAAAGTCAAGATTCTTTTTTGTTGTCCTGTAATTCCTTGTCTTTTAAACTTTCTTTTCTTTTTTGTTACCAATTTACTTTTTCATCCTCATCACATCTCTAAAGGTTCAAACACACTACATTTACTCAATTTATTATTTTTTGTTTTAACTTTCACTTACCTCCATGCTAAATTTGGACTCACAATCAGTAAACTCACAGTCTACAACATATCACAAAAAAACAGAATTTCTGTCTTCCTTTTTGGTTAATTCCAAGTCTTTAGTAATATCCACTTCCTATTTCATCTTTTTTTATTCCAGCTAGTGAGCAGCCTAGAGGAGAATAATAAAATTATCTAAATTCCTTGATTCTGTACAATTATTTTATTAATTTTATGTTTATTTCTTCAGAGCTCATTCATTCCAGAGATAACTCTCTTCCACTTTTCTCAGAAACCTCACATTTACTCTGTAGGTGCTCTCACCTCCAATTTTCCAAAGATCTAAGCTCTCAATATGATTTTATTCAACTTCCTTTTTCTCATGTCAAAATAATTTCTTTAAATTTTCACTCCCTTGTTTTTGCTTTCCCTCTCCTTAAATTTAAAAAAAGACGTATTCGTTTTATTCCTTTCCAAACTAAACACATCTATTTCAGCTTTTCAACTTTAGATTTCAAATATATAGATGTAGATTTTTATTGTTGTTGTTGTTTTTGGCAGGATCTTACTCTGTTACCCAGGTTGGAGTGTAGCGGCGTGATTACAGCTCACAGCAGCCTCAACCTCCTAAGTTCAAGCAATCCTCCTGCTTCAGCTGGGAATACAGGTGTGAACTACCATGCCTGGCTAATTAATTTTTTTTTTATTTTGGAGAGACACTATGTTGCCCAGCTGGTCTTGAATTCCTGGGCTTAAGTGATCCTCCCACCTTGGCGTCCCAAAATGCTGGTACTACGTGTGTGAACCCCTGCCCTAGGCCTCAAAAATATTAAATGTAAGCTATGAAGCATTTCCACATTAAAATGTACAAGCAAATTTCTTTTAATGCTTTAATTAAAAAAAAATTAGGCTGAGTGCAGTGGCTCTCACCTGTAATCCCAGCACTTTGGGAGGCCGAGGCAGGTGAATCACAGGGTCAGGAGTTTGAGACCAGCCTGGCCAACATCATGAAACCCCATCTCTACAAAAAAAATGCAAAAATTATCTGGGCATGATGGCGTGCACCTGTAATCCCAGCCACTCGGGAGGCTGAGTCAGGAGAATTGCTTGAACTGGAGAGGCGGAGGTTGCAGTGAGCCGAGATTGCACCACTGCACTCCAGCCTGGGTGACAGAGCAAGACCCTGTCTTGAAAAAAAAAAAAAATTAAATTCCAATGCACTTCAAATTAGAAAAAGTGTTACTCACATTTGTGTTTCATTGATTTATTATACTATATACTATATATGTAGTAAAGAGTTATAAATCAGTATACTGTATATAATTTATAAACACATCTCTACTAGAAGCCTCTGAATAACTCATGTAGGCATTGAAGTCAAATGATCTCATCTTCTTGAGCTCTTTCATAATTTCAATTATACCTCCTTCTTCTTAAACTCATATTTTTGTCATCCATAAATTTCATGTTTTTCCACATTTTTCTCTTGTATAACATTTATTCTCTGTACCTTCAGTAACTCTAGTTTCTTCTTTATATTGCCTATAAATAATAATTTTATTCAAAAATGATTTGTTTTATCCCTTTCCATGACTTCACATTACCCTTTTGTAGGTAAAGTCAATTACAAATATTACTCACTTCTCTTACATTATTTCTGTTAAATGTTTTCATTTATCTTTTTGAAGATATTCTACTTGGCTGTCTGCCCAATATCAGTGACCAATTCTTCTAAAATCTACTTTCATATTTCTTGTTCAATTTGTGTCTATAACTTTTGTATTATCATCTTAATTCTTGTTTTATATTAGATTATTAAAATAGCTTTCTTGTTCATTTCTCTCATTTAAATTTCCCTTTAATACACCCCAGTTGATAGATCTTCTCAGATCTCTTCTCACATCACTTACTTATCAATAAATACTTTCTCATTGCTTACTAAACTAATTTAGAAGTTTTCCTTTTGTGACTCAAAAACCTCCAAATCTATTTTCTCCATAACTATTTTTCTACAAAAACTGGAGCTCTTGTCAAAAAAAGAAAAATAAAAATGAACAAAAAATGATCATTCTCACTCATCTCTAGAATTAGATAATAAAGGTTTCAATATCTGCTCTACCACTAACTTGGGGCAAATTTCCTCCACTTATTTGTGTCAGTTTTCTAGTCATTAAAATGAGGGCAATAGTATTATTTGTCATAGAGAGGCACTGAAAAGTTTAAATGGGAAAATATGAGCAACAGTCTTAGCATGGTCTCTGTCACATAGTAGGCATATTTGGTGGCTGTCCACTTCTGTAGCTTTAGTAGCCATTAGCCTAGTGGGTCCCAATGTGGTGGTCCCTCCCCCGTGGCAAGTTTTGACTGGGCTTTCAGGCAGTCTGTGGAATTCTTTAATTTGACAAATATCCATAGTTATGTAAGCCATTATTTCTTTTCTTTTTTGTTTGTTTGTTTGTTTGTTTTTTGAGACAGAGTCTCACTCTGTTGCCCACGCTGAAGTGCAATGGCATGATCCCAGCTTACTGCAGCCACTGCTTCCCAGGTTCAAGCATTTCTCATGCCTCAGCCTCCCAAGTAGCTGGGATTATAGGCATGTGCCATCATGCCTGGCTAATTTTTGTATTTTTAGTAGAGACAGGGTTTCACCATGTTGACCAGGCTGGTCTCACACTCCTGACCTTAAGTGATCCACCTCTTCTTGGCCTGCCAAAGTGCTGCGATTACAGGTGCCATTATTCTTTCTTATTTAAAAGCTGCTATAACATGGGAAGAACTTACGAGTATTTATTCTTGCATTTATCCAGACATTAGCAGAATATAATAAGATGATACAGAAAGAGAAAGCACTCTTACTTTTTGCTTCATGCTGTGGGTTGAGTGTGTCTTATATAAGTTCATTTGTTGGAATCTTAATCCCCAGTACAACAGTGTTGAGAGGTAGGACATTGAGAAGGTGACTAGATAATGAGAGCTCTGCCCTCAAAAAAGGGTTAATGTTCTTGTTGTGAGTGTAGGCTTGGTATTGCAAGAGTGGACTTCTGATCAGTTTGGCCCTCTTCCTTTTTCTCTGTCTCATGTTTGTACTTCCTTGCCATATCATGTCTTCCTTAATGAGATGATTCTTGCCAGATGCTGGTGCCATGCTTTTGAAGTTTCTAGCCTCCAGAACTGTAAACCAAATCAACTTATATTATTTATAAATGTTGTAGTCTGTAGTACTCTCTCATAGCAGAAGGAAATAGTCTGAGACAGAAAAATTGGTACTAAGAAGTAGGGCTGTTGCTGTAACAAATAACTAAAAATGTGAAAGCAACTTTGGAACTGAGTAATGGGTAGAGGCTAAAATAACTTGAAGGAGTAGGCTCCAAAAAGCCTGTATTGCCATGAATGGAGCATTAAGAATGATTCAGGTGAGGGCTCAGAAGAAGAGGCTATAGGGAAGGTCTGAATCTTCTTGGAGATTACTTTGACCAGAATGTTAGTAGAAATATGGATAGTAAAGGCCATTCTGATGAGCTTTCAGATGAAAATGAAAAGCTAAGTATTGGAAACTGGAGAAAAGACCATCATTGTTATAAAGCAGCAGTGACTTTGGCTAAAATGTGTTCATGTCCTAAGACTTCATGGGATGCAGAATTTAAGAGCAACAACTTAGGATATCTAGTGGAATAAATATAGAAGTAGCAAAGCATTCGGGCTGCTGTGTGACTACATTTAACTGAATACAAGGAGATTATAGAGGCAATAAATAACTTAAAGACAGAATTTATAATTAAAAGAGCAGCAGAATGGAAAGAATTGGAAAATTTACTGCCAGTCCATGTAAAGAGTGTGTCCAATCAACAATTTGCTAAAGAGATTAGTGTGGAGAGAAGGATACCAGGTACAGTAGTACCTGGAGTAGACATTTGAAATATTTCTTCTAACAGACAATGGAAGAATGACCCTGTAGGTATTTTAGAGATCTTTGATGCTTCTCCTGACATCACAGGCCCAGAACCCTAGGAGGGCAGAATAACTTTTAGGGATAGGCTAAGGGTGGCCTTTACAGTCTCTCTTCCCAAAGTTGCCTTGGGTTTTTGATCCCTACTTCCCATCAAAGTGCTTCTTGGCCATCCCAGCTGTGACTCAAGCATGCCTAGCTGTGACTCAAACCTTTTCTCTAAAAATATAAGCCATAAGCCTCATCAGTGTCCATGTAGTGTCAAGTCTGTGGGTACCTAGAATGGAAGAGCTATGGAGGCATGACTTCCTCCACCTAGATTTTAAATGATATCACAGGATGCCTGGAAGGCCAGACAAAAACCTGCCACAGGGTTGGGACCACCACATGGTCCTCATTAGGATAATCACTATTGCAGCTATGGGTGTGGACAGCCATGAAGACCCAAGAACTGTAGAGCTACCCATGTGCAATGCCAGCCTGGGAGAGCTGTATGGATTGAGCCTAACAAAGTCAGAGAAATGGGATGGCCCATTGCCTTGGGGCCCCAAACCCAGCCCCAGTACATCCAGGAACCAGGACATGGAGTCAAAGAGTTTTTTCTGCAGCCTTAAGATTTAATGCTGTTTGCCCTGTTGGGTTTTGTACTTACTTGGGACCTGTTTCTTCTTGCTTACTTCTCTCTTTCGGAATGAAAGTGTCTATCCTATGCCTGTCCCACCGTTGTATTTTGAAGTAGGTAACTTGGTTTGATTTCACAGGCTCAGAGTTAGGAAGAATTTCCCTCACGATGAATCGTGCTTTGAGTCTCACCTTTATCTGATTTAGATGAGACTCTGGACTTACAAGTTTTGAGTTGATACTGTAACAAATTAAGACTTTGGGGGATACTGTGATGGAATAAATGCATTTTGCCTTTTGAGAAAGACATAAATTTTGAGAGCAAAGAGCAAAATGCTGTGGTTGGAAACTGTCTTTCAAAAGTTTATGTGTTGAATTACTAATGATCAGGCAAATGCAAATTAAAACCGCAATGAGATACCACCTTACTCCTGCAAGAATAGCCATAACTAAAAAGTCAAAAACCAGTAGATATTGGCATGGATGTGGTGAAAAAGGAACACTTTTACACTACTGGTGGAAATGCAAACTAGTACAACCACTGTGGAAAGCAGTATGGAGATTCCTTAAAGAACTAAAAGTAAAACTACCGTTCAATCCAGCAATCCCACTGCCAAGTATCTACCCAAAGGAAAAGAAGTCCTTATATGAAAAAGACACATACACACACATGTTAATAGCAGCACAATTGAGAATTGCAAAGATATAGACCTAACCTAAGTGCCCATCAACCAACGAGTGGATAAAGAAATGTGGTATATATACAGCATGAAATACTACTCAGCCATAACAAAGGAACAAAATAATGTCTTTTGCAGCAACTTGGATGGAGCTAGAGGCCATTATTTTAAGTGTAATAACTCAGGAGTAGAAAACCAAATATTGCATGTCCTTACTTATAAATGGGAGCTAAGCTATGAGGATGCATAGGGATAAGAATGGAATGATATAATGGACTTTGGGACTTGAGGGGGAGGACTAGAAGCAGGGGTGAGGGATAAAAGACTACATAATGGATACGGTGTATGCTCAGTTGGAGACGGACACACCAAAATCCCAGAAACGACCACTAAAGAACTTATCTGTGTAATCAAAAACCATCTGTACCTCAAAAACTATTGAAATAAAAATAAAAAAATTTAAATAAATTAATAAATAAATAAATATTTGCAATGAAAAGAGTTTGTATGTTGAAAACTAAATCCCCAGTGAAACCGTTGAAAGGCAAGACCTTACACAGGTCATTAGGCCATAAAGACTCTGTCCTTATCAATGGGTTATTTCCGTTATCACAGTAATGGGCACTTGATAAGTTTTATCCTTTTCTTCTGTTTCTCCTGCGTGCTTTCTTACCACGTGATACCTTCCTCCATGGGACAACCTTCCCCAGATACTTGTGTCATATTCTTGGACTTTCTAGCCTTCAGAACTATGAGTAAGATAAAGTTTTATTGTTTATAAATCACCCATTGTGTGATATTCTGTCATAGCAGCAGAAAATGCACTCACACATTTCACTACATTTTTAAAGAAGAATTGTGAACATAAAGTAGAAAAATGCAATGTAATATTATTTGGTATTGGTAATAGTATCTTTGATTCTAAATCTCCAAGTTTTTTAAAAATTTGTTATCCTATAAGTTTCACTTTTATTACTATAATATAAAATATAGGTGGATAAAATTTCTTTTATTTTTGTTACCTCTTTTTTCTCATATATTAAGAATGTATAGCAAGTCATTGATATCATGTCATTGATTTATGGACCTTTCTTCAGCTTTTATTGTTTTATCCAAGGCACCAGCAAGTTCAAATGTTCTTTCTGTTCATTATCTGCCGCTGAATTAACGTAAACTTGAATAAATATCCTGATGACTGGTGATTCTGTCATATACCTTGCTTTATAAAGGTCTATTTGATGGTTTTGTCCCTAGATCATTTTCCATTTTTCCATATAATTTATACCACATTAACAGAGTTTCATTATTATTTTTCAGTGAGTTTTGTTTCTTCCACTGAACACATTATGAGTGTATTACCATAGTTTTGAAGACTACCCTGAATATTTCTCCATTAAATTAGAAGAGCAAATACCACTGGACTTTACAAATATATATATATATATGTATATACACACACATGCATATTTATATATATATATTTGTAAAGTCCAGTGGTATTTGCTCTTCTAATTTAATGTGTGTGTATGTGTGTGTGTGTGTAACTACATTGTGACAATATGCAGAAATCGGAAATCAGACTGTCTCAGGCAAACCCACTAGATAATTGTAAGGGTTAAATAAAGAGAGTATTTAACATGGAAAATGGTACAATATAAGCACAATAAGACATTACTGTTATAGAGAATATCTCAGGCATTAAAATACTGTTCAGTGCAGTGACTTTTACTTTATCATTTTTCTCTGTGAACACTCTGAGTTAATCTTTTAAGAAAAAAAATACTAAACCCGAATTTCCCTACTTTGGGCAATGTTTTTAGAGTATAATATTATTAACTCTAACTGCTGAGGAATTTCTAAAAGTCATAAATGTAATTTGACAAGCTTAACATCAACATTGTTCCTTGACTTGCTTCCATGACCAGTGATGGAAACTAAATATTAACCACATGAGAGATAAATAAATGTCATGGACACAGTTCTAGATATTTACTATAGTAATTATAATAATTTACATCTCAAATTACCATGTTATATGATAAAGGTAAAAGTAAGAAGAAACATAATCAATATTAAATAATACTGCCTTAAGCTTTACTAGATACCCAAAAGGTTAAAAAAATGACTCTGTATAATAGTATCAACTCCTTGGTCATTGGCTCATCACAGTAAAATAGTTTTGACTGAGTTTTTCTTCTTAAAGTACTGATATAGACAATAGAACTAAGTGATAGTGGGTTATACACACGAAATTAGAAATATATAAGAGCCCAGGAGTGTGGTATAAAACATATTTACTTATTAACCATTTACTAGCTAGTTGAATAAATAAATAAAACACTTCAGAAATCAAAAATAATGTGTAATTTCAGAGGTAAATTTGTTAACAAGCATCCAGACTTCACACGTCTATATGTATTTATGCATACACACAAACACACACATACAGATGCATACTCATTGTCCAGGATATTATTGTTGCAGTACTTTTGTTTTTAGTTCAGCTAAAGACAGAATTCTTTGTCCCATGGCCATGAAAATTCAGGCTCGCAGACAATTTGAATGGTGATCAGACAGAGTTTTATTGGGTGAAAAGGAAGAAATGGGAGAAACAGAGACTTTTGCAACACCAGAGTCTCTACTAGAGCACTTCATGCCCAGTTTTATTTATCAAAGACGTAGAAAAATAGTCTTTCTTATATAAATATTTTTCATAATATTAAAGAAAGTAGCAACTTTGTGTTGTTTAATTTTCTTTATCTCCCATCAAAACATACTGCTGTGATATTGATAAAATATGGCACACAAGTAAACCTATTGATGGTATTTTTGATTCCAAAAAAAAATTACCTAACTAACACAGACGATTTTTTATTGCTGTAGGAAACACTTGCATGTAAGAAAGAATAAGGAAAATCAGTATGAGCTGTTACAGAAGGTTTTCTATCATGTATTGAAATAAGAAAAAAACATAACAAGTATAAGAGTATCAATAGTACGCTTCTGCTTTGTAAAGAAGAAAAGAAAATAAATGCGTATGTGGTTATGTAGCTGCATGCAATCGCAAAAGATATGTAGGGGGAATACAATGGAAATCAATAAAACAGATCTACTCTGTGGTAGAGGAGAATGGAGTAGAAGAGATAGAAAAAAAATAACACTTCCCTGAGTATTGTTTCTTAAAGTTTTGACTTCTAAATCATGTTACTGTCCTGCTTACTTAAAATAAATAAATCAACAGATACAGGAAAAAACAAACCTCAAAACTGAATGTAAACAGAAACAAATGAATGCAAATTAATTTCAAATGAATTACATAATCATATTGAAGGAGAAACAAACAAGAACTAATCCTGGTTACTTTTAACACAACAAACTGTATTCGCTTAAACAAGAAACAAAAAAAATGCATAGTTTTTTAATAGTATTATTTGTTGTATAGGTTTAGTAATTCCAAAATGATTAGCTATTTTATGCCTATTGTTGGAATGAACAAATTAGTAGATATATTGATGTTTTGGGCAACAGACTTCTCCCTGTGAAAACAAGAGATACAAATATGGAATAAGGAAAGTCAGAGGAGGCAAGCCTCAATCTGCTTTAGCTGTGTCTGATGAAATGGCCTAGAAGCAATGATATCCCAGCAGCAATGAGCATACTTTATGCACATATCAATATTTCTAAATATCATTTCCTTGGATAAATGGTATTCTCCAGCAAATGTTTGAAGGAGAAACATTACAAAATGAACCAGAAATATCTTTTTAAGCAAGAAGACAAGAGCTTAAAAATTAATGGTGGCCTGAAAAGACATAGAATCCAGCTTTAAAGGGTTCCTAGTAACCAACACTGCGAGTTTGTGAATAACACAATAAAAAAGGTGTATTCTTGGGTCATAAATAGTTGAATAAAATAAGAATCTATCTGTTTATACTAATGATAAATGGATAGATAGAAAATGATATAAGTGGAGACTCTTCTTTAGAGTAGAATGCCAACTAACAAATACAGAAGAAATGATGGAATAAGAGACCCTGAAAGACAAAATGTTCTTGTTACTTTAATAAAAGACACAATCTAAAATACAGATTTATTATTCACCTGACATTAAAATAAACGAGCAAAAATACTAAATGGAGTAATAATATTACCATTTCACATCATATTAAGAATTCCAGCAAAAATAATCAATGGTTAAAACACTTACAATAAATTTGGTGAGACTCATGAAGATATCTGATATGGTATGGTTGTGTCCCCATCCAAAATCTCATCTGGAATTGTAGTTCCCATAATCCCCACATGTCATGAGGGACCCGGTGGGAGGTAATTGAATCACAGGGGCGGTTACCCTCGTGCTGTTCTTGTGATAGTGAGCGAGTTCTCACGAGATCTGATTGTTTTATAAGGGGTGTTTCTCCCTTTGCCAGGCACTTCTCTCTCCTGCAGCCATGAGAAGGACATGTTTACTTTCCCTTCTGCCATAATTGTGAGTTTCCTGAGGCCCCCACAGCCCTGCAAAACTGTGAGTCAATTAAACCTTTTTGTTTCTTTTTTAATTACCCAGTCTCAGGTATTTATTCATAGCGGCATGAGAACAGACTAATACAGTAAATTGGTACCAGGATAGTATGGCTCTGCTGTAAAGATACTCAAAAATGTGGAAGCAGCTTTGGAATTGAGTAACAGGCAGAGGTTGGAACAGTTTGGAGGGCTCAGAAGAACACAGGAAAATGTAGGAAAGTTTGGAACTTCTTAGAGACTTGGAAAGCTCAGAAGACGGGAAAATGTGAAAAAGTATGGAATTTCCTAGAGACTTGGAGGGCTCAGAAGACAGGTATGTGGTAAAGTTTGGAATTTCCTAGAGATTTGTTGAATGGCTTTGACCAAAAGGCTGATAATGATATGGAAAATGAATTCCAGACTGAGGTGGTCTCAGATGGAGATGAGAAACTTGTTGGGAACTGGAGTAAAAGTCAGTCTTGCTATGCTTTAGCAAAGAGACTGGTGGCTTTTTGTCCCTGCCTTAGAGATCTGTGGAACTTTGAATGTGAGAGAGATGATTTGGGTTATGTGGTTGAAGAAATTTCTAAGCAGCAAAGCATTTAAGGGGAAGCAAAGCATAAAAGTTTGGAAAATTTGCAGTCTGGCCATGTGGTAGAAAGGAAAGACACCTTTTCTGGGGAGAAATTCAAGCCTGCTACAGAAATTTGCATAGGTAATGAGGAGCCAAATGCTCATCACTCAGACAGTGGGGAAAATGTCTCCAGGGCATGTCAGAGTTCTTCACAGCAGCCCCTCCCATTGAAGGCCCAGAGGCCCAGGAGGGAAAAATGGTTTCCTGGGCTGGGTCTAGGTCCCCCTGCTGTGTGCAGATGGACTTGGTGCCCTGCATCCAACCTGCTCCAGCTGTGGCTAAAAGGGGCCAAAGTACAGCTCTGGCCACTGCAATGGAGGGTGAAAGCCCAATCCCTGGCAGCTTCCTCATGGTGTTGGTCCTGTGGTTGCACAGGAGGCAAGAATTGACGTTTGGGAACCTCTACCTGTATCTGAGAGGATGTAAGGAAATGCTTGGATGTCCAGGCAGAAGTCTGCTGCATGGGCAGAGCCTTCATAGAGAACCTCTGCAAGAGCAGTGCAGAAGGGAAATGTTGGGTTGAAGCCCCCACACAGAGTCCCCACTGGGCACTGCTAGTGGAGCTGTGAGAAGCGGGCCACCATCCTTCAGACCCCAGAATGGTAGATCCACTGACAGCTTGCACCATGCAACTGGAAAAGCTGCAGACACTCAACACCAGCCTGTGAAAGCAGCCAGAAGGGTGGCTGTACCCCATAAAGCCTCAGGGGTGGAGCTGCCCAAGAACCTGGGAGACCACCTCTTGCATCACTGTGACCTGGATATGAGACATGGAGTCAAAAGAGATCATTTTGAATCTTTAAGGCTTAATGACTGCCCTATTGGGTTTTAGAGTTGCATGGGGCCTGCAGCCCCTTCGTTTTGGACAATTTCTACCAACTGGTATGGGTGTATTTACCCAATGTCTGTACCTCCATTGTATCTAGGAAATAACTAACTTGCTTTTCAATTTACAGGCTCTTAGGTGGAAGGGACTTGCCTTGTCTGAGGTGAGACTTTGGACTTGGACTTTTGAGTTAATGCTGGAATGAATTAAGACTTTCAGGGACTGTTGGAAAGTCATGGTTGTGTTTTGGAATGTGAGGACATGAGATTTGGGAGGGGCCAAGGGCAGAATGATATGGTTTGGCTGTGTCCCACCCAAAATCTCATCTTGAATTGTAGTTCTCATAATCCCCATATGTCATGGGAGGGACCCAGTGGGAGGTAATTAAATCATGGGGAACACCCTCATGCTGTTCTCATGATAGGGAGTGAGTTCTCTTGAGAGCTGATGGTTTTTATAAAGGGGATTTCCCCATTTGCTTGATACTTCTCTCTCCTGCTGCCATGTGAAGAAGGACATGTTTGCTTTACCTTCTGCCTTGATTGTGAGTTTCCTGAGGTCTCCCCAGTCCTTTGGGACTGTACCTCATTTAAACCTCCTTTCTTTATAAATTCCCCAGTATCAGGGTCTTTTTCTTAATAACCTGGGAGCCATCTTTTTGAAATGTCATGATCAAGGAAGATAGCACCCCATCTCTCAATTTCTGTGGAAGTGTAGGAGCCTAACTTCAGTAGGCACTTTAAATTGTAAAACTACCTTCTGTCATTAAGAAAAATACAAGAAAGTTTACATTTTATTCGGGTAAGATCAATTAGAAAATGCCGATGGCCTAAGATCCTTCCCACTTCAGCCTTTAAAGTATCTACAGCCATTTTTTTGTTTGTTTGTTTGTTAGCAGAGATGTGAGTTCTGGCCCCTCCTACCCATTACAACAGACTTAAATAAAGACTTTCTTAACCTGTCTAACTTTGTCTGTTGGAATTTTGGAACTTTTACTTTGACAAAACACAGGATATTTACAGGCTTCATGTATCTCCCTATCACCATTATTTTAATTCACAAATGGAAAATATCAACTTTACAATAGAGAAACTGAAGGAGTCCCATGGTTGTGATCTATTTTACAATGGAGATTCTTGCCCACAGAATGACACAGGGAGTTAGAGAAAAGAGAGATTCAGACTAAGTAGATAATAAAGCTAATGTGAGAAAATGTTAAACCTCAATGAAATGAATAAATGATATCTCGGAATTAGATGTGTCATTTTTGTTAATTTTTGAAAATTTTAATGTATTTTAGAAAATAAAGTAATTAGTACAACAAAAATAGCAACAAAGCAAATGTTAGGCATTGAGTACTTCTTTCCACTGCCTTACTTACCAGAGGCTGTTTCCAACAAACTGAGGAATAAAGACAAGAGTATGTCAGATTTGTATCAGTATTACCTTTATTACCAATAAAGATAATATTGAAACATGTAGCTTATGTCATTAGTTAAGTGGAATTATTTAATACATTCAGATTAAATGTTGAATTTGTGGTCATTTGAACTATCACTCTTCCTTTTTTGAAGGTCAATATTCCATCAAGATGGGCCTAATTTAACCTTCATAAAGCCAATTTACAGTAACAACCCTGACTTCTTGCATATTCCTGAGATCACTGGGCACTAGTGGATATTTTGATACCAGAAGACTCTCAAAAGAATCAGAGTAGTATATTAATTAATGCTTAGGTTACTTTGTATGTGAGGTTGAAATTAATTTTTTATTCTATTCTTCATCTTAAATTGTATGCAGCTTCATTGTTGAATAAAGTCATTGGAACTTTAAAAATGAAAGGAAATGGCACAGAATCTGAACTAATATAATTTTATCCCATTATCAAATTCTCACAGAGAAATAAAGTTAAAATAAAATCCAAAATATCTGATTGGTCTTAAAATCTAAAACCAGTGTTTCAACAAAAAAAGTTAAACATTTATTCCTTCCAATTTCTTATTTCCCAGTATTAGGGAGAAGGGTGCTTAATTCCTGGGTAGAGTTGGCATTCCTCAAGCAATTGCCATGTGAAGTGCCTCTGGTTAGAATGAGTGTAACTTCTTAGTTTGTTTAGGACATAAGATGTTTTATGCATTCAAAGTTTTTTATTTGCCTCATTTTTTATAAGGTAGAAAATATTTAATAGGGCAGGCAAAATCATTTCAGCAATGGACTGAATACCCACAACATTTAATAAACACTCCATTTTAGGCCTATATTGCACATACTCTAAAACAAATTGTTTCTAGAACCCAGTATTTGCTGTTGCTTACATATAAGTGTGATTCAGTAGTATGTGAGTATGTAAAATCTACATTCTTGGCTTTAGACTTGTCAGTATACAGTCTGTTGATTGGGTGCCAGTTGTTCAGAATTTGTAGCCTGAAAACATAAAGCAAACCCAGTCATATGATCCAATTTAAGCCTTTATAAGCCACCAACATCACAGCTTCCCAATAATATACTCAGGTTCAAGACTGAGCCACATGAAAAACCTCAACCACTCCATTTGTATTTTATTCTATAAATTTTACTTTCTTTGCCTATTTCTTGAGGCAGACAGATCAATGCAACAAATTTTGAGTGTTCAAAGAGCTAAATAAATATCATCCTATTTTTTCTATCTGAGTGTCCATCCAGTTGAAAATATAATGACATATAATAAAGTTGTAAGGATAAAAATATTACCTTTATTATGAACAAAGTTAGTATGGAAAATATGGCTTTATCTGTATAAGAAAGTCGTTTACATTAGATTTCATGCTCTCAATGGTCAGCAACGTCTTAAGGGAAAGAGAAAGAGCAAGGCACCATGCCTAGTTTCTCCTTCCAAAATCATTAGTCAGGCAGTTTTCCTTCTCACTCCAACCTCCATCCCTAGGAAAAGAGCAAGTAAGAGACAAAGAAAACATAAATGTTTTATTAATAAAGGTCTCTCCATACTACACTGCTGGGCATAAACATTAGGACTTGGATGCAAATATTACCCCTTCAACAGACATTGCAAAATGTTACATTTCCAGTAAACCACATGGAAACAATGGGAAGATCACTAGAAGTTGAATATTGAGGGGTGGGGGTAAAGGGGATACAGCAGAACACCTGTCGCTAAACACAATCTTATAAATCTCTGGCTTGCTAACACTTTCTACTTCTATTTCCCTTAGGTAGAGTCAAAAGAAAGTATTAATTAGTGCATTTAACCTAACATAAACAGCATCATGACCTTGTACGTGATACGTATTCCTGCTGACAAGAATGCTCACCAGAGACTTTGTAAGCAAATTCTTGTTTGTTTTCCTGTTTCTCTGGATTTCTCTTATATGAGCTTATTAGTAAATGGTAAGACTTTTTAACAAAGTGGGATTTCATTATTTATTTTGAAAATTTTTGACATGCATGAGTAATTTAATTTTGCAATACAATTTTATAGCCGACTAATACTTTTTGTCTAGCCTGATCTCAATTGTTTGTTATAATAGATGTCACACACTAACTTATCTAGCCAAGTACTTTCTAACAGGTACAAAATACACATTTTATATGGAACTTTTTTTTTATTTTTAGAGATCAACTTTTAAAACATTAGGGTGATACTAGAATACAGCTTATATTCCTTTTTAAATTTACTGGTTCAGTCATTCATATATAAATGAATTCTAAGTTCAGTATTAACTTATAAAGCAACATTTTATTTTTAGTTTATTTCCCTAGTGTTGCTCTGGAAGTACAATTTGGGTAAGTTAAGTTCTAATCTGAAGTCTGACAATAACTTGATTTACAAATATAGACAAATTGCGTAATTTCTGTAAGCTTCATTTTTTTTCAAACTACAATAATTTCTCAGCCCATTTCCATTCCAGTTCCACCGGAACATGTTGTTAATAGGCAGGTTGTTTCAGCTGGAAGGCACTGGGATTGAAAGCAATGCATCTCTTTTGAGAGTCATACACTCAGGGCAAATTCAGTAACACTCTCTTGATATTCAGTTTTATTATTTTCAAACTAATATTGTCAATGATATCATCTGTTTCAAAGAATCAAAGGGAAGATCAAATAAAATAAGATTACATAAAATTATTTTGTATCTGTAGAGTATTATTAAATTGTAAAGAATTCTCTAATTCCAAAAAATATCTTTCATGCTTCAAAGGTAGTGTTTAATGTATGCTATTATATGGTTTTATGACTGATACATTTGTTTTAGCTATAATTTGTATTTTATTTAATCAGAAGCCTTTATAGTACCTATTCTGTAACTAATATTGATGCTATTAATATATATTTACAAGTCATGATGTTCTCACCTTTGTTTCTGATAGAATAGTCTTTGTTCTACTAAGGCTGTTCTCTGCCACCTTGGTCATCTTTGAGCCATACTTTTGGAACTTATTAAAGAGTACCATGGCTTTTTGTGTGTGGATAAACAGATAATAGAGCAAGTAAAGATACTATATTTTTGACATGGAACTAAATAATAATTCCTTTTCTGTTTCTAACACTCATTCTAATGGTGAAATGCTTAAATCTGACAACTTATAGTCCTCATATTGCTGATGAAAAGCACATCAATCATCATCTTAGTGGCATTTAGTAGTCACATAGGCCAGATGTCCATCAGCTTCTGGACATTTTCCAATCCAAAGTAAAATATGAATATGGGTTATTGGCATCTACTGTATGCCTGAGTTGTTAATAGGCATCAGTATCAAGCCTTTCTAAATGATTACCAATATTTACTGGCAGGAGGAGGAGCAGTGTGTCACTTTTTATAGTTGGTCATTTTTCCAATCTGATTTCTTGATATCTGTATTCTCAGAAAGCAAGTTATTCTCTGGGTTTCTTGGATCTGGACTGAGAAAAGTAAAGTCTACCAAAAATGATCCTCAATACTCAATCATACTCTTATCCTTTAATCAGACTCTTAATAACTTTATGTATAAAGTGTTTCACTCTTTATAGCATTTTTGGTTAGGGCTTTTCTCTTGAACTGATTCTGTAAGATTCTCTGCCCTACATTCTCAGAATTTATACATACAGAGGACTTCAACATTTTCATCCATTAATGTAATAAAAATGTATACTCCCTTGAGATAAAAACAAAAGAATGAGAAAGTAAAGTATAATAATTCCCCAAAGATACTTATTGCTGTACATTGACATTTGTGACCTCAAATGTGAACTTAAATGTAGGACTTTTTTTTTTAAAGCCATTATTAAATAGAGAGCATTGGAGTAAACACTTCTTAGAATTAAGAATATTTGGATGTAGTTAGGAATACACATGCCCCATTTAGTGTCAAAAATAGATTAAAAATATGTATTTATCCTTCATTTCTCTGGTTAACTCTTAAAGGTTCCACATGTTCTCTAAGCAAGACAGTGTACAAAGCAGTATTTATCTGAAAAAGACAGGAGTGAGACATAGATCTTGTCTTTATCACACTTACAGTCCAGTGCAGTTGGTACAGCAATTACGGGGAGGTAGGGGCAATATAAAATTGAAAGGGAAAATAAAAAAATAATGAAACCACTAGGGAATTCACAAAAGAGAGGTAATTTAAAAGTCATTTTAGTATAGCAAACCCTCATGACACACAATTACGTATGTAACAAATCTGCACATCCTAAGCATGTACCCCTGAACTTAAATGTTTTTAAAAATGTTACTTTAACTTGACACGGTAGTATGATATGCCACATTTCTTAAATTTCATGATTTGATTTTGCAAAATTCTGGTAAGGAGCTAACTCCAAAATAATATTGTGAGTCTAGAAGAGAACCATGGTATACCAGTGCTCTTGTCCACATTATTTTCTTCCTTTGTCTTGCTGAAATTTATAATAATGCATCCCGTTTTTTAACTCTAGATCCACAGTTACAATGATTAATATTGGGGCCCCTGCGTCTTTCATAAAAAGGTCCTTTCTTGACCAACTACTGTTGTTACTATTCAAAGAACTCCCCAGTCTCTCCCAGGTTCCAGGTCACACAGGAAGTTTGTGTTTCCATTTCACTGAAGCCAATTGAATCAGATTGGAGTTGTATTGTCAGTGCCGAAAAACTGTGTTAATTATACACCCATGAACTTAATTCAAATAATAACTACTTAAGGCATCAGATATTCTCAACCCATTTTACATATAAGAAAATTAAGATTCCTAGCTTGTAATGTGATAAAATAATGCAGCCAATATGTCACAGGTCTAGGACTAAATCTAGTTCTGAACTTCCTGCTATGTTTCCAGCAAAAAAATCACAAATGTAAATCTTTTAATGACTTTTTCGTTTTTAAATATTTAAGACTAAGTGTCCTTTTGTAACTTCCATTTAACTTAAAAATATGTGAAATCATGCAGCAGGCACCTTAATAATCCCTTTTGCATCCCGTACCCCTCCATGCAGTTGGCAGAATTTATTAAAATAAAGCCATCATGTCATTTCCCAGATCAAATATATTTTATGTATCTTCATATTCAGAATGAAAACACTAAATAAACTTCTTCACTTGAAAAACAAGGATCTTCTCAACTAGCCTTCTTCTTTTGTTTTTCTTGCACTGCTCACAAGTATTCAAGCCCATCCCTAACTACTTACTGTTCCTCAAAATTGCCGTTCTCTTTCCTACTAAGGAATTATGAATTCAGCACATCCAAGCAAAATGAAGTGCTGAGAAGATATTTGAACAACTCTGGTTTGTTTGTTTGCTTGTTTGTTATAGAAAACAGACATTTAGGCCAGGCGCGGTGGCTCACGCCTGTAATCCCAGCACTTTGGGAGGCCAAGGCGGGCAGATCATGAGGTCAGGAGATCGAGACCATCCTGGCTAACACAGTGAAACCCCGTCTCTACTAAAAACACAAAAAATTCGCTGGGCGTGGTGGTGGGCACCTGTAGTCCCAGCTACTCAGGAGGCTGAGGCAGGAGAATGACATGAACCCGGGAGGTGGACCTTGCAGTGAGTCGAGATTGCACCACTGCACTCCAGCCTGGGCGATAGAGCAAGACTCAGTCAAAAAAAACAAAAACAAAAACAAAAAACCCTAATACAATATTCAGTGAAAAAAAAAAAAAAAAAGGAAAAAGGAAAATTTGGTAGGCTTAATTGCCTAGAAATAGAAATATAACTTTTGATTTATGTCAACTTTTTCCTTGGTTATATTTTATTCTTTCTGTTCCTCATTATTAAATGTATTTCAGTGAGTTGTGTCAAGGAAATAAGGTTGAAGCTGTAAAGAACATAACTGAGCTATGACACTTAGAAGGAACCTTATAAATTTTAATAGATGACCTTTCCAAAAGTTGTCAATAGCAAAAGCTTTAGGCGATAAATGTAGTGATTTCATTTTATATCTACCTACACACACACGTATGGTTAAAATTTACAATTATACATAAGGAAGAAAAGTAAAAATATATTAATATTTCTAAACACTGATACTAAAGAGAGTTTATTTAAAGCATTGCTCTTATTTAAATTTTAAAAAGTTTTATAAGCAATACTATTTTTTCAATATGTTTAATATACAACTCAAAGGTATAGGATGTGCATAAATGTACACATGTAGAGAAAAAAAAATGTATCCTAAATAATGTGGTTGTCAGAATGCTCAAGGCCTGCTTTTCAAATGATGTATAATATCACAAAGCAAGGGGGAAATCCTGTCAGTTTAGCTATGGAGATCAAACATGCTAATGAGTACATATTCTGGCATAAATGAGGTTAGAAATATACTGTGTCAAAGAGATTGATCTCCATAATAGTTAATGAATCTGAAATGAAGAATAGAAGATACAGTGTAGTAGATCCGATTTTATTGCTTGAAATTATATTTGCCCTTGGCAAAGCAGCTTGTTTATTGGTGCTCATTATAGCTGATACAGTACAGTAAACCACTTTCATCTAAAAATAAAGGTTATCAAATATCATAACATAATACAGGCAGGAGACATTTTCACAACATTTCAGCATGCTTTTATTGTTGACTATAATACAGCAATACATGTAGTGTAAGTATTAGCATTACAATTATATTACCAACATCTTACCTGTAGTTTTAGTGTCAGAAGAAATTATATTTAGTCAAGCTTGGATAATGGTACAACTAAGAGCAGTATTGAAAAATCAAAACTGAATGCATGGCAAACATTTGAAAACACGTAGGAACGATTTATTATTCATATTGAATACAATTATTTCATATTATCAATGGAAAGAAAACACAAAAAAACATGACTCACTAAAGACTTCTATTGTTTTAACCTCAATTTACTGGGAATCCTCTTAGCTTAAAGAAGCAGACAGGGGTGTGGGACTGCTGTATAAAGCTATCATGTTCCCTACAAATTTTATGGTTTAAAATGTATTGGATTTTCTTTCATGCAGAGGTTTTTCAAAGGCAATAATTTTATTATACAAGTTATATTGAAGCCATACCTAAGCAAAGTTTGAAAACTTGAAATAATCTTAAAATGAATTGGCTTGCTATTAGGAATCTTTAATTACATGTCTTTTTAAAAGTAAGTAGTTATTGTATAGTAAGGTAACTATAATTAATGATGATATATTGTATTCTTAAAAAAAGAAATAGAGTGGATGTTATATGCTCTTATCACAAACATGATAACAATGTGAGGTAACATTTTGGTTAATGAGCTAGATCTAACCATCCCACAATGTCTATGTACTGCAAAACATGATGCTGTACACAACAGAAAACACGTGAAAAATAAATAAAATACAAAGTCAGTAGAGGGCCAGGTGTGGTGGCTCATGCCTGTAATCCCAGCAGTTTGGGAGGCTGAGATGGGTGGATCACTTGAGGTCAGGAGTTCTAGACCAGCCTGGTCAACATGGTGAGACTCCATCTCTACCAAAAATATAAAAATTAGTCAGGCATGGTAGTGCATGCCTGTAATCCCAGCTACTCAGGAGCCTGAGGCAGGAGAATTGCTTGAACCTTGGAGGCAGAGGTTGCAGTGAGCTGAGATTGTACCGCTGCACTCCAGCCTGGGAAACAGAATAAGATTCTATCTCAAAAAAAAAAAAAAAAAAAAAGTCAGTAGAGGCTGTTAATTTAATTGAGGAAGGTAGTCATATTACAAACCGTGACTACCCAACAGTATAAAAATGTATGCTCCAACAGTATAAAAATGTATGAATAAACAATTAAAGGGAAAACAAGAATATCTTGAAAAAAATCATGAAGTGATAAGTGTCGAATGAATGAATATAAGCTTTTGATTTCAAAACTAAGCTTATGGAATTTTCTAAAGCTTTAGAAATTTTCGTATAGGTTATTGAGACTCTTTGATTCATTTTGTCGTCACATACTTATGAAGAAAAAATGTGCTTCATTAGCGCCCCTTATAGAGTATTTCTTATTGTTCTGCTAAAATACCTATAAGAACAAAGAAAAAGATGTAACTAAAAGTAAGGGGTTTTCAAATAAATAAATAAATGACACCTAACATTTTAAAATATTGTGAAACTTCCACTGACTAAATTAATGATTTAAGTATGAAGAGAAACATATAGACATGAACCAGAAATGCTTAGTCATGGGTGACATTAATGTTTAATCAATCTGTAATTCGTTCTTTTCATATATATCTATTTCAGAGGCTCCATAGGTTGGATCTGTTAAACAAGAAGCTAATTTATGATATCACAAATCCAATATTTAAATTACCATGTTGTCCATGGATTCTGAGTGTCAGAGAATAATTAGGGAAAGTATATCTTTAGCAAACATTATTGTTGATTTAATTCTTGCTATACAGTGTTAATTGGGCTGGGTGAAGGCAATTTGAACATTTCTCATTTAGGAGGTGAGAGTAACGGTATAATTTCAGAAATTCAGATTGTTTAGCAAAAGTCAACTGAATAGAGTTTTCGTTGTTTAAGAATGATTAAGGTTATCAAAAGATGTCATTAAAGAAGAAAAATGCTGTGGAAGAGAGAACAAAGTTTTCATCATGCTTAAGATGAAGGAGGCTTATTTGTGAAACATAATATTTCTTTCACAAGTTTCAAAATAAAATTTCAGAAACGTGGCTAATATATTCAATAACATGCAAGAAGAGCATGGTGTTTGTATCAAAGATTTGCTATTAGGAGATAAGTGTTTATTGAGATAGAAAATAAATTAAAAAAACACAATACATTTCAAAGAGAAAAGTTTAGATTAAAAGTCAGGTGGTTGAACTAAATAAAGGACTGCAAGTTAATGGTAGAACTAACATCACATTGGGTAAAGTAGGAAGCAAAATTAAAAAAGAGGAAATTGAATGCTCATACAGGAAATAAATCAAGACAAACTGCTGTAATGCATAAACCCTGGAAAGACATGGTGAAAATAATTAGAATATATAAGGAAGAAACAGTAAATTCATATAAGATTCATTTAAAGAAAAAACAAAATCAACAAGAGAAATGTCAAAGGCATGATTTTAAAAATATATATTGGGTTGAAAAATAGGCTTTAACAATACAGATTCAAATTATTTACTATAGTAAAGTAAAATAAATAAAAAAGACTCACCTGTACATGAAATTAGTCACATTTTTCATTTGAGGAAAGAAAATACAAGCATTTAGGTAAAATATATTGCAAATAATAACAAATCAAGCAGTGTTCAGTGATCTCCACTATAATGATAAATAATAGATAATAATGGGGTTTGGTAACTAGAGAAATAACTGAAGAAAACTGCAGTTGTAAACAAGGATTCCCTACATATTAGTTACTTGTTCATATGTGAAAGCCGCTTCCAAATTTGCAAGATAATAACAAAGAGGAAGACGAAAATTAAAAAAAAAAAAAAGGTGTATTTCTCTTTTGACATAGAACAAAGTCAGATAATATTGTTCAGGGTTTTTACAGGGAAAAATAGATTAAAATAGGTTTGTAAACCCTACCAAAAACTTTAAGTTCAGAATATAGAGCTATAGATAGAGATATGGATATAAGTATCCGTGATGGTTAATACTGAGTGATAACTTGATTGGATTGAGGGATACACAGTATTAGCCTTGGGTGTGTCTGTGTGGGCATTGCCAGAAGAGATTAACATTTGAGTCAGTGGGCTGGGGAAGGCAGATCCACCCTTAATCTGGTGGGTACATTCTAATCAGCTTCCAGTGAATAAAAAGCAGACAGAAAAATGTGAATTGAGAGAGGGGTCTAGCCTCCCAGCCTACATCTTTCTCCTGTGCTGGTTGCTTCCTGCCCTTGAACATCGGATTCCAGGCTCTTTAGCATTGGGACTTGAGCTGGCTCACGTTGCCCCTCAGCTTGCAGACAGCCTATTGTGAGACCTTGTGATCATGTTAGTTAATACTTAATAAACTCCTATATATATATAGGAGTTGAATGTGTGTGTATATATATGTGTGTGTTTATATATACACACATATATACACACATATATATACACACACACACATATATACACATATATATACACACATATATATACACATATATATACACATATATATATACATATATACACATATATATACACATATATACACACACATATATACACACACACACACACACACACACACACACACACACACATACATCTATCCTATTCTGTCCCTCTAAGATAATCCTGACTAATACAGTATCTATATCCAGGTCTTCATAAAGAGCCATCATGAATTTTAATTAGGCGTATGCCATGGCAATATTTGCATTGAGGAATTTTATGGTGGCAGCAATGTAAAATACACTTGAAGGTAGCAATGTTAGTGAATATTAAAAACTAATAGTTCTAATATGACTTTTGGTATAAAATTATGAGGCATGGGAAAGGAGGAAAACTGTTAGTGATTGTAAAGAGAAATAGCAACATACTGAAGAGATAAAATCAACTAGAATTTATGAAAAAATTGAAAGTACAGATTTAGGAAGGAGAGAGAAGTAAAAATGACTTCCCCATTTCTTGCTTGACAGAATAAATAGATTATGGTATTTTCATTTGGGGGATGAAAATTACCAAGTTAAATAAAATTTTAGGAGTGAGGAAGTTGAGGAAAGATGGAATATTATGGCTTCATTTCATGTACTGGTTTTTCAGTGCTCATTGGAGTCTAAAGAGAGATATAGAGTAGGTAATTCAATATGTAAATATGGAGTCAGTAAGGGGAGAGTGATAATTTGAGTTGCAGCTAAAGTTGGTTTTTCAAACAATAAGAATAGTTGGCATTCAGCTGGGAAGGTGTATAGATGCAGATTTGTGATTAGTGGGTCGTGGCATATTGGTATGCTGCAAAAGGCTTCAAAGTGGCCTTGAATATATTTCCCATTATTTTTCATGAAGGCCTGGAAGAGCTTATTGTTTCAGGGGTTAGGACACTGTGTACCTCAACGCTTTCACACCAGTCCCCTACAATACAACACTAATATATAGACTTCAGGCACTTTATCAGACAGAAGCAATTGTAATGAAACAATTAAAGAAATGATGTCCTAGAAGCCAAGAAAAAAGATTTATCAGTTGAATGAGCTAAAATATCTAATTTCCAGCAATGCCAAGTGATTGCTTGGCATGGTAGAAGCTATCTCAATTATAAACCTAGAGATCAGATGTAAATACATTGAGGAGGTAGTGACATATGGTCATTACACATTAGCTATTCTTTTGAGCAGCTTGGCTGTAAATGAAAGAAGCAAGACACCTTAATAGTGGGAGATTTAGCATAAAGAGAAAGGGAAACTATGTAGCATACTTGTTGGTGGAGGGAAGAGAGGTAAAGAGTGACTGATTTACAATATAAAAAAGAGATTTACAATATAAACAAGATTCCGGAAGAGAAAACAGATGTGAAATTATTCACTGAAGAAAAAAATGGGATTATGGGATTACATTGAGGTGAAAACAAAACTAGAGGAAATTCCCACATCAAAGCTTCTATTTCTTTAGTAAGAAGGTAGACAGTGCCATTCACTTAGAGTGAGTGGGAAATCTTGAGTAGAAGGAGTCTCTGGAAGAATAAACTATTTTCTTGAAATAGTGGTTTCAAGAAAAAAAAGAAAAAGAAAGACATTACTTTGTCAAACAGCTAAATTTGAAACCACAAATTTGTAGTGTTGCAAAATATACTGTGTATACTAGCAATGCTACCAGCATTTATCTATTTCATATAAAATTATCTGGTACTGGAAAATCACGTTATATTGCACAAGTTTTTTTTTTAATCCCTGCCAACTTCAGAATGACTTTATTTTTTAATGTGGGAGTGAATGATGATTATTCCCTAATACATTTTAAATCTGCTGAAATAATCTTGATATTTTCATTTAACTTAGATTTGTTCATTTTATTCACATTTTTCCTAAATCTAAACCATCTATGCTTTCCATGAATAAGCTTCTCTCTAAAGTTAGAAAAAGCAGAAGGAGGAGCAGAGATTGAAAGAGAAACCTATGGTATTAAAGAAGGGCTTTTTCATGAGCTTGTTAAGCAAGGTGCTAAGTGTATGTGACCTTTCTCATTTAATCTTTATGTGATTTTTACTGTGATTTTCATATTTAAGTTAGGTCCCTGTTGCCTAATGGTAATAGAAATGAGAATCGTCTACACTAGTATTTGAGTATGTGTGTTACATGATTTCTTTCTAATTCAAACTCTCTGGCTGTTCTGCTGAAGAGTGGCTAGTCCCAGTCAAGTTGTACCACTTACAGCTGTTCTTTAGACTAAAAGGAGAAGAGTGTAGTTATTTGGTTAGTCTAATTGATGTTAGCAGTCACTTGGATAATATAGACCAAAGATATAACTTTCTTCTCATTAACATAGCCTCTGGGCCACATTTCTTCAAGTAAGTGACCCATTTTTTTCTTTTACTTTAATTTTCCAGGGTGGTGTATAAAGTGATGCGTTTCCTAACTAATACAGCTTGCTTTGTGTCCCCACCCAAACCTCATCTTGAATTGAAATCCCTTAACTCCATAATCCTCATTTGTCATGGGAGGGACATGGTGGGAGGTAATTGAATAATGGGGTGGTTTCCCCCATGCTGTTCTTGTGATAGTGAGTGAGTTCTCACAAGATCTAATGGTTTTATAAGCATCTGGCATTTCCTCTGCTGGTACTCATTCTGTCTCCTGCTGCCCTGTGAAGAGGTGCCTTCCACCATGATTGTAAGTTTCCTGAGGCCTCCCCAGCCATGTGGAACTGTGAGTCAATTAAACCTCTTTTCTTTATAAATTATCCAGTCTCAGGTATTTCTTCATAGCAGCATGAGAACAGACTAATACGTGAACATACTCTGGTTTTGATCTCAGTGACTGTGAAATATTTGGGAAATTATTTCAATCTTGAATATGCAACTGTGTTAAATCACATGCTCTAATATAACATTTTACCCCTCATTTGAATTATTTATGGAATCTGTAATTCAAGCTACAATGCCAAAATATTGTTGTACAATGTTTCATATTTTTAATTCTTGACCTAGACTGTTTTCATAAAAATATACACTTGGCCCAGGAGTTCAAGGTTGCAGCGAGCTATGATTGTACCATGCACTCCAGCCTGCATTACACAGCACAGCCATGTCTCTAAATAAAATAAAAATGTCCTGTTGTTAATCTTTTAGAGTTGAAAATGAGTAAAAATAATTAAAAGTTTTCTGAATTGGAGATTGATTAGGAGGAATACTACAAACAAATACTATTATTTTTGTCAAATCCCATGTTTTATCTGAAATAGTAGTGTTCGAGCATTAGATTAGTCAGGAAACATGATGTTTCTTTCTAAATTTGAATTTTATTTTGTTTCCTCTTACTATCACAATACTTTTCAGCATAGCATTTGTTTTGAGATCTTAAAAAACTCTCCTGTTTGAAAAATTATTATAGGAAGGAAGAGGACACCAAAGACAAACAGTAATTGCTATAGTTACTCTTACAGAAAGCCTGGATTTGCAAGACATTTTTTAAAAAATCAATTTGATATGTATTTTCTCTTCTCAAAATAATTGACTATAGCTATTCATGCTAAATATACCCCAGAGTTGTATATATCTTGAAGTCTATGCTTACCCTTTTTAAAATAAATTTTCTAAAATTAGCACCTTTAAAATGGATCTGCGGCAAATACTCCCTTCTTGTTCCAATATTGTATTTTCTTTTAATTTATAGCTTCGCTTGTGCAATTCTGTTGGAGGACAATGTCTAAATGAACTGATTTATTCCTACTTGAAATGGAGTATATTTTTAATAAACACAGACTATATCAAAATCAACCACACACAGTGAATCTCTCTGGCTGTAGCTCATAGCAACAGAAGCCACAAACTGCTGCACATATATTTGCAACACAAAACACAAAAGTTTTTTTTTTTTTTTGGTAACCTTTTTGAACACTTCTCACTGTTGGCCTTTATAAATGTTAGAAAATGACAACAAAATCAACTATTTTGCTTTATATATTTCAAAGAGTATAATTGATAATAATAATATCCAAACAAATGTGATTAAAATGCCAGTGTTGGCATTTTGTGCTCTTTTTATTTTTTGGGCACATTGTATCTTGAACAAGTAATTACATGTTTAGGTTTGTTATCTCTTCCTGGTAAATCAACCCATTGATCATTATAATTTCTTTTTTTGTTTCCCATATTTCTTGTCACCAGTCCACATAGTCTGATACTACCACAACCAGTTTAGTCTTTACACTTCCCTGGTATACTTTTACCACCCTTTTGCATTCAGCTTATCTCTTTTTATTAAAAATGCTTCAATAGTAACTGCATATAAATGCATTGTTTTTTTAAAAAAAAAAACACTTCTGAAATCTACTTTTATTTGGAGTGTTTATTTCATTTGTAGTTAACATAGGTAAGGATAATGTTGGGTTTAAGTATACAATTTTATACTTTTTTCTGTTATTTTTACTTATATTTGTATCTCCTGCTTCTCCTTTCTTTTCCTTTTGAGTTGATACTTTTAATATTGCATTTTAATTCCACTAATTCTTTTTAGTTCTAGATTTGTATCTTTTTAGAAGATGCTCTTAATATTATAATAGGTAACCTTAATCACCCCTTAGAATTAATATTGTTTTATTTCACATAAAATGTAAGAAAATTGCAACACTATAACCGTCTACTTTACTTAAATCTTTTGGGTTACTATTGTCATATAATGATACCTGCATACAATCTAAGTCCCACAATACAATGTTATAAGTTTTAGGTTAAAGTCAGCTGCTTTCAATTAATTTAAATAATAATAAAAAATTCATTTTATATTTAGCTATGTATTTTCCATTTCCATTACCACTCATCCAATCTTATAAATCACAATTTCCTTCTGTTATGATTTTCTTTTGGCCTGAAGAACATTCTTACACATTTTTTTTTTTGTAATGTAGTTCTGCTGTCTTTATAGCCTCTCAGTTTTTTCTCCATTTATTGGCCACAGTTTTTATATATTCATTCATTGTGACTATATTTTTCTTTAAGTCATTAAGAATACTTATAATTCTGCTTAATGTCCTTACTAGCAAATTGCAACAATCGAACACTGTGAAATTTCTTTGGACTGCTTTTCTCTTGAAAATCAGTCACTTTTTCTAATTATTCACATGTAAAATGCTCATTGTTGTTGTTTTAATATATTGGGCATTGCAGATAAAACACTGTAGAGACCTTCAATTTTTTTTTTACGGTTGATTTTTTCCCTAGAATGTATTTAATGCCTGATCACTTTCAAACTGTGGAGTTATTACTAAACACTTTCCTACAGCTGACCTGTTTTGGTTTTGGCTACAGTCACAGTAATTTCTCAATCCTCGAAAAATTATAATCACACTATATGGTCTTCTGAAAATTTTATGGAAATATGGAAATGTTCACAAAGTCCTCTGTCTTAAAGACCTACATATTTCAACTCGCTCATCCAGAGCAGCAGCTGAAATCTATAATCAGCTTATTTAGTCTTCTATCCACTTCTTTCCTTTTTTGTGTGTGTGAGTTCCTTGGAGTTTCTCCTAAACATATCTAAATCAGAAGTCAGCCATGGATTTGAAGTGAGCTTATGTGAAGATTTAAGGCTTGCTCTCTGAGGCTTTCTCCCTTCTGGGACTTACCCCTTTGGTTGCTAGCTGGAAGCCCTAAAATTCATCCTCTGATACCTCAAACCTGTATGACTGGATTTCCTTTTGAATTCTAAGCACCATGTTCTGCATAGACTAGTAACTGTTTTCATTGAGAATTTGATCTTACTTAACATGGGACCTATTTTATCGGTCAAATTTTCTACAATATCTATATGCATATTGTCACTTTTCAGTGCTGTTGAGTAGTATTTTTATTATTTAAAAAAATTTATTTTTAGGATTTATAATTGTTAATGTAAGAGGGTTTGTTCATACAAGCTATTTCACTATCAATGGAACTAGATTTATATATTCACATTTAAGATAACATTTTTATAATGAAAATTATACTGGCTTACTATTTATGACAGTGATATAGGCCTTCATTAAAAGAAATTTATCTAACCAAAAAATGTGTTGATTCAAAGAAAGCATTAAGTATATAAATCCATACAGATAAAGATATGCCAAAATCATAAATTTAAATATGAAAGACCCAAATGCTTGAAACATTTTACTGGGTTCTTAGCTGCCTATATGACTGAAATAAACTAGTAAAGTAATTGATAAACACAATATTTTTTAAAACCTCTGATGCTTACATAATTTATAACTCAGTCATCTTACAAAAATTGAGCTTATTGCAATAAAATTTAATAGTTTTATTAGGCTTCTTTTAAATCTATGGCAATCCCTTAATAGAGCAAGAGTTATAAAACTCTGCAGATAAAAACAAATATTCAAAATGTCATGAAACAAAATTATATCACAGACCCCTGGGATGTCATCAGCATATACCTAAAATAATCATTATCAGAACTTGAGTTTATTAAGTACTTGCTATATGGTAAGTTGAGCATTTAAAAGTAATTGGAAATCTTTCTTAACCTAACTTGAAAGGCTTTTTATGTGAGACAATTTGTCAAGTAAAATAATAATAGCTGCACCTACCTCACAAGACTGTTGTGAATATTTAATTACATAAAATACATGCAGAAAACTTAGAATAGCCTGCCAACTATTGAAGACAAAAGACTATCTAATGTTAACATTACTGGAGGGGTTGTGGCACATGATAAGAACCATACTTTAGAATGATAAAGGTGGCATAATGACTACATGTGAAAAGGATAGATATTGGAGGTGATTAATAAGATTAATAATTAAAAGGTAATTTTGATAATGTATCCAAGTTATGATGAAGACATGGCCAGGGCAGTGCCATTGAGAATGGATAACAAGAGTGCCTATTAAAGTCTTGGTGACTATTAAGTATGGTATGCTAGGAAAATAGTCAAAGATATCCCAAGTTCCCTAAGTTTTATACCTCAACATAGAATTATATTGACAAAATAGATAAGTGGGCCTGGCGCTTTGGCTCATGCCTGTAATCCCAGCACTTTGGGGGGCCAAGGCAGGCAGATCACAAGGTCAGGAGTTCAAGACCAGCCTGGCCAACATGGTGAAACTCCTTCTCTACTAAAAATAGAAAAAAATTAGCTGGGCATGGTGGTGTGCCCCTGTAATCCCAGCTACTCGGGAGGCTGAGGCAGGAGAATTACTTGAACCAGAACCCAGGAGGCTGAGGTTGCAGTGAGCTGAGATCATGCCACTACATTCCAGCGTGAGCTACAGAATGAGACTCCATCTTAAAAAAAAAAAAAGATAAGTGATGAAATACAGCTTGTAACCAGGCAGAAACATTATTTGTAAGTTACAAAAATGAAATGGAGAGGTAAGGTGCTCCAATTTTGATATGTTGAGTTTGAGTAGCTTTGGAATAACCAGCTGTTAGTATCTAGCAGTAACTGGTAAAAAATGATATCATGAGAAATGACAGAGTTATCTACTCATTCCGAGTAATTCACCATTGTGCTAGATTAGTCTCCTTTTTATCAAAATTCATGGGACTCATTATCGTCAGTATATCCACAGACTGGTATCCATGAAAAATGCGTGGCTGTTTGCATAAAATTTGCTAAGCATTAGTGTAGGGAGAGGATGAGTAAAAGAAGTGTGTAGATAAATTGTGGGAATGATCAAAGTACAACAATAGGAGGAGATGTAGAGAAAGGAAAAGATATACCCAGAGTCAAGGGAGAGAAGCGGTTGGGGAAGAGTCTTATGTGAGACTTCAAAACCAAAGTAAAATAGTAAAGATAAAAGGAAACCAAAGAAAGCAAGATACATAATGGAGTCTTAGTGAACATTAGTTATAAATATTGCATTTTAGTATATGATATTATAAATATAAATACCTTTTGCAATAATGATTTGCCGTATAAATATTTTTATAGCTCAACTATAACATACAGCTATAAGATTAGAAATATGCTAAATAACATAATAAAAGGGATCATATAAAGCCTAATTATTAATACTTAGGGGGTTGTAGTATTAGCGATAAAAGCACTGTCACTATAATGGTTAAATTAAATCAAGCAGAGAGCTGAATTTGGCCCTTGTCCATAACTTCTTAACTCCATTGTAGAAGGTTATGTGATTAGGACTGTGTTTATAAAAACAAAATGATTTTATTTTGTTTTTATATATTCAAATAATAAATCCAGAATTGAAACCTGGCTATATGGAGAAAAAACTGGGGTAACAAATAATTCTAGTTTATAGGTCACACCATCTTATAAACAAACTATATACTATAGGATTAGTTGAAACCACACACACACACATTCAGTCACTATGATTGAAAACACAGGCTAAATATTTGACTGAATGAATTGGGCAACTTTACTATTTCAATTACAATTTTGTCAATGGAAGGGCATAGTTTATGTTATCTATTTGAACTAACTATATAATTTTCTAAATAACTAATTAATAAAAATGAATTTATTATAAATTCTAAAGAAATAAAACAGATAAACATTTTTTGTAATAATAGAGTACTGCTCTGATGTAATTAAGATTATTGGTGACTGATAGAATTCAGACAATCCCTTGCCATTATTAACATTAAAATTTTTTTTTTCTAATGCCCACTATGCATTATTCAAACGGGAAATTAGAGTGAATAGCACAAATAGACATTTTAACAGCAGCCAAAAATCAGGATTCGTAACTTGCAATGTGATAGCTGTTCTAAGTCTACAATCCATTTACCTTAAGGAGCCAAATAATAGCCTTAATACTCTGTATTTTAGCTACTTTGTTTATAGTTTTACAAATATTTAAGAAGTTAACCATTTTTTCATTTAAAACTACAAAAAGAACATCAATAATTAATGATTCTAGTTCAACATGAGCAGGTTGATAAGTCATATTATTAGGATGGAATGGATTAAAGGACTTAAGCAGGACATTTTTATGCTCACATGAAAGATGTTTTGTGCTTTCTCCAGGCCCTATGTTGGTTTACAATGGAGTACCTTTAATAACCTGAAGTCTTTTATGAAATAAGGTGAGGTATAAATACATAAGAATAAAAAAACTGTTCACTATTGTAGAATTACATTTTGTTGTTTTTCTAGTAGGAAGATTAAGATGATGGAGAATGAAATGTAAATCAATTAGCAGAGTCTTCAGATGATTAAACCCCTCCTGATTTGCCAGCACGCTCTCAATAAACAACAACTACTTTTTCTTCTTCTTCTTCTTCTTCCTCTTCCTCTTCCTCTTCCTCTTCTTCTTCTTCTTCTTCTTCTTCCTCTTCTTCCTATTTCTTTGTAGTTGCTGTGTAGGAACAAAAGCACAAAAATGCCAACTCTATGTATACAGGTAGATGAAACAAACACGTAACGAATAAACATAATGAGGAAAAAACTTAAAGAAAGCTGGCAGTGGCCAACACAAATATTTCAATAATTGATGAGATTTTGAGTGAACAACATTTTAATGCTTACACTGACTTTAAAGCTTCTTTCTTTTTGCCTTCTAGTTTGGTTTCAAAATATTTATTTTCACACTTTTAAGGTTATGGATTTTCCAATAAAACCTCCCAGTTGCCAGTCAGTTGGATTTCAGTTTTTAAAAGTATTTTCTAGGCATTATAAAGATATTAAAATTTTTATCTGTGTACTTTAAAACTATCATAATATCATCTGAAAAAACTCTATACTTTTGTAACCAAGGACAGATTAACTAGAGATGACCTAAATACCAATGTCAAATCTTCACATTGGAAGCTGTGGTGCTTCTAGGTATTGAAATGCCTAAGAGTTTGTATGGATTATCAGGAAGTTGGTGGGCCAAATATCGTTTAGATTCCAAGCTCTTTTTCTCCCACATTTTGTATATCTGAAGTCAATAAATTTTATCTTGGGAAAATGAGATTATTGGATGTCAAATATTGAACTATGGGCTGAGGATCTAGCATATAGAATAGCCTTACATTATGAAAAATAAAGCACTAAGAAAATGCCTGTAATAATTTAGCCTTTAGTTCTTCTCCCTGAGTTGATTCATTGGTACTGCTCTACAATTAGATGACGTGAACACACATGTGGATGGTAAATGATGCCAAAGATCATTGTTAACATGATTAATAAATTATGCTTGACATCATTTTATATTTACTTACTCTTTATCCATGTGCTCTTACCATGCAGAAAGCTTAGTTCACGTCCATTCTAGGGAGAGTTTGACATGTCAGACAATGAAGTTTTATGTGACACCTACTCAGAAGGTAGCTGGCATTGTGGCCACTGCTCTGTGTTTTGCCAGCATATCTGTAAGTATGAGAAGATCGTGTCCTCTTTTCATCAGCATGCTCCTTCTCCTCCTTCAATCATTAGTCCCTTAGGCTTTAGTAAAAGAACAGTGCACATTCCTTTTATGGGCAAATGTGTGAGCCTAAATACTTTATTTTTTTGTAGTCAATCTTTTTTAGGCTAAATAGGCAATCAGGGAGTCACTTACGTTTAAACTAAAGACATTTTAAACTAAAAAAAAATCAGTTTTCAGCATTTGATTTGTGGTGTGTATTATATATACACAATCAAAATAAATACTGCTATGCCCTTTTCATTTATCTAGTTTGTTCCTCTTGAATTTACCAAGTTCACTAAAGATGTTCATCTTTCCATCTTTAATGTATGGACGTCACAACAGATTTTGGCAATGCTGTGCGAATCTGATTTGTTTTCTTCACTAGCACACAACATAAAGCTATTAGCTGCCTTGAATTATACAAAAAATGTTGAAATCTGGCAAACCAATGGAGTGCTGACTCTTGTTTTTGATCTATTGAACTATCAGCACCTTTTAGCCCAACAGCTTTAAATCTCCAATCAAAATATTTACTTACTTAGAAAAAAAATCTATTTTTTGAATATTATTGCTGATTGTAATGGCAGACCAATCATAATCATGCATGTAAGATAAATATTGTGTTTGACTAAGGATAAAAGAAATATTTTGCATCATATGTATTTTATTCTATTATTTTGTGATATAGAAGGACCAGTGATAAATGTAGGGTAATAAATAGAACATAATCTGCGTATTTTAATCTGTTTTAAAACATTTTCTTACTATTTTAATGTCCCTACTTATAAGCATGTAAATAGAAAGCATTAAGACAGAGGAGGTTGTAAAGAAAACTATGGCAAGCAAAATTTAACAAACATTTAGTAGTCATTACATTTAACTATACTTTAACTTTATTTTTATTATGGGATACAGTATTTACCTTTATTAAAAGGTTTGACAAAAAGATTTTTAAGGTTTTATCAAATTCCTGAGATAAGTTAAAAAAAGAAGCAAGTTTCAAAAAAAGATATAAACAGTTTATTTTGGAATGAAGATTCAAGTCTGATCCTTTGCATATGAATCTTGGATCTTGGATGTGAATTCCTGACTAATGGTTAAAGTGGACTTAGAATCTTTCCTTGAGGACAAATAGAATTGAGGAAGAGAAAAATCTGAGAAGCATTCAGAAGCTATGTCTTCCTGCATGAGATCATAAGTAATAAATCCAGGCAGAGATAAGGAAGATGATGAAGTAAAGATTATCTGCTAATGTAAGAGTTCTCCATAGATACATAGCAAAAGTGGTGAATTGTTTGCCTAATAACAGTAACTCTGGGCTATATCAACAATTTTAAGAGAGAATAAAGAAGATATTATATCTGGTGATCAATTTAGAATATTCACAATGTTTTAGACCTAAAATTTAAGCATTATAGAAAAGTCTCAAATTAGTGACTATTTTAATAAAACCTGCCTAATAATCTTACTAATTCAAATCTCAATATATAATCCTCATTCATTATAGGAACTATATTTTCATTAAAAATTTTTCTTGAATGACTAGTTTGTAGTAGTTTACTCTGAAATGTTAGAGATTAGAAAATCAGCAGAATTTTTTTCACAAAAAAAATATTTGATATAGTAAGATATTTAACTGGTGTTTACAAATATGTTGACAGAGTAAACATATAAGGGATTTGGACTAGGTGTTTACATTTGAATATCATTCATTATGAAGAAAATGGAAATAGAAAAAGGCAGTTATTCCCAAGTAACTCTCATGTTTGCGTTATATTTTGCTTTGAAGGATAAGGAACACGAAAGCATGTTTGTAAACTGTGAATGATGGAATAGGAACACAGGCTAATTATGCAGTATAGTGATGGCATAATGAAGAGGCACAGTGCTTTCAAAGATAATAGAAGATGGCATCCAGAACACATGTATAGGAACTAATCGTTGATGGAAAGAGGACCAATTCTGCCACTGACATGGGAGAAAAGAATGAGAGCACAGATTACTGGATTTGTGGAGGGAGAAGATACAACTCCTTTTGGATACCTTCTGTTTGTTTAACTATGTGATGAAAAACCATTAACTAAGAGCGAAGTGGTGAGGAGAGAATAAAATATTTAAGAATAGAGAAAGTGATACAAAATAATCTCCTGAGGAGAGTGAGAGTGAGTGTACGACTTACTATAGGACTAGAGTAAATTGCTGATCCAGCTACAAGTTTATCTGATTTTACAGAAGATGAAGTGAAATCATCCAACCTGCCCAGTGGGTCAATATGTCTAGCCATGCTTAGTCCCTACCCCCACTTCAACCACAGAAAATGAGGTAAGAGAAGGAGAAAAAATCTGAGAGGACTTTTTTCCCCTTTTCCAAAAGAAAGATTATGATAGATGATGGATGTATTACATTTGCTAGAGTTGCCACAATAAATTACCTCTCATTGGGTAGACTAAAAAAAGAGAATTGTATTCTTTCACAGTTCTGGAGGCTAGAAATATAAAGTCAAAGTATCAGCAGAGCTATGAAGGATCTAAGGATGAATCCTTCCTTATCTTTTCTGGCTTTGGGTAGCCCCAGATTTTCTTTGACTTGCAGCAGCATAAATCCAATCTCTGCCTTGTTTTCTGTCATCATGTGGCTTTCTTTTCCCTTTGTACAACTCTGGTAAACCATAATCAAATAATTTATAAGTAAGACCCCAAAAGTAGATGCAACAAAACAAAAATAAATATATGAGATTTAATTAAACTAAAAATCTCCTGCACAGCAAAAGAAATTATCAACAGACTAAAGAGATAACCTGCAGATTGGGAGAAAATATTTTCAAACTATGCATCCAATAAAGAACAAACATCTAGCATCTACAAAGAATTTAAACAAATCACCAAGAAAAAAACTTCAACTAAAAAGTGGGCAAATGTCATGAACAGACAGTTCTCAAAAGAAGATATACAAATAGCCAACAAACATAAAAATTGATCAACATCAAGTCAGTAGTCGTGAGAGAAATGCAAATTAAAACCACAATGAGATGCCACATTACCCCTGTAAGCATGACCATTATTAAAAAGCCAAAAACAACAGATGTTAGCAATGGTGCAATGAAAAGGGAATGCTATTCACTGTTGGTGAGAATGTATATTAGTATGACTTTTATGGAAAATAGTATCAAGATTTCTGAAAGAACTGGAAGTAGATTTATCATTTGATCAAGCAATCCTGCCACTGGGTATCTACTCAAAGTAAAATAAGTCATTATATCATGACACCTGCACTCAAACCTTTATTATAGCACAATTCACAATTGCAAAGATATGGAATTAATTTAAATGCCCATTAACAGATGAGTGGATAAAGAAAATATGGCACAGATATGTGTGTGTGTGTGTGTGTTTATGCACACAGATATGTGTGTGTGTGTTTATGCACACACATACACCACACAATATATTTGTGTGTGAATATATGTGTGTGTATATATATATGTAGACATGGAATATCTATATGTGTGTGTATATATATACATATACATACATAGACACACACACACACACACACACACACACACACACACACACACCATGGAATGCTACCCTCCAGCCACAAAAAAGATGAAATAATGCCTTTTGCAGTGACTTGGATGGAACTGGAGGCCATTATCCTAAGTGAAGTTACTCGGAATGGAAAACCAAATACTATATGTCTTTTTACTTATAAGTGGGGGAGCTAAGCTATGGGTATGCAAAGGCATATAGAGTGGTATAATAGATACTGGAGATTCAGAAGAGAGAAGGAAGGGAGGAGGGTACAGGATGAAACATTATCTATTGGGTACAGTGAACACTATTCAGGTGATGGGTGCACTAAAAGCCCCAGATTTTACCACTATACAACTCATCCGTGTAACCAGAAACCACTTGAATCCCTAAAGCTATTGAAATAAAAAAAAATATTCCCCTTTCTCTTATTCAACACCGTTCATTGTTTTTAGGGCTCACTTAAGTCCAAGATGATTTCATCTTGAGATCCTGAACTAATAATATCTGCAAAGACTCATTTCAAAATAAAATTATTTTCTGAGGTTTCAATGGACATCAGTTTGGGGTGCACACTGTTCAACCCACTACAATGGACTCAGTACAACCAAAAGAGGTTCTTACCTGAGGCTAAATTCCTAAGTGTGTCTGTGATATTTGACTGAGATGATTATGCTATGTACAAGATTTCACTTACTCCTCTTGTTTTCCACCTTATTTTCCTCACATTCTCTCTAGTACCTGCTACATTTGGGCCCTTTTCAAATTTTATTTTTATTTTTTCAATTTTTCCAACAGTTTTTACCCTCCTCTGTAATGTCTTTATAATATATTATGAGCATATTAGGGTTCTCTATAGAGACAGAACTAATAGGAAAGATGTAGGAGTTTATTAAGGAGTACTGACTCGATCACAAGGTGAGGTCCCGCAATAGGCCGTCTGCAAGCTGAGGAGCAAGAAAGTCAGTCCAAGTCCCAAACATGAAGAACTTGGAGTCTGATGTTCAAGGGCAGGAAGCATCCAGCACAGGAGAAAGATGTGAGCTGGGAGACCGAACCAGTCTAGTCTTTCCACATTCTTCTGCCTGCTTTTATTCTGGCCATGCTGGCAGCTGATTAGATTTTGCCCACCAAGATTGAGGGTGGGTCTGTGTTCCCCAGCCCACTAACTCAAATGTTAATCTCCTTTGACAACACCCTCACAGACACACCCAGGAAGAATACTTTGCATCCTTCAATCCAATTAAGTTGACAGGCAATATTAACCATCACAATGAGTTACATTTTTCCCACATTTTAATACACTAAATGTATATCGCTCACTTTGTTTTTCATCTTCCATAAATTTGTTAAGATCTCTCACTTTTTGTCTCCCCAGCCTCCTCCTTACATTATCTTGTCATTGTCTGAGTTGATTCCTTTTTGAATTTCTATATTTTAATTGCAATGTGGTTTCCCAATGGATAATAGAGTACTTAACATTTCATTTGAGACTAAAAATTTTATTTTCCAGTTGTTAAAGCTACTTTTGTTTTCTTGTTTTGCTATAGGAATTGCCTTTCCATTGTGTTGCTTTGCTTTTATGAGCATGTTTCCCTTAGTATTTTCCAAGACCCATCTTCAAATTTTCTTTCTACTGATTGATTTTTAACTTAATATCATAATGCTCTTTATTTCCCATTATGAAAAATGGGAAAAATGAGAAAATTAGTTCATTTATATTTCCTCATACTTCTCCTTCAAGCTTCCTTTTCCCCACTATTTATTAATTATATTTACTATTTTTAGTACTTTTCATAGTTCTTTTCAAAATTATAGCAGACATTCTTGTTTATTAACTTTATTAAATTTAGATGCCTTTTTGGCCCAACACCTCAGCAAGAAAAATGAGAAACCATATGCACTTACATATGGTGTTCTCTGTTGTCTTCTATTTTATGTTTTTTTAATTATTGTATTTAACTATCAATATCATATTTACTTTTTATTAAATATAATTTTCATGGTTGATTACTCTTGGTAATGGCTACACCAGGCATTTCACCATACTTGGAGAGAATTTCTTTCAAAATTAGCTGAACTTTAAAATCTTTTAATGCAAGCATAATGAGGTCAGCAGAGAGGAAAATGAGAGGAGGTGATAACTCTAGTAGAAGTAATGTCCATCAGTGAAAGGCAGGGCAGATATTCCAAAAATACAGGGAGGAAAGGAGGAACAGAATGAGAGTACAGGCAATTTTAGTGACTGATAGTAAATGGTCAAGGAAGAGCCCACCTAACGCTATTTTTTTAAAACTGTGAAAACAATACCATTATATCCTGAACGGAGGGCAATGTTTGCCGGCTCAGGATCTGGGAATGAATAGAGAATGTGTAAAAGAGAGAATGAACATTAAGAAATGTTGTGTGGGCCTTGAATACACATACCAAAGACATAAAAATGGCGAACAAGTATATGAGAAGATACTCAACATCAGTAATCATCAGGAAAACACAAATTAGAAATACTATGAGATGCCACCACATACCTATTAAGACAGTTGTCATCAAAAAGATAAGAGATAATGAGAGACAGGACTAGCTGGATTTCCTAGGCCGACTAAGAATCCCTAAGCCTAGCTGGGAAGGTGACCGCATCCACCTTTAAACACGGGGCTTGCAACTTAACTCACACCCAACCAATCAGAGAGCTCACTAAAATGCTAATTAGGCAAAAACAGGAGGTAAAGAAATAGCCAATCATCTATTGCCTGAGAGCACAGCAGGAGGGACAAGGATCGGGATATAAACCCAGGCATTCGAGCCGGCAACAGCAACCCCCTTTGGGTCCCCTCCTTCCTATGGGAGCTTTGTTTTCACTCTATTTCACTCTATTAAATCTTGCACTGCACTCTTCTCGTCCATGTTTGTTACGGCTCGAGCTGAGCTTTTCGCTCGCCGTCCACCACTGCTGTTTGCCACTGTCGTAGACCCGCCCCTGACTCCCATCCCGCCACTGACTCCCATCCCTCCAGATCCGGCAGGGTGTCCGCTGTGCTCCTGATCCAGCAAGACTCCGGTTGCCACTCCTGATTTTGCTAAAGGCTTGCCATTGTTCCTGCACGGCTAAGTGCCTGGGTTCGTCCTAATTGAGCTGAACACTAGTCACTGGGTTCCACGGTTCTCTTCCATGACCCACAGCTTCTAATAGAGCTATAACACTCACTGCATGATCCAAGATTCCATTCCTTGGAATCCGTGAGGCCAAGAATCCCGGGTCAGAGAACACAAAGCTTGCCACCATCTTGGAAGCGGCCCACCACCATCTTGGAAGCGGCTTGCCACCATCTTGGGAACTCTGTGAGCAAGGGCCTCAGGTAACATTTTGGTGACCACGAAGTGACCTCCAAAGCGGTGAGTAATATTGGACCACTTTCGCTTGCTATTCTGTCCTATCCTTCCTTGGAATTGGAGGAAAATACCGGGCACCTGTCGACCAGTTAAAAACGATTAGCATGGCCGCCGGACTTAAGACTCAGGTGTGAGACTATCTGGCGAAGGGCTTTCTAACAACCCCCAACCCTTCTGGCTTGGGGACGTTGGTCTGGTCGGAGCAGCTTCCACTTTCAATTTTCATGGGGAAGCCGAGGGCCGACTAGAGGCAGAAAGCTGTCATCCCGAACTCCTGGCAGTAGCCGGTTGAGATCATGGCGCAGCCAGAATTCTCTACTCAGTAGATGCCCATCCGTGCGCCCCTACCTTTCCCTTCTGATCCATACCTCCTGGGTCCCGACCATGACTTTCTTGAAAGCATAGCCCCCAAATTCTCCTTACCTCTGAATCTACTTCCTCTGATCCTTGCGTCCTAGGTACTAATGGTTCAGACTTTCATTTCCTCTAGCAAGTTGTATCTCCAAAGGGATCTCAGGAAGCTCTATGCTGTGTCCTTAGGCATCTAGGCTGTAACCCAGGGAGTCTTATCCCTGGTGTCCCTCCCGATTTAGGTATACAGCTCTCGACATGGGCAGTTATGTGGGACCCATTCCCCACCACCCTTGCCAGGGGCCCAAGTCTGTAATGGCTAAGAGAGAGATGGAGAGAGAGAGACAGATGGAGAGAGAGAGAGAGAGAGACAGAGAGAGATGGAGAGAGAGAGACAGAGAGAGAGAGAGAGACAGAGAGAGAGACAAAGACGGAGTCAAAGAGAAAGAAAGAAAAAGATAGAAATAGTAAAAAGAAAAGTGTGCCCTATTCCTTTAAAAGCCAGGGTAAATTTAAAACCTGTAATTGATAATTGAAGGTCTTCTCCATGATCCTATAACACTCCAATGCCACTTTGTTGTCAGTGTAAATAAGGGCGTAGCCCGAAAGCACTGAGGCCACTGACAACCCATAGCTTTCCTATCAAAAATCCTTAACCCAGTAACCCACGGATGGCCAAATGCATTCAGTCGGTAGCGGCAACTGCTTTGCTAAAAGTAGAAAAGTAACTTTTAGAGGAAACCTCGTTGTGAGCACACCTTACCAGTTCAGAATTATTCTAAGTCAAAAAAAAAAAAAAAAAAAAAAAAAAAGCAAAGGTAGCTTACTAACTCAAAAATCTTAAAGTATGGGGCTATTATTTTAGAAAAGGGTAATGTAACTCCAACCACTGATAATTCCCTTAACCCAGCAGATTTCCTAACAGGGGATTTAAATCTTAATTACCATACAAAGGTCTGACCAGACCTAGGAGGAACTCCCTTCAGGACAGGATGGTAGATGGTTCCTCCCAGGTGATTAAGGAAAAAAACCACAATGTGTATTCAGTAATTGATACAGAGACTCTTGTGGAAGCAGAGCTAGAAAAATTGCTTAACAATTGGTCTCCTCAAACGTGCGAGCTGTTTGCACTCAGCCAAGCCTTAAAGTACTTACAGAATCAAAACACTACCTCAATCCTGACTCCAAAGATTCGCTACATCCTCTCTGGAATGAATTTGCATAAGAACTATTGTTTATGGGGATGCATCTTCATGGGGCAGCTGGGTTGTTATGAAATACTCGGGAACCCGGCCCAGCTCTAGGACTCACTCCTGAGCACAAAGGCAATGTTGGGCACGCTGGTAAAGGATCACTAGAATCCTGCAGCCCGAACCCCTCTCTTTGTGGTCAAGAGAGGCGCTAAAATAGGTGCAGGGCTGCTACATTGGTGAGCATAACTAATCTGATAAGCAGAGGTCCATGGGTGGTTACGCACCCTGGAAAAGAATAAGCATTAGGCCCTTAGAGGACGCTCTAGGACTAATGCTTATCGGAAAATGACTAGGGGTGCTGGCATCCCTATGTTCTTTTTTCAGATGGGAAACGTTCCCCCCACCCCAAAGCAAAAATGCCCCTAAGATGTACTCTGGAGAATTAGGACCAATTTGACCCTCAGATGCTAAGAAAGAAATGACTTATAGTCTTCTGCAGTACTGCCTGGCCACAATACCCTCTTAAAAGGGAGAAACCTGGCCTTCTGAGGGAAGTATAAATTATAACACTATCTTACAGCTAGACCTCTTCTGTAGAAAGGAGGGCAAATGGAGTGAAGTGCCATATGTGCAAACTTTCTTTTCATTAAGAGACAACTCATAATTACGTAAAAAATGTGGTTTATGCCCTACAGGAAGCCCTCAGAGTCTACCTCCCTATCCCAGTGTCCCCCCGACTCCTTCCCCAACTAATAAGGACCCCCCTTTTACCCAAATGGTTCAAAGGAGATAGACAAAGGGATAAATAATGAACCAAACAGTGCCAATATTCCGATTATGCCCCCTCCAAGCAGTGGGAGGAGGAGAATTCGGCCCAGCCAGAGTGCATGTACCTTTTTCTCTCTCAGACTTAAAGCAAATTAAAATAGACCTAGGTAACTTCTCAGATAACCCTGATGGCTATATTGATGTTTTACAAGGGTTAGGACAATCTTTTGATCTGACATGGAGAGATATAATGTTACTGCTAAATCAGACATTAACCCCAAATGAGAGAAGTGCCGCCACAACTGCAGCCCGAGAGTTTGGCAATATCTGGTATCTCAGTTAGGTCAATGATAGGATGACAACAGAGGAAAGAGAATGATTCTCCACAGGCCAGCAGGCAGTTCCGAGTGTAGCCCCTCACTGGGACACAGAATCAGAACATGGAGATTGGTGCCGCAGACATTTGCTAACTTGCATGCTAGAAGGACTAAGGAAAACTAAGAAGACTATGATTTATTCAGTGATGTCCACTATAACACAGGGAAAGGAAGAAAATCCTACTGCCTTTCTGGAGAGACTAAGGGAGGCATGGAGGAATCATACCTCTCTGTCACCTGACTCTATTGAAGGCCAACTAATCTTAAAGGATAAGTTTATCACTCAGTCAGCTGCAGACATTAGAAAAAAACTTCAAAAGTCCACCTTAGGCCCAGCGCAAAATTTAGAAACCCTATTGAACTTGGCAACCTCAGTTTTTTATAATAGAGATCAGGAGGAGCAGGCGGAATGGGACTAACGGGATAAAAAAATAAAAGGCCACCACTTTAGTCATGGCCCTCAGGCAAGCGGACTTTGGAGTCTCTGGAAAAGGGAAAAGCTGGGCAAATTGAATGCCTGATAGGGCTTTCTTCCAGTGCAGTCTACAAGGACACTTTAAAAAAGATTGTCCAAGTAGAAGTAAGCTGCCCTCTAGTCCACGCCCCTTATGTCAAAGGAATCACTGGAAGGCCCACTGCCCCAGGGGACAAAGGTCATCTGAGTTAGAAGCCACTAACCAGATGATCCAGCAGCAGGACTGAGGGTGCCTGGGGCAAGTGCCAGCCCATGCCATCACCCTCACAGAGCCCCTGATATGCTTGAACATTGAGGGCCAGGAGGTTAACTGTCTCCTGGACACTGGCACGGCCTTCTCAGTCTTACTCTCCTGTCCCGGACAACTGTCCTCCAGATCTGTCACTATCCTAGGGGTCCTAGGACAGCCGGTCACTAGATACTTCTCCCACCCACCAAGCTGTGACCGAGGAGCTTTACTCTTTTCACATGTTTTTCTAATTACACCTGAAAGCCCCACTCCCTTGTTAGGGAGAGACATTCCAGCAAAAGCAGGGGCCATTATACACCTGAACATAGGAGAAGGAACACCTGTTTGTTGTCCCCTGCTTGAGGAAGGAATTAATCCTAAAGTCTAGGCAACAGAAGGACAATATAGATGAGCAAAGAATGCCCATCCTGTTCAAGTTAAACTAAAGGATTCTGCCTCCTTTCCCTACCCCCTCAGACCCAAGGCCCAACAAGGACTCCAAAAGATTGTTAAGGACCTAAAAGCCCAAGGCCTAGTAAAAGCATGCAATAGCCACTGCAGTACTCCAATTTTAGGAGTACAGAAGCCCAACAGACAGTAGAGGTTAGTGCAAGATCTCAGGATTATCAGTGAGGCTGTTGTTCCTCTATACCCAGCTGTACCTAGCCCTCATACTCTGCTTTCCCAAATACCAGAGGAAGCAGAGTGGTTTATAGTCCTGGACCTTAAGGATGCCTTTTTCTGCATCCCTGTACATCCTGACTCTCAATTCTTGTTTGCCTTTGAAGATCCTTCAAACCCAACGTCTCAACTCACCTGGACTGTTTTACTCAAGGGTTCAAGGATAGCCCCCATCTATTTGACCAGGCATTAGCCCAAGACTTGAGCCAATTCTCATATATGGACACTCTTGTCCTTCGGTATGGGGATGATTTAATTTTAGCCACCCATTCAGAAACCTTGTGCCATCAAGCCACCCAAGCGCTCTTAAATTTCCTTGCTACCTGTGGCTACAAGGTTTCCAAACTAAAGGCTCAGCTCTGCTCACAGCAGGTTAAATACTTAGGGCTAAAATTATCCAAAGGCACCAGGGCCCTCAGTGAGGAACGTATCCAGCCTAAACTGGCTTATCCTTATCCCAAAACCATAAAGCAACTAAGAGGGTTCCTTGGCATAACAGGCTTCTGCCGAATATGGATTCCCAGGTACAGCAAAATAGCCAGGCCATTATATACACTAATTAAGGAAACTCAGAAAGCCAATACCCATTTAGTAAGATGGACACCTGAAGCAGAAGCAGCTTTCCAGGCCCTAAAATAGGCCCTAACCCAAGCCCCAGTGTTAAGCTTGCCAACGGGGCAAGACTTTTCTTTATATGTCACAGAAGAAACAGGAATAGCTTTAAGAGTCCTTACACAGGTCCGAGGGATGAGCTTGCAACCCGTGGCATATCTGAGTAAGGAAAATGATGTAGTGGCAAAGGGTTGGCCTCATTGTTTATGGGTAGTGGCAGCAGTAGCAGTCTTAGTATCTGCAGCAGTTAAAATAATACAGGAGATCTTACTGTGTGGACATCTCATGATGTGAACAGCATACACAGTGCTAAAGGAGACTTGTGGCTGTCAGACAACCATTTACTTAAATATCAGGCTCTTACTTGAAGGGCCAGTGCTGCAACTGCGCACTTGTGCAACTCTTAACCCAGCCACATTTCTTCCAGACAATGAAGAAAAGATAGAACATAACTGTCAACAAGTAATTACTCAAACCAACTCCACTCGAGGGGACCTTTTAGAGGTTCCCTTGACTGATCCTGACCTCAACTTGTATACTGATGGAAGTTCCTTTGTAGAAAAAGGACTTTGAAAAGCGGGGTATGCAGTGGTCAGTGATAATGGAATACTTGAAAATAATCCCCTCACTCCAGGAACTAGTGCTCAGCTGGCAGAACTAATAGCCCTCACTCGGGCACTAGAATTAGGAGAAGGGAAAAGGGTAAATATATATACAGACTCTAAGTATGCTTACCTAGTCCTCCAGGCCTATGCAGCAATATGGAGAGAAAGAGAATTCCTAACTTCTGAGGGAACACCTATCAAACATCAGGAAGCCATTAGGAGATTATTATTGGCTGTACAGAAACCTAAAGAGGTGGCAGTCTTACACTGCCGGGGTCATCAGAAAGGAAAGGAAAGGGAAATAGAAGGGAACTGCCAAGCAGATATTGAAGCCAAAAGAGCTGCAAGGAAGCCATTAGGAGATTATTATTGGCTGTACAGAAACCTAAAGAGGTGGCAGTCTTACATCAGGAAGCCATTAGGAGATTATTATTGGCTGTACAGAAACCTAAAGAGGTGGCAGTCTTACACTGCCGGGGTCATCAGAAAGGAAAGGAAAGGGAAATAGAAGGGAACTGCCAAGCAGATATTGAAGCCAAAAGAGCTGCAAGGCAGGACCTTCCATTAGAAATGCTTATAGAGGACCCCTAGTATGGGGTAATCCCCTCCAGGAAACCAAGCCCCAGTACTCAGAAGAAAAAATAGAATGAGGAACCTCATGAAGACATAGTTTCCTCCCCTCAGGATGGCCAGCCACCAAAGAAGGAAAAATACTTATGCCTGCAGCTAACCAGTAGAAATTACTTAAAACCCTTTACCAAACCTTTCACTTTGGCATTGATAGCACCCATCAGATGGCCAAATTATTATTTACTAGACCAGGTCTTTCAAAACTATCAAGCGGATAGTCAGGGCCTGTGAAGTGTGCCAAAGAAGTAATCCCCTGCACTGCAGGCCATACATTTCAATCCCTGTATCTTTAACCTCCTTGTTAAGTTTGACTCTTCCAGAATTAAAACTGTAAAACTACAAATTGTTCTTCAAATGGAGCCCCAGATGCAGTCCATGACTAAGATCCACTGCGGACCCCTGGACCGGCCTGCTAGCCCATGCTCCGATGTTAATGACATCGAAGGCACCCCTCCTGAGGAAATCTCAACTGCACAACCCCTACTATGCCCCAATTCAGCAGGAAACAGAGCAGTCATTGGCCAACTTCCCCAACAGCACTTGGGTTTTCCTGTTGAGAGGGGGGACTGAGAGACAGGACTAGTTGGATTTCCTAGGCCAACTAAGAATCCCTAAGCCTAGCTGGGAAGGTGACCGCATCCACCTTTAAACATGGGGCTTGCAACTTAACTCACACCCAACCAATCAGAGAGCTCACTAAAATGCTAACTAGGCAAAAACAGGAGGTAAAGAAATAGCCAATCATCTATTGCCTGAAAGCACAGCGGGAGGGACAAGGATCGGGATATGAACCCAGACATTCGAGCCGGCAACAGCAACCCCCTTTGGGTCCCCTCCCTTCCTATGGGAGCTCTGTTTTCACTCTATTTCACTCTGTTAAATCTTGCAACTGCACTCTTCTCGTCCATGTTTGTTACGGCTCGAGCTGAGCTTTTCGCTCGCCGTCCACCACTGCTGTTTGCCACTGTCGCAGACCCGCCCCTGACTCCCATCCCGCCACTGACTCCCATCCCTCCAGATCTGGCAGGGTGTCCACTGTGCTCCTGATCCAGCGAGACTCCCATTGCCACTACCGATCGTGCTAAAGGCTTGCCATTGTTCCTGCACGGCTAAGTGCCTGGGTTCGTCCTAATTGAGCTGAACACTAGTCACTGGGTTCCACGGTTCTCTTCCATGACCCACAGCTTCTAATAGAGCTATAACACTCACCACATGATCCAAGATTCCATTCCTTGGAATCCGTGAGGCCAAGAACCCCAGGTCAGAGAACACAAGGCTTGCCACCATCTTGGAAGCGGCCTGCCACTATCTTGGAAGCGGCTTGCCACCATCTTGGGAGCTCTGTGAGCAAGGACCCCCGGTAACAATAACAAGTGTTGGTGAGAGTGTAGAGAAGAAGAAATCCTTGTACACAGTTTCTGGGGATGTAGATTGGTTCTGCCATTATGGAAAAAAGTGTGAAGGTTCCCAAATAAAGATAGAACTACAATATGACCGAGCAAATTCTCTTCTGGGTATATACCCAAAGGAAATGAATTCACCACCTCATAAAGATAACTGCCCTCCCATGTACATTGCAACATTGCTTCACAATAGCCAAGATATGGAAACAACCTAGTGGCCATTGATGGATGAATAGATAAAGAAACTGGTACATATATATGATGGAATATGATTCTGTCTTACAAAAGAAAAAAAATCCTGTCATTTGCTACAACACGGATGAATGTGGAGGACAAAATGTTAAGTAAAATAATCCAGACACAGAAAGAAAAATATTGCATGATCTCACTTATATGTGGAACCCCAGAAAAAGCCAAATATACAGAGATACAGTATAAAGAGTGGTTATTAGAGGCAGGCTAGAAGAAATATAGGACGTAGGTCAAAAGATATAAAGTAGCATTTACATAGAGTGAACAAGTCTCAAGCTGTGATGTACCACATGAGAACTATAGTTTATAAGAGTATATTGTATTCAGGATTTTAAATAAATGAGTAGATGCTGCTGTTGCCACATACATACACACACACACACACAGACAAACAGGAACGGATAACTATGTGACATAATAGATACGTTACTTCAACATAGTAATCATTTTACTATCTATAGGTATTTTCTCCTTACATCATGTTGTATACTTTAATTATACACAATAAAATGTATTTAAAAAAGAAAAATGTGGGAAGTCAAAGAATAAACTGACAAGAAAAATATAGCACTGTGAGCCGGGATTTAAATGCTTAATGAAGTCAGTGAGCATGCTTTTAAACATGATTTTGTAATGGCACTTAAAAAAAAATAAATTATTTGTTCTTTTAGAGATGAGTTCTCCCTCTGTTGCTGAGGCTAGAGTACATGGTACAATTATAGCTCATCGCAGCCACTAACTCCTGGGCTTAGGTGACTCTTCCTCCTTAGCCTCTCCAGCAGCTAGATCTACAAGCACATACCACCACACCCAGCTAATTTTCGTGCTCTTTTTTTGTAGATGCGGAGTCTCACTGTGTTGCAAATTCCTGACCTCAAGTGATCTTCCTGCCTGGGCCTCAAAGTGCGGGGATTATACGCAGGGGCCACTGCTTTCAGCCTTTAAATTCTGTTAAAAACAGCGTTGGTGAGGTATGGAATTATTATATGCCATATGCTTTACGCTACTGTTAGTGGGTCTTGTAAAGATCCTATCACATTTGTCTTATAATTCTCATTTTACATATGAAGGAATTAACACAACATTGAAGTATTGCCAAAACTCACAGTTTGAAAGTCAGCATATATTTTGTTATGCATCAGAAATAGTAAAATAAAACTTATATGCCTCTAATAAATCTATTATTTCAAAAAAATTACTTGCACTTGCTTTATCACAAATGAAGTTTAAAAACACATAAACAAAAATAGAAAGTAACTTGGGTCAAAATCCCCAGAAATCATTTTTTTTGATTATGTTGCCACCAATAAGCAATATACTTTATACAAACTTTTTGCCCAGACACCAAATTACTATTATCACTAGATCTATTCAATATATGCTACTAAATTTTGTTTAATCTGTTCACTTAGATGAGTCTTTTAAAAAAATTACCTATAGGCCGGGCGCGGTGGCTCACGCCTGTAATCCCAGCACTTTGGGAGGCCGAGGCGGGCGGATCACGAGGTCAGGAGATCGATACCATCCTGGCTAAAACGGTGAAACCCCGTCTCTACTAAAAATACAAAAAAATTAGCCGGGCGTAGTGGCGGGCGCCTGTAGTCCCAGCTACTTGGGAGGCTGAGGCAGGAGAATGGCGTGAACCCGGGAGGCGGAGCTTGCAGTGAGCCGAGATCCCGCCACTGCACTCCAGCCTGGGCGACAGAGCGAGACTCCGTCTCAAAAAAAAAAAAAAATTACCTATAATGAGAAGGTGAGCCAAAGCAATTCTGTGCTTCATATGGTGTTCATAATTTGGCATACTACAATCATGAAAAACCCCAAAGCATGGGTTTTTAAGCAGATGTCTTGCTTGTATAGGTTCATAATACATTGGCAGATTTTTCATCATAAACTCTAAGACTTCCTGCGTTTCAGTTAGGTGGAAGAAGAGACAGGCCTGATAAATGTCTAGGAGAAAAAATAAATCAGTGCAGCTGTGACCCAGGTCAGAATTATTCTTAATATTCACAATTGATTTCTGGAGAGCAGCTTGTATATAATATTACCAGCTGCTCCTTTAACAAGTGTGTGCACATTTTGGCAACTACAGATTTTGTAATTTGCTCCACTCACATGAAAACCAAAAAAAGGTGAAATTATCTAGTATGCTTTTCTTTTTTCTCTTCTTAGTTTATTTTACAATAATAATGCTTTATAGCATATGCACTGTAAGCAAGAGTAAATTAAGAATGATGTGGCACCTGAGCTACAAATGAGCCTCTTTCAAGTTAGGAGGCATATCTTAATTAAAAATTGGATGAATGGTAAAGATAGACCTCTCAAAGACTTTGTTTTTGTTATGAATCTCTGTAGAGATATTTTCTATTTCATTTTGCTAATCCATTTATGTACTTTGTTTATAAAGTAGACACGGGATGAAATTATGTTATTTCAGATTCAACTATGAATGGTTTAAATCTGCAATGAAAGGCAGTATAATTATGCATGTTTTAATGGAGGTGAATAGTACAAAGCAGTGAATATTTCTTATGCAAGGTGGTACTGCTCTCTCATTCCAAATCTCTTCAGAGTTGGTTTTTATAGATTCCTGCTCAGAGCCTGAAGGATGAACTAGGAGACCTTTTGACATCAACTCTTTCTATGTGTGAACTCCTAACACTGAAAAAACACCAATTAAGAAAATTCAGTGATACAAGTTGACTATTACATAAATGCATTCAAAAGGGAGACAACTTAAATAGCTTGATTTAGCCATTCCATAATGTATACATATATCAAAACATCAGGCTGTGTGGCATAAGTACATTCAAGTTTTACTTGTCAAGGAAAATAAATTAATTTGTAAAAGGATGAACAGAATCACATTATGATGAATACAGAGAAACTTTGGGAAAATACAGACTTTGTATTTACAACTTACTAATTACAAGCTATGTTTTCTTCAAAAACCCATTCTTTCTAGGTTTCATTTGTAAAAAAGAGGTTTATATGCATGAACTTAATAGGATTTCTGAAATATAGCCTCAAATACTTACAAAATAAAATAGATTATGTTCCACTTTTGTAAAATACACTTATTTGAAGCATTTTGAAAGCTAAATGATATGAGTGTTAATGGGAGAGCACTTGTAGGGGTCATACGAAGAATCCCCGTATAAGTAGTAATAACTGAACAATAATCAAACCTTATCCTGAGTATCTGAATATTCAAAGAAATAGTAGGAAGGATCAATTTTAAATTTATATTTTGCTTGTTTTAAAAATATTTTTTCTACTATTAATATTAATTAAAAATAAAAACGTCAAAATTTTTGTCATTGATTTCTAGGGGAGGCATGTATTTTTTAATAACTTCTAATTAAATATATATACATATATATATTTACAATATATAGCCTCTGATTTGGGAGAAGGATTAGGGGAAGATATGACCTGATTTTATTAAAATTCAAGTGAGTTAAAGAGTTATATTAATTAGCTAGAGCTGCCATAACAAAATGTCACAGACTGAGTGACTTAAACTACAGAAATTTGTTTTCTCACAATTCAGGAGGCTAAAAGTCTGAGATCAAGATGCCAACAGGGTTGATTTTTTCTGAGGCCCTTTTCCTTCACGTGTAATTGGACTTCTTTTTCTCCCTGTGTCTTCGTATGGTCTTCTGTGTTCATGTCTGTGTCTTAATCTCCTCCTCTTATAAGAACACCAGTCAGATTGGATTAGCGCCCACTCATATGACCTCATGTAGCATTAATTACTCTTTAAAAAAACTCTACAAATGCCATCACCTTTTAAGATACCACACTATGAATTCTTTGGGTGTTGAATTATTATGTTCCAAATAGTTAACCTTTCCAATACTCAGCAATGCTTTATATGAAACATTTTGGGAGAAACTTGATGATTTGTACCTTGTATATTAATCATTATAAAATATTGCTTTTTAGTCTCTTCTATTGCCATAGTTTTCAATTTATCATAACAATATTGCTACCAATGCCTTTTTCTGAGTTTCATATTCAATTGTCTAGCGCTTTATCCATTACATGATAATCAGTGGTGCCATGTCACTTTTATTTTAATTTCTTAACAATAGAATATTGCTGTTTTTTTAAAGCTCATTTGGAAGTTTATTCATTGATTTGTTTATTTGTTTTGAAACTTCAATTATTTAAACACTTTTGATGGCTTCACATTGCATTAAGAATTAAATTCAAGTTCCTTACTCTGGCCCACCTGGCCCCAGCTGATCTCGCCTCTTTCTACATATCTAACTATATTTCTCAATGCCTCATCTCTCATTTTACCATGAGCGTATTTCAAAGCCTTCCTCTTTATTGTCAGTTTCTCTGTGTACTCTGCCTAGAATTTGCCCAGTGTTACCTCTTCCCAGACTGAACTTTTACAAACTGTTGTCTTTGTTGTTCTAGTGTTATCATTCAGATTTCAGCTTGTATATCTTTTCACAAAAGCATTTGGTGACCTCCCTGTCTGTCACTCAGCCCAGCTCTTGTTTTTAAAAAGTTGCCAGTCATTTTCTATCACACTGCTATTCCTTATTTCCTTCACAGCCCAAATCTGAAATTGTCTTGGTTTATTTCTATATTAGCATTGCCCAATAGCATGTTTTGCAATGAATGATATGCTCTATATCATGTACCACATGGGGTAATGTGGTAGCCATTAACCACATATGTCTATTGAGCACTGGAAATGTAGCTACTGAGACTGCAAACTAAATTATTACTTTTATTTCATTTTAATTCATTTAAATATAAAATAAAGAAGCCACATGTGGATGCTGGTTACCGTATTAGGCAGCACAGTTCTGTCTCCTCTGTTAAATCCAAAATTCCATGATGATAAGAAATTTTTCTGTGCACAGTAGTAATCTATGTAATATGGTACTGAGAATATTCATACCTGGGAATGGCAAGTATACAAAATATTTGTGAAATTAATGAATGAATAAATTGATAAATTATAGGAACATATATTCATTTTTATTGTGGTTATAAATATGTTCTGTTTGAATCCTGCTTTGTAATCTAAGATCCGTGTGATCATCTTTCTTCTTTCCCTTCTCCTGACTTTAGTAAAATTGACCATATCTTTGCTTTCAGGTTTCCTCATATATGATGAAATATTCTATTAATAATTGTTAATATATATTAAATTTTAATAATTAACTCCATCCTCTTTTCCAAGTGGTTTACATATGTTAACTCATTTGATCTTTACAATAACCATATGAATTGGGTTTCATTATTACTCCCATTCTACAGAGATAGAACCTGAGGCACGAGGTATTTAAGTAACATATCCAAGTTACCTAGCTCATAAATGAGTGAGGGAGGCTGCAGAGTCCAGTCTCTTAGCCATTATTCTATATTGCATCTCACTTGAAAACCTTTATTCTCTTATAGTAGTAGCTATCCTTAAATTGACAAACATATTTGAAATTATTTAACATTATATTGAAATGTAAATATTAAGAAATTAAGAGTATTTATAAAACAAGACAAGATCTTGATGACACATTCTTTTCTAGAATTTTTTTGTCTTTTACTGGAAGCTTCATCCCAGTCTGACAGTTGTGCTGCTTAAATAACTTGGAATTGAAAAAGGCTGAAAAAGAGGAACAGAGAAAGAGATAAAAGTTGCCTCTGCTTAGCCTTTGAGCAGGCTTGATTTTAAGAGAATGTGGAGAACAATATAAGCCACATACTATCCCTGTGGGCTCTTTCTTCTCTTCCAGGCCAACTTATCCCAAATATTAGTATAGTGAACTCTGCTATTATTCCATCATACATCTATACTGACTAATTGGTAAACAAGTAAAGCAAATTTGTTATATTATTACATGATTTATTAATGCCACTGCACTATTTAGAGTCAAGAGAGAAATCAACTGCTTTGCAAAAACCCTAAAATTTCAAAAACACTCATGTCTGGAAGTACATATTTTTACAAAATCCAAATTCATGTTTTGGATCCACTTGCAGTTTTAACTTGTCTTTTTGAAGCTGTCTGTGTCAAAGTTCTGCCTATATTCTTTCCCAAATTAGTCTTTCCCTCCACCATTTATTTATATGTCATTAGTGGCATTGTAACTTCAGTTTGGAGCCAGCACAGTTCATTCTTAAAGCCTGTTTATTTCTTTTTTTGTAATGACGCTAAAGCTAGTTGATATTCTTCCAAATGTGCAGAAAATATGGTTCTGAGATAAAAATTGTATAAAGAACCAAATGTTTCCTTTTTGTTATTTCTTATAAATATCATTTGGTTTTAATCTGACCTTTGCCATTCTTATTTTGATTGATTATGCAAGCCTCTTTTTACCTCATATTAACTTATTTACTTCTGAAATACTATTTGAATTAAATACTAATATATTCGATTAGTTTTATTCTTCATCATTTTACTCCCAAGATATGTACATACATAAATAGAAATGTAGAAATATATACATTCAAATCCAGATGGATTCAAGTGTTGCTTGGCAAAGATAATATTTTAAAACTCTCAGGAAATGTAGGTGAATAATTTTTAGACCTGATGTAGGGAAGGATTTGATAAGTAAGATGTAAAAAAAAAAAGTTTGATATATTTGACCATATTAAAATAAAGCACTCTTAAAGATAGTAAATATAAAGGTTATAAACTGGGAAAGCAATTTAAACAGATATAACCATCAAAGGATTCATATAAAAATACATAAAGAATCATCCCAAGTCAATAAAAGTGGTATAAAAATCTGGGGAAAAAATGGAGGAGAAATACAAACATACATTTCAAAGACTAGGAAACACACATGTCCAATTAATATATAAAAAGACACACAATCTTCAATTACAAAAATCTAGTTGTCTTCTTTATTTTTATTTTACTTTAATTTTCTGTGGCACTGAATGATGGTTTCACATTTCTTGGAATCTCTTTGCTTTACTGACTTGCAGTAGTATATGCTCAATCACACTCCTTCGTATGTCGGACAGATTCCTTCCTGTTACAACCTCTTGCCTATTCTTAGTTCAATAGTTTCATTTAACAAACTTGTCTTACACACCTTTTATATCCCAGTCACTACATTACTCATGGATGATAGGAAATGAAAAAGACATACTCCTTGTTATCCTTGTCCTCGAAGTGCTTATGATCTAGTGAAAGAAGACAAGGACAAAACAGATAAATTTCAGCATCAACTTCCTCACCCAATCATTCTACCAAACTAATGTGATATATGACCTCTTCTGTGAAACTATCTGGAGCTTGGTTGTCAGCTGTCACAGATAATGTAGGTGCCGAGGATACCACTATTGATTTGTATTTGCTATTTTCTTTCTTTTTTTATGATGGGGGTGAAACTTTACATTGTCTATGATAAGGAAAAATAACAATTATAAAAATCATGTTCTAAATTTTATAATAAATTTTAAATGTATATATACAATTTTAATGCAAATAAAATCAGTAACAGAGACATCAAAAAGGAAATAACAGTGGACTAAACCATGATGGGCAAAATAGGCATATTGATAAGGGTTGCTGGTTAGATATGCGAGATACAAAAATAATTGTTTATGTTGATTATGTGTAGAGAAATTAAGACCAGTTTGTCTCCAGAGAGATATTTGGCATTTGCAATGCATAAACTTTTTTCCAGTCAACTAGAAATCATGAGAAAAGAAGTAGCAACCATTAAAAAATATGAGCAACTTTAAGCTCTATTAATGCTAAAGTAGGTTGTTGTTTTACATATTAATCATATCCCTTGCCCTTGAGGATTTTGAAATATTGTGAGGAAAGAAAAAGATGAATATTATATAACATAATTTCAAAACTGCACTGGGTTAAGAGAGGTGAGTCACAGATTATATTGCTAGGTTACAAAATTCATCTTTTAATGGCAGAAATACCTATGTATGGCTCTGCTTTAGTTCTTGCACAAAAAGGAGTTAGACATTTCATCATCTCTTGGAATTTATAACCTGGCAGTAACCATATGTCTAGTCAAATGAAGTCTCAGAAATTGTCCAACTGTAATTTTATTCACATTCTTCAGTTGCAGATGAATAGCGAAAATTAACTGTATGGATAAGGATGCACTATTTTCATTACTTGTAAATATATGCTTGGCAAATAATATAATTAGTGGTCTCAACACAGTGCTTTTGGAGAAATATTCAAAGAGAAGGCTTTCAAAAACTAGTAATTATGTAGGCTACAAATACTAACTAGAAATAACCTGAAATTTGACTTTACTTTTTAATGTTAAATTTTTCAAGAATATGACTTATTTATTTTTAATTAATTCAACAAATGTCTATGTTACTACAGCTTACTTTTTCCTAGATACTAAGTACAATGCTGTTGAGCATGTGTGTGGTGAGTATGGTGTGGTGAGTGGGTCATTAAGAAAATGTTTCCACATCGAAAAACTCATAGTTTAGTGGGAAAAAAAAGTCATGTGAACAAATCGCAACCCAACGAGAAAAATAGAAGTGTGTATGTAGTGCTATGAAACTACTGATGGTTTAGAGGTTAAATGAGCCTTAGGGAAATAAGCAAACCTTTCATAGGAGTGATATTTGAGCTGGCACTCAAGGTTGATTATGACACTAAGTGGACATTGGAAGAACATTTCAGGCTATTTTCTTTCATCCCAGTGCCACTATTTCCCACAAACAACTCCATTCTCAATTATTGCTGTGCTTCTTTAGTGCTGGGCCTCAACACTTAGTCAAACATCCACAATCCTCTTAATGTTGACTCACTATTGACAATATCTAAAACTTTTATGTCGTGTTGAGTGTAGTACCATTTTTAACTAATGCTCTCTCACTACAATTATTTCTGTTTTTTAAAAAATATATTGAATTTCCTATGGATTCCAGGAACTCAGCTTTTCATTGTGGGGAAATTTGCCTATACACTTTCAGTACAAACTGCATGTTCCTTCCGAGCCCCAAGCTCTATGGCTCATGCTACTCACTCACTCTTCTTCCCCCAATAGTTTTTTTCTTTTCTTTTCTTTTCTTTTCTTTTCTTTTTCTTTTTCTTTTTCTTTTCTTTTCTTTTTTTTTTTTTTTTTTTTTGAGACAGAGTCTTGCTCTTTCACCCAGGCTGGATTGCAGTGGCCCGATCATGGCTCATTGCAACTACCTTTCCCTGGGCTCAAGCCATCCTCCCACCTCAGCCTCCCAAGTAGCTGGGACTACAGGCACACCACGCCCGGTTAATTTTTGTGTATTTTGTAGAGATGGGGTTTCACTACATTGGGCTCAATCAATCCTCCTGCCTAGGCCTCCCAAAGTGGTGGGATTACAAGCATGAACCACCACTTCTAGCCTTGTAATGTATGTAACTATATCTATATGTGTGTTTTCTTTATTTTATGTATGTATTTATTTATTTTTTGAGACGGAGTCTCACTCTCTAGCTCTGTCGTCCAGGCTGGAGTGCAGCGGTGCGATCGCAGCTCTCTGCAAGCTCCACCTCCCAGGTTCACGCCATTCTCCTGCCTCAGCCTCCCGAGTAGCTGGGACTACAGGCGCCTGCCACCACGCCCTGTTAATTTTTTGTATTTTTAGTAGAGACGGGGTTTCACGGTGTTAGCCAGGGTGGTCTCGATCTCCTGACCTCGTGATCCGCCCGCCTTAGCCTCCCAAAGTTCTGGGATTACAGGCGTGAGCCACTGCGCCTGGCCCTTATATGTGTGTTTTCTTAATGAGCAAACTATTACTTAGATTTATACATTCCTCACTGAATGCCAAAAGTGATTAGAAAATGTATTTATGCCCACAAAAGCAAACTTGATAGCATGAAAAACGTACATTTCAAAATGCCCCTAACTTTTCATTTTGTTTTGTAATTTTATTACAAAACGTTTTTTGCAGGACCCTTTTGCTGCCAAATGGAAACTTGATTCTTTCGATTGAGATGGAAAAGTTTATTTCTAAAGATTTCAAAACTTGAAGAAAAGTTAGGTTAAGAAAAAGTGTGTACATAAAGATTTCTTTATTCAAAAGATTCACAGTCTAATTTAAGTAGGTCGATCGACCACCATTTTTTATCTCTTAATCAGGTACTGTTTGCATTTTTTTCAATTTGAACATGTCTATATCTTTTAAGGTAATGAACTATATAGTTACAACTGCTCTGCAATGTTGAAAAGATAGACTTTCCAAATTATCAGAACTGTTTGGGTAACATAAGTCAATTTAATTTGTGCAAAGCAGATCTCCCTTTCAGGATTTTCTGCCACAGGTCTTTTAATTTCCCCATAGATTTCTAACTTCATGATGATTTTTTGTAATTAAGAGTTATGTATCTAATGACATGAAGCTTGCTAGCAAAAGTGCCGCTGCTCACACTACTGATAGCAACGTAGGAAATCTCTCTGAAAGGCTTGCAGCATTTCTCAGAGGTAAAAGCAGAGACTGCTAAGCCTTCCTTTACAGTAAATATGCCATGCTCTCAGACCTGTAATTCACCTGACTCATGAGCCAAGGTTTGTACTTGATAGACTCAATAAACAATCTTACACTGTTGAAAGGCTCCAGATATGCTACAAAACTATACAAAATTTAACACTATAGTTATATTGCATACTTTGCAGTTGCTGCTGATGGGGAAAATGTCTTTCATAGGCAAAAGACTCAAAGTTTTAAAAAACAACAAAGTAACAAACCAGTGCTCCAAAGTAACAAGACCATAATTCTGATAGTAGGCTCCCAGTATTTTGCTGTGTTTCATAAAAGAGAGGATTATTTATTATTATTACACATGAAAGGTGGAGGCATATAATTGTAGATATCTTAAAGGGCAACTTTAGGGAGAAACAGCAAGATGGCTGACCAGGACATCCTAGCCCTTACCTTGCCTTGCCACAAAAACAATGATTTAACAACTGCCCATGGGTGAAAATAGCTCTGGGAGAGCTCTCAAGTACAATTAGGGAGCTGTCCAATTAGGGCACAAAAACTGAGGATGGCCACATAGAAAAGTGTAGGAATCATTTTACCTGTATCACCTGTCCTAGGTAGATATAGCTTAGAGCCAAGAGAGATCCTCTTGGCTTTAACTCCCCACTCACCCGCCAGAGGGAAAGGAGAGCAGGAGGACTTTTGGATTCTGTGCACTGAGGACTCTAGCAGCCCTCACCACCTCACCATTGTTGTAGACAACTGTAGCACCAGCTGCTGAGAACCCCTACAGTATTTGCTGATGCTGACTCCGGCTGATGGAGCAGCCCAGAATTTACATTTCTGAGCCTTGCAACCCTGGAGCAAGAAATATTTGTTGTGTCTCCCCAGGGTCAGCGCTGCCACTGCACAACCTCAGGGTTGGAACCACCACCATGGAAACTTTTGCTGCTGACACACATGTACCCACCCACAGAACCAGAAGCCACCACACCCACCCCCAAATGGACAATTCAGTACTTCCCTAGTTTCTTATAGACAACATATAGGTTTCTCATGCTATTTGATTTCCTCTGACAATCTGTTTTTATTGGTGCATTTAGACTACTGATGTTCAAAATGTTTATTGATACAGTTGGATACATACCTATTTATTACTTTTTATATTTGTTGCCTTGTTCTTTGCTTTTATTTTGTATCCCACTCTTTTTCTGTCCTTTGTATTTAATTGAGCATTTCATATAATGCAACATCTCTTCTGTCTGACAGTTTTTATTTTGATTATCCTGTTCCCATTATAAGTTGTAGGGTAGGGAATGAACAGATGAATTTTTCTCTTAGTCATTTGACTTCACTGCCAGCATGCCAGCATTACTAAAATGTTTAAGAAGATCTTTCTGGCATAAGGATAATTATACTAGATGAAAATTTAGATCTACATAATTGAATAAAGAGTAGTTGGGAATGATAGGTATATAGATAGATATAATTTTTATTTCACATACTGAAAACATTAGTGGAAAAGCTGATGAACTTTGAACAAGGTGTTTAGTTTATTTAATAATAATATACCAAAAGTAATTTTCTGGTTTGATCATTACAATGTGGTTTTGCCAAGTGATAAAATTAGTGGAATCTGGTTGTAGGAGTATGTGGAAACTCTCTGTACAATTTCTGTAACTTTTCCATAAGCCTAAAATTAGTTTTAAAGAAGTTTAGAAAGAAAGAAAATAAACTGCCAGAAAGAAGATAAAACATATGTGAAAATAATCAATTAATCCAAAAGTAGAAAAAATCAAAATTGGCCGGGTGCAGCTCACGCCTGTATTCCTAGCACTTTGGGAGGCTGAGGCAGGCTGATTGCCTGAGCTCAGGAGTTCAAAACCAGCCTGGACAACATGGTGAAACCTTGTCTCTACTAAAAATACAAAAAAAAAAAAAAAAAAAAAATTTAGCCAGCGTGGCTGTGTGCACCTGTAGTCCCGGTTCTTGGGAGGCTGAGACAGGAGAATCACTTGAACCTGGGAGGCAGAGGTTGCAGTGAGCCGAGATCACGCCACTGCACTCCAGCCTGGGCAACAGAGCGAGACTCCATCTCAAAAATAAATAAATAAATAAATAAATAAATAAATAAATAAATAAATCAGATGGAACACATAGGAAAAAGAAAATCAGATTTACATCCAACATTATCAATAAATAATGTAAATGAATTAATTCCTCTAATTAGAAGGTGACATTGAAATTATATATTTTAAAAAAGCAGAACCAAACTATATGTTCCCTGTAAGAAACAGAGTCTAAAGTCATAGGATTTAAAAAAATGTGAACAATGCTAATGTTAATCTAATAAAAGCTGGAATTATTATATTAAATCAGAAAACGTTGATTTCAGGGCAAGGAATGTTACCAGGAATGAAGAGGATCATCTCATAATGATTAAAGAGTCAATTTAATAGATATGACGTAAATGCCTTAATATGCATGTACCTAATATAAGAACTTCAAAGTACAGAAATCAAAAATAAATAAAAATTAAAGGATAAATAAATACTTTTCTATTATATTTGTTAATGTCAACCCTGTACTTGACAGAGTAAGTGAGTACTTCCTGTGGAACAGATCTGAAAAATAAAAAAAAATAAGTAAACATAAAATAAGTTTGTTTAAGTGAATATGAAACATTTACCTAGATATGTCATATTCTGAACCATAAGCCTATTTCAATAAATCTAACAGAGTACAGAAAGGGAATCATGTTAAAAATTAAATAGGCCAGGTGCAGTGTCTCACGCCTGTAATCCCAGTACTTTGGGAGGCAGAGGCAGGTGGATCACGAGGTCAGGAGTTCGAGACCAGCCTGGCCAAGATGGTGAAACCCTGTCTCTACTAAAAACACAAAAATTAGCCGGGCGCGGTGGCTGGAGCTTGTAATCCCAGCTACTCGGGAGGCTGAGGCAGGAGAACTGCTTGAACCCGGGAGGCAGAGTTTGTAGTGAGCTGAGATCGTGCCACTGCATTCTAGCCTGGGCGACAGAGCAAGGCTCTGTCTCAAAATAATAATAATAATGATAATAATAATAAAATAAATATATCTTGAATATTTGAATATTTGAAAGGTAAACAAAACTTCTAAATTAGCCAGGGGTTAAAGAATTTTGTAAGTGATTAGAAAATATTTTCCTCTGATTTAAAATAAAACCAAAAAGAGGAAAGCTCTCAAATAATTGACGTAAGCTTCCAGCTAGAGAAACCAGGAAAAAGTAAGTGAAAATTAAATCTGGCCAGGTGCGGTGGCTCAGGCCTGTAATCCCAGCACTTTGGCAGGCTGAGGTGGGCGGATCACGAGGTCAGAAGACAGAGACCATCTTGGCTAACACAGTGAAACCCCGTCTCTACTAAAAATACAAAAAAAATAGCAGGGCATGGTGATGGACGCCTGTAGTCCCAGCTACTTGGGAGGCTGAGGCAGAATGGCGTGAACCCAGGAGGCGGAGCTTGCAGGGAGCGGAGATCGCACCACTGCACTCCAGCCTGGGCAACAGAGCGAGACTCCTTCTTAAAAAAAAAAAAAAAAAAAGAAAAGAAAAGAAAAAAAGAAAATTAAATCTAAAACAAAGAAGGAGATAATAAAGAAAACAGCAGAAATCCGTGAAATAGAGCACAGGAAAATAGAAATCAATGAATCCAAAAGTTGGCTTTCTGAAATCGGTAATAATATTGACAAAACTCTGACCAAACAATTAAGAAGGAAGGAAGGAAAGAAAAAACATAAATTACCCTGTGAAGAATAAGAGAGATGATTTCTTTACAGATGTTACAGATATTGAAAGTGTAATAACTGAATATTATGAAAAACTTGTCAATACATTCAACAGAAACCAAAAAATAATAAATTCAATTATTATTGAGTCATGTAATAAAATTATTAACAATGAGAAATATTGAGTTGTTTCTGCATGTCTTTTACATATGCCGGGTGCAGTACTTCATACCTGTATTATTACCTTTAACATATGCATTTCATGTATGTAACATATGTAATACCAGCACTTTGGGAGGCCAAGGCGGGTAGATCGCCTAAAGTCAGGAGTTCAAGACCAGCCTGACCAAAATGGTGGAACCCTGTCTCTACTAAAAAATACAAAAATTAGCCAGGTGTGATGGTGGGTGCTTGTAATCCCAGTTACCCAGGTGGATGAGGCAGGATAATTGCTTTAGCCCAGAAGGCAGAGGCTGTGGTGAACCTAGATCATGCCACTGCACTCCAGCCTGGGTGACAGAGTGAGACTCCATCTCAAAAAAAAAAAAAAAGAAAAAGAAATTTATCTTTTACATATTGTTATATTAAAAAAAGATGTATAGAGTATAATTGTATTTGATAAAAATAGCGATTCTTAGTGTGAATATGCAAAAATATAATCATACTTATCAAGACAATATATCAAAAAAATTTCCAGGATATATATTATGATTGTGGGAAGATAGATAATTTTACTTTTTATTTCACATGATTCATTATGGTGTGATTTTAGTTTATATAAAGAGGGTATTCAAAAAAAATTTCAATAGGTTTTAGAAAAGATAAATTAGTATACACAAGCAAATCAGTAATTTTTTAAAGTATGAATAACTGTGAAGCACTGTGGTATTATGAAAAGACCATGGATAAGTCTGTTCCTTCTCATGATGGATTCCTGCCTGCAAACAAAAAATTTTGTTCTTTTCTTTTTTGGAGATAGAGTCTTGCTTTGTCACCCAGGCTGAATTCCAGTGCTGTGAACACAGCTCACTTCAGCCTTGACCTCCTGGGCTCGAGTTATCCTCCCACCTCAGCTTCCTGAGTAGCTGGGACCACAGGTGTGCACCACCACTCCTGGCTAATTTTTTCTAAAGACAGGGCCTTGCCATGTTGACCAGACTGGTCTTGAACTCCTGGGCTCAAGTGATCCACCCATCTCGGCCTCCCAAATTGCTGGGACTACAGGCATGAGCCATGGTGCCCAGCTTGGTAAATTTTCTTGACTTCCATATTCGTAAGTTCCTCATTGACAAAAAAAAGTGTTATGAGCTACTATATACCTATAACCATTATTTTAAACTTACTGTGATATGTTACGTAATACACTTTTGGCCCCAAAACTTTCACCTTATTTCTTCTTCTCTTATTTTGACTTTTTCCTCTTCAGGTAATTTTCAGTGGAAATAAAAGAAAGTGTGTGTGTGTGTGTGTGTGTGTGTGTGTGTGTTTTAGAAATGGAACAATTGAAAAACACACAAGAAATATTTTTAACTTCTTCAGTTACTGGATATCTTGAATTTCACTGTAGGAATCTTTCCAGAGATGTCAAGACTAGTTTTAGTGGTTTTTATATACTGTCCATACTTTCTTAGCTATTCTCAAAGTATACTAGTGAGACGACACGAGTTTTTCATAAAAGAAAAGCTTTATTGTCTTTTTTTTGTGTTTAATGAACTTCTCAACTTGTCTTAGATGCTCAACAACAACTTAAATGCAAAGTATTTTGCTTTCAACAAATCATCAAATGTGTTTGTCTAAATTAGAATGATCCCTACTTACCTATTAGAGAGTTTCACTTAGCTTTTCTGAAACAAATAGAATAATTCTGAAAAAAAAATCTGAAAAAAATCTTAAAAAAAGAAATGGCTTGCATTTTAACACTACATTTTTTCTCCTTAAAAGTAAGTATTTGGTACTGAAGTTTCCATGCTTCATCCTTATTAATTTCATCAGTTTTTAAATGCACATTATGAATAATTTGTTTCTCATATTTTCCTCTCCTATCAGTCAACTCTCTTATATTAAGTGTTGCCCAAGAAAAAAAATGTTACCTAATGTCAAGAACTTTGTTTCTGGAAAATTCAGCTGATTTGGAGTTAGTTATTTTCATAATTCTAGAACACTATTTGCTGTTATATTAGCATACTGCTAGAATAAGTTACACTGCTTTAACTATTTCATAAGTAATGATTTTCTGACATTTAATGTTTTATTCTTCATCTACTGATATTTTATCTTTTATCTTTCCAACCCTCTATTATTATTACCTTTAATATATGTATTCCATATAGCTATTTTATAAAAATAGAATTATGTTTGAACAATTGAAATACGTTTCTTCAGAATATCTTACCTTAGCACTGAATTTAGACAAACATGGATGCATATTTTAGAACTGATTTCTTTTTCTTCACATACTTTTTAAAATACAGTTCTGAGAAATTTTAATTGTAATTATTGACTGCTGTTTAATTTCTTAGTTTTTCCTGTTGCTAATAACCCGACCTCAAAAACCTCAAAGTTTTCAGTCAGACACATCAGAATTATTTTTCCTTTTAGTCCAACAACATGGAATTTTGGATTACTCCTAACCATATTCTTTCATACAAGATAACAGAAGCTTTGCTTCAGTGACTCTATTGGGATATCTCAGTTTAATCAAACAACCTCTACTTTGTACTGAGTCGGAATCCAACCACAACGTCTACTTGAGTGATGGGAACACAAAGAATTGAAGCAGTTCATTTCAGAAATAATTCTTGATTCAATTGTAACCCAAATGATTTAGCTCAATTTGCATGCTTAGGAAGTAACTTTCATACTTAAATAAAGGCACTTTTAATTTTGCCCTCTCCTTTTCCTTTGATTATGCTTAAAACCTCAAGGATTTCATTAAGAACATGGTAGCTGTTTCAGTATCTTTTTAATTAAATTTCAGTTTCAATTAAGAGCTCCCTGTATTGACAAATACTCTCTTGCACTTCTATGTCCAGATATTTTAACTATGCTTTCCCCTCCAGAAAAATCAAATATTTAATATAAAGAATCATATTATTACTCAATTCTTCAAATTTTATTGTTTGAATAGCTTTGATTACAAAAATTATCATAATGAGTACACCATAGCACGTAATTATATAACTATTTCATTTAGTCTTTCAACTCAAACAATAGCTTTTAAGGGTATTCATAAGAAACAAAATAATAGGTCACACATGTTTCACAAATATGTATGTATGTATACATTTTAATAAAATGTATGACAATTTTATATTTTTAAATTTTTAAATTACCTAGGATACATGCACAATTAAAATTAAATATAGATCTTCAGCAGACCCTTTTTATTCAGGCCTGATTTTTACTTCCAATATTTATGATGTAAATATACTTTGGGACTCAATTAATTACTTCATTATGATATGTTTAAAATCTATTTTACATGTGTTCACATGAGGTAAACCCACGAGTTACAGAAGAAAATGATTGTTGATCTAAGGCGCTGTGTGTTTGTTTCTTAAGGCTGATTCCCAGAGTATTATGCTGGGAGATTTTTTTTTTCTTTTTTCCTTTTTTCTTAGAGACAGGGTCTTGGTCTGTCACCCAGGCTGCAGTGCTGTGCTGCAATTATAGCTTACTGTAACCTCAAACCTCAGACTCAAGTTATCCTCCAGCCTCAGGCTTTTGAGTATTCTGGGACTATAAATGTGTGTCATCATGTCTGGCTCATATATATATATATATTTTATATATATATATTTTATATATGCTGGGACTACAAGCATGAGCCACTGCATCCAAGTTATGCTAGGAGGTTTTAGAAGATAGATATGCATGCCTACATATTTAGGTTGATATGTATGCATATTTTACCTGAAATGTTTGCATTCAAATTTTTTTAATGTAACTTTTCCCCACAATTCTTAATAAAGTTTTTTAACTGCAATTTTAGAGTGCATTTTTTGTTTTGCTTTGCTTTCCAGGGTTTCCAAGCGAATAATTTTCTGTAGGAATTTCGGTAATAGTTACCTAGGTACTGATTTTCTCACATTTGTGATTTTTTTTTCTGTTAGTCAAACTCTTAAAGCCAAACTGCCATTCAGTTTTTCTTGTATGATTATATTTTGTAGGCATAACTAACATATCCTAAATTATTTCAGGGATGCTTCAAAGTAGAGTTTCTTTTGTGTCCACTGTAAACTGTAATGCATGTGGACTTGATTGCATGGGAATTACTTTTCTAGACGAATATCAGATTATTTCAGGCTTCATAGTTCATCTTTGAATGAAGTGATGTTTCTTAAAAATTTCAAATATATTCCAACAGTTAAAACATCTCAAAATTTAAACTTAATGATTTCTTATAAAATTCCTCATTTATGGAATGCTAGCAATTATAGCAATCATTCATTCACTGAGCATGTATTTAAAGTCTATTCTATGCCAAGCACTAGCACAGTTTTAAGTGCTTGATGAATGTATGTGAGACTTTACTCTTTCGGTGCTTTCATTCTAGTGAGCAATGTCCAAAAATTGGTAATGAAAGTAAAAATACCATTCAAATAGAGATGAGTGATATAGATAAAACAGAACAGGGTAATATAAGGAGAATAATGGGAGTGAAATTTATACAGAGAGCTCAGAGAAGATTGCTCTGAAGAGAGATATTTGAGATGAGATCTGAAGGAGGAGAGAAATCTAATATTGGAGAAATCTTGGATACATTTTGGGCAGGCATTATGTCAAATTAAAGCCAAAAATATACAGTGAGAGACTGAAGAAAATGCTAATATTCAGGGCAGGGCATTTGGGAACGGTAGCAGAATGAGATTGTTGTTGGAAAAATAGAGGACCTGTGATGCAAGCCCTTGTGTTCTTGTGAACAGAGCATGGGGTTTGGACTTTATTCAAATTACAATAGAATCTCATAGGCAATACTTTAGTCATTATTCAATCCAGCTCTGTCACGGAAGTTTACACTCACTTACATTAGATTCAATGCTAGAACTATAGTCACTGGATATCCTGTTACATTTGCTCAGAACATACAAATATTTATGAAAATAATTATACTCCCATATTTGGCTCCCTTATCTGATGTTTGTCTTTTAAAAATATCTTTTTATTATTTAAAAATTTATTTTTAATTTTTGTAGGTACATAGTAGGTGTATATATTTATGGGATATATGAGATATATTGACACAGGCATAGAATGTGTAATAATCACAGCAGGGTAAATGGACTATCCATCACCCGAAGCAGTTATCCTTTGTGTTACAAAAAATCCACTTATGCTCTTTTAGTTATTTTGAAATGTATAATTGAAATATTATTGCTTATAGTCACCCCATTATGCTATCAAATACTAGACCTTATTCATGCTTTTTATTTTTTGTACCCATTAACTATCCCCAATCCCCTCTCCCAGCCTTTCACTACCCTTCCCAACCTCTAGTAACAATCATTTTACTATTTCTATGAGTTTAATTGTTTTAATTTTTAGCTCCCACAAATACGTGAGAAGATGTGAAGTTTGTCTTTCTGTGCCTGGCTTATTTTGCTTAACATAATGACCTCCAGCTCCACACATTCTGTCACCAATGACAGGATTCCATTAATTTTTATGAACAAATAGTACTCCATTTTGTATATGTACCACATTTTCTTTATCCATTCATTTGTTGATGGACAACTGGGTTGCTTCCAAATCTTGGTTATTGTGAACAGTGCTGCAATAAACATGGGAGTGCAGATATTTCTTAGATACACTGACTTCCTTTCTTCTGTATATACATAGAAGTGACATTGCTGGATCATATGGTAGTTCTATTTTTAGTTTTTTGAGGAATCTGCAAACTATTTTTTATAGTGGTTTTACTAATTTACATTCCCACCAGCAGTGGATGAGGGTTCCCTTTTCTCCACATCCTCACCAGTATTCATTATTGTCTGTCTTTTTGATAAAAGCCATTTTAACTGGGGTGAGATAATATCTCATTGTAGTTTTAATTCACATTTCACTGATGATCAATGACCTTGAGTACCTTTTCATGTGCCTTTTTTCCATTTGTATGTCTTCTTTTTAGAAATGTCTATTCAATCTTTTGCCCATTTTAAAATTGGATTATTAGGATCTTTTCCCATTGAGTTGTTTGAGCTCCTTCTGCATTCTGGTTATTAATCCCTTGTCAGACAGAGTTTGCAAATATTTTCTCCCATTATGTAGGTTGTCTCTTCACTTTGTTTCCTTTTCTGGGTAGAAGTTTTTAACTTGATGGGACCCCATTTGTTCAATTTTGCTTTGATTGCCTGTGGTTGTGGAGTATTATTCAAGAAATCTTTGCCCAGTACAGTGTCCTGGAGAGTTTCCCCAATGTTTTCTTTAGTAGTTTCATAGTTTCAGGTCTTAGAGTTAAGTATTTAAGCCATGTTGATTTTATTTGTTATGTGGCAAGAGATAGCAGTCTACTTTCATTCTTCTGCATATGGATATCTAGTTTTCCCAGCACCATTTATTGAAGAGACTGTCCTTTTCCAAATAGTCTTGGAAACTTTGTTGAAAATGAGTTAACTGTAGATGTATGGATTTATCTCTGGGTTCTCTATCCTGTTCTACTGGTCTGTTTTTCTCCTTTATTACAGTACCGTGCTGTTTTGGTTGCTATAGGTCTGTAGTATAATTTAAAGTCAGGTAATGTAATTCCTTCAGTTTTATTCTTTTTGCTCAGGAGAGTGTTGGCTACTGTGTGTCTTTTGTAGCTTTATATAAATTTTAGGATTTTTTCTCCTATTTTTGTCAAGAATGTCATTGGTATTTTGATAAGAATTGCCTTGAATCTGTAGATTGCTTTTGGTGCTATGAATATTTTAACAATATTGACTCTTTCAATCCATAAACGTAGAATATCTTTTCATTTTCTGGTGTACTCAATTTCTTTCAGCAGTGTTTTATAGTTTTCATTGTAGAGAACTTTTCCTTCTTTGACTAAGTTAATTCCTAGGTATTTGGTTTTATTTGTAGCTATTGTAAATGGGATTACTTTCTTGATTTCTTTTTCTGATTGTTTGCTATTGGCAAATATTAATAGAAATGCTACTGATTTTTGTATGTTGATGTTGTATCCTGCAACTTTTTTGAATTTATCAGTTCTAATAGCTTTGTGCTGGAGTCTTTCAGTTTTTCCAAATATAAAATTATATCATCTGCAAACAAGCATAATTTGACTTTTTCCATTCCAACTTGGATGGCCTTTGTTTCTTGTTTGATTGCTCTAGCTAGGACTTCCAGAACTATATTGAATAACACTGATGAAAGTGAGCTTCCTTGTCATGTTCCAGATACTAGAGGAAAGGCTTTCAGTTTGTTCCCATTCAGTAAGATACTACCTGTGAGTCTGTTACATATGGCTTTTATTGTGTTGAGATGTTTTTTCTGTACTCAGTTATTTGAGGAATTTTATCATGAAAGAATGTTGAATTTTATCAAATGCTTTCTCAGCATCAATTTAAATGATCATATGGTTTTTGTCCTTCATTGTGTTGATATGATGTATCACATTAATTGATTTGCATATATCAAATTATCCTTGCCTCTACTGCGATAAATTAACTTTGTCAAGATGAATAATTCTTTTCAGGGATATTGGTTTGTAGTTTTCTTTTTTGATATGCCTTTGTCTGGTTTTGGTATCAGGGTAATACTGGCCTTGTACAATGAGTTTGGAAGTATTCTCTCATCCTCTAATTTTTAAAAAGTTTGAGTAGGATTGGTGTTAGTTCTTTAAATGTTCGATAAAATTCAGCAGTGAAGCAATCAGTTCCTGGGATTTTCTTTGTTAGGAAACATTGTTACCACTTCAATCTTATTGTTTGTTTTTGTTCTACTCAGGTGTTGGATTTCTTCATGGTTCCATCTTGGTAGATTGTACGAATCTAGGGATTTATCCAATCTAGGGATTTATCCATTTTTTTTCTAGGTTTTTCAATTTATTGGCATATAGCTCCTCATAGTAGCCTCTAATGATCCTTTGAGTTTCTGTGGTGTTAACTCATTTTTCTGCTTGTAATAACTCCTTTTTCATTTCTGATTTTATTTATTTGGGTAGTCTCTCTCTCTCTTTTCTTTTTTTTTTTTCTTTTGGGACAGAGTTTTCCCTCTTGTCCCCCAGGCTGGAGTGCAATGGCATGATCTCAGCTCACTGCAAACTCCGCCTCCCAGATTCAAGCAATTCTCCTGCCTCAGCCTCCTGAGTAGCTGAGATTGCTGGCATGCACCACCACACCTGGCTAATTTTGTATTTTTAGTAGAAACAGAGTTTCACCATGTTGGTCAGGCTGGTCTCGAACTCCTGACCTCAGGTGATCCACCTGTCTAGGCCTCCCGAAGTGCTGGGATTACAGGCGTGAGCCACTGCACTGAGCTGGGTGTCATTTTTTAATCTATGCAGCCACTCTATTCAGCCAACTCTATGGTTGTTGATTTGAGCGTTTACTCCATTTACATTCAATATTACTATTGATAAGTCAGGACTTACTCTTGCCATTTAGTTATTTGTTTTCTGATTGTTTCGCAATCTCTTCCTTCTTTCCTTCCTTCCTCTCTTCCTTCTAGGGAAGATAATTTTCTCTGGGAATATGTTTTAATTTCCTTCTTTTCATTTTTTGTTTATCCATTGTACGTTTTTAGATTTGAGATTACCATGAGGCTAGCAAATAATGACTTATAATCCATTAATTTAAAATGATGACAACTTAACACTGATTGTAGAAACCAACAGACTAACAAACAAGCAAAGAGAAAAGTAACAAAAACTCTACACTTTGACTTTGTTTCCTGCTTTTTATCTTTTTGGTTTTTGTATTTATATCTTTTCAGACTGTCTATGTCTTCAAAAGTTGTAGTTATTATTTTTGATTGATTCATCTTTTCATCTTTCTATTCAAGATGAGTAATTTACATACCACAATTATAGTGTTATAATATTCTGTTTTTCTGTGTATTTACTATTATCAGTAAATTTTGTATCTTCAGATAATTTTTTAATGCTTATTAATATTATCTTCTTTTCAATTGAAGAATTCCCTTTAGCATTTCTTGTAGGACAGGCCTGGTGTTGATGAAATCCCTCAGCTTTTGTTTGTCTGGGAAAGTCTTTATTTCTTCCTCATGTTTGAAGGATATTTTCAACAAGTATACTACTTTAGGGTAAAAGTTTGTTTGTCTGTTTGTTTTTCTTCAGCACTTTAAATATGTCATGACTCTCTTTCTTGACCTGTAAGGTTTCCACTGAAATGTCTGCTGCCAGATATATTGAAACTTCATTGCATGTTATTTGTTTCTTTTCTCTTTCTGAGATCCTTAGGATCCATTCTTTATCTTTGGCCTTTGGGAGTTTGATTATTAAATGCCTTGAGGTAGACTCCTTTGGGTTAAATTGGCTTGGTGTTCTATAACCTTCTTGTATTTGAATATTTATATCTTTCTCTAGGTTTGAGAAATTCCCTGTTTTTATCCCTTTCAATAAATTTTTTATCACGCTTTCTCTCTACCTCCTCTGTAAGGCCAACAACTCTTAGGTTCACCCTCTTGAAGCTGTTTTCTAGATCTTGTATGTGTACTTATTTCTTTTTTATTCTTTTTTCTTTTGTCTTCTCTGTGTATTTTCAAATAGTCTATTTTTAAGCTCACTAATTCATTCTTCTGCTTGATAAATTCTGCTATGAAGAGACCCTGATGCATTCTTCCAAATGTCAATTATATTTTTCAATTCCAAAATTTCTGCTTGATTCTTTTTTATTATTTCAATTTTTTTGTTAAATTTATCTGATAGAGCTAGGTGCAGTGGCTCACACCTGTAATCCCAGAAAATTGGGAGGCTAGGCAGATGGATTGCTTGACCTCAGGAGTTCAAGACCAGCCTGCACAACATGGCTAAACCTGTTTCTACAAAAAAATAGAAAAATTAGCCAGGTGTGGTGGTACATGCCTGTGGTTCCAGCAACTTGAGAGACTAAGGTGGGAAGATCACTTGACTCCAGCAGGATGAGGCTGCAGTGAGCTGTAATAACACCACTGCACTTCAGCCAGGGCAACAGAGCGAGAACTTGTTACAAACAAACAAACAAACACACAGAAACTGTATGATAGACTTCTGAATTCCTTTGTGTTATCTTGAGCTTTTTTGAGTTTCCTCAACATAGCTATTTTGAATTATTTGTCTGAAAGGTCACATATTTCTGTTTCTCTGGGATTGGTCACTGGTACCTTATTTAGTTTGTTTGGTGAAGTCAATCAATTGTGGCTATTTGTCAGTGTCTGTGCATTAAAGAATTAAGTATTTATTGTAGTCTTCGCAGTCTGGGGTCCTAAATAAACTTGAAGGGCAGTCTAAGTCACAAAGACTGCACCTCCTAGGCAAATCGTAGTGCTGTGCTAGGCTCAGAGCAAAGGCCTTGGGGAAAGAGGGTGGGTACATGAACTGGTGAGACCTGTTTTTTTTTGTATCTGTCCTTGAGAATGCCTTCCAGGTATTCAAAAGGACTTGTGTGTTGTGATCTAAGTTTTTAGTACTGTAGCAGAATCTGCATTAAAGGGCACTCTCAAGCACAATAACACTGTCATTCTGGTAGCCTTGTAGAGATACCACCTTTGTAGTCTTGGATAAGTTCCAGAAGAATTCTCTGGATTACCAGAGACTCTTGTTCTCTTCCCTTACTTTTTCCCCAAGCAAATGAAGTTTCTTTCTGTATTGAGCCGCCTGGAGCTAGGGGAGATGTGACACAAGCACTCCTTTGGCCGCCACCAAAGAGTTTCCTCCTGGCCCAGGCTGTGTCCAGAAATGTCATCCAGGAGCTAGGGCTTGGAATGAAGGCTTCACAAGTCTTCCTGGTGCCCTATCCTACTGTGGCTGAGCTTGTATTCAAGTTACAAGACAAAGCTGTCTTTACTCTTTCCTTTCCTCTCCCCAAGTGAAAGGAAGAGGTTTCTTTTGGAGCTGTGAGCTGCACTGCCTAGGTTTGGGGGAGAGGTGGCACTAACACTCCCTTAACTGCGCCAGCTGGTATCTCACCAGGTCATGTACCCACCCCCTCCTTCCCCAAGACCTTTTGCTCTGAGCCTAGCACAGCACTACGATTTGCCTAGGAGGTGCAGTCTTTGTGACTTAGACTGCCCTTCAAGTTTATTTAGGACCCCAGAGAACATTAGCCTGCACTGGCAAAGCTTGCTGAAACTCAAGGTGCAACAGTTGGGATGGGCTTTTCCCCTCTCTCTAGGGCTCAAGTAAATGCTCTGTGGGCACCAGCTGAGTTCTACCCAGAGTTGTTTTACACTGCAAAAGGGCAACACTGAGTTCCAATGCAAAGTTCCACAGTAACTGTGCTCTCTCTCTCACAAGCACATAGATTTGCTCTCTGTGCCATGTCTATTTGTCAGGGTCTTGTGGCTGTCAAGGGAATGATGGAGGGGTCGTGTCAGCAATTAAGACTTTTTTTTTCCTGCCCTCTTTTGTGGCTCTTTCAGCAATATGAAGTTATAACCAGGTACTGTGATTGCTCACTTAATTTTTGGTTCTCATGAAGGAGCTTTTTTATGTAGATAGTTGTTGATTTTGGTGTTCCTGTCTGGAAGGCTATCAGTAGAGGTTTCTACTAGGCCATCTTGCTCTGCCTCCTCCTGATACCTAAAGTAGCATCTCCCTAGTATTATATTTAGGGTGTCAGTCCATTTTATTTTCTCTTACTTGGCATAAACTTCTACTAAATAATATAATCATGAAGACAAAGATGATGGTCCCGTTAAGTACTATGATTTTACAAATAGTGTTAATATACTGGCTTTTGATGAACAATTGACCAAAGCTGTATCAGAAACCATATCAGGTTTCTGATATGAATTGAAACTGATAATCTTTAAATGTTCATGCACAGTCATTATTCGATTATTCAGCATTTGCTATGGACTAATGATTTAAAGCATTTAATTAAATTTTTTATTTACTTGTTGTTTCACTACTTCATTGTTTGAAATCATTTTTATTTATGGGGGGAAATACAAAAGGAGAGTAAGAGGCATCATTAAAGAATTAATCAGCCCTGAATCTAGATGCCACTGCTGTTTCAGAATTTATAAGATGCTATATATTGGGCTGGGTTAAGCAGCTGAGCAAAAGATAACTGTTCTATTACTTTATGTATAACAACAATATGAACTTTCTGTATAATTTTAAATCATTTCCATGTAACATTGATTATTGATATGGTTGGATTTAAAGTTTTCAGTTCGTTTTTTTTTCTGCTTGTTTTATCTACTCTTTTTCCAAACCCTTTCTCCTTTCTCTGTCTTCTTTTTGATTAACTATTTTTTAATAATTGCATTTTATTCCCCTTTTTGGCCTTATAGATAAAACTCTTGTATTTTTTTTGTTAGTGGTTTCTTGAGGTTTTATAGTACAGAACTTTAACTTACTGGCATCTTCTTTCAAGTGTTATTATGCTACTTCTCACAATATAAGAACTTTAAAACATTGTACTTTCATTTGTTTTCTAACATTTGTGCTATTGTTGTCATATAGTTTATTTACACATGTATAATAAATCCATTCTAAAGTGTTGTTATTTTTGTTTAAACCGTCATTTAAAATAAAAAGTGGTTTAAATAGTAAGAAAATAATCTTATATATTAGCTCATGCAGTTATTGTTTTCTATGTTCATCATTTCATTGTGCAGATGCACATTCTATCTGATATAATTTTCCTTCTGCCTGAAGAACTTCCTTTAACATTTCTTGTAGTATGTGTCTGATATTGATGACTTATTTTAATTTTTTTAAACATATGAGTAAGTTTTTATTTTGCCTTCATATTTGAAAGAGAGACATTTGGCTAGTGTTACGGTGTGGGTATTTGGCCCTCCAAACATTATGTTGGAAGTTGATCCACTATGTTGAGGTTGTGGCCTAATGAGAAGTGTTGGGTCATGGGAGTGGATCCCTCATGAGTGGCTTGGTGTTGTCCTGGCAGTAATCAGTGAGTTCTGGCATTATTAGTTCCCACAGATGTTCCCCCATGAGTGAGTTGTTAAAAAGAGCCTGGTACCTTCCCCCCTGCCTCTTGCTTCCTTGGTTACCATGTAATGTCTGCACATGCCAGCAACCCTTCACCTTCTGTCATGAGTAAGAGACTTCTGAGTCCCCCCTCAGAAGCAAATATTGGAAATATTTTTGTATAGCATGTAGAACTGTGAGACAATTTTTATTTATTTATTTTTTTAAATAAATTACCCAGTTTTGGGTATTTCTTGTTTTTTTTTTTGACAGAGTCTCCCTCTGTCACCCAACCTGGAGTGGAGTGGTGCTATCTCTACTCACTGCAAGCTCCACCTGCCAGGTTCAAGTGATTCTCTGGTCTAAGCTTCCTGAGTAGCTGGGACTATAGGTACAGGCCACCATGCCTGGGGCTATTTTTTTTTTTTTTTTTTTTGCATTTTTAGTAGAGACAGGGTTTCACCATGTTGACCAGCTGGTCTTGAACTCCTGACCTCAAGTGATCCACCCGGCTCAGCCTCCCAATAGGTATTTCTTTATAGCAACACAAATGGACTAAGACAGGTGAGTAGAGAACGCTATAGTGTTTTTATTTTATTTTTTAATTTTTTTAATTGCTGTGCTGTTTTCTTGCTTATATTGTATTTTACAACAAATCTGCTACCTTTCTTTTTTTTTTTTTTTTTTTTTTTGAGACACAGTCTCTCTCTGTTGCTCTGTCACCCAGGCTGGAGTGCAGTGGCACGATCTCTGCTCACTGGAAGCTCCGCTTCCTTGGTTTACACTTCTGCCTCAGCCTCCCGAGTACATGGGACTACAGGTGCCCGCCACCACGCCTGGCTAATCTTTTTTATTTTTAGTAGAGATGGGGTTTCACTGTGTTAGCCAGGATGGTCTCGGTCTTCTGACCTCGTGATCCTCCCACGTCGGCCTCCCAAAGTGCTGGGATTACAGGCGTGAGCCACCACACCTGGTCCAAATCTTCTGCCTTTCTAAACTTTTCTCCTTTGCACACAATGCATCTTCTATCACCTGGCTGCATTTAGATTTTAATGTAAATTAAAATCATTTTTAAATCATTGGTTTTAAGTAATTTATGATTTGAATTAATTTTTTTCTTTCATTTCTTGTTCTCAGAGTTTTTCAATATTTTTGAATCTCTGAGGTAATACTTGTCATTTAATGTGGCAATTTTCCAGCAAGTATTTTCTTAAAAAAAAGTTTGCATTCTCTACCACATCACTCTCTGCTATGATGACTAATAAATCACAATTTTACTAAGACTTTTCTGGTTTTGAACCTAGAAGTCCCACATCAATGGAAATTCCATTCTTGGCAAGACTAGATAGTGTAGTCACTCTATGCTTTCTTCTTTCCTTTGGGATATTCTACATACATTAGACTATTGTATTTTTTTTCATGGCACACTGATGCTGTTTTCAAATTTTTAAAAAGTATTTTTTCTTTTTATTTTTCCTTTTGCATAGGTTTTAATGCTATGTCATCAAATTTATTAATATTTTCTTCTGCAATTTCTAGTCTGCTATTAATACAAATCATATATTTCACTTCAGATAGTGCATTTTTCATATCTAGAAGTTTGGTTTCATTCTGTTTTTATATCTTCCATGTTTCTAAATAGCTTTTCAACATATGGAACACAATTATAATACATTTTTAATTGCTTTGTATGATAATTCTAACATCTGTGTTAATTCTTGGGAAGTTTCAATTGATTATCTCCTCATTGGGTTGTAGTTTCCCATTTCTTTTCATGACTGTTAATTTTCTATTGGATCCCAGATGCTGTGAATTTTACCTTGTTGGGTTCTGGATATGGACGTTTTACAATCTTACGTATATTCTTGAAATTTATTGTGAGATAAAATACTTGACTTGGAAACATCTTTTCTCCTTTCAGGTGTTGCTTTTATTTTTTTCTATTGGAATGAAGCAGTGTTCTGTCTAAAACAAATTATATCTCACTACTGAGGCAGAAGTTTTCTGTTTACTCTACCCAGTGTCCCATGAATAATGAGATTTTACAGGCTGACTGATGGGAACAAGCATGATTTCCAGCTCCGTGTGAGTGCTGTACACTGTTAGCTTTAGTCTTTATAATTGTTTCTTTCCTTGGCCTTGGATTGTTTCCTCATGCTCATGAGCTCATTGGTATTCATCTGAATACTTAAGAGGGATCTTCTGAAAATCTTTGGAGATTTTTCTCCTTCCTAGTCTCTCATTTGTTATACTCAGTTCTGCAAATTCTAGATCTCTTGTTATTCCTGCATCCGCAGTTTGTCTCCTCAACTTAGGGAGTCCACTGGTCTATGCCTTTCCTCCTTGCCATGTGGCTTGGAAGTTCTTTCAAGTCTGTGGCTTGGTTCATCACAGTGCTCATTTCCTTTGGTTTTTACTTCTCAAGAACCAGTGCGTTTCAAAGCCTTATGTTCAGTATCCTGCAAACCCTTGTTTTATATATTTGGCTATTTTTTTTCATTGTTTTATCTGGAAAAGTAAATCTGGGTCCTGTCTTTTTCATTTTGATCAGAAGTAGAAGTCATATATGTATAATTTATTTGTTTGTTTTATTAATTCTGCCAACCAAGGAGTAGTTTAAAAGGTCATACTAGGCCGGGCACGATGGCTCAGGCCTGTAATCCCAGCATTTTGGGAGGCCAAGGCAGGTGAATCACCTGAGGTCAAGAGTTTGAGACCAGCCTGACCAACGTGGAGAAACCCCATCTCTACTAAAAATACAAAATTAGCTGGGCGTAATGGCACATGGCTATAATCCTAGCTGCTTGGGAGACTGAGGCAGGAGAATCACTTGAACCTGGGAGGTGGAGGTTGCAGTGCCCCGAGATCATGCCATTGCACTCCAGCCTGAGCAACAAGAGTGAAACTCCATCTCAAAAAAAAAAAAAAAAAGGTCATACTAACTATATTACACAAATCATGATCAAAGTTAATTTATATATACTTCATCAAATGAACTAAAATGCCAATCTGTATATATCACTTTAAATGTGTTACTTATTAGTATATGCTTAATGTTATGTCATATATGTATATTTGTATACATACATATACTTCTAATTATTGTTATGTGTATATGTACTGAATGACAACTGTGTGCTTAGGTTTATGTTAGATGTCCTGAGAATACAAAAACCAACAGGGTTGTGATCAGTCAACTTTGTGATCTGCACAATTTTTATGGAAAGCGGTCTTGTTACATAAAAGTTAAATAACTTGAAGAGCAAGGTAAATGAGTAGTAATGAGAAAGAGAGATGAATACTTTTTGCAGAAGTTCTGAAGACAAATTATGAGAAATTATTAATGGATTTAATCCTTTATGCTGTTCTTTTTGCTTGAAAATATTTATGTTCATGTATATATTTTTCATTTAGTAACACATTAGTGTAAGTGCAGGGATAAGGGATGGAGGATTATCTGTAATATTTCTTCTCCTTTCGTCCTTAGTAATTTTACCTCAATTTTTAGGTGATCAGCAACAGTTCAAAACAGAGACTACATTACTCTATCATCCTTGAAGCTAAGTGTGATCATTTGACGAAAGTTAATTCAAGTTAAATATAAGTGAAAAGTGATATGGTAATTTCCATGAATGATCCGTAAGAGATAGTTGGAGCCTAAGCTGAGCCCACACTTATTTGTTTCTGCTTTCATCCTCTTTACTTGGATATGAATCCCACCAAGTTATCTTTCAAATCCTAAAGGTGGCAGATTGATTAAGTGAAAGGAGTCAGGATTTCCAAGGATATTGTACCATTGCTGCTTACATAATGACATTGATCTCAGAGAAGAATCAACTTCTATCTTGTTTAAGCTGTTGCATTTTTTGTCTCTGTAATTATCAGCTAAACTAATTTTTACTGATATACTGTGTTACCAGCTTATACTTAATTGATTAATGTTTCTTATCTAGATTATAAAATAGTCTTTTTAACCAGTAAAATCTGTCTTTACAGTCAAACATTCCATATTTTAAAAGTCCCATCATTGATGATTAAATACTTAATATATTTAAGACTCTTTCTGGGGTTCTAGAAGAAAAAATACAAAGGTGACCAGCTGAGGGAATCACTGGGCATGAGGAAAGAGTTCTCTTTTTTGTGTATAATAAAGATTTCAACTTGTAAGGCATCACTAAATTACAACATGTATGGGCATTAGCCTGGAAAAGCAAATGATTTGTCCACAGTTCCTCTGGCTTATAATTTACCTGGAACAACCATTAGGTAGATGCCGGACATTGTTTATTCTTTACTTCTGGTGTTCAATGACTATAACAATGAGGCTAATACATCTCTGATCACAAATTAATCACTTTACAAATCACTTTTGAGAGAAAGGAGTTTTCCTCTGGGCTATACTAGAAAGTTAACTTTGTTAGTCAATTAGTTTTGTGCATTTTCACAGTGTGGGGAAAAAAAGTTGGTAGATATATTTCTAGACAGGATTATTTTCCTATAGATCAGAGTTATTTTGTTATTCACTCATTAATATTTAAAACCATCACAATCATATAGACAAAAAAAGATTGATACAATTTTCAGAAAAAAATACTAACAGTAAGCATAATAAATAAACTAAATGAAAAAAGGAACAATATCAGAATTTAGTAATCTTTCTCTTCTCAGGTTGAAAAGAGGTTACAGGCTCTTATCTTCAAATTTTAGCCCCCCTCAGTATTCAAGAAGAAATTCTAAGATATTTTTGATAAAATAAAAAACCTCCCACCACCACAGTTTGTATAGAGAATAATCCTTGGATGCTTTAATATAGAATGTTTCCTTACATGAAATATTTATCCTATAATAGATTGCTTGTCCTACCCTGACTCTGAAATTCAACTCTAAAGCAAATTTTGTTATGCAGGACTCTCACACAAAACTGCTTTCACATCTGTCATTGTCCTCTGCAAGGCAAGCTTTGAGTCTGTACTATATTTATTATGCAAATTTCTTTGAAATCTGTGTGCAGGTGTCTTTTGCCTTTCAAAATTAGTTTGCATATTAAATGTTGCATAGAAAATGATGGCCCACAAACTTTCACAGTTTTGGTCTTAATGAGAGACTGTAGAATAAAATGTATTGGATATTCAGGGTAATTCACACACAGTGGAAACAATGAAAAATACTCTAGCAAGTCCTCTGTTTCATGCTATACAAGTTGAAGAAAGCAGATATTACTCAACGTGTTTTTCTCAATTATTGCATTTTATTTGTAAAATATCTGAATAAGCAGAAATAGTACAATCCTTGCTAGAAGCATTTTTGTATGATTGTTTTTGTTTTTTCTCCAAATTTACTTTTTTCCAAGTGGCAAAATTGCTTCAAGATGTCAAATATGAACGTACTTTAAAAATGACTAAATCCTTTATAAAACATTTATAAGAACAATAAAGCATTGGAGCATTGTTGTAATAAAAGATTTTAAAGAAATAAGGTATAAGTCAGCAAATAAATTAATATCTAATTTTAAACATTACAGAAATGAACTAATCACCCTAGTCCTTTTTTCTTTGGTAAAACCTGAATTACATGATCATGAGTAAAAAATATTTTTTTAAATACTTGTATGTAATATTTAAATACCATTTAAAAAGCAATTCAGGACTTTCTGTTTTAGCTCCAACATGTAAAATGCTTGGAAGTGAGCTCTCCCATTCTTTCAATAAGAAAAAATGATGAATACACTGGAAATGAATTTTCTTGGATCCATTAAAGAAAATAACTGAGATTTCAGGGCAAATCACCACCTGAGAATCTGAAGAGACAGGCAAATTCACAGAGTGACAATTCAGATCAGGTTACTTGGAGCAGGAACTGCTGGAGCCATTAACTGCTAGGAACAATTAAATGATATTGTTGACAAATTGCTGGAGGCTGAATGTAGACTAGTATGAGAGTAAAAAACTACTGTAGGGAGGAAAAAGTTGGGGAGAGTCCACACTTTTGTAGGTTTAACCTCCAGGAACCCCACCATGTTCAAGTGCAAATTGGACAAAGATCCCATCTTGGCTCTTGCAAGGCAAGTGGAAAAGGTATCATTGTGAAATACACATATAATGTTCTTCAAAACAAAGACCTACTGTCCAGGGAAAAAGGCTCTACCTGGTCCTTAACATACTTGGATGAAAGTGATTTCTTTGACCCTAGCCCTCTCTAGCTTACTTCAACCTAAGGAGACTGGAGCGATTTGGGTAACAAACAAAAAAATTGTTCAGGTCATAGTTGAGGGGCACAGGATCACTAAACAATTAACACTAAATCATAAGATTATATAATGCTTCACTTCTCCAATATTTTAGCCCCATATCAATAGAGTTCCTGTATAAAAACAATGGACTACAACTAAAAGAACCGGAAGAATCAGACTCAATCTAAGAGTTCTTAGGGAAACCTACAGTAACAGTGGAGGCAAAAACAAGGATTCCAGCAGCATCAGATACCTCTGACTCCTACAGTTATAGGAAGAATTAATCATAGCAGAATGCTTACTCAGAACAACCTAAACCTCACACTAAAGAACCTGCTAACTCATTTTGCACTATTTAATACATAATAATAATTATTATAATTGTTAGTATAATTATTACAAATACTTGCAAAGCATCTAAAAGACAAGGAAATGACATACAGTTTGAAGGGACAAGACAGGCATCAGAATTAGCCTTAGATATTCTACAGATTTTAAAATTGACAGGAAGCTGAAATAACTATGATTAATATGTTAAAAACTCTAATGGCACATAAGTAGACAGTAGGCAAGAACAAACAAATAATGTAAGTAGAGAAGTGAAAAATCTTAAAAAGAATCAAAAGTGAAATACACGAAGAATGAAAAACACGAAGAGAAATGAAAAATGCCTATAATAGATTTATCAGTAGACTGGAAATAGATAAGGCAAGAATTTGTGAGCTGGAAGATAAGATTGAAATTTTGCAAATGGAATTGCAGGTAGAAAATATAAGGTAGAATTCTGAACAGAATATCCAAGTACCAAGAACAGCGGTATAGTTTCAAAAGGTATAGCATACATGCGATGGGGATACCTGAAGGAGAAAAAAGTAATACAGAAAAAGAAATAATATGTATAGTAATAATGGCTGAAAACTTTTGAAAATTAATGACAGAAATTAAAACATAGATCCAAGAAACTCAGCAAACCCAAAGCAGGATAAATAACAAAAAATATACTCCTAGGCATATCATTTTCAAACTGAAGAAAATGAAAGACCAACAGTACATCTCAAAAGAAGCTGTGGGGTAAGGAGGATTACCTGAACAGTAACAAGAGTAAGAATTATTGTGAACTTTATGTCAGAATCCATGCAGTAATAAGACAGTTCAGTGAAATATTTTAAATGCTGAATGAAAAAAATAACATCAATGTAGAATAATAAATCCAGTGAAATTATCCTTGTTTACTCATGAACAAGAAATGAATTTTCTCAGATAAGCCATAATGGTGGAAATTTATCAATAGACCTTCCTGTTAAGAATTTTAAATACTTTTCTTTAGGCAGAGGAAAATTACGTAGTTCTTGGATGTACATTAGAGAGAGAGAGAGAGAAAGAGAGAGAGAAAGCGAGAAAGGAAAAGGGGAAGAGAACATTGGAGAAGTAAATGAAGGCAAATAATTATTTAAAATTCCTAATTAACTTAAGAATAATACTGTTCCTTTAATTGATATTATATAATTGATATTATATAATAATATACTGGAAGATTATAGCATATGGATAATTTAGATGAATGACAGGAATGTCATAAATGATGGTAGGAAGGAATTGGAACTACTCTGTTAAAAGATACCTGCACTACTCATAAAGTGAATAGTATTATCTGAAGATAGACATAAATTAGTTAAAATTGTATATTGCAAGCTATATAGGGCAAACAGGAAAATAAATTTAAAAATAACTCATTGATATGCTAAGGCAAAAGTTAAAAGCAAATCATAAAATTCTCAGTTAAAACCAGAGAAGAAAGAAAAATACTAGGAATTAAAATGAAGCACAGAACACATTCAATGAATAGAAAACTGTTACAAATATGAAAGGTATTAATCCAACTATATCAATTATCACTTTAAATAGGAATCATGAAAATATACCAACTAAAAGAGAAAGTTTTTCAGAATAATAAAAAAAGTCTCTATTATATGTTGTCTAAAGGAAATCTACATTAAATATCAACGCAGCTTAAAAGTAACGGTTTAGAGAAAGATACAACTTCAATACAAATCAGAAGAGACCCAGAGTAGCTCTATTAATTTCAGACAATGCATACTGCAGAACATTGAAAAAATATCCTATTCAAACGAGGAATGGAAAAAATTATCAGTTTAAAAGGTATTATAAAATAATGACAAAAGGGTCAATTCTCTAAGGTATCATGACAATCTTTAATATGTATGCGCCTAATAGCAAGACATTAAATTATAAATGGCAATTTATAAATAGAAATTCAAACAGAAATAGACAATACTACCATTATAGTTGGTAACTTTAACAATTTTTCTTTTAAAAATTGATAAATCAAGGAAGTAAAAAAAACAATAAGAATAGAATATAATTGAATGAAAAACACCATTAATTAATTTCATCTAATTGACATTATACCACATCCAATGACATCAGAGTACATATTCTTAAGCTTGTATGCAAGATTTAGACTACATTCTGGGCCAGAAAAACATACCTTAACAAGTTTCAAAAAGCAGAAATCATAAAAGACAGATTTCCAGATAGCAATACAATTAACAAGATATAAATAAAAGGAATAGAGCTGGACAATGCCCTAATGTTTGGAAATTAAATAAAACATTTCTAAATAACATCTGGATCAAAAAATTCTCAAGATAAATTTTAAAATGTCTTGAAGTTAAAGAAAATGTATCAAAATTTGTGGGATGCAACAAAAACAGTGCGTAGAGAGAAAATAGAGGCATAAAATGTATATGTAAGAAAAGAAAAATTAAAAATCAATAATTTGTACGCTTACCTTAGAAAACTAGAGAAATAAGAGAAATTTAAGTCTACAGCATGCAGGAAAAAATAAATATTAGAGCAGAAATTAATAACATTGCAAATAGGAAAACAATAGAGAAAAAGAAATAAAAAAACAAAAGCTATATTTTTAAATCAATAACTAATAAACTTCTCCCCAAAAGTTCAAGACCCAGATGACTTCACTACTGAATTCTACAAAACAATTAAGATAAAAATAATATCAATTCTCTAGAATATTTTCTAGATAATGAAGCAAAGGGAAAAATTCTCTGATTTTAGGATATTTTATCACCCAAATATTCAAATCAGAAAAAGTCATTACGAGAAAAAAAAGATCATGGTAATGTCTCTCGTTAATGTAGATGCAAAAATCTTGAACAAAATATTAGAAAATTGAGCCTAAGCCTACATTGGAATCGAACACAATAATCAATATGCATTTATTCCAGGTATGCAAGGCTGGTTAAATATGAAAAATATCTTAAATTTTATTAAACCTTAAATTCAACCAATGTAATCCCCCACATCAGTATGCTTAAAAGGAAAAATTATACTATCACATCAATTCATGCAAAAAAGAATTTGACAAAATTTTACAATAATATATGATAAAATTCTCAACAAAGTAAGAGTAGATGGGAACTTTAACTTGATAAAGAACATCTACGAATAACCTACATTTAACATTAATGGTAAGAAACTAGATATTTTCTCATTAAGATCAGGAAAAAGCCAAGATTTTGTCTACTCATCATCATACTAAAAATTCTAGGCTATGCAGTAAAAATAAAAAAAGTAACTAAAAATAGAGTTCGAAAAGGATGAAATAAACTGTCTTTGTTTGCAGATTACATGACTATCAAAATAGAAAATCATACTCATGTAACAAACCTGCACATGGACCCCCATATCTAAAATAAGTGTTGAAATGAAATAAATAAAAATTATAAACAAAGAAAATCAAAGGAATAGAACAAATTGACATTAATAGATGAGCACTTTAAGGTCATAGGATACTGTGTTAATGTACAAAAATAAACTGTTATTCTCTACAACAGAAATGAACAATTGAAAGTAGAAATTAAAAGAAATTAATAGCTTCCAAACATGAAACACTTAAGTAACAATTTAATAAAATATATAAAAGTTCTACATGTATCAAAAACTACAAATATTGTGTGACAAAAGTACAAGAAGATATAAACACAGGCATATTTATAATATGTATTGAAAGACTAATCTATTGTGAAGCTGTCAATTCTTCTCAACTTGACATTCAGATTTAATTTAATCCCAAATAAAAACCTTGCAAGCTATTTTGTAGATATTTGCAAATTCTAAAGTTTGTCAAGGTGAAAGACCTAGAATAGCCAACAAAATACTGAAGAGAAGGCATCTTCCCCTCCCCCTTTTCCCTTATCCCTTCGCTTTCACTTTAAAAAAAATACTGAAGAGAAGAAAAATGTTGGAGGATTCCCACTACCTGCTTTTGGCAATTATGAAGCTATTGTAATCCAGACAGTGTGGTATTAATGAAAGAAGAGATATATGAAGTTATAGTAATCCAGACAGTGTGATAGTGGTGGAAGAAGAGAAATATGGATCACTGATAAAATATGGAGAGCCTAGGAATAGAATTATGCAAATATAGTCAGTGGAGTTTTTACCAAGTGGTAAAATCTTCCCAATCAATGAAGCTAGGACACTGGATAACCAAATGCACAAAAAATTAATTTAGACACAAATTTTACATTTACCACAAAAATTAACTCAAAATGAATTGTAGACCTAAATATGAAATACACAACTATGAAACTTGTAGAAGTAAACATAAGAAAAATCTATAAGGCCTTGGGTTAGTGATGAGTTTTTAGATACAATATAGAAATTATATCATGATTCATGAAAGAAAAAAATTTCTGAGTTAGACTGTATTAAAATTTAAAACTTGTTGAAGAGACACTGTTATAAAATGAACAACAACACTAAAAGCTAGCCACAGAATGAGATAACATGTTGGCAAACATTTCTGATATAGGACTTGTATCACAAATATACAAATCTTTAAAACTGAGGAGTAAGAAATCAAAAAAGCAAGTGTATTATTTTATTCAAAATTTACATATATCTAATCTTAGCAGAAACTAGAATAAGGCTTGAAAAAGGGTCTATCTTATCAAGCTCATGTTATTCAAATTTATTTCTAATTGCATTTTAGATAAAACATAAAAATATAGGCAGACAAGACTAGCTATAAGGAGGGAATGGGAAAGATGAATTTAGAATTACAGATTTTGTTTCATCAATTTAGAATAATGAGATCATCAACTAATTGCATGAAGAACAAGAAGTTCACGTATAGCAAGAGAATTCCTGACCTATTGATATCTAATTATTTTAAAAATTGTATTTTAAAATATTTGTGTATGAAAAGATGCTTCACATTATATAGAGAAATATAAATTAAAAGAAAGAGAACCTATACGCCTGTTAAAATGGCCAAATCCAGAGCACTTAACAGCGTCAATTCCTGGGAATAATGTGGAGCAATAGGAATTAATTCATTGCTGGTGGAAATGCAAGATGATCCAGGTACTCGGAAAAACAATTGGGCAGTTTCTTGCAAAATTATACATACTCTCACCATACGATCCAGCATTTGCGCTCAAAATGAGTTGAAAACTCACACAAAAGTCTGCACACAGAAATTTTAAAGATCTGTTTATTTTTATTTACCGTGTCATTTTTATTATGTTCGATTTATTCCAAAAGTCAGTGTCTCTTTCCTCTTAGCCATATCAACCTTTTTTTTTTTTTTTCTGAGACGGAGTTTCGCTCTTGTTGCCCAGGTTGGAATGCAACAACGCGATCTCGGCTCACTGCAACCTTTGCCTCCCCAGTTCAAGCTATTCTCCTATCTCAGCCTCCTGAGTAGCTGGGATTATAGGCGCCTGCCACTATGCCTGGCTAATTTTTGGTATTTTTAGTAGAGACGGGGTTTCACCATGTTGGCCAGGCTGGTCTCGAACTCCTGACCTCAGGTGGTCCGCCCGCCTCGGCCTCCCAAAGTTCTGGGATTACAGGCGTGAGCCACTATGCCCAGCCTATAGTTTTTAGAAAGTTTGACCTACACATCCCCGCCCCTCCCTTTTTTTTTCTTCTTATTTTTCCCTCCTTTTAATTTTATGGAATTGTCCTCTTTTTGCATTCCTCTTGCTCTCTGATTATCCTTCTCTATTTTTGCTTAGTACTTTGATTCCAACATGCTGCAGGTTAACGTTTCCCTGGCTTCTCTTTTCTACCATCTTGCCTAACTGATTCTGTCTTGATGATGTTAAGCACGTTATAGCTTTATCTGTTTTCTTTCTGCATATGATTCTTTCCTTTTAGAATGTAAGCTTCACCAGGGCACTTGTTTTTTTTCCTCCACTCATGTTTTCCAATAACAGTGGCTGCCACTGTTATAATAGGCAATCAGCAAGTAATTGCTCATGGAATCACTTCCAAATGTACACTCCCAATGAATCTCAAAGCTTAACATGCATCAGAATCACCTAGGGTGTATGCTTCAGATGCATACTTCCAAGTCCCATGCTAAAGGATTCCTGTTCAGTGGTGCAAACCAGAAATCTTCATTTTTAACAAAGTTGCTTGGTAACAGATGCTGTTCTTGCTTTGAGAAACACTGGATTAGATATGTATTTTTAACTGCTACTAACCAAACATCTTTGGCTCGATATACTTTTAATACTTTAAAATAAATATTTGTAAATCCACACTTTTTATTTCATAAATATTTGCCTTTTTGTTTCTATGACTGTAGTCTTTCTCACTTTTCTCCCATATTAAAAAAAGGCCTCCATTTTTCTGTATACATTTAAGGTTTTGTCACTATCTCTTCCTTCCTTTGGGTATTTATTTGCCTCCACTGCCATTTTATTATTTTAGAAACTCATAGAATTTTAGAATGTTATAACTAAAGATATTATTACTACATAGACAATTTTATGTTCTTGAAGAATTTGAAAATAAAGATTAAAATAACTCACCATAAATTTAGAACAGGAGACTAAAACTAGAAATATGTAAACATTCCCTAAGTGAACAAATTAATTATTAGACTTTGGTTCCTGACCTAAAATTTTTATTTATATTATATTTAGTATTATATTACATTATATTGCACTAAATTATAGTGTATTTTATTGTTTCTATTTTGAATTTAGTCATATTACTTTTAAAATTTATTTTTAAGAAGAAAATATATACACAAGATAGTATTTTAAGTACTTTGGGGGTTATGTGGATAAAATCAGCAAAAAGATCATGTATTCATGTACTTTATAGACTTAAAGAAAAGGGAAACATAGGGAGACAACTCTGTTAAAGAGAAGAATGCTTTAAGTATTACAAAAAAAGAATAAAAAGTTCAACTTTTGTGTTTGTATGTGTATGTGTTATGTGTATATATGACATTATGCATTTGTGAAAGCATATGTTCACTGATTAACTCAATTAACAATTTGGAATAATTTGGAATAAAGAAAAAATAATCATTTAATTTCTGACAATATAATGCCTGCCTGTCATTATGGCAAATGAAACATTAAACTTATTTTTAAATTTTGAATACTCTCTTCTTTACTTTTTCTCTCTAGAAATACGAAAAATGTCTCTTCTACTTAAACAAAAAGCTTTGCACAAAATGAACAGACATGTATGTTAAATGGAGACGATGCTAGAAAAAATCAATCAATAGGAATGGAATAGCAGTAGATATTTATAGTAAAGCAGTAAAAAGATAAATTCAAATATTCTTTAACTTTAGCTCCCTTGAAGACTACTTCTATTATGAATAGCAATATATTCAGCTTAAATATGAAAAAAATGCTCAGTATGTATATCTATTTAGTTTGATTCTTACTCTGAAGCACCAGGTGCATAAGATAAAATTTTAAAATTCAAATTTTACATGATTTTAGTAATGACCAATTGTTTTGCTTTTCCATTATGCTAACTCCATTTGTCAGTTTTACCTTTGAATGGTGGAGGAAAATAAGTAAATGGTGACTTAATAGAAAATCACTTTGAAAGTGTAATAAAGTAATGTTTTTAGTCAATTTATTTTAATTTACATTTTCCTTTTCAGATATGGCTTTCTCTGTGGACATTCTAAGACATTCATCCGCCCTGCTGGGGATGTGGGAAATGAGCAGTTTTGAATAAATCTGATGTAGCAGATGTGAAATAAGGCATTCATATTTTAATCATGAAATGTACATCTTTATTGAAACAGTAGTTTTAAATCCAGTTTTTGTTAGGAAAGAAAATAATTTCTAAATTTTCTAACTTCCTTGAATGCTAGTAAACATATTATAATTAGGTCTGGTGGACCCGATCACACAGTTTTTTATAGAACATAGAGTGTAGGCTGGGCACAGTGGCTCACGCCTGTAATCCCAGCACTTTGGGAGGCCAAGGAGGGCAGATCACAAGGTCAGGAGATCAAAACCATCCTGGCTAACATGGTGAAACCCTGTCTCTACTAAACATACAAAAAATTAGCCGGGCTTTGTGGTGGGCACCCATAGTCCCAGCCATCCCGGAGGATGAGGCAAGAGAATCGTTTGAACCCGGGAGGTGGAGGTTGCAGCGAACCGAGATCACGCCACTGCACTGCAGCCAGGGCGACAGAGCAATACTCTGTCTTAAAAAAAAAAAAAAAAAAAAGGAACATAGAGTGTATATTTTCTGCAATTTCCCAAAGTAGTCAATAGACTTCAAATTTACAAACTTTTCTAAGTACTACCTTGCTAGTTTAATTTTAACTGTCTCTGTGGCATAATGTTCTATTTGTTATGGTGTTGTCCATTTCTTTATCGCTAAAAAGGCCTGACTTGAAGCTTTGTTCAGTGAGACCGAACTCAATCTTTTAGTGAAATTTGATGTCACAGCATATGTATATAACCTGCCCTTTCTGGTGCAGCTTATTATGGAGTATATCTGAAAGATAGAAATAGAATAAGAACATATTGAGACACATGTTTTGCAGCCCTCTCATTCTGTATACTTCCTAGAGAGAAGTGTTTAAAAAATTGAGAGTAATTCTAGGAAAAATGTTTGAGACACAGGAAATGAACAAATGCCAACTTGCGATTAAAATAAACCTAGTAGAAGAGCATGTTTAGGTCTTTATTTTCCTCTAGCTGCCAATGCTTGGTTTCTGGGTGTGTGAACTCCCATAGGCCCTTAGGGAGTTTATGTGAAAGTTGGTTGGGCTTGATTGATAATCTTTTCAGAAGGTGTCAAAGTGTCTCAGTGGTAATAGAACTTAAGGGCAAGCCGACTGGATGGAGAAAAATGTGAATTATATCCGAGGTGTGGGGAACTCCAGGAGCTGACATGGAGTTTCAGGGAAAATTGTTGGGCATGACTCAATTGAGAGGGAATAGACCCATGAGAATCAGATACACAGTCTTAAATCTCCAAGTTCCAGAAAGATGAACAGTGGAAGGTGGAAAAGGACCATTGCTGGATAAACCATACAAGTTCATGGGCAATATAAGCATCTAATATGGATTTAATATAGGAGGTTATATCTTTACCACCCCTACGAGCTCATGCAAGACCTTCTTCATACATGAAAACATCAGTAACAGGGAGGAAGAGAAGGAAAGCCTGGATATTTAAACAAAACAGGCTGAAATACCCAAAGAGAAAATTTAGATCTTTGAAATAAACTGTGAATGTTGGACTGATCTCAATTTATTAATTTTTTATTCTTATACTGCTCAGTAGGGTGAGGACCTCAAAAGGAGAGCCAAATTGATTATAGAAAAAAAAGTGTTACATTTTATTTTTTGTATTTTTAAATGTACTGTAATTGAATTTACAATGTTGGCATATAGTACATTCTTAACATGCATGTCTGTAACCAAATCTGTATCTATCTATCTATCTATCTATCTATCTATCTGTTAATCCATCCATTCATCCATCCATCCATCCATCCATTCATCTATCTATATTTCTCTTATGACTATATATCACTTGGGAAGAATTGAACATTTTATATGTAATGTGAATGATTTTTCTTAGATTAAAATAAAAGCTAGAATTAAAAACCTAAATAGGTCAAAATTCAAATACTGAAAACAATAAAATTAAAACATTATATTTATATATTGGAAAGCCCCTTTATTTTATTTAAAACATATTCAAACTCTATACCTCAACATTATTAACTCTTTGTTGTTCTTACAGTATATCATTATTTAGAAAATTATTTTAATAATTAAAAAATACATTTATAACAATTTTATTTAGAAAAAATGGCTCTTTTGCAGAACACTCTGGATGGTTTATAAAAAATTCTTTATTTTCCTGTAGACAAAATGTTTTAATGCTCTGTATAAAACAAACTAAATAATATAAAAATATAATTTCCTACAAAAATTTATTGCAACATATAATCAGGTTTTATATATGTAGCATGAATGACTTACATTAGCTATAATCCATTGTCTTTTGATGTTGTGCTTTTCCATATTTTACTTTATACAAATATTGACATTCAATATCATCTCTCATTTTAGGAAATAATCATATATTTTGTGGTTTCTGTGTTTTATTAATCCCTTCTTCTTGTTTATAAACTAAAAAGTCAGAATGTCTCTTGATGTTATAAAATTATTAATAACTAGTAAGAGAAGACTTTTTAATAGGATTTCATTTTTCAGAGTAACAAAATGCTTAATTTACTACTCTTGAATAATGATCTTTTGGAAAGTCATGTAGACAATGGGGTTTCATGTGTTAATTATTAAAACATAATTGCAATTAAAGTTATTGTTACATTTGAACATCATATTTATTTGTTATGTGAGAATTTTAAATAAGACTTGACATTTAATAGTTCCTGGCTATAAAACAAAGAAACAATGAATTTTAAAAATATAATTCCAATTAATGTGTCTTGAAATTCAGAGGTATGAAAATTAACATCAACAAACAGACTTTACTTTCAAAGAAAATAATAACTTTAACTTTCCACCATTAGTTAATTTCAAAATTCAAAGAAAGGCATATTTGATATAGCATATATACCTAATTTAAGATGTGTTCACTATTCTTTAAATGTTGTAATAAAGTATTTCTTTTATGGAAGGAAATTCTACATATATACTGAGGAGTTAGCAGAATATGTTCTTAGAGGGACAGGGACTTCAGTATGCAATGATACTTCCTTTCTTAGCACTGGTTCATTATTCTCAGATGGCACAGACAGGCACTCGGAAGACTTTAGTTCTTTGCCCAAAATCACACAACTGCTGTCAAAAAGAACAGAAGAGCCCAGAGCCTGGGCTTCTAACCACTGTATCTGATGATCTCCCCTTGATATCTCTTCTTTACAGAAAGAAAATGTCTACTTCCTGAGAAAGACTGATAAGAATCTAAAAGGCATAATTTTCTCATAAAAGGGTAAGCATGAGCCAAACATGAAAACAGTTCTTAATGAGGATATAGCTAACTAATAGGGCACTTGATGTGGCAATAGTCGACATCACTGAGATTATAGAGGACATGAGTCTTACTAACTAGAAATTGTCATTTTTATGGAGGATGAATTAGAAGCAGAAGAGAAACATTCTTGGACATAAATCACAGTTCATGTTCTCAAGAATTGTTAAGAGGCTGTAACAGTGAAATTCTTGAGTCTTAGGTTTTGTATATAGTTGATTTTATTACATAATCAAATTGTTTAATAAATTGATCTCACTAATTTTCACATTACTAGATAAATGTAAACATTGCTCTATATTCCTGTTATTCCTTGACTTCATAAATTTTTACATTTTGTGTCATGTAAAAGGGTATAATTTTTTAACAAGTATCTATCGAGGTTTTTTGCCCATTTTACTACTGTGGTACTTCCCTTATTCTTCTTTTCCCCTGGAGATTTTTAAAAATGTTGATTATTAATTACTTTTCAGTTATCTATTAAATAAGTAGCTTCTACCAGTTTAGGGATAGCTGTTTCACTGTTCTATGGGGTCCATTTACTTTTTTAAAAAAAGTTATTCAATTTTAATTTAATAAGACTTATTTAACTTTGTTAATACTTAGATATAATGTACTTTGTAGAAAAATTAAGACCTGGGCGATTGGAAGCTCCCAAAAAAAAGATACAAAACAGTGTGCAAATCCTGCACCAGCATTCGAGGTATCCAGGTTCTGTCATTGGGACTGACTAGGTAGCTGGCATGACCACGGTCCACCTAAGAGCCACACAGGGCAGGGAAGCCCCCACCCCCAGCCAAGGGAGGTGGTGAGTGAGTGTGCTATCCAGCCTGGGAAACCATGCTTTTTTCATGGAACTGTACAACCCATGGATTGGAAGATCCCACTCGTGAGCCCATGACGCTAGGGTCTTGGTTTCCAAACACAAAGCCGCACGGATTCTCAACAGCCAGCCACTGGCTAGAATCGGCCTAAGCCTGCCATATTACCAGGGAGAGGGGATGCCATCACCACTGCTGTCTACAGGCAATTGATTTTCAACAGGCAATTGATTTTCAACAAAGGTGCCAGAAACATACATTGGTGAAAGAACAGTCTCTTCAGTAAATGGTGCTGGGAAAACTGGACATGCATATGCAGAACAATAAAGCTAAACCCTTTCTCAAACCATATACACAAATAAACCTCAAATGGATTAACCCCAAATTATAAAACCAACAGAAAAAAAAAAAAAAAAGAAAAAACACAGGAAAATGCTTCAGGACATTGGTGTAGGCAAATGTTTTATGACTAAGACTTAAAAGAACGTAACAAAAACAAACATAGACAAATGGAGCTATATTAAACTAAAAAGCTTCTGTACAGCAAAGAAACTACTCAACAGAATTAAGAGACAACATGTAGAATGGGTTGGAAGAATTAATATTGTTAATTAGTAATTAATGATGAACTAGCTAAAAAAGGAGACAATAAAACAATTTCATGTGCTGGCCGGGCACGGTGGCTTACGCCTGTAATCCCAGCATTTTGGGAGGCTGAGGTGGGCAGATCTGTACAAGATCAGGAGCTCAAGACCAACCTGGCCAGCATGGTGAAACCCCGTCTCTACCAAAAAAGTACAAAAAGTTAGCCGGGCATGGTGGCGTGTGGCTGTAATCCCAGCTACTCCGTAGGCTGAGGCAGGAGAATTGCTTGAACCCAGGAGGCGGAGGTTGCAGTGAGCCGAGATCGTGCCACGTCACTCCAGCCTGGGTGACAGAGCAAGACTGTCTCAAAAGAAAAAGAAAAACAATCCCATTTGCAATATCTAAAAAAATAGTTAATTTGCAAACTATTAATCTAACTAGGGACTAATATCCAAAATATACAAGAAATTCAAACTCAACAGCAAAACATATTAAATAATCCCATTAAAAAGTGGGCAAAGGATTTGACTAGACATTTCTCAAAAAAAAAATCCATACAAATGGCCAATAGGTATATGAAAAATGCTCAACATCACTAATCATCAGAGAAATGCAAATCAAATCCACAATGAGATATCATCTTATCTCAGTTAGAATGACTATCATTAATAAGATAAAAAATAACAGATGCTGGCAAGGATGTGGAGAAAAGGGAATACTTACACACTGTTGGTGAGAATGTAAATTAGCACAATCATTATGAAAAAGTATAAAGTTTAAACAAAAATAAAAAGAAAACAACCAAAAATAGTACTATCATAAGAGCTACTGATTATTTATTCAAAGGAAAGGAAATCAGTATATTGAAGGGATCCCTGCACCCTCATTGTTATTGCAGCTATACTCACAATAGCCAAGACAGCAAATCAATCTAAGTGTTGATCAACAGATGAGTGGATGCAAAAAGTGGTATATATACACAATGAAATACTATTTGTCCAGAAAAAAAGAATAACATCTTGTCATTTGCAGCAGCATGGATAGCACTGAGGTCATTATATTAAGTGAAATAAGCCAGGCCTAGAAAGGCCAATATCATATATTTTCACTCATATGTGGGAGCTAAAAAGGTTGATATCATGGAGGTAGAGAGTAGAATGATGGTTATCAGAGGCTGGAAAGGGTGGAGGGATAGGGGAAGGTTGCTTAATGGGTACGAATATATAGTTAGATAGAAGGGATAAGTTCTAGTATTCAATAGCACGGTAGGGTGAATATGGTTAACAATAATTTTAGTGTATGTTTTCAGAAAAGTAGAAGAGAAGATTCTGAATGGTCATAACACTAAGAAGTAATAAATGTTTAAGGTGATTGGTACGCTAATTACACTGATTTGATCGTTACACATAGAATACATGTATCAAGATATCACACTGTATTCCATAAATATGTACAATTATTAAATATTAACTAAAAATAAAAGAAAAAAATAATGGTTATATTTAATCTTGTGGTTTGAGTGAGATACTGAGTACAGTTAAAATTTTCAAAAATCTTTTAAAATTATTATTTGACAGATTATGATAATTAAAAATAATATAATAGCAAATTATAGACACAGAAAGAATCAACTCTTTAAATTTATAATACCTATGTTCATAAGATTCTAACAATAGACACACAACTTCAATATTTCAGTATAATACTTATACAGATATGTTTGTGTGTAAATGTGTACGTGTGTGATGCCTAAATTAAAATATAAAAGTAAAAAATTAATTCAACAGACATTTAATGAACATATATGTTTCAGAATCTGAGCTTGCCATCACCTGGTTTGGAACAGATAAAAATATGTACCTCTTGACCTTAAATATTTCCAAAGTTAATGGAGGGAAATTGATTCAATATGATGAGTTCACTGGCTATTCTGCGATGTAACACATGCTAAAATAAAGGTATAAACAAAATGTTTTAGGAGTGTCAAGAATGGAATGATTACATGCCAACTCAGAAGATTATTTTTAAAATTCATAAAATATATGTCAAAGCTATTTATATAAAAGTGACTAAAAATCCAGGAATTTTGCACTTAAGTCAAAAGATAATTGATTACATTTTTTGAATATTCTAGTCTAATATTTTTCAGAAAGTCTTTCTAGCTTTAGACCCATTCAGGCATTAAAATGGAAATTTTAGCTATTGCTCAGAAATTTGAACTTAAAATTTAAACTTAGAAGAGATTTCATATTCTTATAATTTTGCTGAATATAACACATTTGTTCTGAACACCTTCTAACAGAAAGACTTCTTCATTTATACTTTATTTACCACACAGGGAATTTGTTTTATAAAACACATTTACACACATGTAAATGATTTACATATAGTCATGCATATATCCAAATAAAATTATTTTCTTTTGCCTCACACATAAATGGAAAATATTATTTAATAAATAATACAAAGCTCTGAGGATTTATCTTGAAAATAAATAAAATGATAGTTTAATAAATTATTAAATAAATAATAAACAATAATATAATTATTATTTATAATTAATAAATATGATAATTAATAAATAATAATCATTTAATTAATATATAAATATAGGAACCATGGTGCATATAAAAGTAAACCCAGACATCTTATTTACTAGGAATATAATATTACTGCTATATTTATGATTAATATTTAAATATAATCACTATATGCTAAATACCATATGAATAATGTAGATTTTCATGAAATCGAACAGGATGAGTTGGTTTGTGATTGGGAGTAAGAGAAAGTTCATATACTGGAGCAAGGCCTTAGAAGGTAGATAAGACCTTTCTACAGATTGGCTGCCTAGGTAAGTAGATTGTAAGATGGATACCTGCAAGAAGAATTTTAGGGACTGCTATTGGAATTATTATTAAGGAAGCAGGCTTACACAGTGGGAGAATTAAGGCTGCCACATTTCAAGAAACCATCAACCAAAGTCAAGGAGATCTTGGGGCTGGTATAGCCCTTCATATTTTTTGTTGCTGTTGTTTTGAGACAGAACTTTGCTCTTGTCGCCCAGGCTGGAGCTCAGTGGCACAATCTTGGTTCACTACATCCACTGCCTCCTGAGTTCAAGCAATTCTCCTGCCTCAGCCTCCCAAGTAGCTGGGATTACAGGAGCCCACCACCACGTCCGGCTGAACTTTGGGAGGCCGAGGCGGGAGGATCATTTGAGGTCAGGAGTTCCAGACCATCCTGGCCAACATACTGAAAGCCCTTCATTGTTATCATGAGATGAGGCAATAAGCCAGAGAATTTACACTTACTTGTTGATGAGTTCCTGGATGTGGGCTACCCCAAGAAGGAGTCATAATCATGGGCATGGCAACTCAGACAATTATGAAGGCTTACAGCTTCTGTTTTCTTACTTTCAACAGCTAGGGCAATACATACTTTAGTCCAAAGAGGGAATATGGATGGCACACATAAGAGCAGCCATTGTAGACTTTAACAACCAGAAATAGTAGGAAACGCAATTCCAGTAAATGCAAACAGCATTAACGTATGTTTCATATATGTAGGAAAGTGCAGATTAGTTTCTGGTTTGCCCGTAGCTTAGAAAGGAGCAAAGAGAACAAAAGTCTAGAAAAGTAATTTTGACCACATTGAGACCCTGGAATATTATTTTTAGGTCTTTGAATCTTGTTTTGAAGACACTTTGTTAGTATAACATTTGCATGGTTATTTAGAGAAGTTGATGAATGGGAGCTAGAATGAGAACTTGAAATGGACACAAAGTGCCTATGGTATTGAAGTATTCCAGGTGGGAGGTAATGAGAATACTTTGTGTATTATCAGTAGATATGAATGGAAAGTAGCAGATTCCGAATAAAATTCATAAATAATACCAGCAAAAAATTCATAAGAGGTTACTGGATACTAAGCATTTTACATGAATCATTTTATTTGCGCTTCATAATAATGCCAAAAGAAAAATGCTATTATTATTGTTCACATTTTACAGAAGAGAATTCTGAAAAACAGGCTGTTTAAGTAACACAAAGTAAGGTCACATAACTTGTAAGTGGTTGTACCTGCATTCAAACATAGGCGATTGACTCCAGAGTTAGCGTGTGTGTGTGTGTGTGTGTGTGTGTGTGTGTGTGTGTGTGTTGACGAATTCTCAGACTTGGTAACTAACAGAGTAATAATAATGTGGGAAAAAGAAAGAAGTTTCCTTAAGTTCCACACTAGAGTGGCAAATGATATTGTTAAGAAAATTAAAATTATAAGAATAAGACAAGGTTTAAGGATAAAAGTATGAGTTTTGTTTTGATCACATACATATGATCTAAACATATATATATAAAATATATATATTTGACAATTCATCTAGGTAAAAAAGAAATATAATACAAAAGAGAAGTTGAGATTACAGTGTAAATTTTCAAAGTTTGCTTATCAGAGATACACTGTCGGCGTTAAGATACTACAGAACACGAATAATTTTACATACAGTCCTGGAAATTTGATCAGTCATAATATTCCAAAATAAATAAATATTAGCATCCTTAGATGCTAATTTACTACTGTTTCATGTGCTATGTTTTCTTTCATTTTATTTTCAGAGTTATCTTACCTGTACTACTTGATTCATGATATCTTCTAATTAGACAAGTAATCATCTATTCTGATTTTACTTTGCTTGGCCACCTTTTACATTAGGGGGTATACATTGCTCACTTACAGCTTTCAGAAGCTTCAGGAATGAACATGACCACATTTTCCCTGTATACTTATACTCTCAAGTAATAAAGATATGTAAACCTTTGAGAGTTATGCAGGAAGAAAGGAATAACCTCATCTTTACCCACACCCACCATGATTTGTTCATAGTTGCTCCTCATGTTTTCACCTGATTAATACCTATTATTTGCTTCTTCAGGAGTGCAAATATAACCCACATAACAATTTGGTGCTTAGTATTAATTTTTTCATAGAATTGTTTAATGCCTTTAAGAGATAGTAATTTAAAAGCAAACACATTTAATTTGAAGAAGTTTTACTTTATTAAGGGAGAAATTTTGTTGGAATGCTTGCAACTGGACACTTAGCAGTATCAGACAAGCTTGCATGACTGTAAACTGCAGAATTTATACAAAAAAGCCATTAAGTTTATCTAAATTATGACATGGATTCTAACCACGCAGAATAAGGAAGAAAACTCTTGTTGAGGCTCAGGAGTAAGAGGAAAGGATTAGAGATCAGAAGTGATTGTTTCGCTTTTCTCTTGTCAAAACCCCAGTGAGATGGAGATAGAAACTCAGCTTGGCATAGAGGAATCTGGCCACATTTTGCCTGGTGCTCTTCTCCTCCAGCATATCCTGTGGGTTCTAAAATATTTCAGATGATCAATGTGTTGGTCAGAGTGTCATGTCCAACATAACATAAGAATCCATTATAGTATAAGCACAATAGCAAAAGTAAGGTGATTAAGCATATTGAATGAGCAGGGTGGGTGATAAAAGGTGAATGTTAAATTTCTTGTAAAATTTTGACTTTATTACTATAGAGGCAATGAGAAGTTAAAGTCTGTATATATAGTAGTCTTATGATCTCTTTTACTTCCTATACAAAGCACTCTAGTGGCTATAGACAGAAACTATGGAGATGGTAGTGGAGACTGAGACTTGTAAAGGGGAGACTAGCTACTCGTCTGCCACAGTAGTTCATGCCAAAAATGAGAATAGCTTTAACTAGGTTTGAATAAAGACATTGTGGGAGGTAATCAGATACATGAATTATTTTAGAGGTAAAATTTAAAAGACAAGTAATGAAATCGTGGTGAGCTATAGAGAAAAGAAGGAAGGTAGATCATACCAAAGTTTTAAGTCCAAGCTTCTGAGTGGGTGGTGGTAAAATGTGTTGAGATGGATTCATAAAGGTATCAGAGTTTATGCTACTAAATATCTAAATTCAATAACTCATCTCTTTGCCTTATTTTCATGCCTATCCAGCTATCTCCTAGTGATCATTTTTCTTCCCTTGTAGCTTGTCTATAGGGGAAATAAATTAATGGTTAGACAAACACAAATGTCTGACCTACCTCCCGTAATATCCTCACTGCAAATTAATTAATTGCCTTTCTGGACTACATACTTTGTGTTTTGTGAGTTAATCAGTGAAGGTTATCTTTTAAAATTCTAATCAACAGTGTGAACTAACAAGTCTTATAGTATAGACTCCTTAGATAATACAGAAAATTTAAAAATACCTTGGTGAACTAACTACCAAGTGGAAAAACCCTACACTACCATTCTCTTTCCATTCAATTTTCCATATCCGTCTATCTTCAATAGACTATACAAGAAATATGAAATTCATATTTCTGATCAATGAGAACCTTTAACATCTTTTTGCAGAAACTAATGCAGAGCGCACTCAACTGACACAACAAATATAGCATTTGGAAAGAAATATCAAAATTAATCTGAATTTCCCCAAGGTCTATAAATTCTTGATGACACATTGCACTATTTTTTTCCACTGGAGAATTAGTTGTCTTACACTCAGACCCATTATGTCTCCTCTTTCTCTCTTATTTTTCTCCACTCTGTCCCCTTCCTGAGACATTTCTGGAATGAATCAGTTTGCCAGCAAATTCTCTTCTTAATCCCTGAAGGCACTGAAGTTTTTCCAGAGATGATTGTTAGTCCAAGCATATAAAAAGGTTTACTCTTTGGGAGATTCCCATTATTTGTTATTTTGAAAACCAGCTAAAGCTCCATTGCTCCAGTAAAGCAGAAAACATTTGTCAATCATCCGTGGAAATCCCTTATCGGCAGTTTCCTGTCTATAGTTTAAAGAAAAAAAAATCATGGCTCTTACCATAATACAGTAAAAAGCAGCTCTTTAAGCAAACCTATTGAGCCCACCTCAATTTTCTACAGAAAACATTGTAAAGAGAGGTTGAAATATTTTTATTTTCACTTTTCTGAAGGAAATTTATTAGAGATTGAAAATGGTACTATCATTTATTTATTTTTTTGTCACATAGCTGTGACTCTATACTTAATACCTTTGACCATGTGTGTACTCTAATTAGCAATACACACCCAGACATAGTTTTGTTAATATTTGAGAAACTAAGGAGTAGTTTATGGTTTTGGACATTAACAGAATGCCATAAGTAAGTCATTATGAATGTAATTATTAACATATATAGATTGAATAAAAATATTGTATAGGCATCCATGAAGTTACATGAATATTATATAAGAAAGTAATAACCCCAATAGTTTAACACACTCTAGCGGTGCCTGAGGGGCTGACAACCTCATTCAATCCTATGTCCCAGCACTAAGTTAAGCATTTACATCCTAATTTGACTAGCGAGATAGCTAAATGATACAACAAAAACAATGACTGTTTTCTTCAATTGCTGGAAAAGGTCTGTTTATATGGTGAAACTTGGTCTTAGATTTACTTCATTGTTTCAAACAGGTAGTGAGACTGTGGAGGTGGGAGACACAAGCCTGATATTCCTCTAAATCTGGAGGCTACAAAAATCAAGTAGGGACATAGAAAGAGGAAGCAAAATTACATTTCTTTGGCATATACTAAGGATCAGACTTTAGATTAGGTGAGTGCTTCTCACACATTAGGCAGCATGTGAGTCCTGTGTTACAGTGCAGATTCTCACTCGGTAGGCTTGGGCTCTGGCCTAATATACTCTCAGTGGAGTACCTGTGCTGCTCCTCACCTGGAAGCAAGACGTAGGTACAATTTTTTAAAAATAATATATATATATATATTTATATATTGTAAGTGCTGCAGTACTGATAAAAATTTTCAATTAAAAAAAGTAAAATTGTGGCTGGGCACGGTGGCTCATGCCTGTAGTCTCAGCACTTTGGGAGGCCGAGGGGGGCAGATTAACTGAGGTCAGGAGTTCAAGACCAGCCTGGCCAATATGCTGAAACCCCATTTCTACTAAAAATACGAAAATTAGCGAGGCATGGTGGCACGCGCCTGTAGTCCCAGCTACTCGGGGGGCTGAGGCAGGATAATAACTGGAATCCCCGAGGTGGAGGTTGCAGTGAGCCAGATCGTGCCACTTCACACCAGCCTGGGTAACAGAGTGAGACTGTCTCAAAAAAAAAAAAAAAAGAGAGAGAGAAAATGATTAAGAAAGAAAACAGTTTTCTTTTTTACTACACTACATATAAAACAATGGGATATTTTATAGATTTCCTGCATAATCCTGTGGTAAATATTTCTATTTGAACTTGAAAATGATCGTTTTTAGTTGATTACTGAGTTCTTTTCCTCTTGATTTAGTTCTGGTGCCTTCCAGATGCAAAAGTACACTTCTCTTGCTCTAAGTTGACAATGACTCCTACCAATGTCATCAGTTATTTTATAGTACAATCTTAGATTTGCGACTTCCTTTATTAGCTTCTATAATGGCAGATTCATTTTCTTTTCATGTAGATATCATGGAAAGGTTCATGAAAAGGAAAGTTTTAAAATATTTGCCTGTCGTTACTTGGTACTATTTTCTAATTTTTTTATATAGAAAAATATTAATGTAATTTATTTTTTATAATTTTATAAATCTAAAGCCCAATATATTGTTTAACACCAAATAGATAACTATCCACCAGGCTTTCTGTTTTACACATTTATTGAATTGAATTGAATTGAATTCAATTCAATTCAATTCAACTCAATAAAGCAATTATTAAATGTTTATGTTGTATCAGGTATCATCCTAGGAACTATTGATAACTATAGTGATTAAGCATGTTTTTAAGTAACACACAGGATAATAAATTAATCAAATAAACAACTAATGTAACAGAAATTATTAGATGTATTTATAGGTACAATAAGATTTTGAGCAAATAAAAATAATAAGAGATAGCTCAATGTTAAATATTTACTCTAATATGTAAAGTAGGAGTTATTTTGTGTGGATGGAGTTAGCAGATGGAAAGTAATTTTTCAAGACTTCAAAAACATGACCATTGAGTTGGACATTGAGGATGGATAAAGCTGTACCCAGTGGATGAGGGTTTACACTGCTTTGGGCAAAAAGAAAAACCTAAGTCAAGTGAGGAGGCAGGGAGTGAAGAAATGATTCAGAGAAGATCAAGAAGCCAAAAATGACTAACATTGTCGGCCAATGGTTAGGCATGTTTAAAAGGCAGTAGGAGATATAACTTTTAGAAAGTATTTAGATAGAATTTTGAGGGCTATTGAATACAAGGTAAATAAGAAATGCCATGTTTTATTATTTTCCTTTACATATTGATGATATCTTTATGAAATTCATTGGATGATTCCTATTCACAAGAATCATTTATTCATTTTGCTTAATAAGCAACTGATAAATATAAAACAAATATCTTTTCATTTTCCTGTATTCCTAACTAAGGCAGTCTCTTAACTATTAGAAGTGCATATTACCTTTGATTCCTGATTAAATTATTTTCTATATTTAATTATTATAGATATATTCATTAAACTTCCCACAGGACTGGAACATGATTATGCAATATACAGCTTTTAAAACAAATTCTTTTGTAGAAAACAACCACAGAGTAATATGATATTTTAAACACCAACATGCATTTTCAACAGAAATTAAATTTCCTGAAAGAAAATACTTTCACTTTAAACATTGGGAACTTAAAATTGAAGATATCGATAGTACATGTAATTGTCATTATACTAATTTACCTCTATTTTATTATTCAGTTTTAAACATATTTTGATAAGATATTATCTTCAACTTTGTTTCAGAAAGCCAGCCTTCTTTGACCCATAAAATGAGCTAAAAAGTAGGTAGAGTGAGAAAATAAAAATAACAGTGGGAAAAAGCTAAGACATGAATAAGCTTAAACTTATTAACTATAATGGTTTCATATATACTAAATTTGGGTTTGTTAATTAAGTTAATTGCTCCTCCTTCTAATACTGGTATTCTGGCCTGTGCTTTCAAAAATTGTTTGCATTTTTCTCTCTGCCTTTGTCTATCTATTAATTTAATTATTTTATCACTTCTGAGCAACGTATGCTCCAGTGCGGAAGGAGTTTTTTTTTGATAATAGATAACCTTATTCCATTTGTATGGAATAAAAATTTTATAGTTTTAAGTCTGACACTTCTTTTTATAGTATGCTTTCTATTTGATAGTTTTCTTTCTAGTTTTTATTACACTATATTGTTTCCTGAATCAATTAGGGTAGACTAAACTGTTTTAACAAATTGATTAAAAAATATGGCCCTTTATATAAAGCTTATTTTTTGCTGATCTAAAATCATTACATTTGTTATTTTCTTACATGTCTTATATCTCCTCAAATAGTCTGCAAGTTTCATGAAAGCAAACATTTTTAATGTCCTCAAAATCTTTTATTAGAGACATATTATAGCATTTGTTTGTGTTTTCTTGCCAAATCTTGCATGTTCTAGTTTTAGTGAATAGGTTTAAATATATCTCTTTCTCTTCATTTGTCCATTTATGTTGCTTTCTTTATACCTTGTTTGGCTAATTGATATCATCAGAATTTCATTGCTGATGTAATTTGTTTTTTTTTAATTTCTGCTTTAATATATATTTTTCTAGCTAGTCAAGTATTCCCTATTTTAAGCTTCAATAACATTTTGTGCAAAAGTCTCTCTTGCAAAATTAATACTATTAATACATTGATTCCTTATGAATAGTATTTTGCCCTCATGGAGTCCTGAAATAGGAGAGAATACAGACTACACACTATTTTGACTGAAATCCTGGCTATTTTTTAACTCCATGAGGTGTTCAGCTTCAGAGGAAAATACAATAGAGATTCTAAAATTAGGCCAAAGTTGTATTTTGACCAAGACTTAACATGGGCTAAAAGACTAAATGGCCTGCAACCTATCGCTAAATCTCTGACTCATTTTCTAAATTTCTTCCCATTATTCACTTGTCTCCAGCCATTCTAGTCTTATTGCTTTTCCCCAAAACATGCCAAACTCACTCTCATTCCACAGTATTTGTACTTAATGTTATCTCTGCTTGTAATGATTTTGAAAAAAAATGTTCAGGTAGCTTGCTTCTCTACTTCATTCAGACGTCTGTTCAAATGTCATGTCATCAGAGAGATTTTCTCTAATAATCTTTCTTAGGCATCCTCCACTTTATCAATCTTTATCATTCATCTGGTCTTACTCATCATCGTAGCACTTATTATTAGAAGTAAATTAATTTTTTTATTGTTTGCTCTACAAAAACATAAGCTCTATGAGAGTTTTATGTATGTTTTGTAAACTTCTGTTTTCTAGGATCTAGGTCAATACCCACCCAGTAAGCTTTGGTTGTTTGAATGAACCAAAAATGTGTCAGTAATAAATGGATGTTCAACAAATTGCAGTTGATAGTCCTCAGCCAAATACTCCAAGTGCTTATACAGATGAATATTTAATACTATATGGACAGTTTATTATATTTAAATTCATAATTCCCAGATTGGGTTGATAATTTAAGAACAAACATGTTTTTAATACCTTCTCATGCCTTGATGTAAAATATCATAAAGTTCTGAGATCCTAAACATGAGTAAAGCACAGCTCTGTATTTAAGATATGCACAATCTAAGAAAATAGATTACTAGGTACACGTATATTCCAAACTGTATAAAATCTCATGCCAGATAACAGTACTTTTGAGGTCTGAGATTATATATATATTTTTCATACCAAATTTCCTTAATCTAGTACAAAAAGCCCTCAACATTGTTGAGTTGTATTTTCTCCTTATTTGTTGTCATGTTTCTTTTTATTTTGAGAGATTACATCTGGCTATAATCACCCACCATGGGCAAAATTCTCTGTCCAAGTAGTAGCTCTACAAAAAGGAAATTAAAATTATATCCCATGCTGATCATACCAGTGGTTTCTGCCTATTTATATATAGCTTTCTTTAAATAGAAAATAAAGATATTTTTTGTTCTGCATTCTCCAATCTGGGTATTTTGCTCTCAATCCTTGTTATTTGTCCAATTTTCTCAAAGTACATTTTGGAAATAAGACAAAATTTAGGCAACAATTTATTTTAAAATCCATTAGAGTTACTTGTTTAAATTTAAATAAGTTTAAAATTATGTGTTTTTTACTTCATTTCACCCATCTCTAAGGGCAACATTTATTATAATGCAAATTGCCACTGTTAAGATACATCTTTTCATCTTTATAAAGTAAAAATTATTAGGTATTCATTTGTAAAATGCAATATCTTTGTGCCAGTCATTCAAGTAATACCAGTGCTAGATCACTAATAATGCTAGATTTACCGTAATTGAATTTCTCTAAAATAGCAAGCTGTTAGGACTATTAAGTGCCCAGTCAAAAATTTCCCATATGTCTCAATTAAAATGTGTCAGCTACACAGGATAGATAAACATATGAAACTTGAAGTCATGTGAAACTCCAAACTTCTGTTTTCAAATGAGTAATTTAAAACATCTAACTCTTTATTTAAAAATGTGCATGAATATATCTTTTCCTTGCAAAATATCCATTATTATCTCATTTAGTCTCTTGGGGCAAAGCCAAGTAAAACTCATAGGGTAGGAGATCTTTTTCTTTTATCAGTTGTTTATAGAGATTTTCAAACATTATGTGCCTTGGAATAAAGTTACATCATAATTATGACTCATTACAGTGCTACCAAATAGGTGCAAAATCAAATTATAAGTCATAATTATCTAATAGCTCTTAGGGTTGGTTTGATTGCTTCAAGGAGCAGTTAGTTATCACTTGCAGCTAAGGTATTTTTCATTGTTTGAGTTTCATATTTCTTGAATCATTTGTCTTTTCACTGGTTTTAAGTTTTTATTCTCCTTGATATCCTAATGAAATGGAAATTTCTCCTGAACAAAGACTGTGACTTTATACAGATTGAATATAACTGTGAATATATGCATGTGTATCTGTGTGTGCATTTTTAAGTTTCTTTAGAATACCTAATTTACAAACACACCTACTGCTTTTAATATGTGCATGTTTATATAAAAGCATATACATGTGTATGTAAGAGCTGAATGTAAAATGAGTATCATAGGTATTTTCTAATATTAGGATTTACCAAAGCATCAGTAATGCACTTTTAAAAAATAAAATCTGCCATAATTAGAGATTCAGTTGTTCTTTTATAATTAAAAAAAACACTAAAACAAAATTCACAATCATTGATAATAATCACTGTCTATGAAAATTAGAATTTTTGGCAATTTTATTTTTGAAGGAACTAAGAAAACATGCATTTAAACACATTGATAGGGATGTGTCAATGGAGCATACATATTTTTGTTTAGACCCCATAGATTCATGTTGCAGAATTTAATCACAAATATCTCTAACCTAATGCATAATCAATGAAATATTAGACATGTGTGTATATTTTTAAATTCTAAGAATCTTAAAGTTGTAAGAACATCAGAATATTTGTGTGGGAATGTTTCTCACTTCTGTATCAAACCACTTTCCCATTTAGGAGTTTTTTACGCGGTTATCAGTCAAAAGTGCGTTTTGATCTATTATGTCATCTGGGAGAACAAAACAATCTCATATCTACGATAACATTACAGCAATTTCTCGGTGCTGTGCCTTTTTAACTTTTACTGTGTTTTGATTGTTCGTTTGTGTTTGTTTTTGTTTTTCCTTTTTTTCTCAAGTTAACCTTGAAGTCAGAAAATGTCCAAATGACCAGGGATTATTCTGTCTTGAAATTAAATGTATGCCTCCCCTAAAATTTCCTGGCAATTGTACTATTTGCTCTAATATTTTTCAAAATCACAATGCACTTAGTTTTCTCTGTGATAAATGTATTAATCTCTCATTAATTTTGTGTGTTTAGATGTATTTGATATATTTATTTTTAAAAAAATAGGCCAGGCACGGTGGCTCACACCCATAATCCAGCACTTTAGGAGGCCAAGGTGAAAGGATTGCTTGAGCCCAGGAGTTCAAGATCAGCCTGGGCAACATAGAGAGACCCAGCTCTACAAAAAATAATGAAAAGAAAAAAATAGCCCAGTGTGGTGGTGCATACCTGTTGTCTCAGCTACTCAGGAGGCTGAGGTGGGAGGATCACTTGAGCCCAAGAGATCAAGGATGCAGTGAGCAGTGATCATGCCACTACACTCCAGCCTGGGCAACAGAATGAGACTCTGCCTCCAAAAGAATAAAAATAAAATAGAAAAAAATACTATTGTGTGCACACTATGTGTCAGTTTCTAAGACTGCAAACACCTGTGCTTGTGAAGTTTGCAATACAGTAAAGAAGACGAGCAAATAAGAAAGCAAGCAAGGTGCATTGCTGGAGACAAAAAGCCAAGAGGAAGCAGAAAATGTAGGTTATGGGACTTAGAGTGGGTCATCAGGATCAGCTTCTTTGAGGTGGCTTTAGGTCAAAACCAGAAAGATCATGGTTTTTAGCTTGTGCGAAAAGCAAAAGGAATGAAACTTCAGGCAGAAACAGGAGCAGAAATGAGAATATTCTCGACAGAAAGGAGCATTTTACTTTCTGCTTTTGGCATTCAAATAAAATTTCAATAAAAGCAAACTACAGCAATTCCGTGGATCATTGACCGCAGCATGATGCTCATTGCAAAACAGGCATTCAATAAAGATTTGTTGAATAAACTTTGCATGTATTGAGAAATACATCAATGCTCATAACCATGACTACTGCTTTAACATTTGGAAAGAATAGAAAATTTTCGAATTTGGGATATTTACTTATTTTATTGTTTTAATTTTAGAATTGAGTAAAATGTATTCTTAACTTCATGAAAATTGCCAATAGTTTTGAAAAGAAACATATCCCAACATGTACATATGTCTATTTATTGATGTATACTTACTAATCTAAATTTTTTACACCATTCTCCTTGCCACAAGCAATCATACTTATTTTCATCTGTTTTTGGTGCATACATTTTAATTTTGTTATTATAATTTGTTATTTTGAAATTGATTTTAATTTCTATGGATACTACATTGTTATAGGGTTCTTTCTGCTTCTCCACTTACAAACTTAGTCTATATTTCAAACAGATTCATTGAGGTATATATGATGTATAATAAACTGCATATACATATATATATATATATATATATATATATAGTGTACAATCAAATGAGTCTTAGCATACGTATATACCTTGGAAACCATTACTACAAGAATATAAGCATATCCATCAGCCTCAGAAGTTTCCTTGTGTCCCATGGTAACCCAATTGCTCTCTACTCCATTCTTCCATCCATGGGCTTTGATTTGTTTTCTGTCAGAATAGATTAGCTTGTACTTCTAGAATTTTATTTAAATGAACTCGTAAGTATAAACTTGTTTTTTTTCCTTGCTACTTCCACACAACATAATTATTTTGAAATGTGTGCATATTGTTACATGTCCCAATAGTTCATTTGTTTCACTGATGGTAGTATTCTTTTGTATGGCTATACCACAGATTGTTCATCTATTCATCAGTTGGTGAACATATGAGTTATTTTCAATATTGATTAACATAAATAGAGTGTGTATGTGCACATAAAACTTTTATTTTTCTTCAATAAATATCTTGGAGAAAAGTGGATGGGTTGTATGACAGATGTATGTTTAATTTTTAAGAAAACTGTTAAACTATTTACTCAAGTAGTTGTTTCCCTATTATAAACTGATAAGCAGTGCTTGTGAATTCTGGTTCCTCTGCCTTCTTCCCATAACTTGGTATGGTCAATCTGTTAAATTTTAGCTCTTTGTAGTGTGTGTGTAATGAGCTTTCACAGTGGTTGTAATTTCAATTTCCCTAACGGTTGATAATGTTAACATCTTGCACATTTTGTATCCTTGTCTTTATCAAAGTATCTCTTCAAATTTATGCTGTTTTTGTGTGTGTGTTACTGTTGATGTTTTGCTCATTTTTAAATTGGGCTTTTTGTCTTAATAGCCCAGTTGGGTGGAAGGTTTTTTACACATGAGAGATATAAGTTCTTTGTTGGATATATGTTCTGAGAATTTTTCATGGTATATTTTGATGAACAAAAGTTCGATTTTGATGAAGTCAAATTTACGGATTTTCAATAACTTGCTTTTTGTGTACTATTAAAAATCTTTTCCAAGTCCTATCTCACTGTGATTTTCTCCTATGTTTACTTATACAAGCATAAATTTTACTTCTAGCATTTATTGTTATGATCCATTTCAGTTTAATTTTGATTGTGATAAAGGACAAGATGGGTTCATTATTTTGCTTATGGTTATCCAATTTTTCTGGCCCAATTTGTTTTAAAGTTTATCCTTTCTCCATTGAACTGTCTTGGTAACTTTGTTGAAAAGCAACTGCCAATATATACACGTGGGTTTACTTCTGTGCTCTCTGTTCTGTTTCATTCTTAAAGTATATGCTTATCTTCACATCCAAACTCACTGTCTAGGTAACCATGGCTCTATGATGTCTTCAAATCTGGTAATACAAGTCTTCCAGCTTTTTCTTCTTTTGAAAGTTGTTTAAGCTATTGTAATTCTTTGCAATTTGATACAATCTTAGAATTAGCTTCTCAATTTCTACCAAATAATCATTTTTCATCTTCACTCTGCAATGTTTCTCTGCTTCTAGAAGGCCATCCCATACCCAGATCACTGTCTATCTGCTTTCATGTGTCTTGTTTAGTTTCTTTTTAAAATACAATTCATCAAGGTTTCCTTGGATCCAACACTCTTGGCTAGTTCCGTAGAAAACTATGATTACCGTATTTTTGTATTTCTTGTTACCACAAGAAAACAAGGTGCTTTGCATGATTGTAAAAACATTTGGGCCCTAGAGTTTTGAATATAGCTTAAACTTTCTTTCATGCCTATTGGCTTACACAATTTTCTATCATTTCTTATGCCAATTATAGCTTTTTATGTTTTTTCAGAAATTTGTCTGTTATTTTTCCAAATATTCAAACTGATGAGTAGATACAGAGATAATAGTCCTTATCTGTGTGGTTCTATATGCACACCTTTTAGTTCCCAAAGTTTAGTTAAATAACACCAGTCCCCCATCTACCATGGTTCACATTTCGGTTACCATGACTGAAATAACTGTAAATAATCACATATAGTCTGAATTTTGCTGCTAACTCTTCAATCTACAAATCACTGTATAAATAATAAATGTATACCATAATTAGTGACCAATCGTCACATTCCTTGTCTGCAGTGAATGGTGACTGTACATATATTATTTATTTCAAAAATAGACAACAAAGAATGTTGTTGTGTTGCCGCCTTGGCCCCCAGTGATAAGCCCAAATGATCGTTTACAAAATAGATAATCCAAAGACAGAGTTGCCCAACAAAGGTACAAGTGTCACAAAAACACAGAACATGAAATTTGAATGGAATGTAAACATAGTTATAAAAGAAATAGCTGATCATGAGAATGTTGATACCTCCACCTTTCCAGAGACTCCAGATATGCAGACACAGGAACTTAGTGAAAGTAAATCTACCAATATAAATTAGGAAAGGAAGTGTGTCCAAAAGGATGAGGATGCCGAAGAAGAAGTGACACCAGGTAAATCCTTATTTTAAAGGGACTCAGAGATACTCCACAATATTGCAAATGTGATAAAATGCTGAAGCAGATCCAAACTTATAAATGAGCAAGTCAATTCCTAATGTATAGAAAATAAATGTTCCCTTCTCATAATAAGCTGCATCATGAGAATTAGAAAGAGAGCAATGTTCCAAGTTCTTTTCATAATTTTTTTTTACAAAGAAATATAACATATTGATGCTTGGTGTTTCTAATGTTTTAAATTAGTGTGTAAAATATAGTTTCATGATTTAAAAATTTTCTTGTACATTGTTAACTAACCATAAGATAGATTTTAATGTGACAAGTTAAGTAAAGATCTTAGAACAATTGTAATTTTCTCAATTGATTACTCAGATTGCTTTGCATGGTTTTGGCTTGCTGGAGTTCAGCTTGTATAGTCATTTCTATGGTTCTACACTGCCACGCTCAAGTGGGGATCACCTGAATTTGTTCATGACAAGCCATTATGCTTTTAAAACTCTGTTATCTACAGCTATTTGCCATTTTTTTCTGTGTGCTATTTCTGCATTTCTTCCTGATAAGTATTTTCAAATATCTAGCTTATAATTTTTTACAAAGGCGCAACTGCTAGTCTTGTTTATAGTCTCTATTTTTTTGTGTTTGTTTCCAGTTTCTATAATTACTTTTATTGTTTTATCATTTTGTTATTTTTTCTACTTATGTGCTTTCTCCATTACTCTTTTGACATAAAAGAAGTATTTGTAGAACTCATATGCATTCAGTTTTTCTTATTTCCTAATAAAGCATCTGTTAAAGTGCCTCTCCCCTGGTAGAAATGTAATATTTTAATATTAATATTATTTTAATATTAAGTAAGTTAATGAATTTTAATGCTCTTTGCCAATCCCTTCCACTTTTTCAGCTAAAATGAGCTGAAACTCCTAAAGTTGGGGATTTTTGTGGAGTTAATAGTGAGGTTTAAGAAAAGTCAGAATGTACATTTTATTCACGCTTGTGACACTAACCATATAATATTGAGCCAATCCTACTACCCTCTAGATCAGTTTATTCATGGATTTAAATAGCTTTATACTATAATTCTTTCCCTCTGAAATGGCATGATTATAAGTTTTGGGACAAGCACCATGCTATATCTTTAAACCACATATAAAATTTTTGTAGTTACAGGGAAAATTTTTTTCCCTGGAACATAACTGATTCTCTATACCTTTTACTGTTTCATTCCTTCTTCAAAGACATATATCTGCTGTCTTTAATTTTCTCTTTATGCCTAAATATCTTTGGGAAGTGATTCTAAATTAAATGTACTCTCCATTAGTAGGTTTGCAGTCAGGATTTAATAAAAGAAACCACTTTAGGTGTTCCCCACGAAAGGAATTTAATACAGGGGACTTAGAAATATTGCAAGTATGGATGAGAGAAACTCAGGGTTCACTGCAACTGTTACTGCACTTCAGAGATGAGGATCCTACTTTAGTTTCCACAGTCCCCACAGCCAAGTCTGCCTACAGATTCTTGCACATATGTTGTTAGAGCCTGAAATGCTGAGTCTAGATGCCTTTAAGCATCCTAAAGCACCCACTTTTTGTGGCTTCTTTCTAGCTGAAACAACAAGGTGGCTTTTGCTTTACTTCTGCCTTCTATAACTCAAAGAAGTAAATTAATTTATTCATACCTATCATCCCAGTTGCAACAGAGATTACAGAATGTAGTTTGAACTTCTTATCTTCTTTAAATTGCAAAAATTGGAATGGTAAAACCGAATGTGTTTACTACACAGTTACAGCTAACAAGACTGTAAAATAAATACCTGTAATGGGTAGAGCTGGGTTTTTCTCATTGCATATTGCTAATTTGTTTGAAAATCTCAGGTAAGTATGCATCTCATTAAAAAAAAACCAGATTTCAAAGACTAAAAGAGTTTTTTTAAGGACTGCCTCAATGAATAGATTAACATCAAACTTTAAAAAATGTACAGGAATTATACAGATCAGTGTACTTTTCAAATGATTGACAGGCAGTGGTTTTAAGCTTAACGGTACTATTTTACAGTTATCCACAAAACTCTAGTGGCTGGATGCAGCTCAGAATTTACTACTTAGGGCTTATATCAATAGCAATGTCACTGCAAGGATTTTTGCTGAAACTTATTTAACTCATCTAATATGATTAGAATTTGAAAAGAAAAATTTGTAATTTTCTCAACTAGATTGGCTATTTATAGTGCCGAACTTCAAACCCATGCAGAAAAATGTCTTAAACATAATCTGAGTAATCAGTGGGCATTATGTTTTGGGTTTGGGAACTGGGAGCATAGCCAATTGGGGTGGAATTTTAATAACTGCTTTGCTACTTTTACTGTTTGCTTTAAGCAAATTTTTCTTAAAAAGAACTGTATTGACAGTCTCAGAGATCAAAGTTCTCTTTTTATCAACTGAACAGATATAGCACAGGGAGTACAAATTTCCCATCTGCTCAAACCACTGCTCTGGAGATTTTACCTACAAAGGATGAGAGGATTTTTCAAGCTCTTTACCTTTGTCTTTCTCTTGAGAGGATTTCTCATTCAGTGGCACTCTCACATAGGCTACAATGTTTTTTTTTGAATTAACAAAGCTACATAAATTTCACTGGCTTTAGGCATCTTTCCACTAATACTTAACATATCATATTTGGATATTATTTTGGAATCTACCATACATTTTAAACCTAATAAAATGTTTGCAGCTTGTATTACCATTTTGCTAATTAATAAAGTGAATCAAGATAATTAAGTTACTTCTCTAAAACCGCGTGGCAAATTAAAAGTAGTGCTTGAGTAAATATTCATAGATTCTGAACATAAAATGCAACAGTAAGCAAAAGAATTGGCAATGGATTTGTGGGATACTATCATGCATGTAAACCACATTTAATATGATCATCAAAACTACTAGAATAAGAGCCTAACTGAAAGTGAATCAGAAAAGAAACTAACATAAGAAAGCTCTAGGGAACCATGCTATATATTTTACATATATTACTATTCAACAAATATGCAAAATATTTGTCATTTTTAGGAAGCATCTCTGAAATTAGAGTGTATCTTACTATTGAAGATTTGTCACAATTGTTAGTATTTATTATAGCTTCTTAGTGGTAAATAAACAGTGATATTCTTTACAATAAAAGGTATTTTAGATTAGATGAAATTCAATAATGATGATTATCTTCACTCTAGAGAGAAGGAAAATGAGGATCATAGAAGGGAAGTAACATTTTTCAAGTAATTTTTGGAAACTGGTAGCCTGAATCTGAATCTGTTAATGTTATTCTGAATCCTACCCTTATATACACATGACGTGTTAACAGAGAGTAGTGTATATGACAGTAAAGGCAAATTGAATTGGAGATTTTCAGAAGATGTTTAATTACCTTGCCTCATGATGTAGATAAATCTGCCTGAGGTCAGACAAAATGATTGATTTTTAAATTTTGTAGCTATGGTTGAAGTCTATACAATCATTAACGGTAAGTATGTATTGAAAGGTGATTTCTTTCTTTAATCAAGATATCATAGAGTCAGGTATTAACTATTTAAAACCTGGCACTAATACTTTCAGGACAAAAGTTTAGACAGATGTTGCAGCATTTCTAATATACATAGGAATTGCTATGCTGAAAAACCATTTAGGGATGATGGATATATCCTTTACTGAGTCTTTTGGACTTGTCAAAATATGTGTTTGCAGTTTCAAAGATACAATACTGAGCAAGTGTTAGTAATGAAGGATGAATGGTAGTGAGCACAAGAAATACAAAATATCCTACTTTCTACACAATATAAATCAGGTTTCAAATATTACTATTTCTACTCTGAGGAATAATATTAGAATAGCTAATGCATTGAGTACAATAATGCAAAGATGGAAGTCTGGAGAATCCATATTTATTATTATTATTATTACTTTTTCGAAGACAAGAGCTAGCTCTGTGGTTCAGGCTGGAGTGAAGTGGCACGATCATAGCTCACTGCAACATGGAACCCCTGGGCTCAAGTGATCCTTCCACCTCAGCCTCCCAAGTGCCAGGACCACAAGTGCCGGTCAGTGTGTGTGGCTAATTTTTTAAATTTATTTTTGAGATGGGGTCTCACTATGTTGCCCCGGCTGGTATCAAACTCCTGGGCTCAAGCAACTCTCCTATCTCAATCTCCCAAAGTGCTGACAGTACAGGCTTAAGCCACCATACCTGTCCATATTTCATTATGAAATTCAGAAGGTCACCATCTTTATGAAGGCAGGATGGTGCCAATTATTTTAATATGCACTGTAACTCTAATCCTCACTGGGGCTCTTACACCTGCCAGTGTGACTGCCACAGTTGTTCTTAGTAAGTATTGTTATCAAATGGATTAATTAATCCAGCAAAATAATTTTGAGACTCTAGTGTTACGTGTAGAAAGAGAAGCCACTCCCAGGTTATTTAAAAAAAACAAAAACAAACAAACAAACAAACAAAAAACACACACATGTTGTGCAGACAATTTGCAGCATACTTTGGAACCATTAACTCCCTTGAGTAATTCTGTTAAATGTCAGAGACTTCAAAATACGAGCCTCAGTGACAATGAAGGTGCCTGTGGCTCATTCCTATGGTTTAAATATGTAATAAAAAAAGTTCTGTTGAGATAAATGCATATCTTAAATTACCTCCTAATCAAATAAATATTGATTGACTACATAATATGTGACAGGCACTATGCAACATTTTGGTGATACAGAATATACCCACATTTACACAAACACATGCACACAGACCAAATATGAAAATAGAATTATAAGCCATCTAGATTAGTTAAATACTCTGTAATTTCATGATACAAGAAGAGGCACATGGCATAATTAACATGATTAATGGATAAATTAACCCTACAATTAAATCACATAATGCTTTTTGAGAAACAAATTTGCCTAGCGACTTTAAAGATATGCTTCCATTCTTTAAGTTTTCAGAGGGATAATTTCTAGATTATTGATTGAGCGTTTGATAGGTTAGAATATATGCGTGTGGGCCAAGCACAGTGGCTCACACCTGTAATCCCAGCACTTTGGGAGGTCGAGGTGGGTTGGTCACTTGAGGTAACGGTTTGAGACCAGCCTGGCCAACATGGTGAAACTCTGCCTCTACTAAAAAAAAAAAAAAAAAAAAAAAAATTAGCTGGGCGTAGTGGCAGGAACCTGTAATCCCAGCTACTCGGGAGGCTGAGGCAGGAGAATTGCTTGGATCCATGAAGCAGAGGTTGCAGTGAGCCAAGATTGCACTACAGCCTGGGTGACGGAGTAAAACTCCATCTCAAAAAAAAAAACAGAAAGAAAAGAAAAGAATATATGTATGTGTGTGTGTGTGTATGTGTATATATACGCACCTTCTTTTTTTTTTTTCTTTTTGAGACGGAGTCTTGCTCTGTCACCCAGGCTTGAGTGAAGTGGCACTATCTTGGCTTACTGCAACCTCCACCTGCTGGGTTCAAGCAATTCTCCTGCCTCAGCCTCCCGTGTAGCTGGGATTACAGGCACCCGCCACCACACCCGGCTAATTTTTGTATTTTTAGTAGAGGTGGAGTTTCACCATGTTGTCCAGGCTGGTCTCAAACTCCTGACCTCAGGTAATCCGCCCGCCTCTGCCTCCTGAAGTGTTGGGATTACAGGCGTGAGCCACCGCGCCAGGCCTATATACACACCTATATACCTTCAAAACTCTCGTTGTACTATGCATGTTTCCTTCCTTCCTTCCTTCCTTCCTTCCTTCCTTCCTTCCTTCCTTCCTTCCTATTCCCTTTTTGAGAAAGGGGTTGCTTTTAAACCTTTGTTTAAAATACTGTCTTTAACTACTGTCTTTAACTACTTAGGACATCAGTTTTCATAAAAATATTTTATTTTTTCTTTTTTTATATTTCAAATATGTGTTTATTTTCAAATCATGTATACATTTGAAAATTGTGTTGTACAAATGTAAAATATTACTGTCAATTTTCTGATTTTTTTATTATACTTTAAGGTCTAGGGTACATGTGCACAACATGCAGGTTTGTTACATATGTATACATGTGCCATGTTGGTGTGCTGGACCCATTAACTCGTCATTTACATCAGGTATATCTCCTAATGCTATCCCTCCCCGCTACCCCCACCCCACAACAGGCCCCATTGTGGGATGTTCCCTGCCCTGTGTCCAAGTGTTCTCATTGTTCAATTCCCACCTATGAGTGAGAACATGTGGTGTTTGGTTTTCTGTCCTTGCGATAATTTGCTCAGAATGATGGTTTCCAGCATCATCCCTGTCCTTACAAAGGACATGAATTCATCCTTTTTTTATGGCTGCATAGTATTCCATGGTGTATATGTGCCACATTTTCTCAATCCAGTCTATCATTGATGGACATTTGGGTTGGTTCCAAGTCTTTGCTATTGTGAATAGTGCCACAGTAAACATACGTGTGCATGTGTCTTTATAGCAGCATGATTTATAATCCTTTGGGTACATACCCAGCAATGGGGTGGCTGGGTCAAATGGTATTTCTAGTTCTAGATCTTTGAGGAATCACCACACTATCTTCCACAATGGTTGAACTAGTTTACAGTCCCACCAACGGTGTAAAAGTGTTCCTATTTCTCCACATCCTCTCCAGCACCTGTTGTTTCCTGACTTTTTGATGATCGCCATTCAAACTGGTGTGAGATGGTATCTCATTGTGGTTTTGATTTGCATTTCTCTGATGGCCAGTGATGATGAGTATTTTTTCATGTGTCTCCTGGCTGCATAAATGTCTTCTTTTGGGAAGTGTCTGTTCATATTGTTTGCCCACTTTTTGATGGGGTTGTTTGATTTTTTTCTTGTAAATTTGTTTAAGTTCTTTGTAGATTCTGGATATTAGCCCTTTGTCAGATGGGTAGATTGTAAAAATTTTCTCTCATTCTGTAGGTTGCCTGTTCAATCTGATGGTAGTTTCTTTTGCTGTGCAGAAGCTCGTTTAATTAGATCCCATTTATCTATTTTGGCTTTTGTTGCCATTGCTTTTCGTGTTTTAGTCAATGAAGTCCTTGCCCTTGCCTATGTCCTGAATGGTATTGCCTAGGTTTTCTTCTAGGGTTTTTATGGTTTTAGGTTTAACATGTAAGTCTTTAATCCATCTTGAATTAATTTTTGTGTATGCTGTAAGGAAGGGATCCAGTTTCAGCTTGTACATATGGCTAGCCAGTTTTCCCAGCACCATTTATTAAATAGGGAATCCTTTCCCCATTTCTTGTTTTTGTCAGGTTTGTCAAAGATCAGATGGTTGCAGTTGTGTGGTATTATTTCTGAGGTCTCTGTTCTGTTCCATTGGTCTATATCTCTGTTTTGGTGCCACTATCATGCTGCTTTGGGTACTGTAGCCTTGTAGTATAGTTTGAAGTCAGGTAGCATGATGCCTCCAGCTTTGTTCTTTTGGCTTAGGATTGTCTTGGCAATGCGGGCTCTTTTTTGGTTCCATATGAACTTTAAAGTAGTTTTTTCCAATTCTGTGAAGAAAGCCATTGGTAGCTTGATGGGGATGGCATTGAATCTATGAATTACCTTGGGCAGTATGGCCATTTTCACCATATTGAATTTTTCTATCCATGAGCATGGAATGTTCTTCCATTTGTTTGTGTCCTTTTTTATTTTGTTGAGCAGTGGTTTGTAGTTCTCCTTGAAAAGGTCCTTCACATCCCTTGTAAGTTGGATTCCTGGGTATTTTATTCTGTTTGAAGCAATTGTGAATGGGAGTTCACTCATGATTTGGCTCTCTGTTTGTTTGTTATTTGTGTATATGAATGCTTGTGATTTTTGCACATTGATTTTGTATCCTGAGACTTTGCTGAAGTTGCTTATCCCCTTAAGGAGATTTTGGACTGAGATGATGGAGTTTCCTAAATATACAATCATGTCATCTGCAAACAGGGACAATTTGACTTCCTCTTTTCCTAATTGAATACTCTTTATTTCTTTCTCCTGCCTGGTTGCCCTGGCCAGAACTTCAAACGCTACATTGAATAGGAGTGGTGAGAGAGGGCATCCCTGTCCTGTGCTAGTTTTCAAAGGGAATGCTTCCAGTTTTTGCCCATTCAGCATGATATTGGCTATGGGTTTGTCTTAAACAGCTCTTATTATTTTGAGATACGTCCCATCAGTACCTAGTTTATTGAGAGTTTTTAGCATGAAGGGCTGTTGAATTTTGTTGAAGGCCTTTTCTGTATCTATTGAGATAATCATGTGTTTTTTTTCTTTGGTTCTGTTTATATGATGGATTACGTTTATTGATTTGCTTATGTTGAACCAGCCTTGCATCCCAGGGATGAAACCAACTTGATCATGGTGGATAAGCTTTTTGAGGTGCTGCTGGATTCGGCTTGCCAGTACTTCATTGAGGATTTTTGCATCGATGTTCATCAGGGATATTGGTCTAAAATTCTCTTTTTTTTTGGTGTGTCTCTGCCAGGCTTTGGTATCAGGATGATGCTGGCCTCATAAAATGAGTTAGGGAGTATTCCCTCTTTTTCTATTGATTGGAATAGTTTCAGAAGGAATAGTACCAGCTCCTCTTTGCACCTCTGGTAGAATTCGGCTGTGAATCCGTCTGGCCCTGGACTTTTTTTGGTTGGTAGGCTATTAATTATTGCCTCAATTTCGGAGCCTGTTATTGGTCTATTCAGGGATTCAACTTCTTCCTAGTTTAGTATTGGGAGGGTGTATGTGTCCAGGAATTTATCCATTTCTTCTAGATTTTCTAGTTTATTTGCATAGAGATGTTTATAGTATTCTCTGATGGTAGTTTGTATTTCTATGGGATCGGTGGTGATATCCCCTTTATCATTTTTTATTGCGTCTATTTGATTCTTCTCTCTTTTCTTCTTTATTAGTCTTGCTAGAGGTCCATCAATTTTTTTGATCTTTTCAAAAAACCAGCTCCTGGATTCATTGATTTTTTGAATAATAATGGGAGACTAACACTCCACTGTCAACATTAGACAGATCAACGAGACAGAAAGTTAACAAGGATTTCCAGGAATTGAACTCAGCTCTGCAGCAAGTGGACCTAATAGACATCTACAGAACTCTCCACCCCAAATCAACAGAATATACATTCTTCTCAGCACCACATCACACTTATTCCAAAATTGACCACATAGTTGGAAGTAAAGCACTCCTCAGCAAATGTAAAAGAACAGAAATTGTAACAGTCTCTCAGACCACAGTACAATCAAACTAGAACTCAGGATTAAGAAACTTGCTCAAAACCTCTCAACTACATGGAAACAGAACAACCTGCTCCTGAATGACTACTAGGTACATAGCGAAATGAAGGCAGAAATAAAGATGTTCTTTGAAACCAGTGAGGACAAAGACACAACATACCAGAATCTCTGGGACACATTTAAAGCAGTGTGTAGAGGGAATTTTATGGCACTAAATGCCCACAAGGGAAAGCAGGAAAGATCTAAAATTGACACCCTAACATCACAATTAAAAGAACTAGAAAAGCAAGAGCAAACACATTGAAAAGCTAGCAGAAGGCAAGAAATAACAAAGATCAGAGCACAACTGAAGGAGATAGAGATTATCTTTTATTTTCTCTTTGCTACTTTAGACACAAATTTTGTCCCCTGTGTTTGACTTACGAGTAACACGCAACCTGCTATTACAGAAAAAACACTGCATGGAAGTTAGGAGAATCAGGTTCTGTTGTCAACTTTACCACCAGTTCAATATCTGTCAGGAGCATAGCTTCACACCTAATATTGGTTCTAGCCTTTGTTCTCCTTTAAAATAATGTGGCTAAACTCCATGATCCCCAAGATTATGTGCAGATTCAAGATTTTACAATTTTAGGAATCTATCACTCTAATTTACTTTGTTCTGTTTATTTGACCTTACATATATTCACTTATCTATACTCAGTTTTGACAAAAAAGAAAACTTCTGAAGTCATGGCAAAATGTACAATAGGAAAATCTGATTGAAAATAACAGCAAAATGGTAAAATTAAAATTTATTTTTCATTTTAGAGGCTTAAACGTTTCTGCATTGACTGTATTTTCAAATCACAAGAAGAAAAACTCAGAAATCAGTTAATTCTAATAGTTCTTGTAGCATGTTTTTGTCTACATTTTTCACCTTGTAGTCAATTTTCGTTGTGGATTTTCTTTTTACTTATATGTTTTATATTCTTACCTTAAATACTTTACTGTTCTGGAAAAGCAACTATCTAAGTAGTTTTGTTTGAAGTATTACATTTCTACACATTTTGATATATAGTAGAGATATTTCTTCCAACACATCTTATGTTTTCATCAGTGCCAGGTGTAATGAATCAATCCATTTGAAAACCCCAGTTATTAGAATCCTTTACTAGGTGTTAACTCTTGCCCAGATACTTTTTTATTCTGATTTTCTTTTTCTTCTCTGACATGGGAGTATATATATGAGTAGTCATTTTCTTACTCTGTCATATTTATATTGTTGTAAAGAATGATTACATCTTTGTTTTTGAAGAGACTCTATTTTGCTGTTTATCACAGTTTTTTAAAGAAATAAAATTAGCTCTAGGAAAGTTAATATATTTGTGGGATTACAGATCATTATATCATATTTAGAAACTTTAGGCCAGTGCTTATTGTTCCTTTACATTTTTTAATGCAAAAATGCAAATTTTAAACTACTGAAAGAATCTGATGGATTTAACTTTTGTATACACATAGCTTTTCTGTTCACGGTCTACACAATTAAATAGTTTTGAATCCCATAGAGAGAATTTCAGTGAATTTTTATTAATTCAACAAATATTTATTGATTATTTACTATGTTCTAAGCTCTAAGTTGGATACTAAGGATGCAGTCAATATATGCTTAATAAGTTGCCAAGAGTAAGCAGAGAACAACTAAATTATTTGGATGTCTCTGAGGGAGACACTGAGTAAGAGAGCCTTCTAGGGAGAATTAAGATGTTAAAGCTTGAAGAGCGATATGGTTTGGATCTGTGTCCCCACCAAATCTCATGTCAAAGTGTAACCCCCTGGGGCCTGGTGGGAGGAGATTGGATTATGGAGGCAGAGTTCTCAGGAATGGGTTAGCACCATCTTCTCAGTGCTGGTCTCCTGATAGTGAGTCAGTGAGTTACCCTGAGATCTGGTTGTTTAAAAGTGTGTAGCATCTCCCCCGGTCTCTTTCTCCTACTCCTGCCATGTGAAGTGGCTCACTCCCCCTTTGCCTTCCACCATGATTGCATGTTTCCTAAGGCCTCCTCAGAAGCTGAGCAGATGCTGTCATGCTTCCTGTACAGCCTGTGGAACTGTGAGCCAATTAAACCCCTCTTCTTTAGAAATTACGCAGCCTCAGATATTTCTATATAGCAGTGCATGAACAGACTAATATAAAGAGTAAACTGGAATTATCCAGATGTGGCAAATAGGGGTCAGGTGGTGGGTTTATAACTGAAACTTTCCTTTTCTATAGCAATGCTCTCCTCCCCAGGATCACGGATACCAGAAGTGCTAGAGGAGTTAACCTCCTCTCATGGATATCATCAAACCACACTTTCATCACTCTTTCCTAACAACCCCTCCTCCTAGAACATACTTAATATGGGGTATGTTAACCTCTCCCCATGCTCACTATCATCACCTACTAATCCTTAGGGCAGTCTTTGATATGCTTTGGAATATTTAAGTACTTTACATCTGGCAATTATTTTCTCTGCCCTTGATCCTATCATAATTCTCAGGAACTTAATGCTTAGTAAGTATTCTTGAACTGGCCTTACAAATCTTGATTCTCAAAATTAATACCTTTCTATTATATCTAATTTTAGTCCCATCTTTCCTCTCAACAGTGCATAAGTATGGTTTCTTAAAAAACCAAAGATTTCATTATCACATGACTTTAACGACACTTGAGATTACATAACCTCTTCATATTTCCTATGATCTCTTCTTTTCTCTTTTCTTGCCTCCATTCCCAGGATGCCCACAATCAAAGATGTTATTTATCACAGACAGAGAATATTTCCTGTTGTACTGCTGAGATAGGCCAGTTCCAGGGATTGCCATCTCAGGAGCTGAAGGTAATCTCTATCAAGGATATCAAAGAGAATTTGGGAATAAATACAAAATGAGTCCTCAGAAAGTGCTGTAGGTCTACACTGAAGAAATAAAATATGTCCATCATATCCAAAGGAGAGTTACTAGGTATATATAAGTGTTACAGCAAGGTATTAATATATGAATATATAATAAACAAAATGAAAGCTATTATCCTCAGAAAAGCAAGAAAAAAACTGAAATATTAACATGAAACAAATCAGAAGTCTCTTTAATTAACATTTATTTCAATTTAGCTGCATGTTATATGGGAGTGAAAGGAGGCCTGAAGTTTAAGTTTGGGTCAAACCCTAGATTTTCTAAATGTTTGATTTTCTGATCTACTTATTATATTAGTCTCATGGGTAAATAACCTATGGAATTATTGTTACTCATTTTTCCCACTAGTGCTCATTTTACTCTAAGTAAAAGTAAAAAGTAAAAGAATTACTTTTCTTTTCATATACCTAAAATGTGTTTTATTTTTTACTCAGAATTTATTCATCTCCTCTAATCTTTTTTTGGTTCTTGTTGTTTTACTTTCAGGGAATACCTTTGCAGATTTGATACATGGGTATATTATGTAATGGTGGAGTTTGGGCTTGTAGTGTACCCATCACCCAAATAGTGAATATTTTATCTAAATGGTAATTTTTCAACTCTCACCCTCTGTTACCCTTTTTTCTTTTGGAGTCCTCTGTGTCTATTATTTCCAACTTTATGTCTATGTGTACTCATTTTTTTAGCTCTCACATATAACTGAGAACATGCGATATTTGATTTTCTGTTTCTGGGTTGTTTCGTCTAGGATAACATCCTCCAGCTCCAGCCATGTTGCTACAAAGGACATGATTTTCTTTATTTTTGTGACTGCATAGTATTCTATGGCATATATGTGTGTGTGTATATATATATATTATAATATATATATAATATGTGTATATAACAATATATAACGTGTGTATATATATATATAATATATTTTATATATATTACATTTTCTTTATCCAATCAACCATTGATGAACATGTAGCTTGATTCCATGACTTTGCTATTGTGAATAGTTCTATGATAAACATTCAACTGCAGGTGTCTTTCTAATAAAATGATTTCCTTTGCATAGATACTCAGTAGTGAGATTGTAGTGAGCTTGTACATTTCAACCAAGTAGTGAGCTTTGTTGAATAGTAGTTCTATTTTTAGTTCTTTGAGAAATCTCCATACTGTTTTCCATAGAGGTTGAAATAATTTACATTCTCACCCAAAGTATATGTGCTCCATTTTCTCCATACTTACGGCAACATCTGTTCTCTTTTGACTTTTTAATAATAGTCATTCTGTCTGTGTAAGTTGATATTGTAGTTTTAATTTGCATTTCTCTAATAATTAGTTATATTGAGCATTTTTTCCTTGTATGTCTTCTTTTCAGAAATGTCTGTTCATGTCCTTTGCCAAATTTTTAAAGGGGTCATCTGATTTTTTTCTTTTTGAGTTGTTAGAGTTTCTTGTGGATTCTGGATATTAATCCTTTGTCAGAGGCATTTGCACATGTTTTCTCCTATTCTTGGTTATTTGTTTTCTCCTATTTCTCAGTTATTTGTTCACTCTGTTTATTACTTTAGTTCTGCAGAAGATTTTTAGCTTAATTAAGTCTTACTTGTGTATATTTGTTTTTGTTTCATTTGCTTTTGGGGTCTTTGTAATAAATTAGTTGCCTACGCCAGTGTCCAGAAGAGTTTTTCCTAGGTTTTCTTCTAGAATTTTTATAGTTTCAGGTCTTATATGTAGGTATTTAATTTATCTTGAGTTGATTTTGGTGTATAATGAGAAATCAGGGTCCAGTTTTATTCTTCTGCAAATGGCTATTAAATTTTCCCATTTATTGAATAGGGTGTCCGTTCCTCATTTTTTACTTTTGTCAACTTTGTTGAAGGTCAGTTGATTGAACATGGTGAAACTCCATCTCTACTAAAAATACAAAAGTTAGGTGGGATTGATGGCATGGGTGTGGTGGCTGCACCTGTAATCCCTGCTACTGGGGAGGCTGAGACATGAGAATCGCTTGAACCTGGGAGGTGGAGGTTTCAGTGAGCCAAGATCGTGCCACTGCACTCCAGCCTGGGAGACAGAGTGAGAAAGGTCTCAAAAAACAAAATCACTTAGTTGTAGGTATGTGGCTTTATATCTGGGTTTTCTGTTCTGTTCCATTGAACTATTATTGTACCAGTAACATGCTGTTTCTGTCATGGTAGCCTTGTAGTATAATTTGAAGCCAGGTAATGTGATGCCTCTGGCTTTGTTCTTTTTGTGTAGGATTACTTTGGTAACTTGGGCTCTTTTTGGTTTCATATGAACTTTAGAACTATTTTTCTAATTATGGAAAAACTACATTTGGGATTTGATGAGAATTGCATTGAATCTGTAGATTGATTTGGGCAATATGGTCATTTTAACAATATTAATTATTCCAATTCATGAGCCTGAGATGTATTTGCATTTCTTTATATCATCTATATATTTTTTTTTCTTTTTGAGATGGAGTCTCACTCTGTTGCTCAGGCTGGAGTGCAGTGGCATGTTCTGGGCTCACTGCAAGCTCTGCCTCCCGGGTTTACATCATTCTCCTGCCTCAGCCTCCTGAGTAGCTGGGACTACAGGTGCCCACCATCATGTCAGGCTAATATTTTTTTGTATTTTTAGTAGAAACGGAGTTTCACTGTGTTAGCCAGGATGGTCTCGATCTCTTTTTAAAACAGTGTTTTGTTATTCTCTTTGTTAAGATCTTTCATCTCCTTTGTTAAATATATCCCAAGGTGTTTAATTTTTTGTGGCTATTGCAAATGAGATTGCATTCTTCATTTGGCTCTCAGCTTGAATGTTAATATAAAAATGTTACTGATTTTTGTACATTGGCCTTGTATTCTGAAACTTTATTGAAGTAACATTTATCAAGTCTAGAGGTCCATTGGAGGAGACTTTATGATTTTCTAGATGTACAATTATGTCATTAGTGAACAGAGATGATTGGACTTCTTGTTTTCCAATTTGGATGACTTTTTTTTTTTTTTTTTTTTTTTTTTTGCCTGAATGCCCTGGGTAGGACTTCCAGCATTATGTTGAATAGGAGTGGTAAGCCTAGACATCCTTGTCTTGTTCCAGTTCTTAGAGGGAATACTTTAAACATTTTCATTCAGTATGATGTTGGCAGTGGGTTTTTGATAGATGGCTCTTATTATTTTGAGTTATGTTCCTTTGATTCTTAGTGTGTTGAGGGTTTTTACAATGAAGCATTCATGGATACTATTGAATGCTTTTTCTTCATCTATTGAGATGATCATATGGTTTTGGTTTTTAATTCTCTTTACATGGTGAATCACATTTATTGATTTGTGAATGTGGAACTTTTCTTGCATCACTGGAATATAATCCAACTGATTGTGATACATTGTGTTTTTGATGTGCTATTTTGATTCAGTCTGCTAGTATTTTGCTGGAGATTTTTGCATCTATGTTCAACAGGGATAATGGTCTGTAGTTTTCTTTTTTTTTTGTTTTGTCTTTGCCTGATTTTGGCATCAGGTTGACACTGGTTTTCACTGGTTTCATAGAATGAGTTAGGAAGGACTCTCTTTTCTTCAATTTTTTTTGGAATAGTTTTAGTAAGATTGGTACTAGCTCTGCTTTGTAGGTCTGGTAGAATTTGTGGTGATGTCCCAGTATAAACATTTCCGAAAAATTCCTAGGTGATACTGCTGCTGCTGGTTCATGAAGCATACATTGAGAACCATTGCTTTAATCTCTTCAGATAAATCGTTATCTTGAAGTTTTTAATTCTGCTAATGACATTTTTTTGTAATTAATCATTGCCTACAAATTAAAGTTGAAGTTACATGGTGTGATGGTTAATATTAGGTCTCAACTTGATTGAAGGATGCCTAGATGGCTGTTAACATGTTGTTTCTGAGTGTGTTTGTGAAGGTGTTGCCAGAGGGGACTGACATTTGAGTTGGTGGACTGGGAGAGGAAGACCCACCCTCACTGGGAGTGGGCCCCATCCAATCAGCTGCCAGTGTGGCTAGGTCAAAACAGGTGGAAGAAGGCAGGATGAGTTTATTTGCTGGGTCTTCTGACTCACTTTCTTCTTTCTGTGCTAGACACTTACTTCCACTCCTCCTGTCTTTGGACTTCAAACTCTAGGTTCTTCGGCTTTTGAACTCTAGGACTTGCACCAGCAACTTCCCAAGGGCTCTCTGGCCTTCGGCCACAGACTGATGGCCTCACTGTCAATTTCCCTGGTTTTGAGGCCTTCAGATTTGGACTGAGCGACTATCAGTTTTTCTCTTTCCCCAGCTTGCAGATGGCTTATTGTGGGACTTCACCTTTTAATCATGTGAGCCAACTCTTTCTAATAAACTCCCTCTTATATATACATATATCGTATTGGTTCTGTCCCTCTGGAGAACTCTGACTAATACAAATGGTAAAGATTTCAAAACCTTTGTTGATCAGGTTCTGATTCCTCAGAAATACCATATGAAGTTACCACTCTCAAAACATATTTGACCCTCTAAGAGTGACTAATCCTTTAAAAAATTTGTTCTTTCTGTGATATATTACTTCTTCTAAGAGAAACTCTCCAAATATAATCAAAGTAGAGAAGAAAAAAAACTAAAAAAAAAAAAAAAACATAAATCCTTTAAATACCCTGAATTTCAACCTTCCATTTCTATTTATATTTTTGGACATTTCTACCTGGATATCCTGCTAGCTAACAACTCAGATTTAACAAAACAATAAATGTTAAGATATCAGCCACAATGTACTCATCTTTTTTTCTCATAGCACTTAACCCACTGTTTTAATTAATATGTATTAATAAATTTTTGACAATAGTGAATGTCTCAAATTAAATATAAACAGATACTATTTGTATATCATAGGCCTATAGACATTGTGCCAAAATTTAAATCTAGGTCAGGTATGTGGAGAACGAATGTCAGCTTCAGTCTTAAGTATTGTATATTATGGGATGTATTCTAGATGAATAAAATTACTATTTCCCACATTTGGCTAGATACTTCTATGTGTATGGCCATGAATTATTATTTAAAACCTCTAACAGAAGAGAAGTGAGTGACTCTTTTTATTATTATTATTATTATTATTTTTTTTTAATTTGAGATGGAGTCTTACTCTGTCACCCAGGCTGGAGAGCAGAGGTGCAGTCTTGGCCCACTGCAAACTCCGCCCCCTGGGTTCAAGTGATTCTTCTGCCTCAGCCTCCCAAGTAGCTGGGACTACAGGCATGCGCCACCATGCCCAGTTAATTTTGTAGTTTTAGTAGATACGGGGTTTCGCCATATTGGCCAGGCTGGTCTTGAACTCCTGACCTCGTGATCCACCTGCCTCGGCCTCCCAAAGTGATGGGATTACAGGTGTGAGCCTCCGCGCCCGGCCTGGAGACTCTTTTTTTTTTTTTTTTTCTCTGTGTGTGTGTGTGGTGTGTGTGTCTGTATGTGTGTGTGATAGGGTCTTGCTCTATGACCCAGGCTGGAATGCAGTGGTGCAATCTCTGCTCACTGGAGCACTGACCTCCTGGGCTCAAGCGATTCTCTTGCCTCAGCCTTCCAAGTAACTGGGACTACAGACATGCACCACCACACCTGGCCAATTTTGTTCATTTTTTGTAGAGATGCTGTCTCACTGTGTTACCCAGCTGATCTCAAACTCCTGGAGTCAAGCCATCCTCCTGCCTCAGCCCCCACAAAGTGCTGGGATTATAGGAATGAGCCACTACAGCTGGCCTGAATGACTCTTATTGAAAAAAAAAACAATATTTATTATACTTATTAAGATAGTAAGGCAAATTTTATTCAGGACTATTTCAATAGTTATGGGGACAACGTCAACGAGGTTTTGCAGCGCAAGACACAAACTGGGCTCAATTTAATACAGACAAATGCAGGTTGATAGTCCAGAAGCAGGGTGTGGAACAGTGAAGGAAACATTACTGTGATAAAACATCAAGGGTAGGGAGATTCTCGCTAGACTCACTCACAGGATTTTTGCTGAATATAGTCTAGTGTGATACGATATACAGGGTGAGGGATGAGAAACTTCATCTGATATCAAGGCTGGAGGATTTTCACCAGACTGCCCCAGAAGAATTCTTGTGAAAGTGCACTAAATAGGCCAAGGACAGAGCCTAAGGCAGGGGCCTTAAGGGCTTAGAGGAGCGTGACTTTAGTTAGATCAAAGAGAGAGTCTTTGTCATTCTCAGACTTAAACATGATCTCTTTTATAATAAACAATATTTAAGCAGGAGGGTATATTCCTATACAAATGGGGGCAAAATAAACTGGTATAACAGTACATTGTGCTCTTCTCCTAAGCACAATTCCTCTAAAGCATGGGAATTTAGAGTTGCTGAGGGACAATTGGGAGACGTTCTGTCTACCGTCAAAGAACATGTTTACACACAAAGAAAGCTGAACCATGAATACAAATTGCTCTGAACAAGGAAATTACTGATCTTACACTAATTAGTAATACCTTCTCTAGGAAGAAAATCACTCTGGAGGTTTAGCAAATGGTAAATGCCAATGAGCTACTCACAGGCTTGTCTCAAAGAATAGCCCACTTCCAGATACAAACATACTTGCTTTTTTTTTTTTCTTTTTCTTTTCTTCACCAGTCTCTGAACAAGTTACTTGATATTGAAAATGGTTTCATGTCCAGTTCTATTCTCCAGAATGGAAATGATCTTGCTTTTATTTTTTCTATCTCTCAGTTGTCTTTTATTACAAAAGAAAAGAGGGAACATTTTGCATGCTCTTCTACAGAAATCATTCTTTTGAGAGCTTTCTTTATTCTGATTTCTGTTAGTTTTTCCATATCATCCTGTTGGATCTTATAAATGTCAAGAGTGTCAACTACCTGAATGCCTTTGAACTCCCTCAGAACTTCCTTCCTTATAGTTATTCTCTGATTGTTAAGCTAGCTTTCCATTGATCTGTTTTCCTCCCTCCCTCTTTTAAGCTTCTTTCTATGTTAGTCACTACTTCTGTTTACCCACTCAGATACTAACTCCCATTCACTTTAAACCACTTTTTATTAGAAGTCATGCTGACTCTGCCATGCTCTCATGCTGTCTCTTGGCAGCTGTCCTCTCAAAGCTTTAGATTATTGATCATCCTGCAGATGATAAATTAAGCTGAAATTCCTCTCCTTCACTTCTGATGTTATCCATTTTTAAGTTTGAAATCAGCATTTCCAATATGCTTTACTTTATAGAAAGTATTATATGCATTAGTTGATGGATTGTTTATTAGTAACTAATATATTCAAAAAGAACCTATAGAAATTGAGAGCTCCAATGACCTTGAATTTATTTTGTGTATAACTTAAATATGAGGTAGATGAGACTTAGAAACATTGTGATATGAAATAGGTTTAAGTTGTAAGTTAGTAAATAAACTAGAAAAATAGATTCCACTTTATTAGTATGAATAGCTTATTAATATATGTAAATATTAACAGCATTACTTCATAATATAGATCATTAAAACCTTTATATATATACTATATATTGTTTGCTTAAATATATAAATAGAAAAATACTCCATTTCTTGTATTTTGTTATTCTCCATTAGTCCTGTGAGAAAATGGGAACCAGATTTTTACTCTCAAGTGACATCTCAAAGCCAAATATATTAGTAGATTACCAATTAGTTAGATATTGACAAGTTACCAATATTTAAACATGGTCATCTACTGTTTTAATTTTACAATTTTTCTTTTCCTTTCTTCTTTAACCAGAAAAGTCACCAATAACTTCTTTGAAATAGTACAAATATTTTGTTTCATATTTTTTTTTCAGTTTTCCTTCATTGCTTGTGTAGAGGAAAAAGGTTTTCCTCAACCCTATTAGAGTCACTGGCTAGTTCTGCAAATAAAATTGGCAAAGATAGATTAATAGGAGAAAAGTGCATGAATTTATTTAATAGATTTCACATGATACAGGAACTTTCATAAGGAAATGAATATCCCAAGGAACAGGAGATATCTGAGTGTTTTTAGCTAGGTTTAATAAATAAATGAATGGTTGTGAAGTATGATTGGCCAAAGGGGATATAATCTAATGATATCAAGCTGCAAGGAATTTAGGCCTATTTGTTCAAGTTCTTCTCTGTGTCTCTGTGTCTTCAGAGATAAGGACATTCCTTCTTTTTGGGTATGGGTAGGCACCTTTCACACGGCCCTTATGACCTGCTTTAAAGGGAAACTGGAGCTTTTTTTTCTTTATGGCTTGCTTTATAGAAGGCCAGATAGTCCTCTCTAGATTTTAAACCCTGCTTCAGGGAGGAAGGCTGGGAGAAGGTCAGAGAAATTTTTTTTGCTTCTGTTATGTTCTTAATTTATTTCAACCTAAAATACTCAGTATGAGAAGGTGCCATATTTTGGGGTAGTATGTCCTGAGCCCCCCTCACTTGAAAAAAAACTTGATATGAAGCTTCTTGGTTTGAAAAATTAGTTATAGAAATTGACTAGTAGTGAAAGGGTAAATAATCTGAAACACTAAAATGCTGCTCCAGAGGTTCCAGTTGATTTCAAAACCCCAAAGTCCTCATGTTGTAACAGTGGATTCATTTGTCTTTCACCTTAAGATCTAATCTGCTTTCAAAGACCAATATTGATTTTAGAGGAAGAAAATTACACTTACCAATGGTTATATATTTTTTATAATTATATAACTTTGAATTCAGGATTATATTTACTAGAGGAATTTTTATTCGATTCTAAAACAAACTCACTATTAGCTCCCCAGGAGTGAAAAATGCCTCCCTGTGATTATGTTATTTTATTGATTATTTGTCTTTCCATATTTCTAGGCCTGACTTGCTGAATCATTCTAGACCAATTGTTAGGTGCTCAAATCATATCATTTTGCTTCAGCTACCTCTCAGTTTACAGCTCTCTAGTTTGTAGTTATAATATTCCTGTATGAGAAATTCCATACTCTTGCCATAGAGTTCCAAAGAGAAGGAACTCTATGATAGCAGAAGCATGGCTGCTGCGATTGGCCCTGCTTTAAAATAGTGCACAATTCAGGAGTGGACTCTCTACTACACGCTTTTTCAGTTGGAAGAACATTTTCCAAGGTCCAGATCGTAGCATTCTAAATGTTCTCCATCTCTTTGATCTCAAGTGAAATTGAACAATAACAGATGCTATTAAATGTCCCATGAAATTTTGAATTTTATTTAAAATGTTTATTTTTTTTTACTTAATAGATATGATGTGCATTATTCAAGTGATGGATATTCAAAAAGGCCTGACTTTACCATTCACAATCCATGCATGTAATTGGTTAATCGAACAGACCCTTCTTGGCCAAGGTGATCCCTGAGAAACCTGAAAACCTAAATTCCCAGCCATGATTGGAAGGGAGATCAGATACACTTCATTGCACCCCCTCCCTTTTGGAATTTAGGCACAATAGCATTAAGGTTAAAATACACATCATAAGACTGACAAAATACTCTTTGTGGCAATAAGATATCAGATTATAAACAAGACTTAAGGCTATGCAAGGCAAGAGTTAAGATACACCCTATTCACCATAAAATCTTCTTAAATTTTTAAAAATTAACCTGGTGTAATGTGGCTTGCTTTTTAACCTGATTCTGGTATAGCAATCATATGACAGATAGCATATGCCGAAGGAAATTAAAATGTTTTACCCTAAAATCTATTTCTTTGACATATTTTGAAATGGCCCTTCAAAGCTGTCTTTTGTGGGGGAAATTTGCATCTGTAGAAAATTTTCATTAATGCAGCCAGACCCTCCTTTTCTAGGCCTTTCCTACATCTAGGAGAAATAAACTGAGTCTGACACCTTTAAAGTTCTGAAAAGAGACATTTACTATTTTCTCTGAAGACTACCTATGAGGCTTCATCTACATACCAAAGGCCTTGGCTGTCTCTCTCCCCATCCTAATTCAAGCATTCCGGTCTACTAACTTCAAGTCTTTAGGCAATAGCTTAATTTTCTAATCCCATTGTTAACTAAAGAATCCCTAAAACCCACCTATGACTTATAAACCCCCACTTCAAGGTAGCTCACCTTTTTGGGACAAACCAGTGTACACCTTTCTCATATTGATTTATGTCTTTGCTTATAATTGCTGTATCCCTAAAATGTATAAAACGAAACTGACCCCACCAACTTGGGGCCACTTATTCAAGGCTTCTTGTGTTTGTGTTTTCTCTGGGCCATGATTACCCATATTGGCTCAAGATAAATCTCTTTAAAATACTTTAGAGTTTGGGTTTTCCATTAACAAATGGGTTGACATATACAAGTAGAAAAGGTAAAAAGAGGGAGGTCGATGCAGGAGGATCACTTGAGGTCAGGAGTTTGAAACCAGCCTGGCCAACATGGTGAAAACCCATCTCTACTAAAAATACAAAAATTAGCTGAGCATGGTGGCACACACCTGTAATCCCAGCTACTTAGGAGACTGAGGCAGGAGAATGGCTTGAACCTGGGAGGCAGAGGTTGCAGTGAGCCAAGATCTTGCCACTGCACTCCAGGCTGGGCGACAGAGACTCTGTCACAAAAAAAAAAAAAAAGAAAAAAAAAGGCAAAAGGGAAAAAAACGAAACACTTATAGGACAATTGGAAAATGTAAACACTGACTGGGTATTTGTTAAGGTTAAAGGATGATGGTATTGTTATTATCTTTAAGACGAGTTCTTGTTTTTTAGAGATACTTATTGAGATATTTATACATAAAATAACATGCCTGGGATCTGCTTCAAAATAATCAGGGGAGAATATAGAAGTACAAGTGGCCACAAATTGATATTTGTTGAGGAAGGATAATGAATGCTTGGGAATTCACTGTACTCATTTCTCTGCTTTGGTATGTTGAAAACGTCAATTTTCCCAGTCTTTTAAATTCCTGGGAAAAATTATAAATCAATCAATCAATAAAAGCAAAATAAACATTGAGAAAGAAAAGTGTTTATTTTTTAAATGTATTTTTTTAAATAACCAAGCAGGCTTTGAATAGAATAAACACACACATACACACAAACCACACATACACATACTAAATTTTTAGTCTGATATTTAAGTGTAGGGGATCAACTGAGTCAAATGTTCTAAAAGTAAGCTGTGTTTATGTAACCACATTTGCAGTTATTGTATTATTAGAACATAAATATTACAATTGTAAATGTAAAGTTTCCCCTTTGGGATAGCTAAACAACTACAGAATCATGCGTAATAAACTTGAAACTTGCAAATTATAATTTGATTACAAAATTATATTTGGCATTATTATGAACTTTAAAAAAATTGAAAAGAAACAAGCTATATTTTATTTTCTGTTTTGTTCTTTCTTATATATGAATTAATTTGTTCAAAGATGAGAAATAAGAACTAAAGTACCATTATTTATATTTAAATTGGTGAATATTCCTCAAAGTGTAGTCCCTGGACTAGCATCATCAGTGTCATAGAGGAATCATGCAAATTTTCTGGTCCTAACCCAAGACCTATTGGATTAAAAACTGGTGCTAGGACCCAACATTGTTTTACCAAGCCCAACAGGTGATTCTGATGCAGCACAATTTAAGAGCCACTGGCTTAAATTGAAAGAAAAAAACAAAAACAAAAACAACACAAAAACAGCTCTTAATTAGAAAGTAAGCTATTCTTAAATAGTAAAAACCAATGAAAACTTTATTTAAAATGCAAACAAAGGTTTACAGAATAAAATTAAAATAAAAGCAAACATTAAATAATAGATGAGTAGGTCTTTATTGTTCATAAATTTTTTTTTAGAAATTCTAGGGCCGGGCGCGGTGGCTCACGCCTGTAATCCCAGCACTTTGGGAGGCCGAGGCAGGTGGATCATGAGGTCAGGAGATCGAGACCATCCTGGCTAACAAGGTGAAACCCCGTCTCTACTAAAAATACAAAAAATTAGCCGGGCGCGGTGGCGGGCGCCTGTAGTCCCAGCTACTCGGGAGGCTGAGGCAGGAGAATGGTGTGAACCCGGGAAGCGGAGCTTGCAGTGAGCCGAGATTGCGCCACTGCAGTCCGCAGTCCGGCCTGGGCGACAGAGCGAGACTCCGTCTCAAAAAAAAAAAAAAAAAAAAAAAAAAAATTCTAAAATGTGTTTGCTTTTCATAATCTTAGAAAGAATTAGAAATTCTAATGAAATTTATTATATGAATTTGAATATTGCATATGATACTCTATGCTTGTTGAATATGATGACTTCATTCATAGGGTCAGGTTATACATAATTGTCAATGGCCAGTTTGCTACTCACATGTAAAACGATATAATTTTAAAACCATAGAAGTGAATGTTTAGTAATTAGCTTCTTAATGAAGAATTTGGAAGTGAGCCTATTTTTTTGGCTTTGTTAACAATGAGTTTATTAGCCCTGCTCTAATGAAACTCACATTTTTCTCTCTCTGCTTACCGAATGAGCTGTTTAAAGGCAAAGATCAAGAGCTTTGCTTAGTAAACAAAAATTAACAAACTCACAGCAGGTGTTGTCAGCCTGATATTCGAGTTTCATAGGGAAGTAATTTAAACACATCAATGAAAGCAAGACTGTAGAAACTATTAGTTTAAATTTATTATCTTTTATGGCTATTTCTTAAGAAATTCATAGTCTTTCGAGGGTAATTTTAATAATTTGCCATCTATTTTGCCCATAAATCTATTTTTTCTAATTTAGGGCTAATATTGTTTTACTAGGTGCTAAGGAACCCATATAAAGGATAGATGTATTTAATTCAATGCTTTCTTGTAATAAATTGTTAAGAGCAGTTATTAGAGTTGACCATCAAACTGATAAAAACCTCTATGAGCAGTGAAGAAAATTGCAGTGTGGGGTACACTAGTATAAGAGTTTAAGTTTTTATTTAGCAAACATTTATTGACCACTTTTTATATGCTAGAGCAGTGGTTCTCAAAGTGTAGTTCCAATGCAGGCAACATTACCATTATCTGGAAACTTATTAGACATGATAACCCAAAGGTATGCAACCCTAGATCTATTGAATTGTAAAGTCCGAGTCTGGGAGCAACAATCTGCACTTGTTAAAATTATGTCCACATGTTTCTAAAACCCATTAACATTATGAAACCACTATCCCAGTGAAGCAGTATAGTATTTACTGACTATATAAATATGGAAAGATACAAAAGAAGGAAGGGAATGAGAGAAAAAAGAGATAGAGGGAGAATAAAAGATGTATGGATGGATAAAGCACAATTTCTACTTTAAATTTGTTCACAGTCTAGGAGAGAAGAGAGCTATATCAGTAATAAATGTAAGTGAATAGGCTTCAAGAAAGATATGTGCTGGGTTATTTGACAACATTATAGGACTGGTTAATACCTAAGAGTTAGTGGAGAAAGCTATACCTGAGAAGTTATGAAGGGGATTGGTAGATAAGTTTCAGATAAGAGTCTGTCTGTATTATACTTCACCTCTTTCCTTCTCTGCCTCATGTTTAGATTATGTTTCCATGTTTGGTTTAGTAAATCAATTATTATTACTGATTATTTATACTGAAAACAGTGTTTTTCATAATTAGATTAGTAATAAATATAATTAAAGGCAATTGGGTGGCTATTTTACATTGCAAAGCATTTATTTATTCATCACTTCAATTTAGTTTTAAAAGATAGTTCTATGCATTAAAGAGATTAGTTATAATTTTGCTTTGTCAAATAAGGAACTGAAGCATGGAACGATTGACTTGTTACCTCTGGGTGTTGAAGCTACTTAAGGGGAGAGATGAGACTCAATATGTTATCTCACCATGATCCTTAGGGTCTTCCCTTCATCCACATTGTTTTTCTCTGCACGACTTAAAATAAGCACAAATTAACTCAAATTTTGGCCACCTTGCCAAGCACCATGGCTCATGCCTGTAATCCTAGCACTTTGGAAAGCCAATGTGGGTAGATCTCTTGAGACCAGGAGTTCGAGACCAGCCTGGGCAATGAGGTGAAACCCCATCTCTACAAAAAATGCAAAAATTAGCTGGGCATGGTTGTGTGCACCTACAGTCCCGGCCACTCTGAAGGCTGAGGTGGGAGAAGCGCTTGAGCCCAGGAGGTCAAAGCTGCAGTGAGCTGCGATGGCACCACTGCACTCCAACCTCAGCAACAGAGTGAGACCCTGTCTCAAAAAAAAAAAAAAAATACAACCAAAAAACAACAATAACAACAAAAACTGGCCATCAATGAGGAGTTTATGTTCTATTTGTCTCAAAAAATGGCATGTATAGTAAAATATGTCATGCAAAAACATTTTCAAAGTATATATGAAACAAAAATAAAATAATTTATAATTAAATAGTTATGAAGGTACAGAACAACTCACAAAGGCCAATATTTCTCTGTATGAAGCAGTCAACAAAAACATATATGGGCTCTGCAGCCTGATTGTTAAATAGTTAAATCTTAGGTTGACTATGTCTTTCATGGTGCTTAACCATGCAGACTGATAGTTAAATCCTGAATTTTGTTATTATTAAGTTTTTAATGTTATATCTTTAAAACGAAACTCAGTCAAGTTAAAAAAAAAGAAGTGAACAATATCTACAAAAGCCTAACAAATATATTTCCTAAATGATGCACCATCAGAAAGCTATCGTTTTTTACTTAAAGTAGATAGAAAGTTTATTGTTTACCTTCTTAGTATACTCTGAATAGTTATTAAATTAATTATGTTACAGATATTTCTATACATCCTAATAAAATTTGCAATAATATTGATGAATAAATTGTTTTCTTCTATTTTCAGTATATAACATTAACTGTTTATTATTTTAGATTTTTGAAATTAAATGGACAGAATTTTCATTTGTAAATGAATTTTGTCAAAATTAAAGTTTGTTTCAACAGCAAATTACATATAGAAAATTGAAATAAATTTTGAAAACTGAATGATTTTCTCTAATTTTATAAACGTTAAGATGATGTTTATTCAGCATTAACTCAGCATTTCACTATATCCCATGTTGGTTTTATAAATATTGAATAATTATACAGGTTCTATTTAAATAATCAGTATAGGACTACACATTATTTGATCAACCACATGCTCAAAGAAGATGTTAAAACAATTATTTGCAAGTGTATGAATCAAAAATGCATTTATTTTGCATTATCAAAATATCTGTTGATTGCTGTAGTTTTAAGTAATTGTTTTCCAGAATTTAAGATAATTTTAATAATGAAGTTTTCACATTCAGAATAAAGTTAGAAGTTAACTATCAGTAAGAATTTTTAAATCATAACAGTGTCCTGCAATCAGTGGAAGCATGTTACAGATAAGTGCATGTATATGTGTACAGGAATGGTTATCCCTTCTATTTCTAGTTCAAAATTGATAAAATCTTGAGAATTTTCTATAAGTTACTGAAGCCTAGCAAATTAACTTTAGCCATTACTTTTGTGATAGTGACATCTGAAATAGGCAACGAAAAGTTTTCCAGTTTTCCACCAGGAACTTGAAAACGTTGATAATCTTGCAATTAAAAAACATTTAAATGCATATCGTATTGTTTTTTACTTGAAGAATCCATCTGGATTCTCTCTTTTCTAAGTCCATTTGTTTAAGTCTTCTTTTCAAAAGGTCAAAGTCCATGTATTAATTTTATATTATGCTCTATTACAAGTAAACAGCAAAACAAAACAAAAAATAGAAAATATTTTAGTTTCCTTAGTAAGCTTAATATTATTATTTCCTTAGTTTAGGAGGTTGAATGGTATCCCCCCAACATACGTCAACCAGTAATCTTCCCATGTAGACTTATTTGCAATAAGTTTATTTGCAGGTATAATTAGGGTTAGGATCTTTCGAAGAGATCATCTTAAAATAGGGTGTGCCCTGAATACAATGACAAGTGTTTTTGTAAGAGACAGAAAAGAAGACACATACACACAAGACAGAAGGCCACATGAAGATGGGGGAAGAGATTAGAGTCATATAGTTACAAGCTAAGGAATGCCAAGGATTGCCAGAAGGTACCAAACTCTTAAAAATAAGCATGAAGCAGATTCTCCCCCTGAGCCTCCAGAAGGAATCAGCCCTGCCACCTTGATTTCAGATTTCTGCTTTCTGGAACTGTGAGAGAATACATTTCTGTTTTTTAAAGCCACCAAGTTTGTGGTGATTTGTTACAGCAGCCCTAGGAAATAAATACATTGATTATAGATGCTAAGTCAATACTTAAAAAATTATCTGTCCATCATTCATTGCCCACCAAGTACATTTCTGTAGATGTAAATTGAAGTTACATCACTTGTACATTAGAAAAGTTTATTATAATCTCTGTTACAAAATTTTGCTGGGGATTCTTAATGTCTCCACCTTTAGAATCAACTCAATTTTATTGAATCAGACAGAATTCAATTATAAACAAGAAAAACAAACAAACACAGACCAATTTAGGTATTTTAAGAAAGATATCTCTAAGAGAATTAGATGTTCACAAAATTGTTGGGAGGGTAGAGGCAGTGTTTTCTTGTCTGAATCCCCTTGAATAATTTTTCCATGTAATTAAACAATGATTTGCTGTGGGTACTTATGCCCTAAGGCAACCTTTTGAGTTTTGGTTACAGTAAAAACTTCACCACTATAACACCTGTCTCTCAATATTCAGAAAGCTGTAGAATGAAGAACCACAGCTTTGGTTTAAGTAACACAAGTCAAATTGCTTACTAGCAGCCATAGCCAAAAACCTTACTTCTGCTTTTTAAATCAGTTGTGACTGCATCTAATTGGTAAAACCAAAGTCAAGTCCAGAATTCTAGCTACAAAGAATTTTGTGAAATGTATATTTTAGCTTCTCAACTCCCTACATGTACAATTGCCTTACATTTGGTTTCATGCTTTGCTGTTGACATGTTGGAATTCTTAAGAATTGAGTAAAAAGCCCAATATTCTTATTTTGCATTGAGTCCCCCAAATTATGGAGCTGGTACTATTAATAATCTTTACAGTTCTGACATGTTACCAAGTTCTAATATTGCAAAGATATCTGTTAGGGTATTTCTTTTATTACTTGTCCCTCTAAATCTCAATTTCCTGGATTCTATTGTTATATTGTTTCTTGATGCTGACTGTTGGTGGAATCACAGTTTTCTGCATCTTCTCAAATTACTGGACTTGGAAGTCTGCCAGTATCCACTTATTATCTTTGTCTGGAGTTCCATAATACTCCTACTATCTGAATACTTCTATCCTTCACTCACAGTTACACTATCCTAATGCTGAAATGTTCCGCTGCTTCAGATTTTATTTGCTCTCTCATACCCAATTCTACTTGAAACTAATATCCTGTTGATATGGTTTGGATCTGTGTCCCCAACCAAGTATCATGTTCAATTGTAATCCCCAATGTTGGATGTGGAGCTGGTGGGAGGTGATTGAATCAAGGAGGTGCATCCTTCATGAATGGTTTAGAACCATCCCTTTGGTGCTGTTTTTGTGATATAATTCTCAAAATATCTGGTTAAAAGTGTATGGAACCTCCCCACCTTTGTCTTTCTCCCACCATGTAAGACACCTCAGTCTCCCTTGGCCTTCTGTCATAATTGTAAGTTTCCTGAGGCCTCCCCAGAAGCTGAGCAGTTACCAGAATCATGCTTTCTGTACAGCTGCAGAACCAGCAGCCAATTAAACCTCTTTTCTTTGTAAATTACCCAGTCTCAGGTATTTCTTTATAACAGTATGGCAACGGACTAATACAGAAAATTGATACTGAGATGTGGGGCATTGCTCTAAAGATACTTGAAAATGTGGAAGCCACTTTGGAACTGGGTAATGGACAAAGGTTGGAAGAGTTTGGAGGGCTCAAAAGAAATCAGAAATATGAGAAAAAATTTAGAACTTCCTAGAGACTTGTTGAATAGTTGTGACCCAAATGCTGATAGTGATATGGACAGGGAAGGCAAGGCTGATTAAGTCTTAGACAGAGATGAGGAACTTATTGGAAATTGTGGCAAAGTTCACTTTTGTTATGCTTTAGCTTAGAACCTTAGTACATTTTGTCCCTGCCCTAGGGAATTTTGAATTTCAGAGAGCTGATTTATGGTATCTGGCAGAAGAAAATTTTAAGCAGCAAAGCATTGAAAATGTGACCTGGGTGCTTCTAACAACACAGGCTTATGTGCGTGAGCAAAGAAAGGACCAGATATTGGAACTAATATTTAAAAGGGATGCAGAGCATAAATGTTTGGAAACACTGCAATCTGGCCAGGTGGTAGAAAGAAAAGCTCATTTTTGGGGAGGAATTCAAGCAGGTTGCAGAAATTTGCATAACTGAAAGGAAGGCAAATGCTGATAACCAAGATGATGGGACAAAGGTCTTGAAGGTATTTTAGAGTCCTTCATGGTAGCCCCTCCCATCACAGGCCCATAGGCCTAGGGGGTCCGAATAGTTTCCTGAGACAAGACCAGGCCTCTGCTGCCCTGCTTAGCCTCAGGGCACTGATTCTTGCATCCCAGCCACTCCAGTTCCAACTGTGGCTAAAAGGGGCTAATGTACAGCTTGGGCTGATGCTTCAGAGAGTGCAAGCCATAAGCCTTGGAGACTTCCATGTGGTGTTAAGCCTGCGCTTGCACACAGTACAAGATTTGAGGCTTGGGAGCTTCCACCTAGATTTCAGAGGATGTATGGAAAAGCCTAGATATCCAGGAATAAGCCTACTGCATTATTGGAGCCCTCACAGAGAAACTATACTAGGCCAGTGTGGAGGAGAAATGTGGGGTTGGAGCCCTCACACAGAGTCCCCACTGGGATACTGCTGTGAGAAGAGGACCACTGTCCTCTGGTGGAGCTGCAAGAAAAGGGCCACTGTCCTCCAGACCCTAGAATGTAGATACACTAGCAGCTTGCACCTTGCATCTGTACAAACTACAGGCACTAAAAAGGAAGCCTTGAGAGCAGCCATGAGGGCTGAATCTTGCAAAGCTATGGAGACGGACCTGCCCATGGCTTTGAGAGCTCACTCTTCGCACCAGTGTGCCCTGGATGTAGACATAGAGTCAAGGTAAATTATTTTGGAGCATTAAGATGTAATGACTGCCCTGCTGGGCTTTGGACTTGCATGAGGTCTGGAGCCCCTTTCTTTTGGCTGATTTCCCCCTTTTTGTATGGCAGTATTTACCCATTGCCTATATCCACATTGTATCTTGCAAGTAAACTACTTGTTTTTGATTTTACAGGTTCATAGGTGGAAGGGACTATCCTTTTCTCAGATAAGACTTTGGACTTTGGAGTTTTGAGTTAAGGCTGGAATGACTTAAGACATTGCGGGACTGTTGGGAAGGCATGACTTTATTTTGCAATGTGTGAAGGACATAAAATTTGGGAGGGGTCAGAGGTGAAATGATGTGGTTTGGATCTATGTCCCCATCCAATTGTCATATTCGATTGTAATCCCCAGTGTTGGAGGTAAGGCCTGGTGGGAGGTGATTAGATTCATCATGGGCATGCATCCTTCATGAGTAACTTAGAACCATCCCTTTGGTGTTGTTTTTGTGATAGAGTTCTCATGAGATCTGGTTGTTTAAAAGTGTTTGGCATCTCCCCACTTCCTCCTGCTGCCATCATGTGAAACACCTTGCTCTCCCTTTGCCTTCCATCATGACTGTTTCCTGAGGCCTTCCTAGGAGCCAAGCAGATGCCAGAATCATGCATTCTGTATAGCCTATGGAACCACCTATTTTCTGTATAAATTACCCAGTCACAGGTATTTATTTATAGCAGCATGAGAATGGGCTAATAGACCTGCCTTAGAATATAGACAGATACATGGTACATTGCATCACTAGTATGACTTTTCTACCACTGACCAGGGAAGACAGTCATGCATTTAAGCATTACAACACAGCTTTCCTCAAGTTTATTTTATATCTTAAATAAGGATACTGTGTGTGTTATAGCTACATGACAGGAGGCAGTTTGTAATTTAGTTTAAAGCTGACCAATTAGGAAATGTGGAGACCTTACTTCACATCTCAGTTATGCAGTTAACTACACATGAGACCTCTGCATATCTCCTTCTTCCTCTTTCTCAGCCTATAAGTTAGAGAGACCATACAAATGGCCTGTTAGTTCCCCTCCAACACAGCCTTTTTTTTTTTTTTACAACTATGCCAACAAGCATAGTTCAGTAGGTCATGTTATAAAGAAAAAAATACACAATTTTTCTCCTAATAGTGCACTGTGGATGCAAGGCAATGTGACTTGCAGTCAAATGTGGCATGCTGTCTCCATGCTGTATGCAGTCATGCTAAATAAAAGTTAATTTTAACTGAAAGACAAACTGTGTTTGTTCTGCCTGACAGGAAACTAGTGCTATCTTCTCAGTATTCACACAAGCAAACTGATATTAAAATGTGCTACTGTGCTGGGGTTTGACTACTCAATTCCTGCAGAAAGGGGAGATCCAAGTTGAGAGAAACATGATTAAAATAAGAAGAGGAACAAATAGTAGCATGAGAGTGGTTGAAGATGAAATTGACAAAATGTTTTTTAGACAGTTTACCCCAAGCCACTGCATCTTTTGGGTGTTAAGAAAGGCTATAAAACGTGTTGCTATAACAACACTAATTAATTATGGTGGAATTTCATGCACTGTAGCTTAGAGCCAATTTACGATGCTCTTATTATATGTCACACAAAATGTGGCAAAAATGATTACATTGAAGTGTTTTGAAATATGAGATGATATGCAGGACCACTTTTATTATTTTATTATATTATTGTAATAGAGACACTTTTAACCTATGCCTCGGTTATGTCCATAATATCATTTTGATTATAAACATATGCCAACGCCATCAGAGTTAATTGAGCTTAGAGTATACAGACACCATGGATATTCTTTGAAGTTAAAGGTAAATTGAGATAAAGGGAAAGATTTGTGGAGCCCAGGTTACCACTAGTACTAACATAAAGGCCTGAAAAAAGCCATGGCTCTCAATGTGCTTGTTGCAATTAGTCCCAGAGATTCCACAACGGCTTCAGTAACCATCTAACAGGCAGATGAAATCCAATGTATGCAAGAAAGAATCTGAGATATATATATATATATATAGAATATGTTCAAAACAATAAATAAAATTCGAGTACCCAGATGTCTAAGTAGTACCTGGACATTATAAAATGTCATTGTCAATGTTGTAGTTACTGAATTTATATCTTCTTTTCCCTCCCACAAATGACACATTTTCTGTAGTTTTATGCAATAATTGCTACTACAAAAAACAACTGTATTAAAATCCAAATAATTTATTTCTCTTGAGGATTTATTTCTATAACATACCTCAAGCAATTACAAATTCTGAAGAAAGGTTAAAATCAACTCTCAGCTTAATATCTGATTTAAAATCTTTAGCTAATTCATTTGGAGAGATGCCTATATGTTCCTAAGGTGGAGATAGCTGTTAATATTAGATCACAGACCACTAAGTAACTTACTAGGTGAGGAGAAATTTGAACTCTCAGCAGTGATTAAAATAATAAAAACACAGCAACAATCAACTGTCTCATAATGTAGATTGAAGAAAAGCGGACATTTAGAAGACAAGGTGGACACTTCCCATTTAGCAGTGTCGAACCTGATTCTCATGTTCCTGCATTGGGCTGCCAGCTGTGTAAGGGGCTGCCAAAGACTGTGATTCCCCTGCAGACATAACAACAGCTGTAATGCCACCTGTGTAAGGAGATGTGCTTGAGAGACGAGAGAATTACATTGACCTCAGGCTGGTTTTGTCTTTCTCTAATTTCTGCACCACTGTCAGATTTGAGAAAGTAAATCACCATCTTCTGATATTGTTTCGTCAGACCCCCACCACACAGTGCTCTCTGTAGGGCACCGGGTAGAAATCATAAGCATATAAATATAAAATCCATCAGAAAAAAGGACCTGAGCTCTCTGGTCCTTTTAGATAAATCTAAATTAGATGGAGGATGAAGGATTGATTCAATGTAGAGTTGTGATAACAAGGAGTAAAAACGACTAAGTGTCTAATGGTGGAGTTCATCATCATCTAACCTTAGGGAATCTGTGGTTATTAGTCAAGAGTTCCCAGGAGAGGTCTGTTTTCAGCCAAAAAGGAAAGAACTGCAAGTGATTTATTTTCTTGATGTGAAATAGAATGTTGGTGCAGTACTATGAGGAATTAGAAAAGAATGTTCAAAAAATTACATACATATAAAATGTATATATATGTACATTTATGTTTATAGTGTCTATGTATATTAAAAAAGTTAAAATAAACTAATGTTAATCTAATCAGAATAAAAGAGTGAAGGAGAAAGTATAATAATGAAGTAATGGATTAAGGCAATATTGTGATAAGTATTTTGAAGATCAGCTATGAACTAATAGAACAAAGGAAAATGAAATGAAAATAAAAAGAATTGTCTTACACTATGTGGATCATCATGCAGTCATTGTTACAGACAAATTCTCACGGATTTCAGTTGGGGCTTTGGACAAAACAAGAAGACATGTGCTTTGGTATATTACCTAGAACTACAATGTTTATTTTAGCTGCATATTCATTAGTAATACATTTTGTAAAATTAAAGAGAAGATATTACTTGACAAATGTAAAAAAAAAGTCTTACCTATATTTTTAAGAAGGTTAGCAACTTTAAAAAAATACAAAAGGATTATGTTTCAGAATTATTTAAATTAATCACATTAATATGTACCAGTGACTTTTATCAATTAACCAGAAATCTGGGTCTATCAGCAGAATTTATCCATCCATCTTTGCTGTGAAACTGGTAACGAATTTGTTTAAATTATTGGCCTTTTAATTTACCTCATTTCGTCTCCTGTCTGAGAAGCCTGTTTATTTTCAGGCAGCTGCATATGTTGGCATGATTGATGAGATCTGCTACAGTCAAGCAAGCAGCCCTGGGTGACCAGTTTACCCTTCCCTGCGAGGGTTCCAGCTGCCAGTTGCCCCCATTCTGTGACAGCTTCTCCTTCTCCTCACCTTGTCATCCAGCCAAGATTGTACACTGTAGGAGTACAGGTGAGCATCTGCCTCCATAATCATTGCCAACAGCCCTCCATTATCAACTGCCAGGGGTGCTTCAAAGCAATGTGGAGTTCTTTCTCTTGACACAGGGACCAAGTGTATTTATGCCTGAAACAAACTCTGCCTTTGCTGACTAGGGAAACTCACATGTAAAATGTTTTTTTTTAATTGCATCACAAATCACTACAGTATTATAAAACAGGTCGTAGCATCCTCCAGCCCTCACCACCATGACCCCCATCAGGTATTGTACATTAGACTATGTAAAGACCTTTCACTTAAAAATAGGGATTTTCTCCCTGGTTATTATATTCTCATATAAAAGAAAAAATAAAAAGCTCTGTCAAACATTTTCACTCCAGCGTCGTGTAAATTAAATCTACCTATAAAGGTGAATTATCTTACAACATCTGTCCTTCTGTTTGTACAGCCACACCATGTGTGGATCAGAAATAAACAAGACAGATAATTTGTGTATAGCAACATTAAAGTGAATTCTACTGTTTTGGTTTTTAACTGCATGATGTTAAAATTTTTATTGTTAAATGATCTATGGTTGTAATTTAATATTTACTGAGAGTCCACAGTAATCTAGGAACTATATGGACTATAAATAAGATGTAACTCCTGCTTTTAAAATGAACTAAATTTCTATTGTAATATATATTATGAATTATATTTATGCATTTACTTTGTATAGAGAATATGATGCATAATTTTGACAGTGATATGTGTCTGTCAGAATAACAATGCAATTGCCTCAAAATAGTCAAAAGAGACATTGTTATACAATGCTTATTAAGATCAAAGGCTTTTTCAGAGAAATATTATATTTTAAATCTGGGCTGCTACATACCAGCTGCAAGATCTTGGACAAGTTATTTAACTTCACAGAATGTTAAGTTTCCTTATCTTCAAATGGAGATAATAAAATTTACCTTGTCTGGTAGTTCTGAGAATTGAGTATGAAAATATATGTAAACATATGTAAAGCTCTTAGTGCAATGCTTGACACATGGATCTTATTATTACTAAAGCAGTAAATGAAGAACATAAGGATTGCTTATTGATAGCTTCTGATACAGCCATGATCCCCACACCAAGAAACTTGTATCAGTTGAAGTTCATTAATATACCTATATATAAAAATAGACATGGTATATAAATATAGTGGTGGAAGAGGTTTTTTTTATTGAATTATTGTCCCATATAGAGATATTTAATCTGAATTAACAAGTAAGAGAAACTATTCTGAATTGTCTCCTCTATAAAGACAGGGTGTTCAAGGTATATTAAGTCTTCTAATTATGTGCTAACTTGCACTTTTGTAAGCTTGACACATAGTTGGTCTCTTTAACTTTTGGAGTCTATTTCTCACATGTAAAATGATCCACTTAATAATTTACAGTGTACACCTGCCTTTCCCTAGCTTCATATCTCCTGTCTTTAAGCAATAATGGAATGTCTTTTTGTGGAATTGTTCAAAAATTTAGCTAATGACAATACTTCTCATTGTACATAACAATTATGAACAATTAATATATCTAATTCTCAGTTTCTTTATAAATAGCATAGTAATGAGTATCAATGAAATAATTATGGAAAAGAGTATTGTGCTTCATGTATTTTTTGTTTATAATTAATAGTATTCTTGTTATTATATTTTTTTATATTTAAGTTTAACTAAAATTAGGAAATTGAATTTTATGGTCACATCTAACTCAATTTAGACTACTAATGCTATTGATTCCTAGATCACGAATGGAGGCTTGAGGTGATTTTGCAAAAAAAAGTTTTGCATACTCTGCAGCGTATGTTTCCCTTATTCTAAGCCTCAGAATATGGAGAGAGACTTGTGTTTGTACATTTGGTCTGAAATCCTCACCAGGGGCTACAGTTCCCCCTAATTAATCCACATGTACATGTAGCTCTCCAGGAAATGCCCTTCAGGATGTGCATGTGATCACAGCTGACAGCAAAAAAGCAAAATATGCTCAGTGTAGGAAAATTCTTTTTTCTTTTCTTTTCTTTTCTCTTTTCTTTACTCTTTCTTTCTTTCTTTCTTTCCTTCCTTCCTTCCTTCCTTCCTTCCTTCCTTCCTTCCTTCCTTCCTTCTTTCTTTCTTTCTCTTTCTTTCTTTCTTTCTTTCTTTCTTTCTTTCTTTCTTTCTTTCTTTCTTTCTTTCTTTCTTTCTCTCTCTCTCTCTTTTCTTTCTTTCTTTGTTTCTTTCCTCTGTCTTTTTGTCTTGGAAAGAACACAAATGACTATCATGACTATGATTATTAGTCACATTGGATTAGAAGTAATCTATCAACAATATGATTTACTAAAATAGCATTCTGACCACAAACAATATTGACTTTAATTATATTTTAGTTGTTATTCATGCTCTAATGTTGGCAGAAAAAGGAAGACAGAAACAAAAGAAATATGGATGAACACAAAACAGCTAGGTTACTTTGCATCATAACCTCAAGGTGGAGAGGTCTTTGGGTACTCACAGCAGGGAAGAGGCCAGTATCTTGCAGCATAACAAATGGATGTCACACATGAATGAGAAGGCAGAAGGGCAGTATTCAGACTAAATTTGCTGGACATTTTATCCTAGTAGGTGAGCACTGAAGCAGTGCATATGCCAGGGCTCTTGGGTTAATATAGAAGGATATGGATAATATTTTGTAAGTAAAAAATGACTGAGAAGGAGTGAAACATTTGATGCACTAAAGCATGAAATGGAAGATGGATTAAAAGGATATATTAAAAATGTTCATGTATATTCAACTGGCCTAAGAGAAAAGTATTCTTTATTTCATATTCTCCTATTTTTGGTAAACTATGACCTAAAAATCATTTCTATGTTTCACACACACACTGGAATATATCTATTTTCCCATGGAAATTGAGATAAAAATTAGCATCAAATGATATATAACATAGTAATATTATGATTAGTATCTATTGCCTTGCACGCTGTGGTCAAACTCATAACAATTCATATGAATGTAGAATATATAATATATATGTATTGTAATTTGTGTAATATGATGAGTGCTGCCAGACAAATTAATATATTTAAAACATTAAACATAGTAACTGCTTTGATGGCTCCTTTCTGAGAAAGCCAGTATCTGTTATGCTAAGTTTTTGTTATCCTGAATTATTTGGGAGGTCATACAACTTTCATTCCTGGAAATTCAAATGTGTCCTACAGCCGTGAAACAGTCCCAAAAATGTAGGCTTAAGGTAATACATTTGTAAAATATTGAATTGCCTTTTTTCATGTAATAATAAATGTGGGATCTCTTGCTCCTGCTCTTGCTATGTGACATGCCTGATCTAGCTTTCCCTTTTACCATGAGTAAAAGCTTCATGAGGCCTCCCCAGAATCTGAGTAGATACCAGTATCATGCTTGTTCAGCCTGCAGAACCAACTCTTAGGTATATTCAGCCAATATGGTCAACTAGACATAGCCAGCAAGAACATCTCCCATTGAGACTGGGACATTGGGAAGACCAACACACTACTGGCAGATCTTTGAAAGGAGGGCATTGAGAGTGGGCAGGGGAGGATACAAATACTAGGCTGAAGAGGGACGAAGCTGGGAACCCTGGACAGGGCTGCCAAGCACTGGGACTTGTTCTTGGTCCCCAGAAACTCTTGGGGAAGGGGTAAATTGAACAGGTAAAGAATGGACCACTCTTGCCACAGGCCTCTTGAATCCTGGTAGCAAAAGACCCCAAGAACCTCACAGACACTTAAGCTGGCAGGCAGAGCTGCTTAGAGGGGAGGCAAGGGCAGAACTCCAGCCTGTGTGGAGCCTAGAGGTTTTGGCAGAGGAATGGCTACAGTGGAGCATGGCCAGGGTCGCCCAACCCCCAAGGCTTGCCATCTTTCTCTTAAAGACTTTAGCCTGGGAGACTGTCAGACCTGCACAGAGTAGGAGCTTGTGTGCTTTTCAGGGAACTTAATCACAGCTCCTTCACCAGCAGACTACAACTGTCTGTCAGATAGCTCCAGTAGTCCAGCCTCTGATGACATACACCAGCCCACCTGCAGCCTCCCCCCATTGCAGACTCCCTCTGCCACTTTTCCAGCATGCACTCACCCATGATTGCACTTCACCTATTTACTGGTGTGCAGGTGTGGGAGGACTTTGTCTCCTCTTTCCTGCTGCCATTTCATGTGTACATGTATCCTACCACCACATTATTGCCAGCATGAGTGCACTCCACTGCCCTGCCACTGCTGATGTGGTGGGCACACCACCATGCAGCTGCTGCTGGTGTGAACACACACTCAAATGCCACCTGCTGCACTCCACCAGTGCCATGCCCATAGTGATGTGTGGGTAACCTGCCATACTCCTGCCACTGCCAGTGCAAGTGCAAACACAAACACCAGCTGCTCCACCCCTACTGGTGCCCTGCCCCTGCTGCGCCACAACAGCTGCTAGCATGTGGAAGCAAGAATGTATCTCACTGCCACTGCCCCAACACAGTGCTTTGGCTGGCACCCCTCATCAGATTGTTGTGGCCAGAAGACTAGGAATATCTTGCCTTTCTAGCACAAGAGATTACTAACTTTGAGGGGCCAGAGAACAAAGCTGGTGGCCTGGTACCAGCCCTCCAGAATTAGAACACACAGTCCAGAAGTGCTGAGCTGACCCTTGGACCCCTAAAATCCTCCAGAAACAGAACCAGTTGGCTGAACCCACCTTATACCACAATTGAACTCCCAGGTATATCAAAGAAGATAAAAGAAAAAAAATGTTATCCAAAGGACAGCAACATCCTTTGAGAATAAAGGAATTTCAGCCCACACAGATGAGAAAGAATCATTGCAAGAGCCCTGGAAACTCAAAATGACAGCATCTTCTTACCTCCAAATGATTTTATTAATTCCCTAGCAATGGTTCTTAACCAGATGAAACGGCTGAAATGACAGAAATAGAATTCAGAATATCGATAGAAATAAAAATCAAGAATCAGGATATTTTGGGAGGCCGAGGCAGGTGGATCGTGAGGTCAAGAGATCAAGACCATCCTGACTAACATGGTGAAACCCCATCCCTACTAAAAATACAAAAATTAGCTGAGCATGGTGGCATGCTCCTGTAGTCCCAGCTACTTAGGAGGCTGAGGCAGAAGAATCACTTGAACCCGGGAGGCAGAGGTTGCAGTGAGCTGAGATTGTGCCACTGCACTAAAGCCTGGTGATAGAGTGAGACTCCATCTAAAGAAAGAAAAAAGAAAAAGAATCCGGAGAAAGTCTAACCTAATCCATGGAATCTGAGAGATACAATAAAGTTACACAGGAGCTGAAAGATATACCGGCCATTTTATGAAAAGAGCAAGCTCACCTTGTAGAGCTAAAAATACACAACAAGAATTTCATAATAAAATTGCAATCATTAACAGTGGAATAGATCAAGCTGAAAAAAGACTCTTAGAGCCTGAAGACCACTTCTCCAGGTTAACTCAGTCAGAAAAAATAAAGAATAAAGAAGAATGAATAAAGCCTCCAAGAAATATGAGATTATGTAAAGAACCAAATGAATGACTCATTGATATTCCTGAATGAGAGAGACAGAAAGCAAGCAACTTGGAAAAAATATTCTGATATATTGTCCATGAAAATTTTCCAGACTTATCTAGAGAGGCCAACATTCAAATACAAGAAATGCAGAGAAAGCCTGAGAGATACAGTATAACATGAGCATTGCCAAGACACATAGTCATCAGATTTTCCAAGGTCAAAATGCAATAAAAAATATGAAAGACACTGAGACAGAGGGGACAGGTCACCTACAAAAGGAACCCGATCAAGCTAACAGTGAACTTTTCTACAAAAAAATACTACAGACCAGAAGAAATTGGGGACCTATATTCAGTATCCTCGAAGGAAAGAAATAATAAGAATTTCAGATCCAGCCAAACTAAACTTTGTAATCAAAGGATAAATAAGATGCTTTTCAGACAAGCAAATGCTAAAGGAATTCATTACCACTAGACCTGGCTTACAAGAGATACTTAAGGGGCTGCTAAATATGAAAACAAAAACCATTACCAGTCACAACAAAAACACACTACAGTACATAGACCACTGATATTATAAAACGACCACACAATTAAGCCTGCTTAGTAACCAGCTAAAAACATGATGAGGGGTCCAAATCCACACATATCTATATTAATGCTCAATGTAATGGGGCTAAATGCCCCAATTAAAAGGCACAGAGTAGCAAAATAGATAAAGAAGCAAGACCCAATGGAATGCTGTCTTCAAGAGACCCACCTCAAATGTAAAGACACCCATAGGCTCAAAGTAAAGGGATGAAGAAAAATCTACCAAGGAAATGGAAAATGGAGAAAAAGCATGAGTTGGTATTCTAATTTCAGGCAAAACAGACTTTAAACCAACAATGACTAAAAAAGAGAAAGAAGGGCATTACATAATGTTAAAAGGATCAATTAAAAAAGAAAACCTAATGATCTTAAATATATATGTATCCAATAGAGGAGCACCCAGATTCATGGAAAAAGTTCTTAGAGATCAATGAAGAATCTTAGATGAATAATAATAGCAAGAGACTTTAATATCACACTGATAGTATCAGACAGATCATTCAGGTAGAAAACTAACAAAGATATTAGGGACCTAATCTTGACACTTGACCTCATGTACCTAACAGACATCTATAGAAAACTCCACCCAACAAAAGCAGAATATACATTCTTGTTATCCTTACACAGCACCTACTCAAAAACTGAATACAAATGCAGCTGTGATGCAATTCTCAACAAATTTTAAGACAATTATACCAACCACATTTTTGGACCACAGTGCAATGAAAAGAAAAACCAACACCCAAATCTCTCAAAACCATATAATTACATGGAAATTAAATAATCTGTTTCAGAATGACTTTTGGGTAAACAATAAAATTGAGTCATAAGTAAAAAACATTTTTGAAACTAATGAGAACAAAGATAAACCATATCAAAATCTATGAAACACAGCTAAAACATTGTTGAAAGGAAAGTTTATAGCACTAAATGAACACATCAAAAAGGTAGAAAGACCACAAATTAACAATCTAACATCACACCTAGAGGAACTAGATAAACAAGAGCAAATCAACACCAAAGCTGTCAGCAGAAAAGAAATAACCAATAATAAGAGCTGAACTGAATGAAATTGAGGTGTGAAAACCACATAAAAAATCAACATATCTAGAAGTTTGTTCTCTGAAAGAATAAATAAGATTGATAGACCACTAGCTAGACTAACATTGAAAAAAAGAGAGAAGAACTAAATAAACAAAATCAGAAATGACAAAGGTGATAACACCACTGACCCCAGAGAAATACAAAAACCCTCAGGGACTATTATGAACACCTTTATGTACACAGATTAGAAAACCTACAAGAAATGAATAAATTTCTGGAAACATACAACCTCTGTCGATTAAACAAGGAAGAAATTGAAACCTTGAACAGACCAATAATGAGTTCCAAAACTGAATCAGTAATAAAAAGTCTACCAATTAGAAAGAGCTCAGGACCCGATGGATTCATAGCCAAATTCTAGCAAATATATAAAGAAGCGATGGTACCATACCTAATAAAACTATTCTAAACAATTGAGAAGAGGTGATTCCTCCCTAACTCATTCTATGAGGACAGCATCATTCTGACACCAAACCTGGCAGAGATACAACAAAAAAGTAAACTTTAGGCCAATATCACTGATCAACATGAATGCAAGGATCCTCAACAAAATATTAGCAAATCAAATCCAGTAGCATATCAAAAAAATGAATCTACCACAATCCAGTAGGTTTTATCCCTGGGATGCAAAGTTAGTTCAACCTACATAAATCAGTACATGTGGTTAATTACATAAACAGAAGTAAAAACAAACACCAAATGATCATCTCTATGGATGTAGAAGAGGCTTTCAATAAAATCCAGCATCCCGTCATCATAAAAACTCTCAAAAAACTAGATATCAAAAGAACGTACCTTAAAATAATGAGCTATTTATGGCAAACCCATAGCCAACATCATACTAAATGGAACGAAACTGGACACATTTCCTTTGAGAACTGGAACAGCACAAGGATGTTCACTCTCACCACTCGTATTCAACATCATACTGAAACTTCTAACCAAGGGAATAAGATAAAAAAAAATCCAAATAAGAAAGGAGAAAGTAAAACTACTTTTGTTTGTAGACAATATGATTCTATATGTGCAAAATCTCTGCCAAATAATCTCTATCAAATCCCATAATCTCTGCCAAAAATCTCCTAGGTCTGATAAACAACTTAAGCAAATTTTAGAATACAAAGTCAAAGTACAAAAATCAGTAGTATTCCCATATAGAAACAACATTCAAGCTTAGAGCCAAATCAAGAATGTAATACCATTCACAATAGACACAAAAAGAATAAAATATCTGGGAATATGGTTAACCAGGGAAGTGAAAAATCTCTGCAATGAGAATTACAAAACACTGCTGAAACGAATCAGAGATGCTGCAAACAAATGGAAAATTATTTTATGTTCATGGATAAATGAATATCATTAAAGAGGCCATACTGCCCAAAGCAATTTATGGATTCAATGTTATTCCCATCAAGCTACCTATAGCAACCTTCACAGAATTAGAAAAAACAATTTTAGAATTCCAATGAAACCAAAAAAGAGCCTGAATATCCAAGAAAATCCTAAGCAAAAAGAACAGAGCTAGAGTCTATCTGACTTCAAACTATACTACAAGGCTACCGTAACCCAAACAGCATAGTACTGGTACAAGGGAACAGAACTGAGAGCCCAGAAATAATGCCACACACCTACAACCATCTGATTTTCAACAAAGTTGACAAAAACAAGTAATCAGGAAAGGACTTCCTAGTCAATAAATGATGATGGGATAACTGGCTAACCATATGCAGAATACTGACACTGTTTCACTTATACCACATAAGAAAATAAACTCAAGATGAATTAAGGACTTAAAAATATGACCTACAACTATAAAAATCCTGGAGGATAACCTAGGAAATACCATTTTGGGCACAGGCCCTGACACAGGTTCTATAATGAAGATGTCAAAAACAACTGCAACAAAAACAAAAATTGACAGATGGACCTAGTTAAACTAAAAAGCTTCTGCACAAAAAATGAAATTGTCAGCAGAGTAAACAGACAGTCTACAAAATGGGAGAAAATATTTGCAAGCTATGCATCCAATAAAGGCCTAATATCCACAATCCATAAGGAATTTAAACAAATTTACAGGCAAGAAAACAAACAACCCCATTAAAAAGTGAGCAAATGATATGAACAGACACTTTTCAAAAGAAGACACAGATGTATGAAAAAATGCTCAAACCACTAATCATTAGAGAAGTATAAATCAAAACCCCAATGAGATACCATCTTAAACCAGTCGGAACAGCCATTATTAAAAACTAAAAAAATAAGAGATGCTGGTGAGGTTGTAAAGAAAAGGGAATGCTTATAAACTGTTGGGGGCAATGTGAGTTGGGTTAACCATTATGGAAAGCAGTTTGATGATTTCTGAAAGAACTTAAAGCAGAATTACCATTTGATCCAGCAATCCCATGATTGGGTATATACCCAAAGGAATATAAATTATTCTACCAGAAGGAAACATGGATGTGAATGTTCATCAGAGCACTATTCACAATTGCAAAGACATGGAATCAACCTAAATGCCCATCGGTGGTAGAATGGATAAGGAAAATAGGATACATATACCACGGAATACTATGCAGACATGAAAAGGAACAAGACCATGTCCTTTGCAGCAACGTGGATAAAGCTGGAGGCCATTAACTTAAGTGAACTAATGCAAGAACAGAAAACCAAATACCACGTGTCTCTCTTATATAGCAGGAATATGCATTGAGTGCACAGGGACACAAAGAAGAGAACAATAGACATCAGAGCCTACTTGAGAGTAGAGGGTTGGAGGAGGGTGATGATTGAAAAATTACCTATTAAGTACTGTACTTATTACCAGGATGATGAAATACATCATTGAACACTTGATAAACTCCTACTGATATGGCTAATGCTTTTCTTCTCCATACTGTAAAGATCCTCAGAAGTCAGTTGCTTTTACCTAGCTGTGCTAACAGTAAACCTTCAGAGCCTTGTTTCAGGGTTGTATCATTTTTTTTTCTTCTAGATATGATCTGATTTGCAGAGAGTTTGATCATCATGACATTCCACAAAGCCCCAGTCTTGTCCACTACATTGATGACATTGAGTTTATTGAATCTGATGTGTAAGAGGTAGCAATTACTATGACATAGTTTCGTAAGGTAAATTCTAGCCAGAATCTGGGCAGTAATTCCACAAAAATGCATGGATCCACCTCTTCATTAAAGTTTCGTGGTTTCAAATGTCTGGAATATGTCTATACTTGCCTCGAAGGTAGCAAATATATTTTTTCATTTTGCACTGTCACAAAAAAAATGTAAAAGCTCAATGCATGGCAGGGTTTTCAAGATTTTGGAGACAACATACCACAGTTGAGAGTGCTTCTTCAGCATATTTACCAAATCATATATTAAGGCTGCCTATATCTTTGAGAGCTATATAGTAAGAGGTGACTTTTCAATAAATACAGGCCAAAGTACAAGATGCTCTTCTCCATGGCCTAATGATTCAGTAAATCCATTGATATTCAAAGTATCTGTGGTAAATAGAGATGCTTTATAGGCCATTCTGATAGACACTAATAGAAGAACCACAAGGACAACTTCTAGGATTTTGGAGTAAATCAATGTTCTCTTCTGAAAGTAAATTTCCTACTTCTTGAGAATTAGCTTCTGACTTACTATTAGCCCTTAGAAGAGAACAAACTGAAGATGACATCAGGTGACCATACAGTCTGCATTTTCCAAGTCAAACGCATCTATTAATAAAGTTGGATATGTGCAGCACCAATCTATCATTGAGTAAAAATGATATGTAAGAAAATGAGTTTGGGCAGGGCTAGGGGATAGAGTGTCTTTTGACACTGCTTCTTTCTGCATTGCTTCCCTTCCAACCATTCACACCTACGGCTTTATGGGAGTTTCATTCAACTAGTTGACTAGAAATAAAACACTTCAGTCTGTTTTACAGTTTGTTCTTCAGGATATGCTGGTATTGCCAATGCAGTTTCTATTTCCTTAATAGTTATTAATTGATACTTATTCTTAAGGAACAGATTATATAAGCAACCTTGATTCCGTAATTTTCTAACATACTATTCTTGGTTTTATTTCTGTCATATAAACTATGTATTTTTCCAACAGCTTAAAGCCAAGTTTATCTTTTAATTTCTCTATAAGTTTCAATCACATTAATCCAATTGTCAACATTGTATCAGTTAATTCTTTTAGGTTATTATTTTTATAAGGTCTTCCACAAATTTAAAAGCATGAATATTTTGCTTTTTTTAAAAAAAATAAACTTAAATTATTCTGTTTTTGACTTATTGTAATGCCTGAGTATAGTATTGAGAAAAATATTACTTACTTTTTCTTTAATTTATTTGGAATCATTCCAATATTTTATTATAAACATTAGATTTCTACTGCTTATCCTTTGCATGCAAACATACAAAGTCTAGGGGATTTTTTAGCCACTTTTTGCCACTTAACAACAACAAAAACAAAACAAAGAAATCTTAGTGCTTTTCTTTTTTTCATACAATTGTATATAGCTACAATTTTTTAATGTTCTACCACTTAGTAGGTTAAAATAAATTTATAGAAAAATAAATGGGAGATCAAATATTCATACTTTAACATAAGAACTATCAAGATACTAGAAGGCAAGAGTGATCTTATACATAAATAAGAGTTATATTCCACAAATCATAAAGGAAATATTGATATATTTAACAACATTTTAAAGGGGCTACACTTACATCATAAACAAAGTAAATGAAGAAATAAATAATGGGGAAATGGGATTTTTAACTTATAAGACAACTTTGTGATTAATTTTATATTCTAAATGTATAAAAATGCCATACAAATCAATACCAATGGAGTAAAGAAGCTTAAAATATAATAAAGTCAGACCTAAAAAACTATACAAATTGCTTATAAAGATGTAATAATATTTAGAATCACTTGTCAGATACATATGAAGTAAAATATGCAATTTTACACTGAGATTGGATTGGAAAATCTCTATTTTTTGTATTATATAGTTTTGTAAGCTATTGCATGGGAAATAAGATTTCTCATTTAACTAGATAATATAAATTAGAGGAGAACTTTGCAATCATTATTTGTTTTAAATATTACATGTTCTTGCAGATAATAAATAATCACTTAGGAATTTTGCCTACAATTTTGCATCTCAATAGAAAGCTATAAGAACACAGATATTCTTGATGCATTATTGGTAAAAGCAGAAGAGTGGTGGAAAACAATTGTATACCCACATTTAATGCAAACATAATAAATTTATGACTTATCTCATTATGTTATTTCCCAATTGGATTTTTTCATAAGTTTCTTCTGATAAACACAAAGGATACCAGGAATTGACTCTATATTACTGCTGTCCAATAGATCGTTCAATAAGGAAGAAAATCTTGTTTATTTGTGCTTTCCAATATGGTAGCCACAAGCCACATGAAGCTATTGAGTACTTAAAATTGACTATTTCTACTGAGATATAATTTTTTGTTTTAGAGATGGGGGTCTCAAATTCTTGCCTCAATCTCCTGAGTTGCTGAGACTCAGGATTCCTTCATGCCAGCTCAGGAATTAAATTTACCTATTAATCAATATAAAGTAAAAGTGGATAACCACATCGGGCTCAAGAATATCTTATTGGGCAGTGCAGTTTGAGGTAAATGTTGCTTCTTTAGCCAGTGTATTAGTTCATTCTCACATTGCTATAAAAAAATGCCTGAGACTGGGTAATTTATTAAAAAAAAGAGATTTAATTGGCTTATGGTTGTGAAGGTTGTATGTAGGAAGTATGACAGCATCTGCTTGGTTTCTAGGGAGTCCTTAGGAAATTTACAACCATGGTGGGTGGCAAACAAGGAGTCAGCACTTCACATGGCTGAAGCAGAAGGAAGAGAGAGAGGGGAGTGGTGCCACACACTTTTAAAACAACCAGACTTTGTGATAACTGACTCACTATCAGAGAACGGCACTGAGGCAGTGGTGCCTAACCATTTTTGAGAACTCTACCCTCATGATCCAGTCACTTCCCAATGGACACCCCTCTCTAAGACTGGGGATTACAATTTGACATGAGATTTGGTAAACCTTGGTGACTAATTAGAGTCTGGCTGATATGGTTTGACACAGAGCTAAATCATATGAACCAAACTCTAATTAGTCAATAATTTCTGTTAAAAATTATCCCTCAAATATCTTCCAAATCAGCCTTCTCTTTCTTATACTGATGAATGCTTCTTTTAATTAAATTTTTATTTTTTTCACCTGTATTACTGTACCATCTTTCTAAATGAACTCTTGTCATTTAAAACCAACCCTAAATTCATCTCCTGAGATGTCTGTAAAATGTAGATCTTCGTCACTTCTATATTTGCAAACTTTCAGCTCCCCCAAGTTGTTAATATTTTGGCCCCAGATTCTCCCTTTAGCCTCACATGGCTGCCAAATCTTCAAAACTCATTTACCTTCCAGACATAAAGCTTCTTCTAAAATTCTCTTTATAAAACATCATGCATTTTCATGTTTCCAAAGTTTTGCACATTTGTATTCATCTTTCTGGAATGCTTTCCTCAATGTTTTCACTTTTGTTTCTTCATTTATTCTTCAAAGACTAAGCTCACTTGTAACCTGCTGATAATTAACTATCCCCAGTTCTACAAGCATATTTGTTAGGGATGTCTCTTCACTGTTTATATAATATCCAGTCTTACTACCCCAGTGATAACTAATGATTCGACGAATAAATATGGTCAAAACTAAAAGCTCAGTAGCCAAGAACTAACAACGTAGAATAAATATTCTTCAATGTAAAAGGCAGAGTAGGAGAGAATCCCTGAAAATGGCAAGAATTGCTAGACATTAAATAAGACAGTAAATTTGATGGTTTGAGTTATTTTTTTCTTGTGATCGTCTTATTTTCACAGCCTATCAACATTTCTTCTTAGAAAAAAAGTAATGTTAGGATAAAAAATTTTAAGTAGGAGTGATTATAGCTATTGGGGACATAATTAATGAGATACCCCTCTTCTACTAGTCTATCTTTGAGTCATGCCTTTCTACTTATAATAGTAAGCTGACATCAGCTATAATAGGGAAATTATCTTCTCTCCTGGTTCCGCTAGTGTCTGTAGAAAAGATGCAAAATTTCACCTACTATAGACATATCCCAAAGACATACCCAATGCCGCCTACATGTTTCTCTAAAAACCCATCTTTTACTCATTGTCACTACATTTCCAGTCCACCTACCAAGTCTGCATTAACTAATTAAACAAACAAGCACTGTTTGAGAGTCTACAGAATTACAAGAAACCTAAGCATTCACAATGTTTCTAGTTCATCAGGAAGCTCAGATTTTGATCTATCTTTGGTTGTTAATTTTTCTGTCACTCCAATCATATTATTTGTTCTGTTGTAGTGCATCTATTGCAGGTCCCATTGAAACTCAAGTATGGCTTATCACACTGATCTTCAAACCCAATGCATATATCAGTAATCATACAAATAATAATAATGTTGACACATTACATTTATTACATATTTACTATGTGTAATTTACTATTCTGAGCACTCCTTTACGTTATGTGGTTTGGAGATTTATAGTACTCACTAGTAACTTACTCAAGGGATATTGAAAGAGTCATACTGAGTAAATGCTATTAAGTATTCTATGATACCAGAAACAACCTTAGTATTGCAACCTTTCAAATATAAACATATGTGAGTCAATCTGAGCTGTGGGTGGACACACTCTAGTGTAACCCCCAGGAAGTCACCTATTGTATAATACCATACCCTTGAATGTGGGCAAAACTGGAACTTGCATTTAATGGAATATGACAAAACGTGCTGGGGTATCTCTGCAGTGATTAGATTACAATACACTTATAAGACTTCATTTTAATAAATTGTTGTATAGCTCTTCTCTTGCTGACCTTAAAGAACAAAACAGAGAGGTTGTGAAAATTTCTACAGAAAGGGCTTCATGGCAGGGAAGTGCAGGCAGCCTCTTGGACATGAGCATGTACTTGGAATCCTAACCTATGGAAACTGAAAAAATGAATAGGTATTGTTTTAAGTCACTAAGTTTGTGACAATTTGTTGTGTAGAAATAGAAAATTAATGTAAGGGCTATCCTAAAAGGAAAAAGAATTTAACTTTGGGCCTTTTAACATATTCAGTCTCTTTAATAAAAGGTGGCTGGTTTTACTGTTACAAATTCTCAAATGTATATTTTCACAATTTGTAAGTATATTGATAATTATGTATTATACATTTAGACTCTCAATGAATTTTAATCAAACTGAAAATGTTTTCTCACTTCCCTTCAATAATAAATAGTTGTTTATTTGAAAATGTCTTCTACCATGTCTTAATTTACAGTACCATCAAATATATAATTGAAGGGTAAGAAAATTCTTAAATTATACAATATTAACCAACACATCCCATTTAACAGAACATGGCAATAATGTTTATCTCTTTTTGTTTAATTTAAAAAGTGTTTGTGAGAAGATGGCATAATGGAGAGCAATGAAATTACTCAGAAAGTGGTTTCTGTGAGACTTTAGTTTATGTTAACATCTTATTTTTCCCTCAGGTGTCAAAGATGTAATGTTAATATTAAAATTCTCATTGTCTTAAAGTTTCCTGAATAATAAACATTCAGGATGGAAACAAGTTGGAAAAGACAAACCACACTCCTTAATAATATATAATCTATAATAGGGAGCAGCTTAGTCATTGGCTTAAATTAAATATTCATTCATTGATAAAATATTTCTGTTCCTATTTATATCATAAAATAATCAATACTCTTTAAAATTTTTCTTAATGTGTGATATGGTTTGACTGTGTCCCCACCCAAATCTCATCTTGAATTGTAGTTCCCATAATCCCCACATATCATGGAGGAACCCAATGTTAGGTAATTGAATCATGGAGGCAGTTACCCCCATACTGTTCTCATGATAGGAAGTTCTCATGAGATCTGATGGTTTTCTTAGGGGCTTTTCCCCCTTTGGCTCAGCACTTCTCCTTCCTGCTATCATATGAAGAACATGTGTGCTTCCTCTTCCATCATAATTGTAAGTTTCCCAAGGCCTCCCAAGCCATGTGGAACTGTGAGTCAATTAAACCTCTTTTCTTTATGAATTACCCAGTATTGGGTATGTCTTTATTAGCAGCACGAGAACAGACTAATATAGTAAATTGGTAACACAGAGAGTGGGTGCTGTTATAAGGATGATTGAAAATGTGGAAGCAGTTTTGGAACTGGACAATAGACAGAGGTTGAAATAGTTTGGAGGAATCAGAAGAAGACAAGAAAATGTGGGAAAATTTGGAATGTCCAAGAGACATGGAGGTCTCAGAAGACAGGAAGATGTGGGAAAGTTTGGAACTTCCTAGAGACTTGTTGAATGGCTTTGACCAAAATGCTGATAGTGATAAAGACAATGAAGTCTAGGTTTAAGGGGTTTCAGATGGAGATGACAAACTTGTTGGGAACTGAAGTAAAGGCTACCTTGCTATATTCTAGCAAAGATACTGGTGGCAGTTTGCCTCTGCCCTACAGGTCTGCAAAACTTTAAACTTGAGAGAGATGATTTAGGGTATCTGTTGGAATAAATTTTAAGCAGCAAAGCATTCAAGAGGAAGCAGACCATAAAAGTTTGGAAAATTTGCCACCTGATGATGCAACAGATAAGAAAAACTCATTTTCTGGGAAGAAATTCAAGACTGCTTCAGAAATTTGCATAAATAACAGGGAGCCAAATGTAAATCACCAAGACAATGGTGAAAATGTCTCCAGGGCATATCAGAGACCCTTCCTGGCAGCACCTCCCATCACAGGCTTAGAGGCCTAGGAGAAAAAAATGGTTCTGTGGTCTGGGTCCAGGACCCCTGCTCTGTGCAGCCTCGGGACATAGTGTCCTGCATCCCAGCTGCTTTAGCTCCAGCTGTGGCTAAATCGGGCCAAGATACAACTCAAGCCATTGCTTCAGAGGGTGCAAGCCCCAAGCCTTCGTGGTTTCCATGTGATGTTGAGCCTACTGGTGCACAGAAGTCAAGAATTAATGTTTGGGAACATCCACCTGGATTTCAGAGGATGTATGGAAACACCTGGATGTCCAGGCAAAAGTTTGCTGCAGGGGTAGAGCCCTCATGGAGAATCTCTGCTAGGGCAGTGCAGAAGGATATATATAAGGTCAGAACCTCAACACAGGGTCCCCACTGGGGCACTGCTTAGTGGAGCTGTGAGAAGAGGGCCACCATCCTGCAGACCCCAGAATAGTAGATCCACTGACAGCTTACACTGTGCACCTGGAAAAGCTGCAGACACTCAACACCAGCCTGTGAAAGCAGCCAGTAGCAGAGATGTGCCCTGCAATGCCATAGGGGCAGAGCCACCCAAGGCCATGGGAGCCCACTTCTTGCATCAGCATGCCTTGGATTTGAGACATGCAGTCATAGGCGATCATTTTGGAACTTTAAGATTTAATGACTGCCCTATTGGATTTCAGACTTGCATGGGGCCTGTAGATTCTTGGTTTTGACCAGTTTCTCCCAATTGGAATGCCTGTATCCCCATTGTATCTAGGAAGTAACTAACTTGCTTTTGATTTTACAGGCTTATAGGCAGAAGAGATTTGCCTTGTCTCAGATGAGACTTTGGACTTGGACTTTTGAGTTAATGCTGGAATGAGGTAAGACTTTGGGGGACTGTTGAAAGGTTATGATTGTGTTTTAAAATGTGAGAACATGAAATTTGGGAGGGGCCAAAGGTTGAATGATAGGGTTTGGCTGTGTCTCCACCCAAATTTCATCTTGACTTGTACTTCTCATAATCCCCATATATCATGGAGGGACCCAGTGGGAGGTAATTGAATCATGGGGGAAGTTACCCTCATACTGTTCTTGTGATAGTGAGTTCTCATGAGAGTGGATGGTTTTCTTAAGGGCTTTTCCCCTTTAGGCTCTGCCCTTCTTCTTCCTGCCACCATGTGAAGAAGGACATGTTTGCTTCCCCTTCTGCTGTAATTGTAAGTTTCTTGAGGCCTCCCAGCCATGCTGAACTGTGAGTCAAACCTCTTTCCCTTATAAATTACCCAGTCTCAGGTACGTCTGTATTGGCAATGTGAGAACAGACTAATACAATGTGTTATCTATTCTCATTGAGAATCTCATTCTTGGTACACTTTGCATGCTTATCTATTTTACACATATTTTTCTTGCTATCTCACTATCTTGAGTCATAAAAGTGTGCATAATGAGAATAATTACTTTTAAGCTTGTGTGTCCTTCATTTCACAGTACATTTAAAATATCCAGTCTGTAAAAGGTTCAGAGTAACTTCCCTTTTTTCCTGAAATAACTACCAATTCAACAAGGTGTTTATTGGTGGCAGCATGGTCCATTAACACAATCCCTCAGGACTTGCACTACTATGATGAACAGATTCTGCTATGGAAGTAACATCCCTGGCAATAAAAATATACTCTCTTTTCAGAGCCATTACCTTCAGCAATTAAATCTCCTAAAAGTGGAAAACATATTCTTGAAAATTGCTGAGAGTAGATTTTGTGTTCTCACCACAAAAAAAGGATAAGTGTGTGAGGTAATGTATATGTTTATTAGCTTGATTTAGCCATTTTACACATCTTTCAAAACAGTCTGTACACAATAGGTATAGGTAATTTCATTTGACAACTAAATATATTATTAAAGTAGAAAACATTTTTAAGTCTTTTCACTAGGTCATCTCATTGGAAAATAATATTTGTCTTTCTATGCCTGGCTTATTCCACTTAGCATAGTGTATCTCAAGTTCATCATACTGTATGACCTCACTTATATGTGAAATCTAAAAATGTGCAACTTATAAAAGCAGTGTGGAATGGTTGTTGTCGGGAACTGGAGGTCGGAGAAATGGGGAAATGTTTGTTGAAGGCTATAAACTTTCAGTTATAAAATGAATAAGTTCTGAAGACCTAATGTGTAGCATGGTGAATATAGTTAAGAATACTGTTACTTAAAATATGCTAAGAGAGTAGATCTCACATGTCTTCACCATAGACATACACACATACAAAAATAGTAACTGTGTGTGGTGTTGGATATGTTAATTAATTTGTTTGGGATAATCATTTCACAATGTATACATTGTATACATACATCAAATCATCATGTTGTACACCTTGAATATAAACCGTTTTTGTCAATTATACCTCACTAAAATTGGAGAAAAATGAAGTGTAAATAAGGCAGTGACAGTGGGATATTTTTGCTTCCTTACAAATAACTTTCTAATCTGACTTGCACTTTGAAGTTAGGTTGTTCCACCAAAGTAATTTTGTTCTTTTAAGAATTCCCTAATATTAACATTTTCAGTTTTAAAATGCTTGTTTTGTAATTTTAAAACCTCATTTATTACTTCTGTTGATAATACTGTATAAAACTGCATGTCTCACCATAGCTGCCATCAGTAAAAATTAAACTTCTTCAGGTTAACTGCTGAGAGGTCACAAAAGTAAAGATTTGATAGAATACAAAGAGAAAGTTAAAGGAGAAATTATGGGAAAACATAAGGTTGTGGCATGATGGCCACCTGCGGTGCAATGGACAGAGACAAAACCTAGATTCTTTCCAAGATGAAATTTAACAAACGATATAGCCCCTCACCCTTACACCCACAACACATACACACACACACACACACACACACACACACACACACACAGATACATACACACACACACAGTGCTGTAATCAATATGGTCTACAAAATAAAAGTGGGCAAAAAATAAACTATTTTTCAAAGAGAAGACATAACAAAACCTATGTATTTGACTTTTTAGTACTGAGAAGGGGGAGAAAAGAAATACATTCACCTTGAGATGTGTAATACCTAGTGGACCATATATGATTTTTGTAGTCCAAAATTTCTAGACTTTGTAGAAAAAAATGTACATACCCAGAAAAATCTAAATAAACCCAAACTTATAAAAATACAATTATTTTCAAGGTGAAAATTTAATTGCAGTTCTCTAAAGCAATACTCTTGAATAACTAATGGCTACAAAGACAAATCCTCTCTGAAAGAATGTAACTTAACTCTTGTATCACAGTAATTCCAAAAATTCCAAGAAAACAAGTTATGTAAAATAAAAAACAAAATCATAAACCATGTAGAATAATGTACCAAAAATGAAGGTCAGGGCAAAAAAAAAGGCAATAAGTTGAGTCAAAATTGTTAGACACTAAAATAATCAGATATAGAGTACAAAGTACATATATTTAATACATATAAAGATAACAGAACATAATATAAGCTAAGAAGAGAATTCTACATGAAAAGTGGTAAAATACTTTGGGGGAAGAAACCCAATTTAGAAAAGAAAATATAATGATTCGATAATCATTCAATTGGTGGATCATACAGTCGAAATTAAAACGTGTAATAACATTCTATGTTGTTAAAAGCATGTAATTGAGGGATTGGAATATACATAAGAAAAGGGACAATGGTAACTAGGAAACTGGTGGGCTAAAGCTGAAGGGGGGATGATGTCGAGATCTGAAGAAATTATCTTTTATGCCACTCAGAGAGAGGAAAAAAAGAGAAGACAATATGAATAATAATATGAAAAAGAGATGGTGAAATGAAAGTTAGAATGGGAAGATGTAATATATAATTTATTGAAGTTGTATACAAACAAAAGTAAGAATGGGAAAGCAGAAATATCTAATGAGATAATAGATAAGAATTTGACAAGATTATTCAAAGATGTCATAGACCTAAGAATTTTATCAAAACTTATAGGATAAGCAAATATCCTATAAGTTGTTTAAAATATAGATACATCATTGAAACTAAATACTATAAAGAGAATAAGATATTAAAATCAGTTAAAGTGGGAACAATGATCTACAATGGGTTTACAATTAAAATTATAACACATTTTTTAATAGCACAATAGAGGCCAGAAGACAAAAAATAATGTTTGAAGTTCTAAGAGAAAATGGTCTCCAATTTTCAATTTTATAGAGGGCTAAATTATCCTATCTGGTCTGGTGCAGTGGTTCACGCCTGTGGTCTCAGCACTTTGGGAGGCCAAGGCAAGCAGATCATTTGAGGTCAGGAGTTCAAGACCAGCCTGGCCAACATGATGAACACTGTTTACTAAAAATACAATAAATAGCCCCCTGTAGTGATATGTGCCTGTAGTTCCAGGTACCTGGGAGGCTGAGGCAGGAGAATTGCTTGAACCCGGGAGGCGGAGGTTACAGTGAGCAGAGATTGCACCACTGCACTCCAGCCTGGATGACAAAGCAATACTTCATTTCAAAAAAAAAAAAAAAAATTTTCCCACCTATAGTATTTTCAGAAGTTAGTAGAAACATAGGACATATTTCTAATAGAGTCTCCAGTAAACTAGCTTTTAAAAGGTGTGCTTTACATAAGAGAAAAATAGTTGTCAGTGGAAATCTAAAGGTAAAAATTTAATATTAAGTGAAGACATTATAAAATAGTTTCATGAAATAAGATAAATGTTGATTCCATAGAATTCTAATTTTTGAAGAAAAACAAGATAGAACTAAAATACTGGGACAAAAGGGCACATGAGTTGCAAAATAGTTTATTGGAGTTTAAATGTTCTAACATCTGTGTACATTTTAGGATAAGATAAAGATTTTGAATAACTTTAGATATGGTTGAATATGCATATTTATATAGGTATGTTAATCACTAAAAAAAATTAATATGGCCGGGCACAGTGGCTCATGCCTGTAATCCCAGCACTTTAGGAGGCCGAGGAGGGTGGATCACGAGGTCAAGAGATTGAGACCACCCTGGCCAACATGGTGAATCCCTGTCTATACTAAAAAAAATAGAAAAATTAGCTGGGCATGGTGGCACATGCCTGTAATCCCAGCTACTTGGGATGCTGAGGCAGGAGAATCACTTGAACCTGGAAGGCAGAGGTTGCAGTAAGTCGAGATCATGCCACTGCACTCCAGCCTGGCAACAGAGAGAGGCTCCGTATCAAAAAAAAAAAAAAACAAACAACAACAAAAAAAAAAACACACACACACACACAAAACAATAATTAATATAACCTCAAAAGAAATTGAAGACAAACAAAATAAGAAAAAGAAGCAAGAAACCCAAAACAAATAAGACCCAGAAAAGAAGAAAATATATATGATTTTAAAGAGTGGTAAATAGAAAGCATAAGACTGAAAAACAAATTGAATTAAGAACTCTCCTTTCAAATCATATAAATGTTTAGTGTAAACAAAGTACAAAATCTAGTTATATTTTGCTGAAAAAAGGACACATCTAAGTTAAAAAGACTGAGTTATGTTGAAATTATAAAATACAAATTAGTTTTACCCAGCAAATTTAAGCAAATAAAACTGATACACAATTTCAAGCAGGTAAATTTTAAAAGAAAAATATAGAACTAAAGAATGTAACAACATGAAAAACTCAATTTACAAGGAATATATAAACATTATAAATATATGAGTAAGAAATACCCTTAAATATGAAAAGCAAATTTGTAGCTCTTTTATATGAGAAATTGACAAATACAGCAAAAAAAAAACATTTAAAACACTTCCATATTATATTGATTGATGCTCAAAACAAAAACAAGAAAAAATCTATATAGCAGTTTTAAGGAATCTAATTAACAAATTTGATCTCTGAAACATGTATCATCAAACAATTAGAGAACATACTTATACATTTTCAGGCACATATAGAATATTTATAGAAATGAGTCCATATGCTAAGTCGTAAAACTGAGCCTAACAAATTTCAAATGATTACTGTTATTGAGTCTATGTTGTAACTGGGTTAGAAAGTAATGATTTAAAAATACATTTGGAAATTACAAAACCTCATGTAAATAATGCATTAGTAAATTGAAGTACATAATTAAAATAAAGCAAATTGGACAGGATGATGGTAAAGTGATATTTTTAGTGAAATGCAAATAGAAGCCACGATGCAATACCACCTTACTCTTGCAAAAATGGCCATAATCGAAAAAGCAAAAAACAGTGATGGTGGCGTGGATACGGTCATCAGAACCTTTCTACACTGCGGTGGAAATGTAAACTAGTACAACCACTATGGAAAACAGTGTGGCTATTCCTTACAGAACTAAAAGTAGAACTACCATTTGATCCAGCAATCACACTACTGGGTATCCACTCAGAGGAAAAGAAGTCATTATTTGAAAAAGATATTTGCACACACGTGTTTATGGCGGCACAATTCACAATAGCAAAATTGTGGAACCAACCCAAATGCCCATCAATCAATGAGAGGATAAAGAAACTGTGATATATATATATATATATATATATATATATATATATATATATATACACACACACACACACACACACACACACACACACCTATATGTATAGGTATATGTGTATGTATAGGTATACATACATACCTATATGATGTACATACATATATATGATATACATACATATATAAATATGTATATATCATATATATGATGAAATACTGTGCAGCCATAGAAAGGAATGAATTAACAGCATTTGCAGTTATGTGGATGAGATTGAAGACTATTATTCTAAGTGAAGTAATTCAGGAGTGGAAAACCAAACATCATATGTTCCCACTGATAGGTGGAAGCTAAGCTATGAGGATGCAAAGGCATAAGCATCATACAATAGATTTGGGGGACTTGCGGGGAGGAACAGGAGGGAGCAAGGGATAAAAGACTACAAATCTGGTGCAGTGTATACTGCTCTGGTGATAATTGCACAGAAATCTCACAAATCACCACTAATGAACTAACTCACGTAACCAAATACCACCTGTACCCCAATAACTTACAGACAATTTTTTTAAAGTTATCCAAACTTGTACTGTGAAGTCATGGGTGTAATCCCATTGTAATTCCTGGAGTAGAACAGGGACTACCACCATTAAGATTCATCTCCTCTACCAATCTCAAAGGAAAAAAAGCATTATTCTGCAAGGGAAAGTGTATTCAAGTGGTAGTTGGAGGGCACTGGTGGAAAGCAACTAGAGCTAAGGGAGGAAGGAGAAGAAAAAAAATTTAGACAGTACACATTGGGGGAAGGACAAGCATATAGGTTAGGCCCTGAATTATGTCTGAAGATTTGGAAGAAATATTTGTGAAGTTAACTTCTAAAACCTAGGCTTATAGTGCATGGGTTAGACTGAGTCGACTTAAAGATCAAAAATAGTTGCCCCCTTTCTCACTTTCCCCTATCACATGAATATGCATTGAGTAAAAATAATGATAGAGTACAATTGGAAGAGTTATAAAAGGCATCCTCTCCCTGGAGACCATCACAAAGTGAGATCCAAAGCCAAATGGGGCTGATAAAAACAAGGTATCACTAGAAAATTTGAAGTCTCTAATGTCCATAGCAAAAGCAAATTTCGAATATGTCAATAATAGCAACAACATCTTAAACACTGAAGCTCAATTTCTGACAAGGTTAATACAAACCTACAAACTAAAGACCCAGTAGAAGGAAAGGGTTACCTTTAAGGGTTTAAAACAAACAAATAAACTTTTGGTTTTACATATCCTATTCAGCATTTCTAGCATTCATAAAAAAATACAATTAATAAAAAAGAAAAAAAGCAGTCTGAAAAGACAATCATAACCAGACTCAAATATGACACTGATGTTAAAAATATCAGACAAGAGATTTGAAATAACCATGATTAATGTGTTAGAGATTATAATGGAAAAGATAGACAAAATGCAAGATCAGATAATTTTAGCAGAGGTATGAAAATTAAGAAAAAGAATGAAAAATGATGGAAATCAGTAGAACAGTTAGATAAATAAAGATTGATTGCCTTTGATGTGCTCATCAGTATCTAAGACGAACCTGAAGAAATTATTTGTAAGCTTGAAAATAGGTCAATATAAAATATGAAATGTAAGCTTTCTTTTTAAAACTCATGTTGAAATTAATCTTTGACATTTTCAGGTACTTTTAATATCTTCAGTTAAAATGTCAAGAGTGAGTCTAATAAAAAACCACTTATTCTTGTTGGTATATTTAATTATTTTAAATGAAATCAATTGCCCTTTACTCTGACATATGATCTTGAAACAAGTTTTGAAAGAAGTGGTTTCTCTGAAGCTCAATTAAATCATAGTATTATCAAGCTTGGTAATATAAATATAAGTATCCAGTTTAGATGCACTGGGAGTGGATTTCATGGCTATAAATAATTACTAGCCTACATTCTCATCACTACTTCAGTAGAGCCATTCCATAATTATCCCTACCATTCTTTTAGCATTCCTTCCATCTATGTGCCTAGCATAGTTAGGTAGTGTTTACATTATTCTTTATTTTTACTCTCAGCAAATACGAAATATTTTTCAGAAGAGAAAATTGCAGTACTATTACATACAGTTGCAAATAGCTAAGCCAGGGTTTGATAGTTATCTGAGAGTTCAATAACTATTTCCCTAACAATACTTTCCAGATAGAAACTAAATCTAGTCTAAAATGATGAACCAGAATATATGTTAGTTAATTATTTTTGTCAAAGTTCTAGTCAAGACAATTGTAATAAATGGATTGCCTCTGTTTTAGTTGCATTTATTCAGCACACACAGATTTAGTTAAATAGAATGTAAACTAACTGCGTTCTAGTTCATTAGAAATATAATTAGGAGAAGGAGCATATGGGGGAAAACGAAAGGAACAAACACTGGTAGTTAAAAGCTAAAAAATAAGTGAGACATCCCTAAAAGATGAATTAAAACAGAGGCAATCATTTTAAAGGTTGAATAAACTATAAATATTTTCATCATTTTAAATAAGCAGTGGTAAGGAAGAAAATGTATTTTTTATTTTCAGAAATATCTAGAAATTCAAACTAATTAGAGGAAGCATTCATTTTTCCTTTTAGTAATTCACCTATAAAAGTAATAGTATGGTATTTTGAAAAGATGATCAGTTTTGGAATTAAATCTATCTCTGCTTACATCCCAACTGTGCCATTTATTGTTTTAGCTGTGGGATAGACAGTGAGCTAGCTATTTAAGCATTTGTAGCATAAGTTTAATCATCTTTGAAACGGGCATAATATCAGCTCCATTAATGTCATCCCATCTCCAGTAGATTTGTTGTGAGATTAAATGAGGTATTAGATGCATGGAAATCACCTGACTTCAGACCTGTCTCTTCTTAATTAATTAATGTTATCATACTTATGGCTCAAAATAACTTGTATGGTAAAAATTCTTAAAAATGTTATGATTATAAATTTAATATTTTAAAATATATTAAAATTACTTCCAAAATATTTTTTGTCAGAACTGTGCATGCATTTCAATACTTGTAACAATGCAAATGTACTTATCACTATTTACTCCCATGTAATTTATGAGAATTGTTTACATAATTTAGGAAAAAATATCTTTATTCCACAAAAGGCAAACATGTATTACTTTTCTTTAATAGAATGGAGAATGGATTAAGAATTAAGTGAAATATGTGTGTGTGTGTGTGTGTGTATATATATATATATATATATATATATATATATATATATATATGTATCTATAAAACTTTAATTTCTTGAAAGTCTAACCCAGGCATGAGAGATACAAATCATAATACAACATGATGTTCGAGGTGGTAATATCACTTTAAAGAGCCATTTGTAAGTATATTTCAAATGTACTTCGGATTGACTTAATTTATAATTACTGATTATTACTCTAATTTATCTATAATTGCTATAATTACTTTATCATAATTAGGGCACCAAAGGCCCAATTAAAGTCCCAATTAAGGGCTAAGATTGGATGACTCCCAAATTTTTATTTGAGACTGAAGAAAAGGGCTAAAAGTAGGCAACTTAAAATGGTTGCTATGACATCAAGGGCTTCTTTCAGGTTAAAATAATAAAGAGCGTAAATAAATTTAGCAATAATTCAAGTAGAATTACAATGGCATCATATTTACCTTTCTGTTTTATGGCATAGATATCTTAAAAGTAACAATTTTCTATTTTTTTCTCTGTTCTGTTTCATTAATTGGAAAATATTTAACAAAGCGATATTTACTTATTTTGATTTCTGATGTTAACATTTTCAGGCGTACTTATAGGCTTTCTTAACTTTTCTCTTAAGTCATACTCTTAGTGGCTTTGTGTTAGTATAACTGTTATTCTTCAAAATATGATTTATTTTATGATTTAAAGTTCCAAATAATGGAATCCATCTATTTGAATTTTACTTTGTTTCTGTAAATTTGCTCCAATCATTAGAGGTATTCTCTATTATGTACCAGGTTACAAGGGGCACTGAAATTTTAAAATAACTGAACGAAACCAAAATATCCTTCCTTGTCAGTTTTTAGTGGTCCTTATCAACAAAATTAAAATTAAGAATAAACGTAAAGTCAGTATTTACTACAGTATACTTCTATTGCTGCAAGCTGTTTCCAGTAGCCTTACTTGTAGAAACCTCTGAAACAGCATTATCTAATTATCAAAAAAAAAAAAAAAAATTGGACAGCCCAGGATTTGATGACAGAATCAGAGCCTTTCCCCCACTGCTTTTTAAAAACTGTAGATAAGCTCATTTTGTGAATAAAGAAGATAATAAAACTGAGCTCAAATTGGTCACTAATCAAATGCCTTATAGAAAAGGGATAACATACCTGCATCTTTTTAACTAGTTTAAATGTAGCATATTCAATTTAACTGGATTTCATCACCATAAGTGGAAATCACATGTGAGCTTAAGAGGAATTCACTTGGCTCACACCAAAGCATTCATCCACAATGAGGACTGAATCAAGTGCTGAGTAACTGATCTTTGTTCCATTTCTCATATTCATGCTGTCAGGTTCCAGTCTTATAAGCTAGGAAGATTCACATAACTGATCTGATTCACATTAATGATCTGGTACCCGATTCCATTTTTAGCAGTGATAAGATATATATTTCATCAGTGAATATCTGAGCCCAAGGCCATGCTTATCATTATGTTTTCACTAGTGGATAAAAAATGAATGAATTTAACCATGGAAAATTTAAGTTCCATAATTCATTGTAACTAATTTACTCATTTTATTAACGAATGGAATTTTGAGTAGTAGAATATAATGTTTCAGATCCTAGCTGCTGGACTCAAACTCCCTTGGTTTGAAGATAATTAAAAATTATAAAACATTAGAAAAGTACTTTAATTACTGTGTTCTACAAATTCATTTGCAAATAGGAGTAAAATTAGCACTCACTTCCTAATTATTGTGTATAATAAATATTACATATATGTAAAACACTTAAAACTGCCTGAAATTTTGCACATTATATATAATGATTACTGTTGCTCCTATTTATTATTATAATTAACACTGCATATAAATACACTTTTAGAGGTGTTTGAATTATAATGCCAAGTATATGGTGGATGAAAGAAGAGATAGTTGATGTAATAATAAATGATGAAGTTCATGAAGGGAACAAAACTTGTGTCCAACACTAAATAGTCATCCTGCTCTAAGAGGTGTTTTGTATTAGCAAATAACTTTGAGGAAAAGAAAAGTGAGCTAAGCACACAAATAATATTTTTCTTAACATGACTATTATCAAGTTAGAAGTGAATTGTGGCTCAATTCTGGGAAGCAAGAAAGAGGTGTGAGCAAGAAAGCTAAAAGGATTCAACCAACAATAATTTCCAAGGGTTCATACTGAAAAACATAAGCCAGCAACATCCCCTGTCTTTACACAGATTCTATATGAAAAGAGTTAAGATATTAAGAACTGTCCAGCAAGATGTTATGTTTGCATAAAAAATTATATTGCTTGAATTCCCAAGTACATGTATTACAAAAAAAATTACAGTAAAATAAAATCTATCTAAATACAGAATTCAAAAATAATAATAGATAATTGTTTTCAAGTCTATATTTTTGTTAAGGACTGTGATAAGCATGTTACATGCATTAATTCACTTATTTATCTCTAAAAGCCTGTGCAGTAGATTACTAAAATTAGTCTTGAATCAAATTTATTGACACGATTTACATATGATAAAATTCCCTATTTTAAGTTCAGAGTTCAATGAAATATAAAAAGTATATACCTTTAACTAACCAACACTACTAAGATATTGTACTTTAATATACTAGCAATAAAATATAAAATTTAAATTTAAAAATAAACTTAACAGCATTCAAAGTATAAAATATTTAGTGATAACTAAATATGCATACTCAGTACAACGAAAATTACAAAACGTTGCTACAAAAACAAAAGCAAGCATAATAATAAATTAAGTTATATATACCACGCTCATGGACCAGAGAAATCCATATTGTTACATTCCTGTGCTTAAATCTGACAAACTAGTACCATTTTGGTCAAAGGTAGAAATGAATCATTAAAAAGAAATTATTACTGTATAGATGGAATGGGCCCCTGTGCCTAAATGGCCCCATTGATTGATCAATATTTTTATATGATTTCAGGCAGCTTTAGGATAATTTTCTAGCACTGTACTGTCCAATATTTTAGCCTCATTGAGACACAGTTATTATTTTCTATCAGTGCCTTAGACAGTACATGGTAAATGTCACTTTGAAGAACTTGTTTAGCACTTCAGTCCACTAGTCCACGTCATTTGCATTTCTGCTGCAGTTCTGAGAGCTATAACCACACGTTTAAAAATGAGTCCCAAAGATAACATACCTCATTTGATGCCTACTATACCACAAAAGCAGAGAGCTGCTTTGTTACTGGTTACTGGTGAAATATTAAATTGCTGAGCAAGCCTAATTTTAACATATATTTATTGCAATGGTTAAGAAGTCTTATTTTTATTAAAAGCAAAATTTTAATCTAATACTAAAATTGATTTTTGAGTATGAACCTAAAGCAGACTTAACAAGATTCCATTTAATGTGCAGCTATAATATCTAAATGTTACACATAGTTTTTTCATATTGTAGGAAATGCATGAAAAATTATTAGTGATAGGAAAAAAGACCTCTGGGACCTTATATGTCAGTTATAAAAGACAGATTGTTAAAACTATAAATTTATCTCTCGTGGAACTGACATCCAAGGTTCCAGAGCCTTTTTCCCTTCACTGAGGATTTTTTACGTAATTCCTACAGCATACTGTATTCCATCCTTTACAACAAATGTTCAACCATTCACATAAGAGAGCCAGCCAGACACCTTGCCTACTACCAACAAATAAGAGAAATTAGATGTGAAGTCATAAAGTAATACATCTTTGGATTTTTTTAAGGACTTAATTACAAAGAAACTCATTTGTTATGTTAATGCATGAAAGACTGGGAACTTGCCATGTATCTCATTAAAAAAAATAATGCAATGATTTAAAATGATTTTTGTTTAGCAAAACTCACATGAGCTAGTTAGCTCTTAATAATTTCAACAAATATTTTATGGTTTTGTACTGATAATCAATAAATTAAAATTTTGAAGTTTAAATATGATTAATACAACTATAGGTCTCCACAATGATATAACAGATAAAATCAGCAATGATTTTTAATTTTTATTATAATCATCACCACTGAAGATTTGTCAACCAATTTCGGTAGGGAAATCCACCATTAGGGTACTCAGTATTGTATTCTTTTCATTTAATAAAATATGGTATTTAATTCTCCATTGAGATGATCCAACATTTGCATTGTGTATTTATGGGCAGCCCTGGGCTTATTCACTAAGGAAGTTTTTAACATGGAGAATACATATAGCTTTAAAAGTCATATTCATTAATTATAATAAAATATGCTTAATGACTTCTTTGCATATTTATCTGTGGTTTTATACGATATCTGGAATATTTCAGAAGTATTTTATTCTGACTACTGAAGTCTAAACTCTGTTGATTTTAGTCCTATCATTCTGATATTTTAGTTTCATGCCCCTAAAGCAAATTCCCTTTTTCTTACTCCTGTGCTCAAAAAAAAAAAAAAACACAACCCTGAAAACCTGAACTTTAATGGGGTACATGCAAATGATCTGTCCCTCAATCCAAAATATATTTCAAAGTGGCAAGGTGTATACTTACTTTGCATGTGACCTTTTTCTAATGAAAAGTATTGACTGTTATTTCTTCCAATTCTATCTATTGTTTCATAGGAGAATGATGTGTTGAGTAAATCTTCTGGTCTCTAATGGTAACACCGAAAAACAACAGACATTTAACACACAGAAAAAAACTATTAAGCACTATCATTTCTAGTGTTTTCATGAGGAGAAAATCTCACTTTTAATACAGGTACAGCAGGTCCTTGAATAACATTGTTTTCTTATAGTGTTGATGAAAAAAATCAACCTCTATCTGTGGTCACTGCTTGTGTGGAGTTTGCACATTGTTGGCACGTTTGGCTGTGCGCAGTGGCAGGACTCCATGCTTGCTCGCTCGCTCACACAACCCTCTCCACTCTGCTCACTTTACTTTTTCAAAGTAAAGATGAAATAAATTATATACACCATTAGCAGATTAATGCATATAAGATGCTGTACTCTTAGGTGGGCTTCAATCCATTTTCTCGTATTATTTTCCTAAATATCCTCAAGTTCCAGACACTTTTACAAATTATGATGAGGTTTGGTTTCGTGGTCTTTGTGACATGCTTGAATTATATTTTTGATCACTTTTTCGTTTTCTGTCATAACAAGATATGTATGTCAGGGTCTTCTGCACCTACCCTCTCTCAGACTGGACTAAGCCATTTTCCCAGGATATCTGGTATAATCACTCACTTTTCAAGCAAGTATTTTGGGCCAGGTGCTGTGATTCATGCCTGTAATTGGAGCACTTTAGGAGGCTGAGGCAGGCGGATCCCTTGAGGCCAGGAGTTCAAGACCAACCTGGGAAACATTGCCAGACCTAATCTCTACCCAAAATAATAATAATAATAATAAAGATTTTGCTCACAATAATTTTTCAAACCACCATTTATTTGTGGGTAATAATATCCCACCCAGACAGAATGGAGGATGGTATAATAAAATAACATAATTAATGAGGTTTGTCTTACATGATAGAATAATACAATGACATGAAAGTCTCCTAAAACTGGAATTTTAACTCTATGGGCAAAGTGAGTACCCAGAGATGATCAATAGCTCCAGATACAAAAATTCAACTTGATGGTTCTAATTTAGAATTGAAAGGTGGGTAAATTTTCTTCTGATTTGTAGGATAAAAGGAATTAATAAAAATTTGATTAACAGGTTATGAGTTGGGAACAATTTTATATAATGCTGTTATTCTTTTTGACTTCCCTTAATTAAATTGCACTTCTAAATTTGGAAACTTCTGATTTTACAAATATTGCTAGAAGGCAGAACTTGTGTCCCATAAATAGGTTGAACATGTCAAATATTCATGACATTGATGATCAAAATCATAACTTTATGATAATGATAATCTTGTTAAGAAACTAATACTAATTTAGCTCTTCTTGTCGGCACTTGTCTAAGAATTTTATGATAATTAACGAATTGAATCTTCCATACAACATTTTTAGGTAAGTACAGTATTATTTCCATTTTTGTGGTGAATAAAGTAAGGCATAACGAGTAACTAACTCTCCCAAGACACAGAGCTTATAAACAGTAAATCCAAGATCTCAGGAAAATCTCTTAATTTGTGTGCATTGCTGTTATCAAAAAATTACTTTTTTACCTCTTTACAACTAGGATGTTGGCTCCACCAATCAGATATTAATCATGGATTTTTATTTAGAAGTTAGTGAGAAAGGGAAACAGAATAATAACAAATATTCTCTGTTGAAGGATGGTTAAGTTCCCAGGACAGAAGTGGCTCTGGTGGCAGTGCCATGATAAGTAAAATGGTTTGATTCATAAATGTATCTTTTAGAGATAAAAGTATTTATGGAATATTAAATAATAAAATTGTGTATGGTACACTAAAGTCTAACTTGATTTATATAAATGCAATCATTCTTGATCTGGCAAACTGAATTCAAATTTTATACACTATTATAAGGTGACAGTACTTTGCCAAACTCCAGACATCATTAATAGATTCCCAGCCCCTATAAATGGGAGGACAAATACCCTTGAGGAAGGCATGTAAAGTTGGTCATTAGCACAATCTGTGAATCATCTATTAGCTTTCCTCAAAGGGATCTACATCAGAAAAAGAAAAATAGCCAGACCTTATGAAGGTTTTTGTAAAACACTTCCCATGGATCTTGAATGCCACTGCAGTTCATCAGGAGGAGTAGTCTTTGATGGAGAGTGGGTGATAAATAGACTTTTAACATAAGTTCTACTTTAGGTAAGATACCGTGAGAGACACACAATGTAGTCATTTCTGAAGTTCTTGTGTGTGCTATTAGATGAAGTATACTCAGAAACTACTACAACTCCTGTATTGGTGTCCATTTTGCCCAGAACAATTTTTCAAAAAGACTTTTCTTTCTTCTGACTTACCTTTGCACCTCTCCCAAAGATCAACTTACTATATTTGTGTGAGACTAAATTTTATTACTTTGGCTTATAGTAAGGTTTGAAGTCAGGTAGTCTGTATCCTCCAACTTTATTGTTCTTCAGTATTGTATTGATACTTCTAAGTCTTTTGCTGTCCCCCACAAACATTAGAATCAGTTTGTCAATATCTTTAAAATAGCTTACAGGGATTTTGATTGAAGTGACATTGAGTCAATAAAGTGGAAAAGAATGACATCTTAAAAATATGTAGCCTTCCAATTTACGAACATAGACTATCTCTCCATTTATTTGACCTTTTTTCTCAAGATTTGTAGTGTTCAGTCTACAGATTTTATATGCATTTGATTAGATTTATAACTAAGTATTTTATATTTTGATGCTAATCAAATATTTAAAAAATTTTATTTTCCGAATGTTTATTACTGGTTTGTAGAAAAGTAATTGACTTTTGTATATTAGCCTTATGATTTCTGACTTTGCTATTCTTGCTTCTTTGTTCTAGGAGATTTTCTTTTTCATTATTCTTTGAGATTTTTCTACATAGATAATCATTTCACCTGTTAATAGAAAGAATTTTATTGCTTCCTTTTTAATCTCTTGGTTTCCTTTTCTTGTCTTATTGGACTGGCTAGTACTTCCAATTCAGTGTTGAATAGGAATGATGAGAAATGTATTTTTACATTGTTTCTGATCTTAGAGAAATGCATTCTTCTTTTCACCTTTACGTATCAAGTTAGTGTGGGTTCCTACAGATGTTATCTATCAAATTGAATAATTTCCCCTATATTCCTAGTGTGAAACTCCTAGAGAGTTTGTTTTATTTCTTTCTGCAGGGGTTTTGGAATTGATTAACTGCTTCATAGGCATCAATTGATATGGTCATATAATTATGCTGGTATGGCAAGTGACATGGATTGACTGTTCCATAATGAACCAGCCATCCATAAGTTGGACAATTCCCATTGGATTGTTATATATAATTCTTTTTATACATTGCTTGATTCTATTAGTTAATGTTTTGTTGACTTTTTTCCACATCTAAACTCAAGACATGTAGGTTGTAGTTTTCCTTCCTTGTAATGTCTTTACCTTATTTAGGTATTAGAGTAATATTATAGTAATGCTGGTAACATAGAACAAGCTAAAAAGAGTTCCTTTTGCTTTTATTTTGTGAAAACAATTGTAGAGTATTAGTATTACTTAGTTCTTAAATGTTTGGTAGAATTTACCAGTAAAACCATCAGAAAATGATATTTTCTTTTACAGAGATTATTCTTGACTCAATATTTTTAAAAACATAGGCCTATTAATATAATGATTTTCCTTGTGTACAATTTGATAGTGTTATCTTTGAGGAATTTGCTCATGTTTTCCTAAGTTATCAAATTTGAAGGCATACAATAGTTTATACTCTTCCTTTAATATTCCTGTAATGTCCATGGGATCAGTCGTGATGACCCTTTACAATTTCTGCTATTAGTAAGTAAGATCCTCATTTTTTTGTTAATCTAACTAAAGGTTTAGCAATTTTAGTCATCTTGTCAAGGGACTGGTTCTTTGTTTTGTAATTTTTCTCTATTGTTTTGTTCATTTCAAATTTTATTAGTCTACTCATATTTATAATTTCTTTTCCTCTACATGCTTTAGGTTTATATTTCTCTTCTTTCTCTAGTGTTCTAAAATAGAAGCTTAAGTAATTGATTTCAGGTCTTTCTTATTTTGCAAGATATGCATTTAATGCTATACATTTCCCTCTGGGTACTGCTTTAGCTGCATACAAGTAGTTTTACAGTTTGTATTTTTAATTTTATTTAGTTAAAATATTTTTAACTTTCTTTTGGGACTTCTTTAACTTATAAGTTATTTATTAGGCTTCTATCAATTTTCCAAATAGTTTGAGATTTCCAACTATCTTTTGTTATTGATTTCTAAATTTAGTTTTATAAAGATTTGAGAATATGCTTTTCTCTTTTCCTTTTTAAACCTAGCTAGTGACCTATCAATCGTGTTTATCCTTTCAAACAACCCCTTTTCATTTTCTTGATACTGTGTATTTTTTGTTGTTGTTTTTGTCTCAATTTCATTTAGAACTGCTCTGATTTTAGTTATTTGTTTTATTCTGCTAACTTTGGGTTTGTTCTTATTTTTCTAATTCCTTTTGATGCAGTGTCAAGTTGTTAATTTGAGATCTTTCTAACCACTTGATGTAGGTGTTTAACCCTATGAATTTTTCTCTTAAGACTGCTTTTGCAGTATCCCAGAGGTTTGGGTATGTTGTGTCTTTATTTTCATTTGTTTCAAATTATTTTTTGATTTGTTTTAATTTTGTTGGTTATCCAAAAGTCATTCAGGGGTAAATTGTTTGCTTTTTGTAAGTGGTTTTGGGAGTTCTTTTTTCTATTAATTTCTATTTTAATTCCACTGTGGTTAAGAAGGTACTTGGTATGATTTCAATTTTTAAACATTTACTAAGACTTGCTTTATGACCAAACATGTGGTAAATCTTGGAGTATGTTCCATGTGCATACGAGAAGAATGTATCTTGTATAGTTACCGAGTGGAGTATTCCATAGATATCCATTAAGACCATTGGTCAGGTGTTCAATATAAGTCCAGAATTTCTTTATTAGATTTCTTTCTTGAGGATTTGTTTAACGCTGTAAGTTGGGTTTTGAAGTACTCCATTATTATTGTGTGGCTGTCTTTTTCTTAGGTCTAGCAGTAATTTTTTAATAAATATAGTTGCTCCAGTGTTGGTTGCACATATATTTAGATTGGTTAAATCTTGCTGAATTTACCCCTTTATCATTATGAAATATGATTCTTTGTGCTTTTTTTACTTTTGTTGTTTTAAAATCTGTTATATCTGATACAAGAAAATTGGCCTCTACTCTTTTTGTTTGTTTTCCATTTGCATGATAATCATTTTCTATCTCTTTACTTTGAGCCTATGAGTGTCATTACATGTGAACTGGGTCACTTGAAGACAGCAGAGTTTGGGGCTTATTTTTTTTAAAACCAGTTTGCCCCTCTGTCTTTTAATTGGAACATTTCTGCTATTTATGTTCAGTATTAATACTGATATTTGAAGTTTAGTTTCTGTTATAGTGTTGTTAACTAGTTACACTGTAGTCTTTCTCATGTAGTTGCTTTATAGGATCTGTGGGCTTTGTACTTAATGTGCTTTGTGGTAGAAAGTATTGTTCTTTCATTTCTACGTTTATAACTTCTTTGAGCATTTCTTGTAGGTCTGGTTTGGTGGTAATTCACTTACTTAGTGTTTACTTGTCTGGGAAAGACTTTATTTCTCCTTCGTTTATGAACCTTACTTTGGCAGGGTAAAAAATTCTTGGCTGGCATTTTTTCTCTTTCAATGGCTAAACATAGGCTCCCCATCTCTTCTGGCTTGTAAGGTTTCTGCTGAGAAATCCACTGTTAGTCTGATGGGATTCCCTTTATAGGCAATTCGGCCTTTTCTCCTAACTGCTTTTAAGATTTTTTTTCTTTTGTGTTGACCTTGGGTAGTTTGATTACTGTGTCTTGAGAATCATCATCCTGTACAGAATCTTGCAGCAGTTCTCTGAATTTCTTGTCCTGTATGTCAACCTCTCTAGCAAGATCAAATAAATTTTCCTGAAGTATACACTCACACGTTTTTCTAAGTTGTCTACTTTTTCTTCTTTCTCAGGAATACCAAAATGTCGTAAGTTTGGTCTCTTTACATAATCCCATATTTCTCAAAGGTTTTGTTTTCTAAAATTATTTTTTCTTTGTTTTTATTTGATGGTGTTAATTCAAAAGACTGGTCTTTTAGCTCTGAAATTCTTTCTTTTGCTTGGTTGTGTCTATTATTAACATTTCCAATTATATTTTGAAATCCCATTGTGAAATTTTCAATTCCAGAAATTCTGTCTGTTTCTTTGTTAATATGATTATGTCATCTTTCATATCCTGGATTGTTTTTCTCACTTCTTTGTATTGGATTTCAACTTTCTCTTGAATCTCATTGAGTTTCTTTGTCATTCACATTCTGAGTTCTATGTCTCTCATTTCAGATATTTCCATTTGGTTAGCACCCATTCCTAAAGAGTTAATGTGATCCTTTGGAAAAGATTAAACACCCTGGCTTTTTGTACTGCCAGAGTTCTTGTGCTAATGACTTCACTTCCAATGAAGCTGACAATTTCCTGTCATTTGAATGAAGCTTTTTATTATTTTTTTCTTTTTTCCCTTAAATGCCTGACTGTGGTGTATGTTGTATATGATTGACTGGCTTGTTTCTGGGTGCTTTCAGGGGTCAAAGTTCTCTATTGATTCCTTTGTTCCAGAAAGTTTCATAAGGTGACTTTTTCACATGCTTCTCATTGTAAGGATGTATTTTTGTTTGATGGTACAATTCAGGCTGAAGTCCAGCAGATGGTGCTTGAGCATAAGTGCTGGCCAGTAAGCTGGTGCCCCAGTGGATGCACTCTCCCTAACAGTTGGTGACAGGAAGAGAATGTGATATTCTGAAGCCTCAGTTGAAGGAATGAGGGTGTGCATCAGCTCCTCCTCCAGACCCAGAAGAGCATAATTCACTTTCCTATCATGCCCCTGTTGCAGGGTTCATGACATTTCCATTTATAAAAGCTTTGTCTTTTGGTTCCCGGCCAGAGTATGGCTGTGGGCCATGGTCTCACCTCTCTGACAGCTACCAGTAGGATGAGGTTTGGGGACACAGCCTCTTTCCCTAGTTTGGGTCGGGCAGCTCCATGGATTGTACTTCATTGCCAGGATACTATTGCTCAGTTTAGGGAGGAGGAGTTGGACCCCACCCTTTGTAATAGCTGTAGCCACCATGGGCTAACTTTCAACAGGGATGGAGCCACTGGAAAAGCCCTAAAGTGCTTTCTTTCAGTATCTTTAGTGGTTTTGGAGCCACCAGAGAAGCATAAAAAGCACTTTCTTTCAGTGCATGCTCACTTTCAATGAGGGTGAAGCCATCAGAAAAGTCAAAAAGTGCTTTCTTTCTGTGCATGCTCATAGGGATGCAGTGGCAAGAACTGCTGCTGCAGCTAAAACAGTGCAAGGGAGGGAGAGAGGCAAGAGATGACCCCCTCTCCATGTTTTTGCTTGGGTACTTGTGGTTCCTCCTCTAGCAGTTGGCACCACACCCATGTTTTCTTTGTCCCAAGAGGTGCTTTGGTGGGCTATACTCCTTTCTTCTTAGGGGTGATCTACACTGAGGGTTACATACCCAGGGGTCCCACAACTACCCAGGGAACTAACAATCCCTGTGCTTGCCAAAGTTAGAGCAGGTTGTGGGGTTTGTTTGTATATGGTTTGGTGGTGCAGTGGCTTAAGAGCAGAGGATTTCCAGGCTGGGCAGTGGCATCTCAGGTGCACTATCAGTGTGGTGCCTACCATCTCAACTTGGGTCTGAGGGAGGGGTAGCATGCCTGCTTGAGCGGGCCACCAGGTTCTCTGGTCCCAGAAAGTTCTCTTATCACCAGCCTTTGTGTTGACCTGGCTCATGAGGGTGGAGGGACTCCCCAATAGCAATGATCAGATTGTCAGAGGGGTGAGGGAAGACAAGAAGTACTCCCACGTATCCTTTCCACTGAGCTATGAATTCCTCTGGAGTTAGTCTCAGCCAGACTTTTGCTGCTTTCTTTCTTTGCTCCCTAGCCTCTTCCCATAAGCTCTCTGAGAGTTCCTGGCTGCCTTCTCTCCATTTTTCATTCAAATCCCGACCATTCACTGGTAACTTTGATCTTTCTTCTGAGGAGTACTGGCATGCAATGTCCCTACTCATCAATTTTGAATTAAAAAAAAATAAGCTGTTCCCTTACTTTTAATAACTGTCCTTTCATTTTAATCCAACTGTTAAGTTTGTATAACAAATATGATACTGAAAATTTTCCTTTTTTTTGCACTGTTGAATCTATACGACCAACATTTTAAATAATGATTTCCATTCACAGGTGATCAGCCTATTCCCTGATTACAGTCCTGTTTTGATATATTCTTATCAAATGAAGTTTGTTTGAAGTTGGTTTCTCTTTCCATGTGTTTGTTTAGATCGTCACCACAAGGGTAAGGCACATTATTACTATTAGCGAAGTGACAGTCAACAATTTTTCATCTGAAAAGCATTTTACCAATATTGACTTTGGAAGTCTTTATTACTAAGATTATTTATTCATATATATCTGAACATAACTTGTGGGGTACAAGGAGAACTGATATGAACTTGAAGCTCATCCGTCTGTTACACCATGAGTCTTTTGTCCCTGGCCCAGGAGTTGCAGCTTCTGTCAACATCTATGAAACAGTGGCTGGCTAAATTGTGAGCTTGCAAGCAGAATAAAATCTCAGACTCTGCAATTCCTGAAAACTGTAAGCAGATATATTCATAGAATATCTTCTGGCCGGGCACGGTGACTCATGCCTATAATCCCAGCACTTTGGGAGGCCGACGGGTGGATCACGAAGTCAAGAGATCGAGACCATCCTGGCTAACATGGTAAAACCCCGTTTCTATCAAAAATACAAAAATTAGCTGGGCATGGTGGTGCCTGTAGTCCCAGCTACTCGGGAGGCTGAGGCAGGAGAATTGTTTAAACCCGGGAGGCAGAGGTTGCAGTGAGCAGAGATCGTTCCACTGCACTCCAGCTTGGTGACAGAGCAAGACTCCATCAAAAAAAAAAAAAAAAAAAAAAAAGAGAAGAAAAGAAAAGAAAAGAATATCTTCCACTATACTCATAATTAATGTATCTTCATGTAACTGTTTTGTAGAAGCCAAATTAGGTTGTGAATAGAAATAAGCTAAGTTGTTCATTTAAAAAACAGAAGAAAGAGAGATAAAGACAAAGAAAGAGAGAAAAGAGGAGAGAAAGAAAGAGAGACACAAAGAAAGAAAAAGAGAAAAGAACAACTGACTTTTCCTTTGCTATTTAATCATTAAACAGATATAATGAGTGTGTACTCTATCCCATTCATACTTTAAGATAATACAGCAGAGAACAGAGTGGACATGGTACCACTTTTATGGAATACATCTTTTAGTTATATATAAGGAACAATATTACAGATAATGATATATAACGTAAAAGAAGTGAACATTCTTGGGATAATTGTAATTAACAGACAGCTACATTAGACAGGGTGATAAAAATTCCTTTTTAACTCTGAACCTGGGAGCATGGTTTAGTGAAAGAAGTCCTGAATTCCAGTGATAGACCTGATACCTATTCATTCTGAGGAATTTGCAAGTAGGTAATCACACGTTCTCTGTCATACTGATGGATATATTTTCTAATAATAATACCAACATACTGTAAGTATATTTTGGCATAGTGGAACACAAAATAAAGGTTAAATGTGATTAGTAGTAGCAATTGAACTACCAGAGTTCTTGTTAACCAGTGTCTTTTCTGCTAAAGTAAAAGTTGACATGACTATCTTTTGTTTTTGATTTTATAATATGGATTTTTTTATAAGCATTAGTATCCTTATGAAGTATTGTGGTAAAAGTCAAGCTGTCTTTGATAAAAGCTCATAAAAATATGTCTGGATTGTCATTTTATACATGCTATCATAGTCATTCTGCAGATGTAATTGTAGGAGTTGAGCTTCAATGAACACTACCCTAGGATAAATCTAGAAAGCTAGATAGACTTCCTTTTTTAGCTTGCGCTTATTTTTCTCTTTTATATTTTTTCTTCTTCCTGATTTAAAAAAAAAAGTATCTAATTTTAGCTAAACAGAATCTGGGCTAATCAGAAATCTTTTTTTTCTGTAGCATACTATAAATTAGAACTTTTGAAATAAGTGTTTCTATTTTAATAATTCCAAAAGGTCTTATCATTACTTTTAATCTCCCCAAATCACAAGACTACAAATGCATAGTCCTCATAGTTTTACATTCAACTCTAGGAAATTCAGGGACATATTTCTTGTAGACAAAATACAACTTGAAATCACATTCTTTATAGTAAAAAAGATCAGGAAGAGGAAAAGATTATATGTTAATTTTGTGTTTAATGGACAATGTTATGCAATAGATTAGGTTAAAAATTGAAAGCTTAATTAGAATTTATTTTGTGTTGAAAATTCATATTTGATTTATTCTTTCATATTTCAAGCAAGAAGAATACACTCAGGAAAAAAGAATTTTCTCATGATGACAGGACCAGTGAAATTAAAGTACATTTTACATTGTACTTTATTGTACTTTAATTTCACTGGTCCTGTCGTCATGAGAAAATTCTCCTTCTCTTTCCTTGTCACAGGCCCTACTGACTATTCTATATTTTAAAGGTGTGATCCTTGGATTACATAATCAGCATCACCTCTGTCTTGTGACTGTTTAATAATCAGATTTCTAAGCCCCCAAGCAGACTTGCTGATATTGAATTTCGATGATGAGGCTTAGAAAGAAGAATTTTGATAAGCTTTTAGGACTTTTTGTGTACTTGAGAGATATATAACCCTTGAATTATATAAGTCAATAAAATTAAAACAAAATGTCTGACTGGAGTGGTAAAGTTATCTGTTATAATTTATACCAGTGAAACTATCAAATACATAAACAATCGAGCTTTCTTCAGAATCTTATGGTACACTTATTTTTCCCTTTAGTGAAATTTTATTTTTCATCAGTAATTATATTGCCACAGTCTATAAAAACGCTGTGAATAAAATATGTATATACACATCCTTAAAGAGCTCAAATGATATAATTCTAAATAAGTAGTAGTTTTAATAATAACTAAAAAGTTTTAAATAGTGAATAATTATAATAAAGAAATGTAATTGAAGATAATTTATATATGAGTTATACTGACGCTTATCATTTATTATATTTTATTCCTTTAGCTTCATTTAATCAGGTATCATATTTGATTTTATTTAAAATCAAAGCCAACAGTTTAAGTTTTGGTTCCCCCAAAGTCTTCATTTTACTCTCTTCTCTAGGGCAATGACTGTGAGTCTTTTTTAAAAGTGAGTTCTAATTTATATGTCATCATTTGCAAAACAAAATTGTATGTTTGCAACTGGATATATTAGTGTAGTTAAATGGTGAAACTGCTGCTAGAACTATTGAGAAGGAAAATTTATCAGATAATATTTTAAAACAATATCCTGGTTTATAAGAAAGAAGACATAGCTTCGTTAAGAAAAATGATTACATTTCTGACAGTTATAATAGCAAAATCATGGGAAAAAAGAATAATATGTTGTTATAGTGTGAACTTAAATACGAGAATCAGCAAAAGAACAGCCCAAGAGTAGTTGACAAAGCTGAGATAGCAAGTGAAGCTCAGATACTGTCTTGGAAAAGGGAGCTGAGAGCTATAGTTCTGGGACACAGTCATGTTACTTAGTCACTCTAAGTCAATTTTACAACTGCAAATTGGGATGGTTTCATAACAGTATTCAAGAAGTATTTATTGGGCCTATATGTTAGATGCTGTACTTTTTGTTAGGGATAGAGTACAAGAAAAAATAATGGATATAGAGTCCTTAGAAATTTCTGGTGTACAAATGACACATACTCTAATATTGACCACAGAGTTGGAAATAAAACAATCCTCAGCAAAATCAAAAGAACCAAAATCATAACAGCACATTCTCAGTCTATAGTGCAGTAAAAAAATCACCACTAAAAACATCACTCAAAACCGCACAGTTACATGAAAATTAAACAACATACTCCTGAATTATTTTTGAGTAAATAATGAAATTAACACAGAAATAAAGAAGTTACTTGAAACTAATGAGAGCAAAGATACAACACACCAAAATGCATGAGACACAGCTAAGGCAGTGTCGAGTGGAAAATTTATAGCACTAAAAGCACACATCAAAAAGTTAGAAAGATCTCAAATTAATGACCCAACATCACAACCTAAATAATCAGAGAAGCAAAACAACCCCAAATCTAGCAGAATACAAGAAATAACCAAAATCAGAGCTGAGTTGAAGGAGATTGTGATACAAAAATAATCATTCAAATGATCAACAAATCCAAGAGTTGTTTTTTTGAAAAAAAAATAGTAAGATAGATAGGCTGTTAGCTAGATTCATAAAGAAGAAAAGAGAGAAGACCCAAATAAATACAATTAGAAATGACATAGGGAATGTTACCATCGAGTCCACTGAGAAATACAAATAGCCATCAGAGACTACTATGAACACCTCTATACAAACAAACTAGAAAACCTAGAAGAGATGAATAAATTCCTGGAATCTGAAGTTGAATAAGTAGTAAATTGCCTGCCAGCCACAAAAATCCCAAGACTAGGTGGATTCACAGTCAAATTCTACCAGATGTACAAAGAAAAGCTGGTACAAATACTCCTGAAACTATTCCAAAAAAATGAGAAGGAGAGACTTATCTCCAACTCACTATCTGAGACCAGCATCATCCTCATACCCAAACCTGGCAGAGACACAACAAAAAAAGAAAACTTCAGGCCATTATTTTTGATGAACATTGATGCGAAAATTCTCAACAAAATACTTGAAAACTGAATCCAGCATCACATCAAAAAGCTGTTCCAACATGATCAAGTAAGTTCTATTCCTGAGATGCAAAGTTGGTTCAACATATGTCAATCAATAAATTTGATTCATCACATAAACATAACTAAAGAAATAACTACATGATAATGTCAATAAATGCAGAAAAGGTTTTCAAAATTTCAAAATTCATTCATATGAAAACTCTCAATAAACTAGGTATTGAAGGAACATACCTGAAAATAAGAGCCATCTATGATAAATGCACAGCCAACATCATACTTAATGGGAAAAAGCTCAGAGCATTCCCCTTGAAAGCAGCACAAGATAAAGATGCCCTTTCTCACCACTCCTATATATTCCAATATAGTATTGGAAGTCCTGGCCAGGGCAATCACACAACAGAAAGAAATAAAGGACATCCAAATAAGAAGAGAGGAAGTCCATTCTTGTTTGGAGATGACATGATTCTATAAGTATAATAGAAAATCCCTTCGTTCCCACACCTAAAAAACTACTACTGCTGATAAAAACTTCAGTAAAGTTTCAGAATACAAAATCAATGTACGAAAATGGCTAGTATTCGTATTTAGCAACAATATCCAAGTTGAGAGCCAAACCAGGAACACAATCCCATTCACAACTACACAAAAAGAATAAAATACCTAAGAATACAGCTAGCCAAGGAGGTAAAATTCTCTACAATGAGAATTATAAAACGCTCCAGAGATAACATAAACAAATGGAAATCATTCCGTCTCATGGAAGAATCAATATCATTAAAATTGTCATATTGCCCAAACCAATTTACAGATTCAATGCTATCCCTACAAAACTGCCAATGACATTTTTCACAGAACTAGAAAAATCTTTTTGAAAATTGATATGGAACCAAAAGGGAGCCCAAATTGCCAGTGTGATCCTAAACAAAAAGAACAAAGCTGTAAGCATCATGTTACTCCATTTCAAACTATACTACATGGCTACTGTAACCAAAACAGCACGTTACTGTTACAAAACCAGACACATAGACCAAGGTAACAGAATAGAGAAACCAGAAATAAGGCCATACACCTATATGTATCTGATCTTTGAGAAAACTGATAAAACAAGCAATAGGAAAAAAATTCCCTATTCAATAAATGGTGCTGGAATAACTGGCTAGCCAAATATGCACAGGACTGAAACCGAATCCCTTCCTTACACCTTATTAAAAAATCAACTCAAGATGGATTAAAGACTTAAAGGTAAAACCCAAAACCCTGAAAACAACATGTTCAATACCATTCTAGACATAGGAGTGGGTGAAGATTTCACTATTAAGAGCTAAACGCAATCCCAAGCAAAAACTGACAAATGGAATCTAATTAAACTTAAGAGCTTCTGCACAGCAAAAGAAACTATCAACAGAGTAAACAGACAACCAAAAAATTTGGAGAAAGTATTTGCAAACTATGCATCTGAAAGAGATCTAATATCCAACATCTCTAAGGAACTTAAACATACTAATAAGCAAAAAGACAAAGAATCCCATAAAACATGGGCAAAAGACATGAACAGATACTTTTCCAAAGAAGACATACATGTGGCCAATAATCATATGAAAAAACTCAGTATCACTGATTATTGGAGAAATGCAAATCAAAACCATACTGAGATACCATCTCACACCAGTCAGAATGGCTATTATTAAAAAGTGAAAAAAATAAGAGATGCTTGTGAAATTGTGGAGAAAAAGGAACACTTACACACGGTTGGTGGGAATGTAAATTAGTTCAGCCACTATGAAAAACAGTGTGGTGATTCCTCAAGGGGGTAAAAACAGAACTACCATTCAACCCAGCAATCCTGTTTCTGGCTATATACCCAAAAGAATATGAATTGTTCTCCATAAAGATACATGCATGTGCAATTTCAATGCAGCACTAGTCTCAATATTAAAGATCTGGAATCAGCCTAAATGCTCATCAATGACAGACTGGATAAAGAAAATTTGGTATATATACACCATGGAATACTATGCAGCCATATAAAAGGACTAGATCATGCCTTTTGCAGGAACATGGATGGAGCTGGAGGCCATCATCTTTAGCAAACTAACACAGAAATAGAAAATCAAATACTGCATGTTCTCACCTATAAGTGGGAACTAAATGATAAGAACACATGGATACAAGAGGGGAACAACAGACACTGGGGCCTACTTAAGGGTGGAGCATGGGAGGAAACAGAGAAAAAACAAGAAACAAGCAAACAAAAAACAACTATTGCGTGCTTGGCTTGTTACCTGAATGATGAAGTAATCTGTACACCAAATTTCCACCATGCAAGTTTACCTATATTACAAACTTGCCGATGTACCTCTGAACCTAAAATAAAAGTTAAAAAAAAGAAATTACTGGCATATAGAAAACACACAGCAAATCATGTTAGATGAGATTATGCAGAACACATATTAAAATAAATTATGTGTACATAGTAAGAAAGGGCTACAGCAGAGTTTAAAATGCAGGGAAAAAGACAGGGACAGGATGCACTGAAATGGGGTTCTAAGAAATAGATATTATCTTCTAATGACCTCTGATATTATGTATAGGGCAGAATGAGGGAGAGAAATAAGGCAAATGAGATCTAGCCCTTCTTATAGATTCTAATTAAAGCTATCACAGGCTGAAATGTATTTATGTTTGCATATGAATATCTGTATATCTGTGTGGCAAAAGATTCAAGGTAGACCAAAATTCAGGAATAGGCTGCAATTATAGAAGAAGACTGGGCCAAGGTAGGGTAAACAGTCAATCCCTCCATCTCCCGTTTCCTCTAAAGTTCATGTGAGACTAAGTGCTCCTCGAATACTCTGAAAATCAAGCTAGCATTTATCACAGAATATTATCCAAACATCTTACTTGTCTGCACTCTAGAAAATCTATCAGAGCAGGAACTGTGTGTGTCATTTTTTTTCATGTATCCCTGGTGCCTAGTGCAGAGCCTTGAAACAGAAAAGAGGCTCAGTGAATATTTGTTCATTGTCGAATCTCATCTCAACTTATTCAACAATAGACATTTTTCTCTTCAATTGCTATTTTCATGTTTAATCTGTGCATATTCTCCTTGTAAAGGGAGGGGAGAAATAGGAGGAGAGAAATATGTTTGAATCAAACATTTCTCTTTTCCTGCCTCAGAGGTTCTGAAGCTAGAGGTTCTTGAACCTCACATTGCTTTTCTAAGAATGTTACTTGTCCTGTCCTCCACAAAATCACAAATTTCACCTAATAATTCCAACGTGATGGTGCATGTTTGGATGTCGCCTCCAGGTTAAGCATCTTGACATCAATGTGGTACACTATAATGTTTTTAAGTTCTCTTCTTCTCCTGGAATTTCTAAAATTTATTCTTCTATATATCTGCCAAACACTATATAGATGGGATAGTTTATAGAAGTTTCCCTAGTTATAAAGTTTTTATTAGCGCTAATAATCTTTCAAGACTGAGTACCAAAGAACATTTCATCTGCGGGAGAGGAATCTTTCACATTCTTTTCTACACTCTAAAAATATCAACTTAAGCTGTGATGGAATAATTATGTGTACTGTAGCACTTTGTGTATTACTATTCTGGGATATGTGCACATTTGCCTGAGGGTGTATATAAGATGGATAGTATAAAAACATAAACAAAGTGGGTGGGTGCTAGCGAAGCATAAAAGAGGAAACATTTGATGGACTGTTTTGTACTTGGTATTCTGCTTCTATTGCTCTGCTTACGTGGCAATCACAGAACTTGAATTCAGGATACAATAATATTTTTCTGGCAGCAAATTCCAGAAGTAACTGTGTAGGCTGTTTTAGAACTGCTGCTAAGTCACTTTTCTCATTAGCCTACTGATGAGATGCCTCAGGTACCTTGTTCTTCCCTGCAGTCCATTTCCTTTTTTTTTTTTTTTTTTTTTTGCGACGGAGTCTCTTTCTGTCACCCGTGCTGGAGTGCAGTGGCAAAATCTGGGCTCACTGCAAACTCCGCCCAAGCAATTCTCTTCCCTCAGCCTCCCGAGTAGCTGGGACTACAGGCGTGCGACACCACGCCTGGCTAATTTTTGTATTTTTAGTAGAGACAGGTTTCACTATGTTGGCCAGGCTTGTCTCGACCTCCTGACCTCGTAATCTGCCCACCTCGGCCTCCCAAAGTGCTGGGATTACAGGCGTGAGCCACCGTGCCTGGCCGCCATTTCCTGTTAATTCCAATTTCAGTCCAGAGACATATATAGGATGGCCTAGAAAGCTCAGCTTGTTCTGGCCCTTACTGCCCCTCTTACCTCATTTCATGCCACAAGAAAAAGAGAAGAAATACAGGGTGAGTTCCACAAGAGTTATGTGAAGAACTCTATGAACTGACTCTATGTAGCGGCCATTTCTGGCCCTCTAGGGTAGCACAAAGAGTCAATAAATGAGACAACAAATGGCCAAAACAGAAATCAACTTGGGTATTAGTATTTCAAGAATCTCAGTGTATGCCCCAATATTATATACAGTTTTGATATGTTGATTAACCTAAAGTAGCAGTTTTCCTGATTCTTTGCCTATGGTTCAAGAATAGTGATGGCATCAGTGAGACTACGATATCGTCATTTTCAGGAGAGGTAAATTTCTAACATAGTAAGCATTCAATAAATATTCGTTAAAATTGAATAAATAAAAATTGACGAAAAATTATTGGCCCCATTTGAAATAATTACAGTTAACTTGCGTGATTACAACATTAATATTCAATAGCAATTTAAATTTGATATGACTTACATTATGGGCTTGAACCCAGTTTTGAATGTTGTTTGTCAATTTTCAACATCTTAGAAATAAGTACTATGCATACTTTGGGGTCTAATTTTAAATAAAAAATATTGATGAGAATGCTCTGAAAATTACAACAAATTATCAAAATTAGATCGAATACTTCACAAAATAAATATAGTAACTTGCCTTTTAGATTTTTAAAAAAATACTTCTTAGTAGAATCTCACTTTGTAAGAAAAGACTTGCTTTAAGTTAATATATCCAGTTTTTTTCTTTCCTTTATATAAAATTATTTTACTTTGATGTGAGGTTATAAAGTAAAGTTGGGATTAGGAATGTAATCATGCATGCAGAGACACCATCAGTACAATCATCCCATAGGTAACACTGATAGGTAGAAAGAAGGGTGTATCAGCCATTTTACCTCAAACCTCAGTATCACACAATATACCCATGTAACAAACCTGCCACATATTCCCTGAATCTAGAATAAAAATTGAAATTAAAAAAGTGAATAAATAACATTTCTTCATTTGAAACTGCCTATTTTCTCAAACTATTTAATCGAGAATACAACAAATTAAAGACATTATTTTTACTTAAAGAGAAATTTTTTTGTGATTTGTGTTTGTTACTAAATTAACTGTCAAATATAGTAACTAAATGGAAGGTAATGCTGAATTAATGCAAATGAAATTTGTTTAGAAGGTGAAAAAAGGGACAGAAAAGATAGCATCTAAAATGAATGGCAGGGTGAATAAGGATTTTTTTTGCTTATTTGTTTAGCTAGGAAAACATCTACATGGCATATTAGTAAAGCTTTAGATTCATCTTATATAACAAATATTAATTTCACATTATCATAAAGTTTATCGTAAGTTTTATACCTTTCAAATGAATGTATTTTAAACTCTTATGTAGTTAAAATTAACTGTCTGGTTACATTTTATTATCTTAACGTTGCTAAATGCTACTAATATTTTAAAATATTTACTAAGAGTTCATATTTTACTCTTTATGATGCAGATTAGAAAAAGAGTTATAGTGTGATAATATAATGAGCTTGGATATTTATTCAACAGTTCAGTTTACAGATGACTGTTCACATATACAGACCATTCTATTTCAGAATGCTTTTTACATTTTGCAGAAAAGAAAACTGAATAGTATAACAAGTAATAAGAGAAGGAACTACATATAAAATTGAGGTCCTCTGGCTTTGTAGGTCATGAATATTCAAATACAGCCAGTTGGAAGGAGTCTTTAACACCCATGACCTTGATGGTCAACAAATTGGAGTTTTAGTGCATACTTCTACCACAAATTAACTGTTAATTAACCTGCTTAGACAGTACATTCCTTGTTTGTGAAATAATGATTGATATAAACATTGATTCTCATTCCTACTAGCTCTAAAATTATTCTGTGTAGCTGGAGCCCTACCATCTTCCTGCACATGTGTTACGGTATGAATATGTTCAATGTAACAGCACATTTCCCTGCTTAAGTTCTGAACCAACTCATTCAAGTAGAATAAATGAAGAACATAAATATCATCTTTATTACTAATACAGCTTGTATAGGATAACTTGCTCCACCACTGATAAGGAAAGGTAAAGTGTAAGAGAAAAGCCAGAGATCCTATGATAATTTATTAATATAGTCCTCTTCTTGAAATACCAAGAGTGAAATGTGTTTATCTCTTATTATTTTGTTAGATTATACACTTAACTCAAACCTAAATAATCCTACTGGAACTGCCAAAAGAGCGAATAAAAACGACTGAGTTTCTTAAAAACCTGAATACATGTACACATTTATTCTATTTACTTCTTTCTCATTTGCCTTTTTTTTTAAACTACCTATTTCAGTCAAAAGTTACAATACCAAAGAACCTTTTTTTTCTTTTGGTTTGAAATGCATTTATTTATTCACATTAAAGACCAACCTCTCTATATTCCCTGGAAATAGGCAATTTTTTAAATTTATATTATTCAAATATCTGTTTACTGAAAGATAGATTAACTAGATATTTTAGATTTTGTAAATGAGATATCTAGATTTAGATATCTAGATATTTTAAAAAATAAAAATATTAGTGGCAAAAAAGTTAAAAAAAGAAAATGGAGTAAAGAATAAACACATTTTAAATCTAAGAATAGACAGTAAAAAAATGAAAAATCACAGATATAATTTACAATATATTTTTGTAATAAAATACTTATTGAACATGTATAATATATTATATGTAATATATTATATATATTAAATACATGTATAATGTATTAATCACTGTCCCAGGCACCTTGTGTAAAAGGTGGTATCTAACTTCAATGAAGAGGAGACTGACACTTAAGGTAACAATTTACTACAGTTAGCTCAAATCGCTAACAAGTTTATGCATATGCAACACTGCATAACTAGTGGTAAAACTCAGATAGAGTATATTTAACATCAGATATTAAAATAAATAAGGCCTACGTATTTAAGATAAATAAGACATTAAAATAAACAAGGCCTATTTGTTAGAATTCTGTGTTTCACAAAGGGGAAAAATAAACATAACATCAGTCACATTTGGCCACCTATTTTCCCATGCCATTGAGCCATTCTACTGCATTATGGAATGGCTAGTAATTGATTTGATATTAATGATCGTTTTGAGGCCGTAATTTTTGTTATTGAGAGAGAAAGCCAAAGTTACAGAGATTTTCTCCTCTGCTTTCTTTTATAAATTGTATGGTTTTAGATTTTAATTTTAAATCTTTGGGGCATTTAGAGATTAATTTTTTGAGTAAGGATGTGAAGGATGGGTTAATGTCTCTCTCCTCTTTTTATACAGCAGATATCTGGTTGTTCCAGCATCATTTCTTAAAAAGGCTTCCCTTTTCCATTTGAATTTCTTTAGTACTTTTATTAAAAATCATCTGAAAATATGTAATTTGTATGTTTCTATATTTTCTATTTTGTTCCACTGACCTATATGTCAGTCTTTTTGCCAATAACATGTTGTCTTGATTAATGTAGCATTGTAATAACTCTTGAAATTAAAAGGTATTAATTATATAAACTTTATTCTTTATAATTTCTTTCTCTAACCTAGATTACTTATACTTCTACAAAAATTATGTGTTTATTTATTTAACTTTTAAGTTTAGGGGTACAAGCTCAGGCTTGTTACTTAGGTAAACTTGTGTCATATAGGTTTGTTGTACAGATAATTTCATCAACGAAGTACTAAGCCTAGTACTCATTACTTATTTTTCCTGATCCTCTTCCTCCTCCCACCTTTCATCCTCTGAAATGGACCAGTGTGTGTTGTTCCACTCTATGTGTCCAAATTTATAATTAGCTTGTCAGTTACTACATTAAATAAATACCTGCCCAAAATTTTATTGTAATTTCACTGAATCTATAGATAATTTGGGAAAATTGATGTCTTAAAAAGCATTGAGTTTCCAAATCATTAAATATGGTATATTTCTCCACTTAATTCTTCAATAATTTTTCAGCAATATTTGTAGGTTTAGTATAGCAGATTCAACATCTTTTTTGTTTGGTTAACTCCAAGTACTTTTTCCTGAAAATTAGATACCTCAATTACTGTATCACTACAAACTTAAACTGCTTTTACATTACAGACTCATTCTCTTTTATCATATATATATATGTGTGTGTGTGTGTGTGTGTGTGTGTGTGTGTGTGTGTGTGTGTGTGTATAAATGTAAATTCTAATTAAAGCTCCTGAAACTATATTAAGATATTTGGATATAAATGCAATACAATATTATTTTTAAATAAGCCAATTTCTAACAAAATGTGTAACTAAAACTAGATCAAAATGTCTAAATGTATTTAAGAATCTATGAATGGACCACAACTAAATCATGATAGGACACTGTTGAAAGAAGAAAGAAATCAAGTAATATGTTCCTGTAACCTTACAGTTATTACCAAGATATACGTGTAAAAATCAATTATTTTTAAAAAGCCATTGAAAGAAATATAACAGATTATAAAATAAACATTGTCTTTTTTCATTTTAAAAGTTTTAAATGGTATAATGATATTTTACTTCCTTTGGTTACCATTTAGAGTGTTTAAGGAGTTTTATACCAGAAATATTAGCATTTCTAAACGTTCAAACTTCACATAAAGCAGTTGTCATTTTAAAATCAATTACTGGGCTTTCTATCTCTCACATAAACTTGTTTGTTATTATATCGCTCAATTAAATTTAGAAGTACCCACTCTTAAGACCATTTGAATCAAAAGTACTAACCTTTTCTTTTGGTTTCTTTTATTTTTTTTCATCCTCTTTTCAGACAGGCAATCGAAAAGCATTATGGTAAAAGAAGGGAAATTTCACATTCTAACATGGCCCATCAAATAGCTAACATTTTAGCTTTATGTATGAAACAGAAGGTTTTTAAAGTAACTTAAATGCATAGACTAGATAAAAATTATACAGTATAATAACCATAAAGCCAGATTTTATACAGAGACAACAATACATACACACAAAAAAACATATTTGCTCTCTTTCACACACACATACACACACACACATCGTCATCATCATTATCACCACAACCACTATGGCCAACTTTTATTTTTAGAAATATAAATTCAGCTCAGTAATCTAGATATTTAATCATTAAAAAAATAAGTTTGGTTAAATATTATATTTAATTCTGCTTATCTTAGAGAACACAGTTTCTGAAGAAAAGGAATAGCCAAAGTTAGCAGCCTGCTACTGTTTCATCTTTAAATCAGACTGTGGACTTCCCTCTACATGCCTGACCTTTTGTCTCATACATTACATCTACAATTAATGTGGTTCAGTGCCCCTCTTGTCAGTAGCTGCTAATGAGATTTAAAGCCATCTTTAGAACCAGCTTCAACAGCCTTAGTGTTATTTGACAGCATTTTTTGATCTGCTTTAGTATTAGGCATGTAAAAGGAACACACAAATTGATGTTTGGCAGAGATGTCAATCAGGCATCTGATATATTCTTCCTGTTAAATTTAAATGTATTTTGATAAGATTTATGGCTGATGAAGATTCCTTAGCCTAGGAGTTTTCTTTTTATGATCACCTTTATGTTTGTTTATTTGTTTTTTGGTGTTTGCTTCAGTCTCATTCATAAAACTTAAAGATAAAGTGACTTAGAGTGAGTGTCAAAATAATTTTGAACAATCCCTAAACGAAATACAGTAGCAGTATAAAACTACATACTGTCTGTCAAGTACTTTAAATTTTTAGGATTCTTAATGTATTAACATGTTTGTAGACTTACCAGACCAATATAAGCTTATAGTATTCTACAATTTTTAAAATATAATGCATGCATAATTTGTTGAAATTGTAAAGGTCCTTTTGGATATATAAGAAATATATATCTTTAGAAAAGAAAAAAAAATTCGATTTTTTCAAGCATTCAGTAAATACAAAAATGATATACAATATTTTCTTATCAGATTGGAAAAAAGAATGCAAAGGCACAATTCTATTATCCAATTTTAATGAGAACATAATTAGTATATAGATTTTTGAATGGTAAATTTTAATAAGTATGAGAAAAATTGAAAGTTTTATTAGTCTTTCAATCATATACTCCTCTCCAATGAATACATACTAAATAAATAACCCAGTTAAAGCAGAAGATTTATGTATATATCCATGTATTACATTATATTGCAGTTATTTTAAACAACAGTATATTAGAAATTAATATTTTGTTCAAAAATAAGGTCATAGTTATATACTACTGTACATGTATAAGAGATACAATACATAGATAAGAAAGTATGATGCAGTATTTATAAATAGAAGTAAATGTTTAAATATTGGAAAGTGAAAATAAGTTCTTTCAAAACTGTAAAGTTAGTGTAATCAGAATACTTGGAGAAATGTTAGATAGCTAGACAGGTAAGTAACAAACAGTTAAAACTACCATTAACTGTGTTATTTGTCACTATTGGAATTATGAAGAATTTTCATTTTTACACAGTTTTTATGTATAAATTTTCTTTACTATGTATGCATGTCTTCAACAATCAGAAAAATAATGTATATTAGATTCAAATCAAATCAAACAAATGTGAAACTTCCTACCTGACTCTCCCGTGTCTAGAGCCAGTTCTTCTATGGTTATTGGATCTTTCTTGCTGTCATTATCTGCCCTGGGTGAAGCAACTGGTGCTAAAATGAATTTTTGTGTGTTAAGACATGATTATGATACCATCACTTCTTAAAGCCTACGTAGAATACATATCCCATCTTATAAGCTATCTCTTGTTGTTATTGTTGTTGTTGTTTTCCATAGTCAACATTTCAGGAATGAATCCGTAATGTGATTCATTTGTAGACAGATTAAGCCTCACAAAGATATAATACTACAAGGATTTACCACCTGTGATTTTTCTTTTAAAACATCTAAGAACCACAGTTGTCAAAAATAAGCAGGTGTCATCCATCCAGTAGAAGCATTTTTGCATAACAAATATAAACTGGTTTTAAATTGGATGATATAACTATGACAAAGGTTTTTCCTGGATAATGCAACCCATATATACCTTTTTAATCTAAATGATAATACATCCTGAAGCAGGGGTCAGTAAAATATACCCTGTATGCTATACATGGCTTATCTCTTGTTTTTGCAGAGCCCAGGAGATAAAAATGGTCTTACATTTTTACATTCATGAAAAGAAATTAAAACAATAATTATCTTGTAACATGTGAAAATTATATGAAGTTCAAATTTCAGCATTCACAAAGTTTTATTGAAATATAGCCACACTCAATATCTGCACATTGTCTATGACTGCTTTCACTCTACAACTGCAGAGTTGAGTAGTTAACACAGAGACCATATGTCCTGAAAAGTTGACAATGTTCACTCTCTGATCCTTTTTACAGAAAAATTTATCGATGCCTACATTAAAGTAGATTGCTTGTGGAATTGATTCTGAGTCCACAAGAAATGCATAATGATTCTGGCTACAGAATATTTATTCTTGGTACCCCACCTGGACTTTTTACATGACATCTACATGGGTGATTTGAAGGTTTTATTATGTCTTTTAGTCTTTTTAATACACGTATTATGATGCAATGTATTTAAGAAAATACACATTTTCTTTTGTTCCTTGAGAGAGTGGTACACTCCTGGCTCAGACTCTGTGATGTTGCAGTCTTATATTTTTCTAAATGAAGCCCTCTATCCAAAGTAGTGTTATTTTCACAGCTGTGTTTTTCTGGCTACAATAGCTTCTGACTGCTCAATTGCAATAGGAGATGAATTTTTAAGTATCTAGAATAAAATGAGTCTTTCTGTTTGGCATATTAATTTCTAACTATTCACTGTCCTATGACATCTCAGTATACTATAAAAAGTCCCCTTGGAAACACAGCAAATGAGCATTATTCTTTGACCTGCACATGACTAATACTGTTGTTTTGTCTGTTACGTAAATCCAATTTGATTTTTTTCACAAACACTGGTTTCAGGAAAATAACTACAACCAGACATATTACCACACTTTTCTAGAGCCTTAAAAGAAAAACTCAACGACAAGTAGTGCAACATTTGATCAAATATTGATAGAAGTATCTAGATATGCAAGTTTCTACAGAAGGATCAATGTACATTTATTATCTGCACTCACAATCTTCTACGAAACTTCAGGAATTTTACCATTTTCTTTTTTAGCTACAATGTATAAACGTGTATTTGTCACACACATAATCAATATCCAAACTTTTATACAAGTCAAAGTGAACATATTGTTATTTTCTTATTGACTGATGAAGTTATTAACATGAAAAGTCAATGTGACAGAAAAGTTATTGATATCTGAGACATTTGATGATTAACTGATTTCTACCCAAACTAATTCTGTGACTCATTTTACATTTTGGAAAATACTTCACTATTAATTTTCCTATAGTAAACTTTCTATGGCATCGAAGACATACTTTAACTTTGCTCTATTTTAAATATAATTTTTTTCAAACAAAATAATTACATGATATATTTACAAATTTGTTTGGAAGGACTTCTTATGATTTTTTTGTTAGGAAATTGAGATGTAACCAGACCCATTTACTGTTTCTAATTTCATCATCTGTGTATGTTTTCATTAATGGAAATTCATGTGGTTCCAGTACTTGAGACCTTAGGAGATGAGGAAGGACACAGTGCAAGTCCCCTGGATTTTCTTTTTGTGTCCCTTAACCCAGACTGGAGACAATAGAAATTATAAATACAGAAACACCATGGGCATAGTGATAATAAATTTCCAGTCTTCTAGGAAAGGGCAACCAAGCAACACAGAAAACTTACCACAAGTACCTCTGTATATCAGTAAAACAACACGGAAAAAAATTGCAGTCCTACCTCAATTAGCAAAAGCAGAGAGGAAAAACTGGACAACCACCCTCTCCAGGCTTAAATGAGGCATGCTGATCTGTCCTCCAGTGTATGTCAGAGAAGCACAATTAAAGAACCGAGACTTTCATTTTTTTTTTTTTATATTAAGGAGATTGTCTTTTCACAGTGTCAATGTAGACCACGTGGAGAGACTGTAATTTTACTTGCAGCAGTGGTAACAAAGCACCTGTCCGCATCCCATAAGGGTGGTGTCAAAGGGGGGCTAGAGGAGAGTCAGATCCTTCACCATCACCCTGCAGTAACAAGGCCACTTCCTATCATATTGTATTGGAAATTAAAACTAACAACACTTAAAAAGCATTTATGAATTAATTTAACTATAAAATATGACTATTACTTGTTAAATAAAGAATATATTTTAACATAAGTATGTATTCAAAGTCAAATAAATGTAGTGACAAATGTGTCATTTAGTTATATTTACAGAACTTCCTTAATATTAGGTTGGTGCAAAAGTAATTGAGGTTTTTGCCATTACTTTAAATGGCAAAACCCACAGTTACTAACGTCTCATAATTGTTTCTGCTTGTAATCACTTGTGCTGTATTATTTTAAATGAAGCACATAAATCAGACATTATAAGTGTATTCGTTTACATACATATAAATACATACATAAAATTGGAAATAATAATATTTTAGTAACTTTTCTGTGGCTTTAATGTTACATCAAACTTGATAAAGGCTGATTGTGATATTGGATTAAAAATCCATATAACAGAAGCTTTTTATACACTGTTGCATTAAAACCCATTAGTTTGCCTTGATTATTTTTAAAGCAGAGTTGAGGTTGTGGACAATTTGTGTGTTTCTCAATGCTCCCAATGTCCTATAGTCTAATCTCCAAGATCAGAAGAAAATATCAATTCTCCTTAGCACTTGAGAATGCAAACACCCCACGCATCTGTCATATTCTAATACCATCTAATTAAGGAAGGCCTTCATCACATGGTCTGCCCCTTAGTCAGGGATTTCATACAGAACTGCATTTATAGAAAAAGAAAGGAATCATTTGTGAATCCTCAAAAAGTGGGAGTACTGATGACCTGGGCAGTACACACAGTGCTGTCACCTGACTTGCCCCCCACTGTGTGATGCTGCTATGTGTTTCTGCTTTTCTTCCTATTGTTTTTGCATAGTAAAGGGGAGTCCTGGTTAACTTGGATGCCCAGTCAAATATCTCTATGCACTCTATTCTTTAAATAAAGAGATTAAGTTGACTGGAGAGGCTAGTGAAAAGTGGAGATCTTTCATCCAAAAATATGAAAGATACTAAAATTAGTTAATCATACAAATTTTAAAGTAGTGAAAAGCCAGAGATCACAAACAGTGTCTGAAATGTTTGCCAAAGCCAAAAGGTTAGGAACTGACACTGAAGGCCAGATTAAAGTACCAGATATTTGTATGCCTATGGGGGCATAGTCTGTGGGAGGGTTGGCTTCATATGAAGGGGTAGAGGTAGGATAGATATCTTAGGTGAAAATACATACAAGAACATGCATTTCTAGACTCAGTGCTCTAGATATGATAACCGTGGTGAGTACTAACAAAATATAGTTAGTCATTTACATATTACTTATGTTCAGCCAAACTGATAACGTTTTTAAAAGAGTTACATCAAACAATAACTCCCGAAAAGCACGTCATCTCTATCTACTCCCCTCCCCCATATATTGTCAGATATTTTTCACAGTGATATTTTTGACTTAGGTCTTTTATTTTTTTAATTTTGTTTTAATTTATATAATGTATTTGTGAATTTAAATCAAATAATGTAATCTCTCTTTTTCTTTATTGTTATTTGTTTTTTGCTCACTTTCTATAATATTAAATCTCTCTGACTTACTGCAGTGATGACAAGATAAGAGCTTTAAAGAGTTTTAAAGGTAGAACCGTTTTTCTTTCTTTAGATCAAATAATATATTTTGCAGGGTTTTGCAAATATTGCTGGGGATTTTCCTCCAGCTTTTCTGATGTAAGTCATTAAATTGACCTCAAGAAAAGAGAATTTGTTCTTTTATTCTGGAAGCCGTTTCAGTATTTTGATAGACAGATAAAGTCTTTGTATTTTTCTAGAATTCTGGTCTATTTCCATATACTCAGGTGTTAATGAATTGAGATAATTCTGTTACGTCAGCTGTGGCCACAATTCTTATCCTGTGCTGTGTTTTGTGTTAGCAACTAGCAAGACTAAGCTCCAGCTACCCACAGTGGTTTGGTGATTTGCTTGATGATGCATCCTTTATTGATGGGGGCTTACTTCCAATTTTACTCATCTACTCCTCTAATGATGTTTCTTGATTTTCTTCCCAAATATACTACTTCTGTTTGTATGCTCGTTTTAACATCTGCATCTGAGAGGTGAAAACTAAACCTGCCACCGTTTTCAAATTTTTTTTATGTGGCAATAACTCAATAGCCCTAGTACTTTATTTTCATGGTTCTCACCTAGGAGATTATCCAATTAGAACACTGTAAAGTCATTAAAATCCAAAAGCTAATGGAAATGGTCAGTGTAGACAGCACACTGTTGCCTATAGGCAGGAGTATTTGCAAGGACATAGAGAAAATCCTATGAGAAGAGGAATATACATCTCATTCAGATGCACAATTCATATACATAAATGTATATGGGTGGATGAAACTAGCCTTGACCTGCCATCATTATCCTTTAAAGTAGTTAACAGAGTAGGAGAGAAACTCATAGCATTATACTGGAAGAAACATTTACCTCTCAAATATAGTCTGGTTCAAATATTGTCTGACCCAGTAGAGACTTATTAGAATATATTATCTGATTTTGTAAGCCCCACTATAGATTAAATTTATCACCAAGTGGACCTAGAATAACTTTAGCTCTAGGTAGCATCCACTTAAGAGGGGTCTGAGTATAGGGGGGTCAGGAATGATATGTGATCCGGCTCTGCAACACTGCTAAATACCATGCATTCATAGGTACTGTCTCTGCTAGAAAGAGAACAGTCAGTCTCTCAAGAACAACAGACACCCAACTTAGCATCTTTGTAAATATGTACCTCACTAGCTTTCATTATAGTGCAAGTTTATACATACATACACATGCATATGTGTTGTGTGTGTATTTTGAAAGATCTACATGTTCACTAATTGCTAAACCTAATTAAATGCATAGTAGTTATTAATTACCAAAATCTTACTTTCACAGATCAAAAAACCAAGGCTGAAAGAGGTAAAAATGTGGCCTAAAGTCTAACCTGCTCGCTCACTGCGTTATACATCCTCTCGGGACTTCTGTCTGTATTTTCAAATCTCAATACTCATATAAACTTCCAAAATGTGGTACATACAGCAAGGAAGTTCAAAGATTTCTAACTTTAAATCAGCACCTCAAGGCAAAACAAATTTCTGCAATAATTTAACTGATAATAAAACAATAACAAGAATGCATCCCAAAAAGGTGTAGTAATTAGTATTAGTGTACCCAAAGAGCCATGTGAATTATTCTGTGTGATGAATGTTATCCCACAAAACACAAACAAGGTAATTTGGGAACTTTAGCAATAACCAAGACAAAGCAATGAAGAATATGTTGACTTTTTATTTTTCACTTTTTTTTTGTAGAATCAGTCATCTGCTTATTTTTCTCTTTCTATTTGAAGTAAAATAAATACTTTTCTAGTTCAGTCTCACATTACTTCCATTCAGAGTTTCAGAGATAGTTCAATCTGAAAGTGGCCTTTGAAGAAACCACATATCTAGTGAAATGCTCCAGCCCTTTTCAGAAATAGTCTCAGAGTCTTTGTAAATGTCAAAGGAGAGCCACAAATCTCAAACAGTTGCCAAAACCAGAATATCTCTGAATGTCACAATGATGCTTGGTACATGTCTACCATACAGGGCTTTTTTTGTGGGTGTCAAATTCTGTCAGGTTCATCTCAAAGAAGCATAACATTTTAGGAGAGGATTTAAGAGGTTTAGGGTAAGATAATACTTATGTTTTGCATGGGTCAACAGTTACTGCAGTTGAACATGATCAGGTTGAATAGAGGCATGTTGGCGCATTTCAATTGCAGAGAAGTTTTCAAATGATTTTAATTTTTCCCCATAAAGCTATGATTAATCATGTTTTCATGCTGTCTACTTAAGTAACAAGAAAGTAACTATTTCCATTTTTAATTCTAAGTCATTGGTGAGTTTTTGACATTTTATTTAGTGACATGGGTTAATTTCATACTCACCAAGATAGCTTCATAATTGAGACACATTGGGTTACTATAGCAGCAAGCTAGTATTTTTAATAAAAACTAGGGACCCTACTGTTACTCCCTATAATGAGATAACAAATTTAACCCGTGACACTATTTTATCATGTGATTTACAAAGTTTCACAGAGAAATATAGATATCTGCTCTAATGGCTTGTTATTTGAATAACACAAAATATAAATGCTTGAAACATTTTAAAATTTGTTTTTAACTGAGGTATTACTTTGAGTTGTAAACATTTTTTCTTTTAGGTTTTATTTAGCTGTTTTTGTGTGTGAGTCTATTGCTTTAAGTGTTTATTCAAATATATATGTTTTTAAAGGCATTTTTATGAGTGCTATTTTGATTATTTCTTTTGATTCATTGTAAGTTTTGCCTATTACAGGGTATCCTAAATTTGTATTCAAGCTTTTAATACTTTATATTGTTTATTTCTTTCATGTTTTCTACTTTCTAAAATTTCAACTGAATCCTTTCTAAAATTAAACTGTGTAACACACAGTTTTAAAATAAAAACTTATATTTCACCATATCTATTCCATTTCTGATCTTCTTTTTTCTAACAAGGATATCTTTTAACTCCTCACATTTCTACTTCCCACTATAAAAACCCTTCCTTTTAAAGCTTATTATAATGGTTTTTCCACAAAACTTACTTGATACTTCAGGTTCCACATAACTTTTCCTTTGAAATAAATGTCTATATTGTACAAGTGACCCTTCCTATTACCAATTAGAATGAAATCTGATCCCTCCTTTCCTTGGTAGGGCAGGAACCAATTGTTAAATATCGTCATATCTCACCATAATGCAGTACCTAATATAGTACCTAATACCAAGGTTAGCATATAACAGATGTTCAATATAATTTTGAAAGCAAGATTGGTTGCCTTCATTTTATGGGTATAGTGTTTCCTATTTGGAGACTACATTTTACATTTTTCGTTACAATTGCTTCTGACCGTGTGACTGAATTCTTGCCAATGGATTGGAACAGAATTGCTTTAGAGAATTTCACATTTACTTTCTTAAAGAGAAATCCCTCCTCCTGACTATGTCTCAGCCTCCCAGGACAGAGAACTAGAATCCCTTGGGGATAATGGAGAAAGTATTAGAAGCAACTGAACAACTAAAAAGTGAAGTCTCTTCTTTTTTTAATTTTATTTTTTAAACTTGCATAGGGATAAATGTACATATTTATGGAGTACATAGTGAGTTTCATTACATAAAGTGTACAGTGATCAAATTAGGATAATTAACATGTTCATGTTCATCCCCTCAAACATTTATCATTTGTTTGTGTTGGCAGCATTCAAAATTGTCTCTTCTAGCATTTGAAAATATGTAATAAATTTGTTGTTGACTATAGTCACTCTACAGTTGTATAGAATACTAGGAGAGAAACAAAGCCTCTTCTTGGATTTACAATACATACTTCAGTATTATTGTTTGAAAAACAACAACAATAACAAAACCTTATTTTGGTTCATTAACTGTTGTTTTATTGGGTCTTTCCCACTCTCTCTCTCTCTTTTTTTTTTTAACATTAGCCTAGTCTTAACCTAATAAATTTATTTAATAAAATAAATTGATGAATTTGAAGTTTTCAGTAAGTGTTTTACATTTTTTAACATCCATATATGCACTTATTTTATATATCCTGATTTACTATCACACACTCAGAGGGTCTACATAGAATTATCATTTCGGGTTTGATAACACACATGCACAAGGCATGTTTAAAAATCTGTAAAGAAGCCAGAATATTAGGAAATGAAATATTAGGAAACTAAAGAATAGACCATTTTATAGCGTCTTAGTTGGAAATATGGTAATCTTCTTTAAAATTATTCTGTAAAACCACTAGAAAACCTGAAATTGTAAATACCCATAAGCTACTAACATAGGAACAATTTTATGTGAGAAAAAGGTCAAAAACTTATTTCTTCAAATATCATTTTTGTTAAAAAGCAGACAGTGATTTGGAAAGATTTTTAAAAATCATATATTACGTTTGTTTTTCAGCATTTAATATTGCATTTTTTACAAAGTCCTGATTTAATGGCATATAATCAGCTCAATGATATTCATCTTTTAAATGCTTTACTAATATTAACAAATTTTCCCTCAGAAGAACACTCCATATAATTATAAGACAATGAAACTAAACAAGCAACCTAATATTTTATTTACCACAAATAAATAATCTTGGGCATGAGTAATAGCTTTTCATCAAGTAATGCCCATGTTATGGAGTGGATATTTGTGTTCCTCCCACCAAAAAAATTAAAGTTTGAAATCCTAATCCCCGATGTGATATTAGGAGGTGGAGCATTTGGGAGGTAATTAGGTCGTTAGGGTAGACCCTTTAGGAATGGGATTATGGATCTCATAAAAGAGAGCCCAGAAAACTCTCTAGCTGTCTCTTTCCACCACATGAAGACAGGGCAAGAAGTAGAGACTGCTACCCTAAAGAAGACCTCACCAGAGCACAGCCTCGCTGGCACCTGAATCTCAGACTTCCAGCTTCCGGAACTGTGAGAAATCAGTATCTGTGGTTTATAAGCTATTCCGTTTATGATACTTTGGCTAAGCAACCTGAATGGACTAAGAAAACCTACTTTTTAAATAAAATATAACACACAGCAAATTTAATGATGAATTTTTTTTTTAGTTTCACATCACTGATATCTGAAATTTCATCAGCTGTCTCTAAAACATTCTTCATCTATTTCTATGCTGAAAGAAAAGGAAAAAAGAAAGTTAAATTATGAATCATAAACCTATCAGATAAATTTAGTCATAATAGATCATCTTCCTAGTTCATACGTTTTCATTATTTTATCCAAGTATGCTTATGTTAATATTAAATGTATATGTGTACTAGACACTCTGTTGCCTGAGTAGTTTGTTTTGCTTGAACTATAATTATATTATAAAGTACATATTTGGTGGTCACATGTACATGAAGCTGACATAATTATAGAGTACTATCATGGAAATACATAGATCTTAATTTTTGTTTTCTCTGCATACTCTGACACTTTATGTCTTAAATACGGATGTGGAGGCTAAGAGTATTTTCTTTTTTTAATTATTTTATTTATTTATTTATTTATTGAGACGGGATCTCACTCTGTCACCCAGGCTGGAGTGCAGTGGCAGGATCTCAGCTCACTGCAACCTCCACCTCCCGGGTTCAAGCCATTCTCCTGCCTCAACTTCCCGAGTAGCTGGGATTACAGGTGTGCACCACCACACCCAGCTAAATTCTGTAATTTTTAGTAGAGATGGGGTTTCACCATGTTGGCCAGGTTGGTCTCCAACTCCTGAACTTAAGTGATCTGCCTGCCTCGGCCTCCCAAAGTGCTGGGATTACAGGCATGGGCCATTGCGCCCTGCCTTATTTTCCAATATCTTCTTTGAAGTTTTGCTTTTTGCTTCTTGGTACCTCAGCTGAAACTTCTAGTGTAAGATTTTGTTATATTACAAAGATGTTGTCCCAATAAAGGGAAAGGAACAAAGGATCTGTATAAATCTAATGATATTTATCTAATGAACATTTTGGTAAATTATTCAATAGAAAGAAATAAAAAGGAAGAGCCAGAGTGACAGAGGAGTTAGAAAGGAGCAGGAAGACCACTGAATTATTGTTTTTCCCTATACTAACTCAACCTTTTATTGTCCCATTCTTAAATAATACTGTAGAAATAAATCAGCAATTGTCTCCCTGATAGATGATTGTCTCAAACGATAATTAGAATGTCTGTTGACATAAGGTCAAATCTAAGAGATGACTCTGAATTATGCTCATCGAAAGCCAAGTTGACTCATATTTTCAGATTGTAAGAGAAACTCATTTAATTATGGATAAGAAGAACAATACCAGCACACATGTAGATGCACACATACCCACAGATGTCCTTGAGAACTCAGCAAAATAAAGTGGGCAAAGTAGCCAAAAGTATAATAAGCGTATCTTTCGGGAAAAAATAATAGTTCTTCATAGATTCCTGCTTAAAACATAATAGACATGTATATGATTTTGGTTCCAGACACTAGATCCTCAATTCAAATTGGCTGGGGAAAAATTACTTTTTCATATAAATTATGATCTTTTTGTTTAATGTGGTTAGCTAGCATATTCTCTCAACCAATGGTTCTTGAATCATATTGGAGAATTCTTAAGAGTACTGGGAAGCATTAATCCTTTTCCTTGATCGCCAAGTTGATAAAAACCAGTTTAAGCTTCCTGATTACTTGCCAATTGAATGTGAGTCTGTCTCGTTTTTTTATGATGTCTATGAGGATGGGATGAAATCACTGAATGAGGAAGAAAACCAGAGGTTTTGGAATGTTCTAAAACATAAAGCTACTGGTCAAAATCTTAAAATTGTTTTTATAATAAGAATCGAATAAGTGGCTGCCTGTATAAAGTCTTGAGAATTTTCATCTCAAAATCATTTCCCTAATTGGAATAAGTCAGTGAAAGATTCTATTAAATGAACCTAATATTTAGGATATGATGGTCTTTGAATCTGTCATTTGCTAGGCAACAGTCCTCGGCTGTAAAATCAAACACTAATCTAGGTATTGCTCTGAAGGTATTTTGTAGATGTAATTAAAGCTCGTAAATAGTAAAGGATTTACTAACTAAGGGAGATTACCCTAGATAATCTAAGTTGGGCTGATTCAATCAGTTAAATGACCTTAAAAGTAGAGCTGAGGCTTCGTCGATGAAAAAGAAACTTTGTTGATGAATAAGGACTTTAGCCCTGTTGATGAATAAGGACTTTAGCCCGTGCCCAGGAATTTTGGAATGCCCTTCCTGTTGGTCTGCCCTATGAATATGGGGCTTGCCTAATCAGCCCCTATACTCACATAAGCTAATTCTTTACAATAAACATTTTAATATATCTCCCCTGCTAGTTTTGTTTTTTTTCTGATTGAACACTTGACAGTTACAGGTTTTGGTACCAGCAGTGGTCCTAGAGGAACAAAGTATTAAGAATAAATTTTGTGAATTTATTCTGGCTCTTCTGGCATTGGTTCACTAATTCAATTTATGATAAAGTCACTAATAATTCAAATTCCAGTGGTAAAGAGACCATTGGTAGTTCATGGCATGATGTAGCAATAGAGATATACAAAATATAGCCTACTTAAATACCTATAGAATACGAGGTATTCAGCGACCACGTATTTGCTAAGTTAGAACATTTTAGTCAAACTAGAATATATAATAAAATTGGATTGACTAACTGCTCTAAATTACATTGGAAAAAGTTGAAAAAAATGAGTTCAGGGTTTCAAATTCCCAGATCAATATTTGCATAAAACACCTGAAATAATCTATGTCTGCCTATAAATAAATTCTTATTAAAGAAGATTCAGAGTTGAAATTTCTGAAAAGCAAACACAAAGTTTCAGCCTGCAAGTCATTGAATTACAACACACATTGAATTCTCATTTTCTCAGGTGTTTTTCCATCAAGTGTGGGTATTGTTTGGGAAGGAATGGAATGGAAAAAATAAAATGAGGACAAATAGGAAGATCCCAATAAAGCTGGGAAAATCAAATATTTAATTTATCTGAGTCTTCTTTAGTAGTAAAAGTAGCCCTTTCATCCCTATGAAAGGAAGTTAATTCTCCTTTGCCTAAAAACCTGTAAGAGACTTCTCTGAAGAAGTTTCCTGGCAAGGCAGGCCCTGCTGATTATCTTCAAGATCTACCTCCACAACCCCTCTTTACTTCTAGACATATAAATAGACGTTAGTCCTAGCAGACCCCTAAAAATAAGACACAATTTATGTTCTATGGGAACATGTATTGCATAACAAAGGAACTGCATCCATTTTTTTCAATTTATATAGAAAGAAATTTGGGGAATGTATATAGAAAGGGATCTTAGGAATGTTGACTCATAGTGGAAAAAATATAAGGTTGGATCAGGTCCAATTTATTGAAACAGGCCCTCTAAGTTGAGATTCTGCATTTAATGTTTTAGCTTGAGGGGTTAGAAGGGGTGCCAATAGTCCACCTGCCTGCTTGGCAGAAACATTAACCAATTGTAGCCAACACTAAATAAAGTTGAAATGCCAGAATTACCTTAGTATTTTGTGGAAGAAAGTATCCAGAGACTTAGGGAGATTGAAATGTTATCTTTCAAGTCCTGTTTACTCAAATTACAAGATTCCAGAAGACACACTTTTTACCATGAGAGTGAGAAATACATTTTCGAGGGAACACTGGAATCCTGGAATCATTCTGGTTGCTTGTCTCTGTAGATCAGAAATTATAGTTGGAACTGCTATAATTAAAGCTGGATCCACAACACAGTGGGGACAATGAGATCCTAGACTGGCAGGGGTCAAGTAGTGCCACTTAATTAACAAAGACAAGGGTGTGCTTATCATAATGAACAGTGAACACAAAGCAGTTGTCAGAATAGTTTGACTCACAGATACCTATAGAATTGGCCAGATGATCATAGTATCCATAAAAATATATACGTAGGCCGTCTATTAAATTCTTACATGATCTGTACAGATAGGGAGTTGTAGGTTGAGTGGACATAAGTTTAACTAGAATAACAAAAACAGAGTCAAAACCCCTCCAGTCAATTTCTAGATATAAACTAGTTTATTAACTCAGAATACCTTGAATACAGAGGAGGTTGGGCCTTTTTAAGGGAGGACCCCATTACTCTGCTAAAATATTATATGATTAGTCCTTTTTTTAGACTTCCCCAAAAAGACTTACACCATCTACCAGGGTAACTGTACATTGGTTGGAGGAACATAGACTTTCCAGGAGTTGCCAAATACTGGCTCTGTTCTGACTCTAATTCCTATAGCCTCAAAACGTCACTGGGCTCACTCAGTCAGAGTAGGGGGTTACTACATAGGTCAAGTGATGAATAAGGTTTTAGGTTAGGTCCGTCTTAAAATGGTTGTAGTGGCTCTCCAAACACATGTATTGATTATTTCTACATTTCTGGAATACATAATTGGAATAAAACTACTCAGCAATAGGCAGAATCTCCATATTGGTTCCCTAACTGTGTAGTTAGAGCTATTTTGGTAGACAAGGCAAAATGGAAGCCACTAGAACTTCCTTTACCTACCAAAATGTTGACCAAAAGCAATGCCGTATTCTTCAACGGATTGTGGAGATTAGTGCCACCAAAGAGGATTTAAAAGATGCAGGGATGGTGATTCTACCACATCAGCATTTAACTTGCGTATTTTGCTTATGCAGCGATCAGATTTTAGAGAATGACAAAAGAGTATGGTAAGTTTAATTATGTGGTGACTCCACAGTTTACATTATGAATGGCTTCATTGTTTCAGAAAATTAACATTTCTTTGGTACCTGGTATGTTGTTACTGATCTGGTATTTTTAAAATATACCTATTAGTAGCCACCAAAATTGATTTGCTTTCAGCTGACAAGCCATCAATATACCTTCACTATTTTACCTTAAGGGTATATCAGTAAGCAAGTCTTCTGTTCTCATTTAGTCCACAAGGGTTGTCTTTCTCTTCCACAAGATACCATAGCAGTTCATTATATTGATGCTATTATGCTGATTGGACCTGGTGAGCACTAAATAGCAATTAGTCTAAATGTATGGGTAAGGCATTTATGTGTCAGAAGGTGGGAGGTAAATCACTCAAAAATTCAAGGGCCTTCCATCTCAGTAAAATTTCTGAGTCCAGTGGTCCAGGGCATTATGAGGTATTCCTTCTAAGGTGAAAAATAGGTTGCTACATCTGGCTCCTCTTGCAACTGAAAAAGAAGCATGACACCTAGTGGGCCTCTTAGGATTTAAGAGGCAATATAGCCCTCATTTGGTTATGATAAAGCAAGCTGTTTCAAAAGTGACCCCAAAAGCTGCAAGCTTTGAGTAGGGCCCGGAACAAGAGAAAACGTCCAGGCTCCCATGCAAACTGCAATAACTATTCGTGATAAATGTATCTCAGATATCAAAATAAGCTAATATTTTGAGGAGGCAATAAAAGTTACAACTTCTTATAAATTTTGTAATATTAGTCAAATATGGAGATTTTCCTGTTGTAAGTTTGTTAATGTTGAATGCTTCTTTATACACCTCAGAAGATAATTAAAAATGCAAATTGATAATATGTTTGTTGCTATTATTTCTGCATATTACATCTTATCATGGGCAGGTGACTATATGCTTTTTATGACTATACTCAAACAAATGACAGTTGCTTTCTGCCTTTTTACGTAAAGATTTTAAAATAAATGATTTATTGAAATATCACTTTTTTTTTGCTTGTAGTGGATTCTGATAAAAAAATGTTCATGCTGTGTGACTTTGAAAATACCCTTTACTGGCAGCCAGCCTTTATTACAGCATTACTGTTTGCTGGCATTAAACAACACAATCAGGGGCCAATTTAAAGTCTAGAAATCAATCTATTTGAGATTAAGAGGCTCCCTATATGGCAATTATTCCCTTAGATGAATATACAATCTTTATTGTTCCATAAATTTTGCTTAGCTTAAATCATAGAAGCACTTATGTATATTACATCATTGTAGATAACATTTTATGTAGAATTTTCCAAAAAGGAACTTTGCTATATCTCATAATATCTAGTGATTTAAAACATTCATATTACAAGTCATTCCAACATGCTACATTGGAATGTGATGAGAGGACTGAAAGGAACACCACAGTCAAGGTATTATATATCTTATATAGATGAGTTTATTAAGTAGAGATAAAATGTACTTTTACAGGGAGATTCACAGAATTTGATAAGTACTACATTTCCATTTCCAATAAGCTCAGTATTGAATCTTTTTCAGCATTTCTCTAGGATTCTGGAACAGAATATACTATTTCAACATTTGAATTTAGAAAGGGTATTATTTATATTAGAATTAAATTTTGTTAGTGACTAAAATAATTATTACTTCTCCATTAAAGAAGTTATTCTTATCTCAGCTTTTGCTTTGAAATTATACACTAAGTATTAAATACAAAGAAAACAATGTGAATATTTCTAAACTTATTTTTGTGTGGTTAAAAGTACAAGGAATCCATTAAAGACATTAAAGACATTTATTCATAATACATAATACATAATAGCTCAATCCTTAAAACATGTGTTCCACAAACCACTGCCATTGTTGCAACTTTACTGTTTTGATAAGCTTATCTACCAAATCTGAATTCCTAATTGTTTCATGAGGAAATGAAGACATTGGTGCCAATAAGAATAAAATGGAAGAAAAGAAATACATGCTATAGAAAAGCAGTATCATGACATATTTATAGGCCTTCCCACCCTGCCTCATATGGCTTTTTGTGCTGATTCACAGAATTTGATTATACATTAAAGAAGCTGGAGAACACATTTGGCATTCTTAGATAAAAATTAAAAAAAAAAGTCTTTATCTTAATCTCTTTATGCAGGCACACAGGAATGCTACATGAAAATTAACATGCCAACCAATCCAAATTTAAATTATGAATCTTCACCTCAAATAAGCTCTCAATTATTCCCAACAATATTTTAATTACCTCCCCTTTTGTACAGTCTCTCTGCCTTCCTAGAAAATAATTCCACACCCTACTATCCAACACCTCCTCCCTATTATCATTCTCAGATGATGAATTTGCATCTACTTCCAGAATAAAACTTCCCTGACTCCTTCTACCACCTCTACCTCTATCCATATACCCTGCTGTTTTTGCTGATACTATGAAGCTGTCCATTCTCCAGTCTAATTCAACCCCTCCATATGTGCAGGAGATCCCATACATTGTAGCTTATGCAAATAAATTTTACCACTATGCATCATATTTCCCCTCTTCTCTGGATTATTCCCTTCTGCATACAAACATTCAGACTTACATTGTTTTCCCACCTTAAATATTTTCTTGACTCTACTATGACTTCTTTGTTTATGATAACAATAATCCCATTTCTCTGCTTCTCAACGTGAAGGTCTTATATACAGTGCCTACATTAAAATTGTACTTTATAAATACACAACTAGATTAAAAGTAAAAGAATAGAATAACATAAACTATGCCAGTACTAATGAAAATAAACCAGCCTGGGCAAAATGGCAAGATCCGATCTCTAAAAAATATAAAAAACATTACCCAGACATGGTGGTGTGCACCTGTGCTTCCTGCTACTAGGAAGGCTGAGGCAGGAAGATCACTTAAGTCCAGGAGTTCACAGCTGCAGTGAGTTGTGTTTGCAATCCAGCCAGACTGGGTTACAGAGTAAACTCCTGTCTCAAAAAATAAATAAATAAAAATAAAAATAATGGGGCTTGTCACAGTGGGTCACACCTGTAATCGCAGCACTTTGGGAGGCCGAGGCAGTCAGATCACATGAGACCAGGAGTTCTAGACCAGTCTGGCCAACATGGTGAAACCTTGTCTCTACTGAAAATGCAAAAATTAGTTTAGAGTGATGGTGCATGCCTGTAGTCCCAGCTACTCAAGAGGCTGAGGTGAGAAATCGCTTGAACTCGGGGGATGGAGGTTGCAGTGAGCCAAGATCGTGCCACTGCACTCCAGCCTGGGCAACAGAGCAAGACTCCTTCTCTGAATAAATAAATAAATTTGAAAATAATAGAGCACAGTGGTTATTTTATATCAGAGATGGTAGATTTCAGAATAAAAAATGTTACTGGGAATAAAAAGGCTCATTTCAAAATGACAAAGGGGTTGATTCACTAAGAACCAATAACAATCTTAAACATTTATATACCTAATAACAAAGCTTTTCACCTTCAGTGTGAAATAATTTGATCACAGTCCTCCCTAACTAATCTGATGACAGCTCTCATCTTCCAAGTAGTTAGGTCAAATTATTTGACGTTATTTTGGATCCTTTATTCAACATCTACAATTAATTAATCAACAATATATTGTTGTTTCTACCACCAAAATATATTTAGAGGTCCAATGCTTCTCATTGCCACCACTGCCTTTACCCTGGTTTGTGTGCCATTTTCTCTTGCCAGGATTACTGTTGTAGTCTTCCAGTTTGCCAAATTGCTTCCATATTGGCCCCTCCTTTCCCACTGTCTACCTTTGATTTTGTTTATTGTTTGTCTATTCCTACTTGCGTATGAATTTCAGGAAAACTTGGATTTTTTTGTTTATTGGAATTTTGTTTTGTACCTAACTAATCCCTAGAAAATAACAAATATTCAATAAATTAGTGTTTAATATTTTTGTTTAAATGTTATTTTTATTGTCTTGAGTGTATACATGCGGTTATACGTAGGACTAAAAATTGTGCTAGGATTATGTTATTTTCTGTCTGCCATTTGCTTTAAGGCTGTCTCAAACTCATTGCAACATTATTAGGGACAAATTTGAATGTTTTTCTCCTTACACAACACTGAGGGCTTATATTGTTTTCCCATGTTCTAAATTATTCCAAGGTTTTTCTTTTCTTTTCTTTTTTTTCTTTAATTTTAGAGATTTTCTTTCTAGAGCTATTTTCTCTCCTGATATAGTTTGGCTGTGTCTCCATCCAAATCTCATCTTGAATTGTACTCCCATAATTCCCACGTGTCGTGGGAGGGATGCTGTGGGAGAAAATTGAATCATGGGGGCGGTTTTCCCTGTACTATTTTTGTAGTAGTGAGTAAGTCTCACAACCTATGATGGTTTGATAAGGGGAAACTCATTTCCCTTGGTTTTCATTCTCTCTCTTGCCACCTGCATGTGAGACGTGCCTTTCACCTTCCGCCATGATTGTGAGGCCTCCCCAGCCATGGGGAACTGTAAGTCCAACAAACCTCTTTTGTAAATTGCCCAGTCTCAGATATGTCTTTATCAGCAGTGTGAAAATGGACTAATACATCTCCCTTTCAATCTGTAGTGGTCACACTGTTTCTGCTGCATACTATCACCCTGGGAGAGAATATCATTGTTTTTAGTAAATTTTGAAGTGTTTACTGTGGTTTACTGCATAGTTTTATGTTTCTCACAGTTTTAGAATTACTTGCCATAAAATAAAATCTTATAGATATTAAGCTTCAATCAGGTATCCAAAATCTTCAAAGCTTTGATATCTCATTATTGCAAACAAATGTAATAATTGGTGGACATTTAAGGTAGCCTGATGATATGAAAAAGAAAGATGATGGTAAACAAAAAAAAAAAAAGAAAAAAATACCAAAAATAAACAAAATTTTTCCAGAAACCAGTATTATCTGAAATTCTTAAATTAGTTTGTGCAAAAATAGCAGCCGAAGGGGCAAGGGGAACATTAAGTATCAGGTAACAACAACTCAAATTGCTAATTTCTTATCATAAATCATGGAGGATAGAAGGAAATGGTACATAATTTTCTAGGAGCTGTAAAGAAAGTATGTCTGTATTTTTCCTGTATTTGATATATCCTTCAGAAATTAAAGTGAAGTAAAGACATTCTCAGATGTAGAAAATCTAGAGATTTAATTGCTAGCATACTAGTGCTAAACAAATTACTGAAAAGAAAACTTCTTAAAACAGTGGAAAAATTGAAACACTTGGAACATGAGAAACATTTGATTGAAATGTTAAATAGCTAGATAAATTGAATAAATTTTTTTTCTTTTCAGTTCTATGAATTTGTCAGTTGAAAAAATAAAACATTTTTTGATAGGGCTTTACATCTATTAAGATATAATACACAATACAAACATAACACAGAGTTTAGGTAAATGGATCAATATATAGTATTTTTCCTATTTTCCACTTGAGTTAGTAAAATATTAATACTAAATAGACTCTAAAGATATATATTATATTTTAATCTTTAGAGTAACAACTTAAATATATGCAAAGGTATATAAGTGAAAAGAAAATAGGTAATGAAAATAAAATACTACAAATAATATTCTATAAACCCACAGAAAGGAAGAATAGAGAAATAGAAGAACCAAACAGAACAAACACAATATGAACAATAAAATGATAAACCTGAATCCTGCTATTTCAATAATGTTAAATACAACTTGTCATACATATAAAGATAAATTTTTCAGAGAATAAGAACATTACTCAATTATAGCTGCATGAAATTTTCTTAAAATAGAAAATATGTAGTTTAAATGTAAAAGGATCTAAAAACATATAATGTCAACAAAAATTTAAAGAACACTAAAGTGGCTATATTAATAACAGAGAAAGTAGACTTCAGAGAAAAAAAACAAACAAAACTACCAGGCATAAAGTACATTATTACAAAATGACAAATGGATCAATTCACTAAGGGGACATAACAAATGTAATTGTGTATCCTTCAAAATATATGAAGCTAACACTGAAAAATAGAGAAATCCAATATTACAGGTATCAACACCAATCTCTCAGTATTAAACAGAAATAGTAGACATAGTTTGAGTATCCCTACAGAAAAACTGAAAACTACCATCAACCACCTGGATCTAATTTCAATTTATATAACACTCAATGAGCAATGTGCGTTCCTTTCAAGTGTACCTGGAACATTCACCAAATAAGATTGTTTATGAGATTGTAAAATTACTACCTATTGGGGGCTATGCTTATGACCCAGGTGATGAATTCAGTTGTACCCTAAACTTCATCATTACATAACATACATTTGTAACAAACCTGCACATGTACCCCCCCTATCTAAAATAAAAGTTGAAAAAGAAAAAATGATAAAGTAAACCCTGACAGTTTTAAAATGAAATCATATATAAATTCTCTTCTCTGATCGTTATGAAATTAAACTAGAAAAAAAAAACCAGCAAAATTTCCAAACATGTGGAAATCAACTGTTTCTAAATAAACCATGGGTCAAAGAGGAACTAAAAATTATAGAAAATATTTTGAACTAAACTAATATAAAAATACAAAATATCAAAATTAATGGGATACAACTAAAGCAGTTCTTCACAATATTAAACATCAGAAAATGTTGTTTAATGTTGTTTAATACATGACCATATAATTAATACAGAAAAATGCATGAATCCAAATTTAATATTTATTCCTGATGAAAAATTCTCAGCAAACTATAAATACAAGATAACTTCCTCAACCTGATAAAGGACTTATATAAAAATCTACAGTTCATATTATTCTTAACAGTGAAAGGTGGAAGAGCTTATTCCAAAAATTGGGAACAAGAGAAGGAAACCCCTTTCCCTCTCCTGCTGGAAATATTGCTCAATTTACTAAGAAAGGAAAAAGAAATACAAGACCTAACTCTTAGAAAAAAGAAATAAAGTACTACATGTTCAAAGAAGACATGACTGTCATTGTAGAAAATCAATTAGAATCTTTAAATATACAATTAAAATTAATATGTGCATTTATCAACGTTACAAAATACAACACAATACAAAGTCAATGTAAAAATCAACTATATTAATTTAATATAGCACAGAACATTTCAGATGAGAATAAAAAATATTATGCCACTTACAATACTTTCAAAAATAAAATATTTATATATAAATCTAACTAAATATCATAAGGAGTGTGAATTAAAAAGAGTGTATTTTTCTGAGTGTAATTTGAACTTTTAGTTGATTTTGAGACACTCCAAATTAGATTTAAAGATTATTCTAGTCAATGGCCCAGAATAACTACATGGGAGCAATTAGTAAGATATTGATTCAAAGAAGTAAAAAAATATGTAGTCCTAGAATAGAGTGACGAAAAGTGGCTAAGCTCATAATATGTGTTAAACATACACATCAGCAAACTTGCTTATGGATTGAAGGTAAAAGGGGAATCAAATATGAATTGAGATATATGGGCATGACAATTGTGTAACTAGTAAATGAAGTTACTTCATTTACTAAAATGAAGAAGACTATGGAGGAATCATGTGATGAGGAAGTCCGCAAATTGCAATTTTGGACATGTTAAGTTTGAAATAGTTGTTTTCCAAGATTCAAAATGAGAAATAAAATATACCAGAAGTAAAATATAGTAGAACTTAGTAGAGAGGTCAAAGTTCTTATTTCAGCCAAATAACCTAGAGTAAGCATACTTAAGAAACACATACACACACACACAGACACACACAAACAGTTGAAAACAAAGTCTGGAGACAGTCCACCATTTTGTACCAAGAAAGAGAGGCAAAAGAAAAAAAAAAAAGAAAAGCAGGTGGAGGGGGAGTGGCTAGTAGAGTAGGAAGAGACAACAAAGTAGTATATCACTTCAGAAACAAAGTGAAGAAAAATGTAGAAGCATACAAGTGTTTATATAAGTGGTATAAATATATAGTATAAAATACTTTTAAGAGTTTGAATTGACAACTGAAAAGTGAACAATTAAATTTAGCAGTATTAGGTACCTCTGATAAGATAGTGTGATAAAGGTTTGGTGTAGATTGAAAATGAGATAGAAAAAAGAAAAATAAAAACTGTGTATAATTTTTTTAGAAAACTTTGATATAAAATGTAATAGAAATAAAGAACAGAAAATAGGAACATATTGTTGATGGAAAGAGACATAGAAAGACTTTTTAAAATGAAGATAGATATTACAGCATGTGTGAATGTTGACTGGACTGGGCAGCCACTAAAATGGAAAAAAAAATAATGCTGAAAAATAAAGGTGTTATACAGGAACAAATGACCTGGCTATAGTAGAGTAGATGAGAACAAATGCACAAGTTGAGTAGCCTTTTTTTACTGCCATCTATTGCTACGTAACAAATCACTCCAAATTTACTGGCTTAGAAAAGAGTGTATTGTATCTCATAATTTTGTGAATCAGAAATTTGAGCAAGGCTGGGATGGATAGTTTTTTTGCCCTAGGAGATTTTAACTTAGGTCATTTCAAAAATGTTTTTACCTTGTGATTGGTACCTAAGTAGACATGACTGGAAGGCTAGGTTTAGCCAGACCATTGACTGAACAGCATTCACGTAGTCTATCTAATGTATCAATCTCATAGCAGTCAACAATTTTGCATGCGACTCAGGGGCATCAAGGAAAGAGCATCAAGAGTCCAGACATAATCTGCAATGTATTTTATGACATACCTCAAAATGTACAGGACATCGCTTCTGCCACAATATAATGTTCAATTCCTTACATCCAACTAGATTCAAGGGAAGATACATTAGTTTACCTGTTAATGTAAAGGATGTTGAAGCATGTTGAAAGCATGTTGAAGGATGTGCAGTTATTTTTAATGTACTTTAACCTTGCAATGTCATCACCAGATTTTAGTAGCTGTTAAGTATTAAAAAGCTTTAATCTATTTGAGGGTTTATTTAGTGTTTACTTTAAAAATATTTACTTATTAGATTTTTTAATAGAAAGATCTTATTAAATACAGTTGCCAAAATCTCTTTGAGTTTTAGACAAACTAATTCTATTATTTTCTTTTGAAATAAATACCTTTTGTTATTTATATTAAATATTAAATTAATTGGTAAATTATAGTGTATTTGATACATATCAGGTGTTAGCTTATGGTACCTTTTGGCATTTTCTTTACAAATCAGCATGCATTTGCGAAATACTTCAAAATTAAATCAAAGCTGAGCTCAAATTACAGACGAATTACCTTCCATACAACCTTATTGTATTTAATAAAGTCCAATTTACCTTGGACAAAATGGTGTGTGTGTGCGTGCATGCGTGTGTGTGTGTGTGTGTAAGCTGACAAAAGTCATTACAGGAACAAAGGAAAAGGAGTAGCCAAGAAAACCTAAAATACTAGGAAGAGAGTACAACCCATGAGCAAGAAAAAGCAATAAAAGTGGAGAAAAAGAGAGGGAGGAGAAAAACCACAAAGTATAGTAAGTCTACTGCTGTCACAATTTGTCAAATATTTTTTATGACTAAATTTCTCATTCTGAGATAATTAACATTTCAGGTGAAAACTGGTATGAGTAAAGGAAGAGGGATGGTTAACAAGACTGCAACCAAGTTAGGTGTTGTGCTGAGATCTACTTCAGGAAAAAAATGGAATGAACAGTCTACAATTACCATTATCCCAATTTGGAATTAGTAAAATGGCTTGATGACAGTTAAATAAGCTCCGTGTTTAATACCCAATAAAATAAAATAAAATAAAATATTTTCTTTAAAATTAATGACATTGAAATGATATAACATATCTATTTAAATTGATACATTTTTGAACAAAAAATAGATTGTTAAATTTGTTTTTTTGACAATCAAGATGATTGATTTTAAAAAGAAATTCTGATGCCAATCTTAGAAAATACTGAGAGAATTTAAAAATGTATATGACTTCCTCACCAAACTACAGATTAGTATGTCCTGTTGCTGTTTGCATCCCATCTGTGAATAATGTGAAGAAATACAGCTGCTTCTGAATTAAATACTCTTCTTCCTAATTTACATCTTTATTTCACTAGAGAAATGATTAAGAGATTTTTTTTTAAAAGCACTAAAACAGATGTCATTGAGAATGACCAAGTTTTACAACCTAAGTTGTAGTTCATAAAACTAGTAAAAAAAATGAGTTATATATCCTTCATTGACTCAATCACTAAATGAATGACATGAAATATATACAGAGACCAAAGAACGCCTTCCTTCCTAAATTGTGTGTATTTGTATGCGAGTTTGTGTATATGTGGGTTGCCTTCTAAAGTAGAAATACAAATACATCAAAGAGATTCAGACTATGCTTCTTAAAAGTTAATGCATATAGCAAACTGATAAAACCAATGATTGATCTTTCTGTTCCTAATATTTTACTCACAAACCCTTCACACTAGAGCTGATTCTTATTAAAATAGATCTGCTCATCTTTTCTTTTTACATTTTTCTTGCTCAAAATTATTTGGGAACTCCTCATTAAAATATATTTTGTAGGCCAATTCTTTGATCTTAAAAACCCTAACAAAATGAGGTACCAATATATCGTCTCATTTTCCACTACCTCACCATCTTACTTAGCCACAATGTCCTCTCACTTATCACTCACTCATGTTATTCTTGGTGCTCCAATGCTCTTCTCCTGCTGTTTACTTTCAACAGAGTCATCATTCAAAGGTCAACTCAAATGCCACATCTGTGAATGCTCCTCTAATTTTCTCTACTCTGTCAAAATTCACACATTCCTTTGATTATCACATTTTTTGTTTATTCCTTATAACATTTAGATAATTTATCTCATATTAGTGGTAATTCTGTAAATCTGCTCCATGTAGTAAAACTAAGTCTGCATCTTTGTCAAGTATTTGTGCCCCTGTATCCCACACAATTGCTCATTCAATACATTCTTTACACATCAATGCGTATATTCATAAGGAATAACAGCTACCTGTACAAAAATGATTTATTTAACAGCAGAAGCTAATAAATTTAAGAGGAGAGAAACATAGCTAAATTTATCTTAACTAAATTTAGAAAGTAGAATGTTTACAATCAGGCCTTGCATCCATGAGTAGTTTTTGAGAAGGTGCATTTTATGTTAAGAATTATACTTTAATTCTTTCATTTCTTAATTTCAGGCTATTTTGAATTGTATAACCAATTAGATTTCTCTAATAAAAAGAAACATAAATAGCATATATGTATTTTTATATCCTTGATATTCTTTTGGTAGTTTATAACTTGGTACTTTTAAGTGACATCTTAATAAATTTTCAAATTTAATTATAAATTGTTAAATTAAAAATGACCTATAGAATTTTTTTTGCTTCATTGTAAGGATTAGTATATATTAATAAACTCATACAAAGACTTTCAAATATTCTCTTTTACACATAAGGAGAAATTGCACTTGAAGGTTTTTTTTTTCATTTGATGAATAAATTTAGCCATTAGAGTCTCTAGTCTTATTGTCTTTAAATATATGTGTCAAAGCTGGAAATTTAGCATAAACCTGAAGCCTTAATAGTTGTTATTTTACAAAGTTCTATTACCAGTTATGGAACACTGACATTTGAAATATTTTGGCAATGCCAGAAGCACCACTATCATTAAAAGTACCCTAAAAGAAACAAGGATAACTTTCTTTATTGACCTAAAAAAAGCTTTTCAGAAATCATTTTTCTAACAAAACTTTGTATACATTATTGTGTCAAATACAATATTTAATGCACTAATAAGCTGAAGAAACAAAATATAACTAGGTTTACGTAAATGTCATTAAAAGCACTAGAAAGTTTTATATGACAAAGCATTTAGTATATTTCATTGATTTTCAAATATAAGCATTTAATAAAATGTTATAAGCATTTAATAAAAATAAAAATATATTATCCTCAATGAGGTAGAAAAATGCATTCTAAATATTCATTTAAATTATATTTTCATTTCTTAAGCAACTGACTTTGAAATACTTTCCTTGAAAATTGAGGCAAAAGTTTCTATAACATTTCCCTGAAAAGCTTTAATAGTGAACAATTTTATTCCTACAAAACATATTTTATTTGAATATATACAATAAAAATTACATAAAGCTAACTTCAAAGACTAATACAGTTATTTTATGTAAGTAACATTAGCATTAGTCCAAAAATAGATATTTCTAAAAAGTATTGGGAGAGATCCTTAGGTGATATATAATTCATTATCATGCAGTACAATTTTAAAGCAAGTTTTTAAACTGTTTGAAACAATGGTGTCTTTGTGGATATAAATAAAGTATTTGAAAATCAATGAAATATACTAAATTCTTTGTCATATAAAACTTTCTAGTGCTTTTAATGACATTTATGTTAAACCTAATTATATTTTGTTTCTTCAACTTATTAGTGCATTAAATATTGTATTTGACACAATAATGTATACAAAGTTTTGTTAGAAAAATGATTTCTGAAAAGCTTTGGGTCAATAAAGAAAGTTATCCTTGTTTCTTTTAGGGTACTTTTAATGATAGTGGTGCTTCTGGCATTACCAAAATATTTCAAATGTCAGTGTTCCATAACTGGTAATAGAACTTTGTAAAAGAACAACTATTAAGGCTTCAGGTTTATGCTAAATTTCCAGCTTTGACACATATATTTAAAGACAATAAGACTAGAGACTCTAATGGCTAAATTTATTCATCAAATGAAAAAAAAAAAACCTTCAAGTGCAATTTCTCCTTATGTGTAAAAGAGAATATTTGAAAGTATTTGTATGAGTTTATTAATATATACTAATCCTTACAATGAAGCAAAATAATAAACATGACACTTTTAAAATTTAACATACTTTTATCTTAGAAAAATAGTCTGCCATTTTATAAAAGAATATATATAATTTCAAACATATTGTAAAATAGAAGTATTTTCACTATGTATAATGAAATGAAATTAAATGCCCAAGTTTTAAATGGCCAGATGCTTCGTGGTAACTATACTCAAAAGAACCATCTATCATTTATTGCTCCCCACCTGGCCAGTGTTTTTCAAGAGGCATCCTGCAATTAGAATCCCAATATTTGGAATTGTTTCACTCATTATTCTTATTAGCTGCTTTAGCTATTTCAGTAGTTTTATGGGGGCAAAAATGATATGTTGTAGTTTTTGTTGACAGTCTTTACAGAGTCATTTTCTAACAAAATATTTTTTAAATGTATGAGTTTGTGTGAAGTAAAATTTTACACCAAAATAAGTTTATATAAGAGCAATTTGATATCCCCCATTATTGAAATGACAAGCCTGTAAGACCATTGCATTATTTGTGATATAATGTGGTCAATTATGGTTCATCATTTCTTAGTAAAATTGAAATGATATTTCAAATTTTGAACTCTAGAAAATACATTTAAGATGAAACTCACTTTCTCCAAATTTTCCATCATATACATATATAATTAAGATTTTTATATTTTTATTCAAGATCTCAGTGCTACCCAAGTCTGTAAGAGCTAAGAACATTAAACCATTTAACAAAATGTTGTAAATGAATGATGTGCAAGACATTATAGTAAGCATTTTGTATGACACAAAGGCAAAAACCACATGGTTCCTACTCTTAAAAATTTCAAGGTCCAGTTAACAGTATCAGTCACAGAAACACTGAATTAATTGGTAAATTTGGCAACAAACACAGAGTGGGAGAGAAAACGAGAATTAAAAATAACTGTTCTATGAGGATCAGAAAATATCTTAAAAAGGAAGAAGAGGCATCAAAGAGAGAATCTTATTTTCATAAGTAGAGAAAGAGGTGATAAAAATTTTGACTGAACTATTTAAAAACTCAGACATTTATCTATATATATTTATACACAAATGTTAGAGTTTGAAATATCACACCCAGCTGTTAGAAGACATCAAGTTTACACTTGCAAATTATAGAAATGTTAATATTAGAAAATTTAATTTTCAAATGTTCAATTAGAAATAAAAATAACAAGAACTAGACAATAAAACAAAATCATCACAAAACCATAACCTATCTTGGAAGGGTTTATGCTTGAGATGTAGGGTGAACAGAATAAATTTGGGAGGTGGAGCAAGATGGTCAAATAGAACCCTTCAGTAATTGTTCCCCCTACAGAAACACCAAATTAATAAACACCTATCATGTAAAAAGAAAACATCTTCATAAAAAACAAAAATTAAGCTAAGGGATCACAGTACCTGGTTTTAGCATTGTAACAAGGAAAGACACAATGAAGATTATAGGAAGGACAATTTCAACAGTGCCTACACCACCCCTCTCTCATCCCCAGGCAGTGCAGCCACAGCAGAGAATCTGTGCCTTTAGGAGAGGGACAGCAAAGTGATTGTGGAATATTGCATTAAAACTAAGTGTTGCCTTGTCACAGTAGAATACAGTACTGGACAGAATTCTGCTGGTGCTCATGGAAGGAGCATTTAGACTGGCCCTGCACCAGAGGAGAATTGTCTTCTCTGGCAGAAGAAACCTGAGTCTTGGCCCATTTCACTACCACCTAACTAAAGTGTCCTGGGCCCTAAATAAATGTGAACGGTAATCAGGCCATAGGGACTGCAGTCCTTGGGCAAGACTTGGACATGTGGACACGGGGTACAGGCCAGCATAACACCAGCTGTGGTAGCTATGGAATTGCATGCATCACCCCTCCCCCAATTCCAAGAAGTACAGGGTGCAAAGAAACTTCTATCTGGGGAAAGGAGAGGGAAGAGTACAATGGACTTTGTCTTGCAACCAGATACCAGCTCAGACAGAAAAATAAAGAACCAGGAAGAATCCTGAGGCCTCCAGTTTTAGACCTCTGCTCCCCAATGGGAATTCTAGGCCCACACCATGCCAGAAAGGAATCTGCTGCCCTGGTGTAACAGAGTCCTAACAGGATTCACCACCTGCTGACTAAAGTAGCCTTGGACCTTGAATAAACATTAGCAAAAGCCAGGCAGTAGCAGCCACAGGTCTTGGGTGAATCCTGCCTGGTACTATGTTGGTCAGGGAGGTTCTCAGCTTTGTGGGTGAGCCAGTGCCGTGCCAACTCTGGGAGCCACATCAGCCCTGTCCCAACTCCAGGCAGCCTAGCCAGAAGAAAAATTTCTTATCCTAGGGGGAAAGAACTGGAAGAGAATGAGGGATTTTACCTGGGAACCATGAAATTTGCTCTTATTTTCCCCAAATTTACCATAGCTGTGTATCTGAGCGTCAGCAAGAGTCACAACGTACCTTGACTTAGAGTGCCCCCCAGTGTTGAAACAGCTGCAGTGACCACAGGCTTAGGGAACTTAAAATTCAATTCCCTTAGGATTTGGGGAACTGCCTTTCTCCAGGGTGGGTTAAAACAAGACCAGACTACGAAGATTGAAATAAACACCTATCTCTGTAATGCCCTGATATTAATGAAAATTTACAAACATCAAGAGGTTCCAGGAAATACGATCTCACCAAACGGACTAAATAAGGCAACAGTGACCAATCCTAGAGTAGCAATGATATGTGACATCTGAGATAAGGAATTCAAAATAGCCGTTTTGAGGAAGCTAGATGAATTTCAAGATCTCACAAGGAAAAAATTCAAAATTCTATCAGAAAAACTTAAAGAGTTTGAAATAATTTTTGAAAAACAGGAAATTCTGGAGTTAAAAAATTTAATTGATAAACTATAAAATGCATCAGTGTCTCAACAGCAGAATTGATCAAGCAGAAGAAAGAATTAGTAAGCTCATAGGCTATTTTAAATTATACAGCTAGAGGAGAAAAAAGAAATTAATTTTTTAAAATATGCTTACAGGATTTAGAAAATAGCCTCAAAAGGGAAAATTTAAGTGTTATTGATCTTAAAAAAGATGTATTCATATAAATAATAACAGAACTTTTCAAACAGAGAAATATATAAATACCTAGGTACAAGAAAGTCAAAGAACACAAAGAAAATTCCACCTACATAAAACTGCCCCAAGGTATATGATAATCAAACTCTCAACAGTCAAAAACAAAGAAAGGATCCTAAAACCACCAAGAAGAAAGAAGCTAATAACAAATAAAAAAGCTCTGATATATCTGGAAGGAGACTTGTGTGGAAACTTTACAGGCCAGTTGAGAGTGAGATGATGTACTTAAAGTGCTGAAGGAAAAAACAAACAAACAAACAAAACAAAACCAAAAACCTATTCAACCAAGAATACTGTATGCAGCAAAGTTTCTCACCAAATATGGAGGTGATATAAAGGCTTTTCCAGACAAACAAAAGCTGAGACTTTTTATCAACAACAGCTCTGTCCTACAAGAAATGCTGAAGGTTTAAACTCACAGGTAAAAGTAAGTAAACAGACAAATTCAGAATGCTCAAATATTGTATTTGTGATGTATAAACCACTGGTATCCTTAGTATGAAGACTAAAAGACAAACCTATCAAAAATAATAATAACAAGTTGTTAATAGAGAGACAACATAAAATATATGAAGAGGGAAAACAAAAAAGGTAAAAATGTAGGGGACATGAAGTTAAAGTGTAGAGGTTTTTTTTTTTTTTAATTTTCTCTTTGCCTGCTTGTTGTTCTTTAATTTTCTTTGTAATCAGAGTTAAGCTGTCGTCAGTTTAAAATAATTGCTTAGAAGATTTTTTTGCAAGTCTCATGGAAGCCATGAAGCAAAATTCTGTAGGAGATACACAAAAAATAAAAAATATATATTAAAACATCCTTCCAGAGAAAATCACCTAGAAATCACCTACAAAGAACACACACACACACACACACACACACACACACAGAAAGAAGGAGTTACAAAACAACCAGAAAACAAACAGCAAAATGTCATTAGTAAGTCCTTACCTATTAATATTAATCTTGATTGTAAATGGGATAAATTATTCAATTAAAAGGCATAGAGGACCTTAACTGATTTTAAAAGAAAGATTCAATTATATGATGCCTACAGTAAACTCATTTCATTTATATAGACACACATAGACTTAAATGAAGGGAAGGAAAAATATATTTTATGCAAATGGAAATTTTCTAAAAAGCAGGAATAGCTATGCTTGTATTAGATAAAATAGATTTGAAGTCAAATACTATAGAGACAAGAAAGTCATTATATAAGGAGATAAATTAAACAAGATGGTATATAATAGTGTGTGTGAACATGGAAACACCCAACACTAGAGCACTCAGATATATAAAGCAAATATTATTAAAGCCAAGGAAAGAGAAGACCCAAATACAGTAATAGTTGTAGACTTTAACAACCTACTTTTAGCATGGACCCGTCTTTTGGACAGAAAATCAACAAAGAAATATCATACAATAGATCAAATAAATGTAATAGACATTTACAGAACATTTCATCTCACAACTGCAGAATGAACATTCTCATTAGCACATAAAATGTACTCTAAGATAGACCATATGTTGAACAAAAATAAAAACAACAAAAATCTCCATAAAAATAAAACAGTTAAAATTATATCAAGTGTCTTTTCTGACTGCAATAGAGTAAAACAAGAAATCAATTTAAAAAAGAACTCTGAAAACTGTCCAAATGCACGAAACTTAAATCACATGCTCCTGAACAACCAATAGGTCAACGAAGACATTTTAAAACTACATAATTTTTTGAAACAAATGAAAATGAAAATACAATATACTAAAATCTATGGGATACAAAAAAAGCAGTACTGAGAGTTTTTAGACTAAATATCTACTTCGAAAAGATAAAAAGATTTCACATAAACAACCTAACCATGCACCTCAAGGAATTAGAAAAGTAAGAACAAACCCAAACCCCAAGTTAGTATAAGAAAAGAAATAATAATGACCGGTTCAGAAATAAAATTAACACTAAAAAATAATACAAAAGATTAGCAAAATGATGGGTTTTTTGAAAAGATAAACAAAATTGACAAACCTTTAGTTATACTGAGAAAAAGAGAAGACTCAAAACACAAAGTTTGAGATGAAAAATGAGATATTACAATTGATACAACAGAAATTCAAAATACTTCTAGAGACCATTATGAATAAATATATACCAATATATTGAAAAGCCTAGAAGAAATAGATAAATTTCTAGATACACACAACTTACCAAAATTGAACCATGAAGAAACAGAAAGTCCGCACACACCAATAACAAGTAATGAGATAGAAGCAGTAATAAAAAGTCTCTCATCAAAGAAAAACCCAGGACTTGATGGCTTCATTTCTGAAAACTACCAAATACATAAAGAAAACCTGAGACCAATTCTACTCAAACTATTCCAAAAAATTGAGGAGGACAGAATACTTCCAATCTCCTACTATGAAGCCTGATACCAAAACCACATGAATACACTACAACAACACCAAAACCACCAGCCAGTTTTACTGATGATGAACATAGATGCAAAACTCCTTAACAAAATACTAGCAAACTGAATTAAACAACAAATTTTTTAAAAATCATTCATTGTGAACAACTGGGATTCATTTCAGGGATGCCAGAATGATGGTTCAACATACACAAATCAATGAATATTAATAACATCAAGGATAAAAACCATAAGATTATTTAAGTAGATGCTGAAAAATCATTGAATAAAATTTATCATCTCTTCATAATTAAAACTCTCAACATATAGAAGGAACACACCTCAAAACAATAAAGGTCATATATGACAAATCCACAGATAGCATCATACTGAAGGTGAACAAAAACACTTTCTTCTATATCCGAAACAAGACAAAGAGGCCCGCTTTTACCACTTTTATTCAACATAATACTGGAAGTCCTAAACAGAGCTATTGGACAGAGAAAAAAATAAAGGGCGTCTAAATTAGAAAGGAAGAAATCAAATTGTTCTTGTTTGCAGATGGTATAATCTTATATTTAGAAAAACTTAAAAGACTCCACCAAAAGAACTATTAGAACTGATAAATGAATTTGGTAATATTAAGGATACAAAATCAACATACAAAACTAGGCAGTATTGTTATATGCCAACATACTACCAGAGAAAACATCTTTTTCTCCGAAAAAGACATAAAATAAGCAATCTCATTTATAATATCTACCAAAAATTAAAATACCTAGGAATAAATGTAACCAGATAAGCAAAAGGCTTTTACAATAAAAACTGTAAATTATTTATCAAATAAACTAGAGGGCACCCAAATGTAAAGATTTCCCATGTTAATGGGTTAGAAGAATCAATGTTGTTAAAATGTCCATACTGTCTGAAGCAATGTACAGATTCAATACAATCTCTATCAAATAGCAATGACATTCTTTGCATAAATAAAAAAGTTCTAAAGTTCATATGAAACAACAAAAGACTCAGAAATAGCTAAAGCAATCCTGAGCAAAAAGAATAAAGGTGGAGGCTTCACATTACCTGACTTCAAATTATATTATAAAGCCGTAGTAGCCAAAACAGCATGATAATGGCATAAAACAGATACTTAGGCTAATGGAACAGATTAGAGAACCTAGAAAAAAATCCACTAATTTTTGGTCAACTCATTTTTTACAAAGACACCAAAAACATACATTGAAGTAAAAACTGTCTTGTCAATAAATGGTGCTGGGAAAACTGTATATTCATATGTAGAAGAATGAAACTAGATCTCTATCTTTCATCATGTATAAACAGCAAATCAAAATGAATTAAAGGCTTAAATGTAAGACCTGAAACTATAAAATTACTAGAAGAAAGTTTTGGGGAATTGCTTCAGGACATTGGTATGGGCAAAGATTTCTTATTTAAGACCTCAAAAGCACAGGCAACTAAAGCAACAGTTGACAAATGTAATTACATCAAGCTAAAAAGCTTGTAAACAGCTAAGGAAACAACAAAATGAAAGGAAAACCTACAGAATGGGAGAAAATATTTGTAAACTATTTAACTGACAAAGGATTAGCACCCAAAATATATAAGAAACTCACACCAGAGCAAACAACTAAATAAACTGGTTAAAAATGGACAGAAGATGTGAACAGATATTTCCCAAAGGAAGGCATACAAATGGCCGATGGGTATATAAAAATGATCAAAATCTTAAATCATTAGAGAAATACAACTCAAAACCAGAAGAAGAACTCATCCCAGCTACAATGGCTATAATCGAATAGACAAAAAAACAACAAAAGCTAGCGAGGGTGTGGACAAAGAGGAATGCTTGTACATGTTGGAGATAATGTAAATTAGTATAGCCACTATGAAAAATAGTCTGGAAATTTCTCAAAGAACTAAAAGTAGAACTACCATGTAATCCAGCAATCCTACTGCTGAGAATCTATCCACAAAGAAAAAAAAATCAGTATATTAAAGAGAAATCTTCACTCCTATGTTCACTGCAGCACTGTTCACAGTAGCCAAGATATGGAATCAACCTAAATGTTCATCAAAGGATGAACAGATAAAGAAAATGTCATATACATGGATATAATTCTGCCGTAAAAAATGAAATCCTGTCATTTGCAAAAAAATGGATGAAACCAGATAACATTATGTTAAGTGAAATAAGTCAGTCACAGAGAGACAAATGTCTCCTCTTCTCACTCATATGTGAGAAATACAAAGATTAATAACATGGAGGTGGCCGGGCGCGGTGGCTCACGCCTGTAATCCCAGCACTTTGGGAGGCCGAGGCGGGCGGATCACGAGGTCAGGAGATCGAGACCATCCTGGCTAACACGGTGAAACCCAGTCTCTACTAATAATACAAAAAATTAGCCGGGCTCGGTGGCAGGCGTCTGTAGTCCCAGCTAGTGGGAGGCTGAGGCAGGAGAATGGCGTGAATCCGTGGGGCGGAGCTTGCTGTGAGCCGAGATGGCTCCACTGCACTTCAGCCTGGGCGACAGAGCGAGACTCCGTCTCAAAAAAAGAAGAAAAAAAAAATCTTGGGAGTGGTAAATAGAATGGCGGTTATTAGAGGCCAGAGAGCATTCTGGGATGGGTGGAGGAGGGGTTGGTTAATGGGTACAAAATGTAGTTATACTGAAGGAATAAGATCTGATGTTTAGAAGCACATAGGCTATAGTTTAAAGTAACTTAAAATACTTTACTATATATTTCAAAATAACTGGAAGAATAGCTTTGAAATGTATCCAACACAAAGAAATGACACATATTTAAGTTGATGAATATCCCAGTTTTTCAGATTTGAACATTACATATTGTATGGTTATATCAAAATATTACATTTGTGACATAAATATGTACAACTGTTATGTATACGTAACTTAAAAAAATTGGTTTTACTATAAATTCCAGTGGGGTGTGCATGGTTTCAATCACACTAGCAATTTTAGTAGGAGTTGAATACGGAGGACTGGTTATCAAATTCAGATATTCAGGTATAAGAAGTGACAACCTTCTTATAAAATAAACAAGTAGAATCAATTATTTATTGATCCATTTGTTAATTCATTTTTAAAGGGAGAACTATGCAACAGGAACTGTGTGCTAAACATGGTATAGTCAAGAAGACAGACACTCCTGTTGCTATCTCTAACACTTAGAGTTCAGTGGCAAATATGAAATTTTACAATATGTGTGGTGAGAAGTAAGACAGTGAAACAGGCTACTAGGAAAGCTCACCTAGCTTAGAAAGCTTTCGAGAGTAATAAAGTATAAGCTGACACCTTCAGAATGAGTTGTGTTTTGCCAGTTCATGAAAAATGTGCTATGTATTAGACACAGCTCACTCAAGGAGAGGAAAACACATGTGCAAAACCTATATCTCAATTATAGAGGAAGAAAAGAGGATGTTGAGAAAGGACCTATGCATTTTTTTCAGAGATGCAGTCCTGTATTCCCTTGTAAATAAGACAGAGTGAATCACCAAACAATTTTAGGTATTGGATCAAATTAATCTGCTATTTTAATCCTTAAAAAGCTTTAATAAAGAGATATAAGAACTTGTGGAGAGTTTGGGTTCTTGAGCTACAATCCTCAAACTGGGGTAGAAGTTTCAGGTTATGGTTAAGGTTATGATGAATGCAGCAAGGTCCCTTTGCTTTTTTTTTTTTTTTTTGAGAAGGAGTTTCACTCTTGTTGCCCAGGCTGGAGTGCAATGGCGTTGTCTTGGCTCACTGAAGCCTCCATCTCCCGGGTTCAAGGGATTCTCCTGCCTCAGCCTCCCAAGTAGCTGGGATTACAGGCATGTGCCACCACGCCCAGCTAGCTTTGTAATTTTTTAGTAGAGATGGGGTTTCTCCATGTTGGTCAGGCTCGTCTTGAACTCCCTACCTGAGGTGATCTGCCCGGCTTGGCCTCCCAAAGTGCTGGGATTACAGCCATGAGCCACCGTGCCCGGCCCCCTTTGCTTTAAAGTCTCTTCTTCCTTATTGAAGGTAATTGGAGACAATATGGGCCCAACCTCATGTCTGAGGCAGAGTAGGGCAACACTGACATGAGGAAAAGGAAAGGGTTCAAAATTCTAAAATGGTGGAAAAAGGGATGTCATTTTCACTTTTACTGCTTTTAAGATTCTCTCAAAAGAGCCTCTTGAAAAGGGCTCAAAGACACACTATCAGTTTAGAATAATTATTGCTTTAAATTAACTTAATCGTAACCTACTGAAGCTTTCTGTGGAAGTTTTGGCTTTCCCTCTACCTTGATACTTGGGAATCAATCACTCATCAAGCATAAGTCACATACTCAGTTTTGGGGGCTGTGCCAAGACAAACCTGCACCTTTGGGGCTTCTGGGCGTGAATCTGTATCCTAAATATATTGTCTCTTTAGGACCTAAAACCTCTGGTCTGGAAAAGGAAAAATAAACTCATCAAGAGTGAAAAGATCACAAGAAACAATTCACTGGACGCCCCACCCCCCACTTCTAGTTTGATGCACAATGTATGCTGTTATTGTTTCTCTAGATATCAGTAGAGAGTAACTCAGTTCTGTTGAGGTAGTCTTTGCAGGAGCATGGGTGTAGGGCTGGATTTCATCATTCAAAATTAGAGAGACATCTGAGCAGTCAACACTTCTGAGGCTTCTGCCAGCTATGATTCAAAGCATCCTCCCAGTCTGATTGGGGAATCTTACTCTAATTTTAGTAATCCCAGAGATGGCAATGAGAGAATTGGGCTGTGGAGGGTGCACCTGCAGAAATGGCTGTAGCTTATATCTGCATCTCAGAAAAAAAGGGGAAAATCATGCATATATTACAAGAAATAGACTGAGAGGAAGCAAAATTGGATTAAAAAATAGGAAACAATTTCAAATAGTCTGTTCAAAGAATGATGTTGATTACCTAGATTATTATAATGTCAAAGAAAAAAGATAGAATTCTTTGTTAATTCAAACTGTGTATGATTCACTCCAAATCTGAACCTTAATTCCTTGACCACTCCTCCAGAAATAATGTCATGAATTCTGTCTCCTTTGGTCACAACAATAATCCTGCCATGGCCAACTACTGCAAACTCTCCTATTCTCGATTTCAATGACCCTACTCTACAGACACCACTAGCCATCTTTCCAACTTGCTCACTCTTTATATTTCGTCCTGACTTTAATGATCCTCTGATCCCACTCAAACATTCCTTGCAGTGCTTGAAGAAAATAATAATACAGAGACATCAGATCTCCAGCCTCAATGGCCAACTTTCACACTCCATTTCTCTAACCCATTCTGTCTCCCTCAAGTATACACGCTTATTTCATACTTGTTCTTCTCTCCTCATACTTCCAACTTCTATCCTCAGTCTCAGTCTATCATGTTGTTTCCTATTTGCTCCAGAAAATAGAAGCAATAACCATAGCATTTTACGATCACCTTTAACCAAATCAGCTCAGCTATTTGTATCCATGACTATTTCCTCTGCCTTTTCTTCTTTTCTTACAGAAGAAGTGTCTGTCTCTCTTCTAAGGCCAGCCCTTCCATTTGTGCCCTAGATCCAAACTCCTTTCACCTAACTAAAGACATTAATTCAGAAACCTGTCTGATCGTCTCCTTTATCAATTTTTTTCTCACCTTATTATGTCAGCCTTATCAAAATACTAACGTGCCTCACATTCTAATTTTAAAAAAATTACCTTTTGACTTCATAACCCTCTCCTGTTGTCACCTTTGCTCTTCTATACTGTGAAATGTTATTAAATCCTGACTATACTAATTGTTGCCAATTCCTTTTCCCCTATTCTCACTTGGAAATAATCCAGTTATTTTTATCTCCACTATTTTATAAAAAGTAGTTTTTTCAATATTTATTAATTAGTGTTTTGATATATTTAATAATTGTTATCCATTCTTGAAAAACACACTTCACTTCATTTAAAAGACACTGTGCTGTCCTAATTTTCCTTCTACCTTTGGTCTCATTCTTAGTGTTCTGATATATTCCTGCACCTTTCTCCTGCCTGGGCTTCATGCTTGGATGTTCTCTGTTCTCTAGAAGTTCCCATTTTTTCTGGGGAGAAGAAAAAAAGTCTTTCTGACATCATACAGAATTTCTTTCTGCAACATAGTTACATACTTATATTGTATACACATATACTTTATGTCTTACTGTGTCATTTTGGCCACATGGTAGCCAAAACGTAACCTTGTTCATAGACTACCACAAAGACCATGGGTGGCATCAGTCTAATAAAAGTTATTGTATTTAATGTTTTTTGTAGTCAGCAGCAGCAATAGCAGAAACTTTGGCAAACGTCAGCAGGGGTGTCTAAATTTCAGCATCATCAACATTGGGATATGATAAATGGAGAACTAAAACAGCAAACAAGGCAAATAGGAAATAAAGTGGCATCTAAACTAAGCATTAATTGTTAATAAGGGAGATACATTCTGTGGTGTCATAGGGCCAATGGGGACATATTCGATATCTAGGCAGGGACTCTTTCCAACACTATACAGTTTCTTTATTTTTATATAATTTGTATTTAGGCATCTAGAATTGTATCCACTGGAATTCTGTAGATTAGATTTTAAATCTCAAAATGCCAAATCAATATGAATTTCTGGTGATAAATGTAATCTCTTGATCAGCAGATTTGGTTTTACACTGAAGACTGCTCTATGTGATGTTCTACAATGTTGAATACTTGATCTAAACTCTTCCAAATGCTTCTAAAAATAGAGTACGCATGGAGAACTTTTACAGATTAACTAGGACTGGCTGTGGATGCCTACCATCTGGTCCTACAAAGCATGGATAGATTAGTTATAACAGCAGAGAGAATGAAACGCTTTACACAATCAAATGGGAAAAAGGCAATAATGATCTGTGCACATAATCGATGTACAGTGTGGGGTAGACAGAATTCTGGCAGCCAGAGTCCAAAGAAAGATCTGGAGTAATTCTTCCTTTGGAAAGCTGCCAAATTAATATTGTTGGGATATTACGACGTGCAACTGGAAACAGCACGCACTATATTCCATTGGAGAGTTAGAATTTTAAGACTTTTTTAAACTAACTGTGGGTTTTGTTGGCAAGTTAATCAACTACACTGGAATTTGTAAAAATAAAGTAATAATATAATAAATATATGTGCAGTTTTTTCTATGTCTGCCAACCTAAGAAGTATGAATTAAGAAAAACATAGGAAATGAAAAAAAGTAAACTGAAGAACAATAGATGGGTTTATAGTACTTAACAGTTTTGGAAAAATTAGTATTTTCTGACATACTCGAAAGAAAAAATGATGATGCAGGAAAAGGCAAGATAGTTTTTATGTTTCTAAGTGAAGTATACATCAAAGATTATATAAACCAATTAACAAGGTTCGGAGAGACTTCCAGAGAAAATGAAGATACACAAAAAACAGAGCGAAAGAAGAGGAACACCAAGTTAAAAATGAAGGTACATATATAAATTATTTTAGTCTCTAAATATGCTTGTTAATAAATTATCCATAAGTTTATACTTTACAAGTCAGACACATCTATATAAATACATAAGAACTGTAAACATATAAAAAATTAAACCAAAAGAACACAACATCATTAAAAATGTATGACAGATCCAAAAATAAAAGAAAGAAAAATGACCAGGAAAATATTTGAGTAAATTAGTTATAAAACTAAGGAAACAAATAATAAATAATTAGTTTCATAAGTGTGGTCAATGAAAGTTACTTCTGATTGTAGACACAGGAAAAATGAGCTATTCTTTCTGATAGCAGTTTCAAATAACCACTTTACTTCAAATAACAAGATTTGTAATACATTCAAAAAAGAGAGAAAAGTAGCTTTATGTTCTGCTATTAAAAATTTATGACAACTACAGTATCAATTTTTTAAGCTTTATCTTAGGAGAATCATCTGAAGGGAAATATATAAAATATTTCAAGTAGTTGAAATAAATTCAAGTAGTTGAGATAGTTGCACTTATGCTCAAAACCTATGTATAGTCTCCTAACAAATGGAGAAATGTGTATAATTTAAAATGCATGTCTCTCTTTTTTTACTTTTAAAAAACTAAAATGTTTAAGATGTCTGAACAGGTTTATACCATTGTTCCTGAAGGGCTAGAACAGAGAACCTTTCAAACATATCATATCTACAATGCATAAAAGGAGGTGGAATATGGATGTAGCAGGTTATAGTAGAGTGAATATTCAAAATAGTTAATTAGTGGTTTTTGTAAATTTTGGAAGTAGGTATGGAGGCGTGTGTATGCAGAGCCCTGAAGTCAAGATATAGGAATGGGAAAAAATAGATTCAAGCACAAGGAAGTCAAGAATGTTTTCAATGATGATGGCTAATTCTCATGATGGAATTTTCATGATCATACCAGATTTGTAAAGGAACTGGTTCTCCTTATTATAATCATAATCGTACAGTCCTCAGCACTTGCCTTCTGTGAATTAGGTAGATCCATGTTTTATCTTCTATCTTCTGTGTTTAGTACAGTCTTCTACATATTTTTAGAAGTGAAGCCTGTTCCCCCTTGTCCCGACAATTTCATGCTGGAAACCTAGGAGCTGAATTACTCCAGTTAAAAGGTGGGAGGAAACCTTTACTTAAAGTCAACTGATTATAAATGTTATACACATCTCCAAAATGCTTTCATAGCAACATCGCGACTAGTGTTTCACCAAACAACTGAGTACTACTATCTTGCCAAGTGTGACTTCCCATCGCAGGGAGATTTCTTTTATCTTTTGTGTTAGGAGCTTATAGAAGTGTTGACAGATATTTTGAGAAGGCAAAAAGCAAATTGTGATGGTGCAGATAAATGACTGATGCCTAGAACATCTAAGGCAAGCATGGAAATGTACCATGTGCCAGGGGAGGTAAAATGGCTGTATTTGAGAATCTTCACTTACCCACTTGCTACATGCTAAACTGTTAAAAACATAGACAAATGTCCTGTCTAAACATGGCTTTTTAAAGGGGCAGCAGAGATCGAGCTTCACTTCTCTGAGGCATTCTTTCAGCAAGATATTTTCAGCCAGCTAGCACAAGGTAGATAAGATAGGCCAACTTTTGTTGAACCACATTTGGATACCTAAACACATCAGCACTGGATAAAATCGAAGGTTTGTCTATAGAAGCCTTAGATCATGAGTGGAGGAGAGAGCAGAAGGATCTTTATCCTAGGGCCAACAGCTTCTGGTCTTAAGCACATATCCAATTGCTGTGAGGGAAGCATAATGCCCTATATCAATATCTGTCAGGATATCCTTCTACACTGAAAAATTTGTCATAAAAATGGCACGTTTCATTTCCTGTCTTTACATGACAAACACCAATACCTTGTTTATCAAATATGTCTTACTATGAAAATTAGGAATTATTTGAATTTGTTATGAAGACAATGTGCCAAAATGGCATTACATTCCCTGATGTTTAGTAATGCCTATTTTGCTTTTATAAAGAGAACAATTTGACTTAATCCACATTTTTCTTTCAGAGCATTCTGGATACTTTTCACTCTTTAGGGCATTGAATGGCACTGAGTAAAACCAGCTTGATGTTTTCCCTTTGTATGGTCTTGATCCTACATTAAGCTATCTCATTCCGAAGTGTTGAAGATTTGTAGTATATTTTTCAAGAGCATACTGTGCTCCTTCAGTGGATTCAAGTCTTTCTTTACTGCAGAAATATTTTATTCTATTGTATCTTGAAATTTGTTTTATTTTCAGTTTGTATGGCTTTTTTCTTCAGGCAACAAAATTGATTGCATTCACGATCATGTTGTTCAATGTGTTTTTGATCTTATTCATTTGTTACTTCTAAAGAAGATTTCACCACAGTAAAATTTTGCTTTGTTTTATTTTATTATGTGTCTTGTTTTGGGTTGGGTTATTCACTATTAAATATTTTAAAATCAAACAAGACAACTAAATGGGTCATTTCCTTTCTCTTTTTTGTCTACATGCAGACAGTTGGTGTTATTTTCTGCCCCTTTACTATTCTTACATTTTATGTTCTTACAAAAAAAAAAATAAAAAGAAAGAAAAAACCTCATCATTTTAAAGAAAAACCTTATAATGAGGCAGGGGAACTGAATTTTTAAGATTCAAATAATCTTCCCTCTAATTGGGTTAACTTGTACCTCCTCCTGCAGCCAGATGTATGCCCATTACTAATGAGTTACAGTAGTCTGTGGATTATGAAGCACCCTATCCCCAATCCCACACTATGCTCAACTCCAGATAATGAGAACTGTTTAAACAGCAAAAGCTCCCTAGGGGCAGGAATCAGGAGTTTTTCTTTCAACTGATGAGAGCTGCTGGGTGGGCAAGACAAATTGAAAAGTGCTGGCAGTGACAAATGAGGAAGATGAGAGGCACTGCCCTGTGTGAGGTCAGCTGTGACTTTGGGTTCAGATCACAACTAGGTATCATGCTAGGGCTTATGTTTACCAGCTTATTATGAAGGTTATTATGAAGAATACAGATGAATACAGATGTGATACAGATGAATAGATGCAGAGGGCAAAGTATGGGACAAGGGGCTTGGGGGTGAGCAAGGAGCATCCCTGCCTTCTCTGGGCACACCACCCTCTAGGACTTCCACGTCTTCAGCAACCCAGAAGCTGAGGTAAAATTTTATTTTTGACTCTTACGTTTCTTTCCTGAGCTCTACCCATCTCACAGTTAACTTATATTTTCTGTGTTGTACTCTAGCATCAACACTTTGAAATTTCTTTCCTCTTTTCTTACTTTTCTTTCTTTTTTTTAATCTCACTGTCTTTAAAAGAGAACTCTTGGTATATTTATGATTTCTGGTAAATGAAGAAAACATTTTCTAAAACATTCCTTTATTTTCAAAAATAATTCATCTTTATATCGCTTTTACCTGCATATTTCACCTCTCCCCCTCCCACTCTTTTACCTTGATCAGTAAATAGGTCTTATGAATGATTTTCTAATGTTTATAGCTATTGGGTATTTTTCCTGCATCATAAAGTATGCCAAGGGAAAGAACTATACTTTTGCTTCAAGTTTGTGGTCTTAAACACTTTCTCATCAAATCTGTGAGATTGCCCTGGGACATTTTTTACCTCTGTTTTTAGTATTGGTGAGGTTGAAGTGGCTCACTCTAATCCCCATTATATCAAAGGTTGTTATGACTATTATCTGGTATTTGCTATTTCCTGTTTTCCTTCATTCTGCTTTATTTTTGTCACTTGCCTCTGACAGAAGGTGCAGAAGGATGTACCATGGTCTTGGTTACAGACTGAGAATAATGTAGCTTCTTCAGTATAACTACATTTTGCTGTTCTTTTGGACTCAAACAGAGTATCTATAGGAGTATATAGAACAAACTGAGTATCCCTATTACCACACCTCACCCATGTTGCTAGATTTAGTTACCCTAATCACAGGCCCACTGACCAGCCCATTCAGCACTGTGTAACTTATTTTTGGGGAAGGAGACTTTCTTACTGAGGTCTGTGAAAGTATGTATCATTGCTCAAAATTCCGTTTTTGTTTCCAAATTCAAAATATCTGTCAAACAAGCTTCTTGGTATCCCCTTTACTACTGTGGGTGAAGGTTTATTCCAAAAGACAAATGTTTCTCATTAAAAAAAAAAAAATTCTTGTGGCAACTTTCGCTGCTTTAATAGAAAAAATGAAATAAAATGACATTGTTTGATATTTATCCAGAATTAGCACTTTACATATTTATTTGTTTGTTTATTTATACATTGTCTATACAAATTTCAAGCTCCTGAATGATGAAATTTTATTTTGTTTCATGTGCTACACCTTTTGTCCCGCAATATGTTCTCTATGTCCCTGGTATCCAAGGAATATTTATTGAAAGTTTAAATAGGATTTATATCATTTAAATTACTTTATTATATCCTTGGTCAGTAGGTATAAGAACACAACTGAACAATTTACTTTATGGTTTATAGTAAAAATGTATATTGTTTACACAAATCTTAAGATTCCCAACTTAAAATTATTTATAATATTAATCAAATAGGTTTTGGTCGTAATAAATACATACAGACAGGCAACAGAAATCTTGAAATGACTACAATCTTCATAAAGCAATGGTATATAAATTATCATTTTATTATGTTGTATGGATCTAACATTCTCCCTGATGGTCTCTTCCTAAGTGACAGGTTTGTAGTAAACAGCATTAGTTTTTCACATTGCTGAAAACAAATTCTAAGTATGAATTTTAAAGTTTCCTTGAGTGGTTAGCTTGACAATGCTTGAAAACAAGCGTTTCTTAGGTCATAAAGACTTTAGAGAAGAACAGTTAATTATTTTTAAGGAAAAAGTCTGTTTGTAGATTTAAGGAATGTAAAGTTTGAGTAGTTTTAATAGCATAACATTTTATTAACAAAGTGTCATGTGTAGATTGTTCTTCAGAAAGTTTAAAGCAGATCCGATTTTTCTGTGTTCAACTTTATTGTTTTTCATTTACATGACCAAAATTTCACAAATTAAAAAAAAAGTTGCTTATATTTATTACCCTCACTGTTTGTCACTTCTGGCTGACATAATTCTTTACAGCATCTTGGGAATGTATAGGATGGATTATGTTCCAGGATGTCCAACCTGGAAATATTTGAATTTTCTGGCATTTGTGAGTCCCTCCATCGAGAACAAATATAGCTGCATGGTATCCTATTTCCCAGGAGTTGATTTTTTTAAAAAATTATTATTATTATTATTATTAGGCAGAGATGGGGCTTTGTTCTGTCACCCAGACAGTGGTTCAATCATAGCTCATTGCAGTCTCAAACTCCTGGACTCAAGTGATCTTTCTGCCTCAGCCTCTCAAGTAGCTGAGGTTAGAGATTTAAGCCATCATGCCCAGCTTAGACTTTTCAAATTAGTATTTTACCATTTTTCTACTTAATTCATTTAATTCTTATTTTCATGCTGTGTAAATAAATGAAGCATGGAAGAAATGGAAACCAAGCCTGGAAGAATATGTTAGAGCTTTAACACATTCATTTTGGAAGACAGAAATAATAAAGTAGCACACACAAAGAGACACTAAAGATTTTTGAGCATAGAGAAAAATTCAGGAGAAGAAAGAGAAGGCCTCCAAGTTGAGAGGAGTCAGAATAAAATCAACTCTGCTGGCACCCTGATCTTGGATTTCCAACCGTCTGAACTGTGAGAAAATTTCTTTCTTTTACTTACATCACCTAGTCTGAAGTACTAAAACTATTCCCACAGCGCTGACAAGAATTGCATGCCAGGTTCTGCACAGAAATATAGTTATAATTAAGTATTATTCAGGCTGTACTTTGGCCCACTTCCTTGTTGTAAAAGTCATGTAAAAGCACTAGATACTGACCATTTGTATCTCCATTATTCCTATAGATAGGATTTTTGATGTTAGGGCTATAAGACGGTTTAAAAATTGATTTTCATCCCCGTTGTTCTTATAGACTGGCTCTTTGACAATAGAATCATAAAGCTTTTGTTTAAGGATTGCCTAAGATGTTTTTCAGACATCAAATTCCAGCAAAACAGCTGACACCAATCAGTTTGGAGATCCCCACAGAGAAATTGGTTGGACATGAGAATACAGCTTCTTCATCTCCCTGTCCATTGACAGAGAGATGCACTTTTCAATCAATCAGTGATCTTCACATTTAGGCCCACTCCAAAATGCTTAAAAGATTTAGCCCCAGATTCCTCAGGGAGATGGATTTAAGGTTTCCTCCCATCTCCTTGTTCAGTGATCCTATGATTAAACCTCTTTCTCTGCTGCAAGCTGGTCTGTTGGTATATTGACTTGCAGTGCGGATCAGATAGTGAACCGCTTATGGTTACAGTATTTTGTTATGGCAATCCTGGCAGACCTAGCAAACAAATACACCAAGTTATTGCTTAGCTCTATAATTATTCTTAAGTTTTTATACTTTGAATTTTCCATCAGTGTTTCCTCTGATTTCCCATGCCCTGTGAACCTCATGATTTCTTTGAAGAAAGAAATAGAAGTTGTAAAACTTTAGTTTTCACCCTTTTACCATCTAGCTGTGTGATCTCATGCAATTCAGTTAACCATTGTGCTGTAAGGTCTAAATCTATCAAGTGAGAAAAATAATGCTGGGTCAATCTATTTCAATTAATGCTGTTTTTTCATGACATTTGGTTGTAGTTGTTAAAGTTCTTGATAAAGTGTTCTAAACATACACACCATGTCTGCAATGCCCTCTCACCTTTCTGACATTCTCTATTGTCCTGAGTTCTTGAGTAGGCCCTCTGTAACAAAAGCTAACAAGAGAAAAACAAGCAATTTTATCAATATGTGTATCATGCATGTAATGTAACTGATAGAGGAGTACCCAGAAATGTAACTGATAGAGGTGGCTTAGAACTCTGACTTATATGGCATTTTCAATAAGGAACAACAAATTTTTAGAGAAATGACAAGACAAAAAAAAGTATCTTGAGTCTCTAGGGACAGCAAATTGTAGGAAAGCAAATATGTGTGGAAAACTAGTGTTAGATAAAGGCTAATTAATGAAATGTTATGTAGGTTCTTCTAGTGCTGTTTGCAAGCTATTAAGGGTCTAAAGTTGTCTCTGGTAATTAACTTTTGTCCTTCTTTGAAGAAAGAGGAAGTGGGACACGTTTGCAATTTTTTTTTCTACTTTTAGGCAAATAGAAAAATGACAGAAGTTTTCTTGTATTTGCTCCTTCCTAGTTGCCTTCAGCTCAAAATAATCCTTATTCCAAAGTGGTATCTTTTGGGGTGGCCCATTTTTGCCACACTTCACAGTCAATTACTCTTTTTTAAAACCCATTTTAAGTATCACCTCATATTTTAGAACTTTTCCAAAGACCAAAAAGTGAATTAACTGTTTCATTACATTTTCTTCTCCTTTTAAAACATTTTATCTATTACTATTTTATAACACTTACCCTGTTGCATTGTAATTTATGTGTTTATAATGCATTTTTAACACACAAGAATCTTACCTGCATAGTAGCAGAAATAGTGTCACATAATTTCATTATCAGTGAATCCCTGGTGCATCTGCACAGAGTCTGGAATACATTAGACGTTCTGTTAACAAATTAGGTAAATAAATGAAAGTGAATTAAATGTAAGCAAACTTGGGATTTAAAATTGTGATTTTCAAGAAAACTATTCAAAAAAAGGGATATTTATTAATATTTGATATTAAACTATGCATATTTTTCAATTTCTTAAAAAAGATAATATTTTTACTTAAGATATAAACTAAACACATGCTAAAGATTTTGTTTAACTAATGAATCATTGAAAGAACAAGGCTCTCATTGATTTGATTTCACATTGATGAAATGATTGATTTCATTTTTTTGAAATGGTTATAGCCATTTCAAAAAAAGAATACCAACAACAGACATATTTTTGTTTAGAAATACTGACATGAATGTACAAATGTGTGGCAAAATTGTTCCCCTGTTCCCCTGACAACCCCCACCCTCTGTCACAGGGAGGAATAAGTTATTCTTCCACTAGACATAATTGATTTGCATGTCTATATACAATAATTATTTTGTTCTCTATCAGTCATCAACAACTTGCAGTATTATAAAAAATCTCCCATGTAATCAATGTATGGTTTTGCACTGAACCACAAATTACTGCCTACAATATAAAAGCCACAAATGGTCAAAGCCTAGCTGTATTTCCCTCTCCTCAGTAACAAAAAATTGGTAAATATTAGCTGGAGGAAAATTTAAAATCCTTGGCTGTGTTGATGGACAATTTTTCTGTGTATAAATACATTGGAATAACTATTTGAGGAAAATTTGTATGAAGGGATTTTGCAGGTAATGCCAGCAAGGTCGATGTCAGCTTAGATTAACTACGGCTTGGTATCTGTCAACCAAATTAGTGCTGCCTAGGAGGGAAGTTTAACCTGAGCACTGAACACTTCAGGAAGGTTTTCCTTCATGAATCAGCAATTCTCTTCACCCCCTTTTTTCTCTCCAAGGTCAAAAGGGTTTAGATCTATCCCTGTAGGCCGATGCCCCGATGTTACTTGCCAACTTGTTTATACCCTTTAGTAGCAGCTGACAAGTAACTTGTTGCCCACTGTTATTTTAATCTCTAGTGATGAATTACAATTCAGTGAAATTTACAAGAAGCATCACATTAAACCTGTGTGAGTGTGTGTGTTACATAAAATTTTAGCATATGTAGGACACAGGTCTTTTCTGAATACACCATTTTATTATACTAAAATGTGGAATGTTTTATTAAAAGGAAATTTAAAATGGATCTCAACTGAATTGTGACCTGATCACAGAATCCATAGTTGAAGTCTATTATGCAATTGAATGAGAAATTTAAGCAGATGTGTGTTCGCACAGTTCTGACAATCCTTCCCTAGATGTTGAGCAAAAGAAGAAAATTTAAGAATATTTTATTAGATATTGGCCATGCTTTAAAAATGTTCCAAAGAACTGAAAGGTTTTGAATATTTTCTATTAATGATAATATGGGAGGGCCTTGTGATTGTTGACTTCTTGCAACTTGTAATTGTTGACTTCTTTCTTCATGTAAGTGGCAGTTATGGAGGTGCATTCTACTTCTGCAAGAAGTATAGTTAGCTGAGAGGCTACAGCTGAAGCACCTGCAGGATCCACTGCAATGTTGTAGCAAAGGTCTTGCTTTTTCAGAACAGTGCCAGCCAGACTGAGAAGGATGGTCTTCTATGACCTGGCTACTTTTTTCCAAATGGGGACTCTTCTATGAAAGAATCTTTGGGCTTTGCCCTTTCAGCTCTCTGGGACATTCTCAGATCTGCTCTGCAGTCAAAGGTGCTTCTTACCCAATCTGCCTCGCTTCTGCCTCTCCTTTCACATGTGTCAAACTTGAGTGGTGGTCCTTAGGTTTTTCGTGCTGAATGTCTGCTCCCTTTCCTCTATCTTTCGCTGATGCCATCCCCAATAAATATTTTACACTTCCATTTTAGTGTAGGCATCTGCTTTCTAGAAGATCCAAACAGATACAGTGTATTATCTACAAATAGAAGATAGTATTCATATCATTACTATATATACACAAGCACATATACACATATGTATAAATTTCTCTCTATATATATAGAGAGAGATTTTATATGTTTTCATATAAACCTTTGTATCATTCATGAGGTAGATTAGTCTATTTCCATAATACAATTAAAATATTTTAGGCTCAGAGATGTATACATAATTGCCTATGCTTACAAGATAACAAACATATGACTACCGTAGTCCCCACTTATCCATAGCATTACTTGCCACAGTTTTAGTTACCATAGTTTAACAATAGTAAGTGAAAATTTTCAGAAATACACATCCCATGATTTTTAAACTGCATGTCATTCTGAGTAGCATGACAATATCTCACCTGTATTAGTCCATTTTCATATGGCTGTAAAGAACTGCCTGAGACTGGGTAATTTATAAAGGAAGGAGGTTTAATTGATTCACGTTTCCACATGGCTGGGGAGGCCTCAGGAAACTTAGGATCATGGCGGAAGCCACCTCTTCACAGGCTGGCAGGGGAGAGAACAAGTGCCAGCAGGGGAAATGCCAGACACTTACGAAAAATCTTATGAGAACTCACTATCACAAGAACAGCATGGGGGAAACTGCCACCATGATTCAGTTACCTCCAACCAGGTCCTTCTCATGACATGTGGGGATTATTACAATTCAAGATGAGATTTGGGTGGGCACACAAAGCCAAACCATATCATCACCCCATCTGGCTCCATCCCACTAAGCAAATAAATTATCTTTTTTTCTAGCATTTCCGTACTGTGTATACTACCCATTCATTTGTCACATGGTAGCCTCTCAGCTATCACATGAAAAACAATATAAATAGGGTTCAGTACTATTCATGGTTTCAGGTACTCATTGGAAGTCTGCAGTGTATCCCCCATGGATAAAGGTGGAGAGTATATATATTTCATATCCTTAATCATTGTAGGTTATATGGTTAGAAGAATGTTAATAGTTTCTATCCAATACAAAGTTGCTTTGCTATTTATACAAAAAGATAAAAGTTATTAAATTTTAAGTTATTATAGTTTTTCATTCTCTTCCAATCATAACAAACATTTGACTTCTGAATCAAGGATGGATGAGGGCACAAGTAAAAAGACAAAAGCCAAAGACTATACTTGCTTTACATAAGAAAGAGCTAAGCCACAGGGAATGAGTGAAAGATTGGAGCACAATACAGTCTGGAGATTGGGAGTAAATAAAGACTGGAATTGGTCTTTCAATTACTCTTTCTTATCAGACTTATTTTATAAGCCTGCTGCTTAGAATAGATACTATAATATGAGGAGTTCGGACTTCAGACTACACCATTCAAACCCTATTTCTCTTTCATATTCTTACCCTTCCAGTCAACGTGGAAATATGGAAAGGGGAGAAAATAACTGAACTATTTATATCAGTGAGTGGTTAGAAGGATCCAATACTTGAGCAATTATTATACTTTGTACTTTTCTTGCTTCCAGAGTGTTTGATAACTTAGAAGCTGGATATAAACTGCTTGCTTTTGCATTAGTTTTTTGACCTTCAGTTGCACAGTTTAAATTTTCTTTGCATGTTATGTGTTCAAATAAAAGCCTACATAGGAGTGAAGACAAATGTTACCTAATTAAAGTGGGTGGAGATTGCCAAATGCATATAAACAAATCCTAGGAAAGAATTCAGTTATATGAGAGTGAACTTCTTGTAAAAATTGTAAAAGAGAAAATTAGCTTTTATTGGTTCTCATTCTTCTTTTTTACATAGATCTTCTTCAAGATTTTAGAATATTGGTAATTCTTCACTGCTTAATTTGCCTGCTGCTATTTTTATTATTCATACAGAAGAGGCTCTCTCTGCCTACACTGTCCTATCATCTTTCTTCTGTCTAGTTAATATCTACTTATTCTATGAAATTATCCTCATACCGCATGCTAATTCCCCTCTTCTCCTATAGCAGTTTACTTTTATTTTTCAATACACTTCTCTTTTCCATTAAACTTAAAATATTCAAGGGCATGGCTTTTTCATCTTGTTTCTTCAATACCTGACTGGAGTAGCCAGCAAATCCTCACACTGGCATTTAATTACTTCAGAATATGTCACTATTTTAAATTTCCAAACTTACCATTCAATTATCTGTCATACAGACTCTGACTCATTCAGGCTAGTCCATTTACCATGCAAAGTGTATCTGAATATAATTATTTAAAAAAATTTCCTAGTCAAAATAATCCACGTTCTAAATCACTTCTCTATTACATTCACTATTCTTTCCAAGACGGCATTTTTATTCCTTTCCCACCTTTTCATATACCACTGACTTTTTTCAGTGCTAAAGGGAAGTCTCACCTTCTCCATAACCTTCCGCTTTTATTCCAGATTATATTGACCATCTTTTTCTTTTGACCTCATGGTCTTTTCTATTTAAATCATTCATTGACACTAAGTATTATTTATTTTCAGCATTCTTTATATTGGTCTTGTTGTATTGTTGGTTTGGTAGTATTTTTGTGGGGGAGTTGTGTGTGTGTGTCGGTGTGAGTATTATACCTAAATTATATGTTGTAAACCAAAAATATATATGAGATTTTATTCAAGTATCTTTAATTGGGGGCAGATGGCCAGTGGGGAATCTGTAAGAGAAGAATGTATGTTTCTTGTGAAGAAACTCAGTAGAAACACCAACAGTAGAAGGAAAAGAATGAGGAGGTTTGGGCTTTTGCATGGGGGAGGGGAGCATGTGCAGAGATGAGGTTGGCAGTGGCAGAATCATCACAGCTTCCTGTGTAGTTTAACTTCATGTGAGCAGTTTATAATTGAGAAGAGAAGAGAAATACTAGCCAAGGTGGCACGAGGTAGCAAAAACCAAGCCAGCAGCCTGAATTCTCTTGCTAAGGAAAGCACTTCTCTTTTGTAGAAAGCCAGCATCTACAGCCAGCAACAGTAGTAATGATAAGAGTGAAGTGTTCTACCTTGTCACTTGGAACTATGGGTACCAGGACAACATAAGACTGCAATGAATGAGTTATTTAATCCAGATAAAATTTAGACCAACTCGGGTAACTCCACAAATGATGGAGCGTTAAATGGCACGAGAACATGACGTGGGTGGTATTTTTAACCCTATAAGAACAAGTAATTTTTGCTTAATTATGTTGTATAAGTACAGATTACTATCACCTAAAAGCATGCTTAATAACATTTCAAAATATTTTAAAAAGTTATTATTTAACTTGTAACTTTTTTTTTCTGTAAGTATATTAGGTCTTCAAATATATTCTAAGACATATTGTTGTTATTTCTGTACATATGTAGTAAAAAATAAAGACAAGATGTTTTATGTGGGCTTTACAAGATGTTTTGCGTGGGCTTTTTTTGCTCAGCTTTATTATTAACTACTGATGTGACTTTGGATAATTTACAGTAAAAATAGATTATAAATATTATTTGCATCTCATTGAATTAATTCTAGTAAAGTTAGACAATTAGTATAGACATACTATGAAACTCATACAAACTACAAGAATCACAGAATTTTATGTTTCTCACAAAAAATAGCAGTCTCATTTATTTAATAGGTAATGATGCAAAAATTATTGAATAATAGGTGAGAAAGTGAGAGGTAAATGTAACAGCAAAAAAATACATAACACAGCAAGAATTATGTAGGCTAATTAAGTTAACTAGGATTGATCAACATTAATCCACAGTCCACATCCTGGATGTAACATTTGAAATACCAAAATGTTACTACATCACTTCTCTAAGCAACTAGCTATCTAACAATTGGATCACTGTGAGTAAACTCAAATGAAATGCTCAAGTCAGAAAGATACTAAATGACTGAGGCACAATTCTACTTAATAGAATATCAACAGGTTCAAGTTAAATATCATCTGATTCTTTGGCAAGTGTAATTTGGGGTGGGTGGGTGGAAGGGAAATCAGATAATCTAAATGAAACTGTTTTATTGTATGAATTTCTCCTCTCAGCTGTCAAACTTCAATCATGAGAATCAGAAAATATGATTAAATATAGACTTCATTGGGGTGCAGAGCTTGAGGATAGCACCTGGAGGACACAGACTCCAAATGAATAAGTGAAGTTAAAGTTTCACCTTTATAGGCAGAGACAGAAAACTTTTAGCAGGATCACATTTTTTGTAAGAGACTAGCACATATGTCATAGTAATTTGGTTGGCTACAGGTTGCTACATTCCAAGAAAGATTACGTTATTACTATATGAGGAGGGGCAGTGATCTGGGGCGGGAGGTCTTATCTCTGATGCTGCTTGGTTTTAGCTATTTAAAGGGAAAAAAAGGTAGAAGTTGCAGCTGCATGCCACATGACTCAAGCCACATAGCAACACTCCTTTCAAGGCTCAGAATAATTTAACATTCCAACAGCTTTAAATTTGAATTATTTTATTTCCTATGGCAAATGGAGAAATTTCAAACTAGATAATTGATACTGAACATTTAATATGTGCAAAGTTTCTCTTCTGGATAATGTTATTTAAAGTTACTTTTTAAAGACTCTTATTAATGAATTACCAAAAAGTATTAGCCAATATTTAAGTAATAGTGTAGCTAAGTAGACTGCATTTTTTGTTTGATGTTTTGCATCATTCACATTGACTGTCAAATCTAGTGACAGCACATTTCAGTTTAATACCAAGTTCTTGATGACTTCCTCAGCAGTATGTGCATTGCTATCCATCCTTCTAGGAAGGGTTACACTATTGATGCCCAATCAATCACAATGTATGATAAAGTATACCAACTTAATTCACAAAAGATGGCATTTCTTGAACTTATCCCTCATTCTGAAGTTCCTTGGGATAGCGAGTGAATAGTCCCCTGAAGTTGAGAAAACCACATGACCTTACAGTGTGAAATCTACCCTATTCAGGGTGGCTATTCATCTCATGGATATTAGACTTTCTAAATAGATTAGCTCTTTCTGAATAGAATAGTTTCATTAAGAATTATAATTGCATGTTTTGTCCTGCTACTACTAAGTGTGTAAACTCAGTGATGCAAAATTATTAAAAATCCACATCTTATTTTATCACCAGCTTTCATCCTAAGTTTCCAACAAATCTTGATAATGGATAAACATATTCAGTCATTTACTGAGTACATAACAGGATTTCAGCTAGATGAGACCTGGCAGGTTACTTTCCACACTTAAAATCATATGACTTTACTCATACCATTTATCGCAGCTTAGATAAGTTGGAATTCCTAAAGGTAAAGGGTGGGAAATTAAAAATAAAGAAATTTCATTGACATTGTAAGATAAGGGTACTTATGGCGACGGAATTGGACCCATACAGCAAAAGTAATGTAAGTTTTCTTTTTTGAATCTTTAAGTCAGAGATATGACAACAACCCATTTAGATGTTCAGTGATGGATTTTTAGCTAGAAATCCCAACACTTTGGTGCTGTGAATTACATTTGTGTGAAATTTACTTTTGCCTATTTTTTTTTCTTCTTGCCAACATTGGTTTAAAGCATAAGCAATATCTTTAGTGTTTTAGATAAGAGGTAGGCAGATAGTTACATTTATATTCAGTTCTGTATAATGGTAAAAAATTTATTTAACTGCTTAGGATTTTTTGATAGTGTCAAAATTCGTAGTTTGAATAGGTATATCTTTTTTACCATATGCAAAGCAGAGATTTCAGTGGATAGAAAGGGAAACCTTCCATGAAATAGAGAAGACAGGTTAGGCAAAGAATAAAGAACAGATGCTTAGGAATAAATAAACAATTTTGTTGGTGAGTGTTGTTACCAAATTATAATCAATTCAAGTCACTAAATTGGACTATTTTATGGTGCTATTGAAAATTATACTTACTTGGATAGTAAAAGAAAAGACTAGATAAGGATTAAATGTTTTACTATGTTCCCTGATTCTTCCAGAATTTGTGTCAAGTGCAAGCTTATGAAACAAAGTGCCAACTTACAGGACTTTTACTCTCTGCAGTGATTTGTCTATGTTATGACTTTCTAAATGTTTCAAGATTTTACCATACGATCTCAGTTCTCAAAAACAAAATTATGTATGCTATCTTAATGAATAATCACCAAATGAAGGTTAGTATACTACATACAAAAATACATATAAAAATAATAATAAAAAATTCTGGAACTTAAAAAAGATTAGGCAGTCTGTTCATATACATGTTACAATGCTGTTTTAAATGAATTTTTTTTGAATCATACACATTGGCTATCTCATACATTCCCATTCCATCTTATCTTCACATCACATTCTCCCCTGACTGCTTGGACCATTGCATTTATCGCTAACCCACTCTGATTTATTCCTTGTCCATATCTTTGGCTTTCATGCTTTTGTTATTTCCATGCTAGCTATGCTATTGAAGAGGGCATTTCTGATCTCCAGGAGCAATGCTTAAAACCCCCCGCTTCTAAACCTTGAGCTGTTTCATCTGGACCTATTTACTTTAGGGGCTATTACCTGGACCAAAGTTTTGAGTGAGGATAGTTATATTGTAACTATTTAATGCTCTGTGTGTATAGAGATTTTTTGATAAAATTATAATATTTGTCATCATTTACCCACTAATACCGTCTATTAGCATTATTTTCATATATACCTTTGCTATGATTTAATGTCCTCTCCAAAACTCATGTGGAAATTTAATCTCCATTGTAATGCCACTAAGAGATGGGGCCTTTGTAAAGTAATTAGGATTAAATTAGGACATCAGGGTGGGACCCCCATGATAGTACTGGAGGCTACATAAGCAGAGGAAGGCCATATGGTAGTTTTTTTTTTTTTTCCGTACTAGTTCTGAACATGAGCTCTCTTTCTTTTTTTCCTGCTTCTTTTTTTTAAAATTTTTTTAAAAAATTATACTTTAAGTTCTAGGGTACCTATGCACAACATGCAGGTTTGTTACATACATATACATGTGCCATGTTGGTGTGCTGCACCCATTAACTCGTCATTTAAATTAGGTATATCTCTGAATGCTATCCCTCCCTCCTCCTCCCACCCCACAACAGGCCCCATTGTGGGATGTTCCCCACCCTGTGTCCAAGTGTTCTGATTGTTGAATTCCCACCTATGAGTGAGAGCATGCAGTGTTTGATTTTCTGTCCTTGTGATAGTTTGCTCAGAATGATGGTTTCCAGCTTCATCCATGTCCCTACAAAGGACAAGAACTCATCCTTTTTATGGCTGCATAGTATTCCATGGTGTATATGTGCCACATTTTCTTAATCCAGTCTATCATTGATGGACATTTGGGTTGGTTCCAAGTCTTTGCTATTGTGAATAGTGCCACAATAAACATATGTGTGCATGTGTCTTTGTAGCAGCATGATTTATAATCCTTTGGGTACATACCCAGTAATGGGATGGCTGGGTCAAATGGTATTTCTAGCTCTAGATCCTTAAGGAATCACCACACTGTCTCCCACAATGGTTGAACTAGTTTACAGTCCCACCAACAGTGTAAAAGTGTTCCTATTTCTCTACATCCTCTCCAGCACCTGTTTTTTCCTGACCTTTTAATGATCACCATTCTAACTGATGTGAGATGGTGTCTCATTGTGGTTTTGATTTGCATTTCTCTGATGGCCAGTGATGATGAGCATTTTTTCATGTGTCTGCTGGCTGCATAAATGTCTTCTTTTGAGAAGTGTCTGTTCATATCCTTCACCCACTTTTTGATGGGGTTGTTTGATTTTTTCTTGTAAATATGTTTAAGTTCTTTGTAGATTCTGGATATTAGCCCTTTGTCAGATGGGTAGATTGTAAAAATTTTATCCCATTCTGTATGTTGCCTGTTCACTCTGATGGTAGATTCTTTTGCTGTGAGGAAGCTCTTTAGTTTAATTAGATCCAATTTGTCAATTTTGGCTTTTGTTGCCATTGCCTTTGGTGTTTTAGACATGAAGTCCTTGCCCATGCCTATGTCCTGAATAGTATTGCCTAGATTTTCTTCTAGGATTTTTATGGTTTTAGGTCTAACACTTAAGTCTTTAATCCATCTTGAATTAATTTTTGTATATGGTATAAGGAAGGGATCCAGTTTCAGCTTTCTACATATGGCTAGCCAGTTTTCCCAGCACCATTTATTAAATAGGGAATCCTTTCCCCATTTCTTGTTTTTGTCAAATTTGTCAAAGATCAGATGGTTGCAGATGTGTGGTATTATTTCTGAGGGTTCTGTTCTGTTCCATTGGTCTATGTATCTGTTTTGGTACCAGTACCATGCTGTTTTGGTTACTGTAGCCTTGTAGTATAGTTTGAAGTCAGGTAGCATGATGCCTCCAGCTTTGTTCTTTTGGCTTAGGATTGTCTTGGCAATGCAGGCTCTTTTTTGGTTCCATATGAACTTCAAAGTGGGCTCTTTTTTGGTTCCATATGAACTTCAAAGTAGTTTTTCCAATTCTGTGAAGAAAGTCATTGGTAGCTTGATGGGGATGGCATTGAATCTATAAATTACCTTGGGCAGTATGGCCATTTTCACCATATTGATTCTTCCTACCCATGAGCATGGAATGTTCTTCCATTTGTTTGTGTCCTCTTTTATTTCATTGAGCAGTGGTTTGTAGTTCTCTTTGAAGAGGTCCTTCACATACCTTGTAAGTTGGATTCCTAGGTATTTTATTCTCTTTGAAGGAATTGTGAATGGGAGTTCACTCATGATTTGGCTCTCTGTTTGTCTGTTATTGGTGTATAGGAATAATTGTGATTTTTGCACATTGATTTTATATCCTGAGACTTTGCTGAAGTTGCTTTATCAGCTTAAGGAGATTTTGGGCTGAGATGATGGGGTTTTCTTAATATACAATCATGTCATCTGCAAACAGAGGCAATTTGACTTCCTCTTTTCCTAATTGAATGCCCGTTATTTCTTTCTCCTGCCTGATTAACCTGGTCAGAGAACTTCTAACACTTTGGTGAATAGGAGTGGTGAGAGAGGGCATCCCTGTTTTGTGTTAGTTTTCAAAGGGAATGCTTCCAGTTTTTGTCCATTCAGTATGATATTGGCTGTGGGTTTGTCATAAACAGCTCTTATTATTTTGACATATGTCCCATCAATACCTAGTTTATTGAGAGTTTTTAGCATGAAGGGCTATTGAATTTTGTCGAAGGCCTTTCCTACATCTATTGATATAATGTGGTTTTTGTCTTTGGTTCTGTTTATATGATGGATTACGTTTATTGATTTGCATATGTTGAACCAGCCTTGCATCCCAGGGCTGAAGCCAATTTGATCGTGGTGGATAAGGTTTTTGATGTGCTGCTGGATTTGGTTTGCCAGTATTTTATTGAGGATTTTTGCATTGATGTTCATCAGGGATATTGGTCTAAAATTCTCTTTTTTTGTTGTGTCTCTTCCAGCTTTGGTATCAGGATGATGCTGGCCTCATAAAATGAGTTAGGGAGGATTCCCTCTTTTTCTATCAATTGGAATACTTTCAGAAGGAATGGTACCAGCTCCTCTTTGTACCCCTGGTAGAATTCGGCTGTGAATCCATCTGGTCCTGGACTTTTTTGGTTGGTAGGCTATTAATTACTGCCTCAATTTCAGAGCCTGTTATTGGTCTACTCTGGGATTCAGCTTCTTCCTGGTTTAGTCTCGGGAGGGTGTGTGTGTCCAGGAATTTATCCATGTCTTCTAGATTTTCTAGTTTATTTGCATAGAGGTGTTTATAGTATTCTCTGATGGTAGTTTGTATTTCTGTGGGATCAGTGGTGATAGCCCTTTCTCATTTTTTATTGTGTCTCTTTGATTCTTCTCTCTTTTCTTCTTTATTACTCTTGCTAGTGGTCCATCAATTTTGTTGATTTTTTCCAAAAACCAGCTCCTGGATTCATTGATTTTTTTGAAGGGTTATTTGTGTCTCTATTTCCTTCAGTTATGCTCTGATCTTAGTTATTTCTTGCCTTCTGCTAGCTTTTGAATGTGTTTGCTCTTCCATCTCTAGTTCTTTTAATTGTGATGTTAGGGTGTCAATTTTAGATCTTTCCTGCTTTCTCTTGTGGGCATCTGGTGCTATAAAATTGTCTCTACACACTGCTTTAAATGTGTCCCAGAGATTCTGGTATGTTGTGTCTTTGTTCTCATTGGTTTCAAAGAACATCTTTATTTCTGCCTTCATTTTGTTACGTACCCAGTAGTCATTCAGGAGCAGGTTGTTCAGTTTCCACGTAGTTGAGTGGTTTTGAATGAGTTTCTTAATCCTGAGTTCTAATTTGGTTGCACTGTGGTCGGAGAGACAGTTTGTTATAATTTCTGTTCTTTTACATTTGCTGAGGAGTGTTTTACTTCCAACTATGTGTTCAATTTTGGAATAAGTGCAATGTGGTGCTGAGAAGAATGTATATTCTGTTGATTTAGGGTGGAGAGTTCTGTAGATGTCTATTAGTTCTGCTTGGTGCAGAGCTGAGTTTAAGTCCTAGATATCCTTGTTAACTTTCTGTCTCCTAGATCTGTCTAATGTTGATAGTGGGGTGTTAAAATCTCCCATTATTATTGTGTGAGAGTCTAAGTCTCTTTGTAGATCTCTAAAGACTTGCTTTATGAATCTGGGTGCTCCTATATTGGATGCATATATATTTAGGATAGTTAGCTCTTCTTGTTGAATTGATCCCTTTACCATTATGTAATGGCCTTCTTTGTCTCTTTTGATCTTTGTTGGTTTAAAGTCTGCTTTATCAGAGACTAGGATTGCAACCCCTGCTTTTTTTTGTTTTCCATTTGCTTGGTAGATCTTCCTCCATCCCTTTATTTTGAGCCTATGTGTGTCTCTGCTCATGAGATAGGTCTCCTGAATACAGAACACTGATGGGTCTTGACTCTTTATCCAATTTGCCAGTCTGTGTCTTTTAATTGGAGCATTTAGCCCATTTGCATTTAAGGTTAATATTGTTATGTGTGAATTTGATCCTGTCATTATGATGTTAGCTCGTTATTTTGCTTGTTAGTTGATACAGTTTCTTCCTAGCATTGATGATCTTTACAATTTGGCATGATTTTACAGTGGCTGGTACTTGTTGTTCCTTTCCATGTTTAGTGCTTCCTTCAGGAGCTCTTGTAAGGCAGTCCTGGTGGTAACAAAATCTGTCAGCATTTGCTTGTCCCTAAAGGATTTTATTTCTCCTTCAATTATGATGCTTAGTTTGGCTGGATAGGAAATTCTGGGTTGAAAATTCTTTTCTTTAAGAATGTTGAATATTGGCCCCCATTTTCTTCTGGCTTGTAGAGTTTCTGCTGAGAGATCAGCTGTTAGTCTGATGGGCTTCCCTTTGTGGGTATCTTGACCTTTCTCTCTGGCTGCACTTAACATTTTTTTTCTTCATTTCAACTTTGGTGAATCTGACAATTATGTGTCTTGGAGTTGCTCTTCTTGAGGAGTATCTTTGTGGTGTTCTCTGTATTTCCTGAATTTGAATGTTGGCCTGCCTTGCTAGGTTGGGGAAGTTCTCCTGGATAATACCCTGAAGAGTGTTTTCCAACTTGGTTCCATTCTCTCCATCACTTTCAGGTACACCGATCAGATGTAGATTTGCTCTTTGGTCTTTTCACATAGTCCCATATTTCTTGGGGGCTTTGTTCATTTCTTTTTACTCTTTTTTCTCTAAACTTCTCACTTCATTTCATTCATTTGATCTTCAATCACTGATAGCCTTCCTTCCACTTGATCGAATCAGCTACTGAAGCTTGTGCATGCATCACGTAGTTCTCATGCCGTGGTTTTAAGCTCCATCAGGTCATTTAAGGTCTTCTCTATGCTGTTTATTCTGGTTAGCCATTCATCTAATTTTTTTCAAGGTTTTTTAGCTTCTTTGCAATGGGTTTTAGCATCCTCCTTTAGCTCGGAGTAGTTTGTTATTACTGATTATCTGAAGCCTACTTCCATCAACTCGTCAAAGTCATTCTCTGTCCAGTTTCACTCCATTGCTGGCGAGGAGCTGCGTTCCCTTAGAGTAAAAGAGGTCCTCTGATTTTCAGAATTTTCTGCTTTTCTGCTCTGATTTCTCCCCATCTTTGTGGTTTTATCTACCTTTGGTCTCTGATGATGGTGACATACAGATGGGGTTTTGGTGTGGACGTCCTTTCTGTTTGTTAGTTTTCCTTCTAATAGTCAGGACCCTCAGCTGCAAGTCTGTTGGAGTTTGCTGGGGGTCCACTCCAGACTCTGTTTGCTTGGGTATCACCAGCAGAGGCTGCAGAACAGCAAATATTGAAGAACAGCAAATGTTGCTGCCTGATCCTTCCTCTGGAAGCTTTGTCTCAGAGGGGCACCCGGCTGTATGAGGTATCAGTCGGCCCCTACTGGGAGGTGTCTCCCAGTTAGGCTACGCTGGGGTCAAGGACCCACTTAAGAATGCAGTCTGTCCATTCTCAGATCTCAAACTCCATGCTGGGAGAACCACTACTCACTACTCTCTTCAAAGCTGTCAGACAGAGACGTTTAAGTCTGCAGAGGTTTCTGCTGCTTTTTGTTCAGCTATGCCCTGCCTCTGAGGTGGAGTCTACAGAGACAGGCAGGCCTCCTTGAGCTGCAGTGGGCTCCACCCAGTTCGAGCTTCCAGGCTGCTTTGTTTATCTACTCAAGCCTCAGCAATGGCAGACACCTCTCCCCCAGCCTTGCTGCCGCCTTGCAGTTCGATCTCAGACTGCTGTGCTAGCAATGAGTGAGGCTCCACGGGCGTAGGACCCTCTGAGCCAGGCGTGGGATATAATCTCCTGCTGTGCCATTTGCTAAGACCATTGGAAAAGCACAGTATTAGGGTGGGAGTGTCCCTATTTTCCAGGTACCATCTGTCATGGCTTCCCTTGGCTGGGAAAGGGAATTCCCCAACCCCTTGCACTTCCTGGGTGAGGCAATGCCCTGCCCTGCTTCGGCTCACACTCCATGGGCTGCACCCACTATCCAATTAGCCCCAGTGAGATGAACTCGGTACCTCAGCTGGAAATGCAGAAATCACTCGTCTTCTGTGTTGCTCACACTGGGAGCTGAAGACTGGAGCTGTTCCTATTCGGCCATCTTGGAACCTAATCAGTTTCTATTTTGTTTTGTTTTGTTTTAGTAGAGACGGGGTTTCATCATGTTGGTCAGGCTGGTCTCAAACTCCTGACCTTGTGATCCACCCACCTCGGCCTCCCAAAGTGCGCCATATGGTAGTTTTATTTGCAGTTTTTTTAGGCATCTCAATATTGTTCTTTATGGTGGATGAACTAGCTTAAATTCTTACAGTGTATAAGAGTTCTATTTTCTCCACATTATTGCCAACATTCATTATTTTTTGTCTTTTTGATAAGTCATCCTAACTGGGGGAGATGATATCTCATTATAGTTTTGATTTGCACTTTTCTGATGATTAGTGATGTAGAACATTTTTTCATATATTTTTTGTCCATTTTTATGTCTTCTTTTGAGAAATATCTATTCCAATTATTTCCTCACTTTTTAATTGGATCATTTAGTTTGAACCACCATATGATTCACCAATCTCACTACTGGGAATTTATCGAAAGGAAAGAAAATCATTATATTGAAGAGACATCTGCACCCCCATGTTTATTGAAGCACTATTCATAATAGACAAGATATAGAATGAAACTAGGTATCCTAACAACAAAGGAATAGATAAAGAGAATGTGGTATATAGACGCAATGGGATACTATTTAGTCATAAAAAAGAATGAAATCATGTCATTGGTGGCAACATAGATGGAACTGGAGGATGTTATGTTAAATGAAATAAGCCAGGAACAGAATGTTAAACAATCATATGTGGAAGCTAAAAAAAGCTAGTATCTTAGAAGTAAAAAGTAGAGGCTGGGCGTGGTAGCTCATGCCTGTAATCTGAGCACTTTGGGAGGCGAAGGTGGGTGGATCACCTGAGGTTGAGTTTGAGACCAGCCTGGGCAACATGGCGAAACCCCATCTCTACTAAAAATACAAAAATTAGCTGGGCGCAGTGGTGGGTGCCTGTAATCCCAGATACTTGGGAGGCTGAGGCAGGAAGAATCACTTGAACCTGGGAGGTGGAGGTTGCAGTAAGCCGAGATTGTGCCATTGCACTCCAGCCTGGGCAACACAGCAAGACTCTGTCTCAAGAAAAAAAAAAAGTGAAAAGTAGAACAGAGAATAATAGAGGCTGGAAAGGATAGGAGGAAGAGAGGGATAGGGAAAGATTGGTAAAGGATACAAATTTATTGTGATCTGATCTCTTTACATTATATTTAACAATCTATTACTATACACCCATGAATAAATACATACACTTATTATTAGACCTTTAAAAAATTAAAAAAATAAGAGGAAGAGAGACCTGAGTTGACATTCTTTTGCCCTCTCACCATGTGAAGTTCTTCTCTATGTTATGATCAGTAAGAAGGCCCTCAGCAGATATGGCCCCTCAATAGACTTAGACAACCCTATTTTGTTCATAGTGACAGTGAGCCCAGGTAAAGATTCCATGTGTAAGGCTTCTGTATAGTTAAGGGTGGCTTATTTCTGTTCTGAACAGTTACATATACAGAAATGTACTGGATAAAGATTTAAGGAAAGTTATTGTTTTCCTAACTAAAAGTCAAAGTTCTTAAGAGATGTTCATTTTGGGGGCTTAATTCTCTTTTTTGTCTGCTGGGGACATGCATGTGATGTCTGTGGTACAAAAGCCATACTATGATTATAAAGGTAAAAGCCACAGGGTGACAATGACAAAGTGACAAGAAAGAAGAAAACTGCAACTCTTTGTTATAATTGAACTATTGTATTAGTCTTGCACTGCCTACTCTGGGGTTCATATTTTGTCAGAAAAAATATATCCTAACCTGACTAAGCAACTCTAGTGATGGTTCTATAATATGTATTCCAACTTACACAGCTATAAAGTCTAATTCCATCTTAAGGTTTGTATAAATCACTAACTCATATCTAAAGAGGTGGCTAGCCTCTTCTCAAACATGTATCTTGGACAATAATCATTAGTAAAAATTAAACTGAGCCCCCACTTTGCTGAGTAGTGTGGTGAGACTAGTGGATGGAAGAGGAAGGAAGTTATGAATTAAATATTTGTGATGGACCCTGATTTCAGGATCCTAGAGCATTTTTAGCAAGACCTATTAAAGCAAGAGAGTATTGCATTTATTTATTTTTCCCTGAGAGATATCAAACGAGGCACATCAAAACTCTCTTGAAAAAGTGAAGTTGCAACAGAATTACATTTATTTTCTCTCAGTTTCTTCTGAACTTAAAGGATAATTGCTAATATATAAGCCCTCTTCGTCTAATGTAGAATGGCTTTCCTTATGTGGAAACTTTCATTCATGCCACAAATACCCATTGAATATACAATAACTGAGCTGTATGCAGGGATTATAAGGGAGGTCAAGAATGATTATTTTTTATTCAGAAAGCTTACGGAGTAATTGAAATCATAGAGAAAAATGTTTTTATTATATCCTGCATCAACCTCTCATTATAAAGCAAGAAAACTCTCATCCCCTTTGTGATGATTCTCAGCATTATAAGGAGAGGTATGTTTTAATGTTTGTGTTTCTATATGTAGAATAATTTATTTTTTCTCAGTAAAATTAGCTTCAGATAATGAGTGCTGAAATTTTCCTGGGTCTACATACAACTGTTTGGTTATGTAAAATAAGCTAATTACTAAAGTGCAATCTCAGCATTCACATGAAAAATCATTGCTATAATAAAATGTAAATAGAAACATTTTGAATATTTTCAAAGAAAAAAATATACCTGAGGAGCTTAATTATATACAGGGATAAGTTCTTTCAAGTTTACAACCCACTTGAAATAAGCAAATAATGAGGAATGTGGTATCCATTCTCTCAAAACAACTCATGCACCTTATAAATATATATACCTACTGTGTACTCACAAAAATTAAAAGTAAAAAATAAAAATAAAAGTTTAAAGCCCTCTTGAAAAATTGCTTAAAGTATAATAAAATGTGTATAGTAATAATTATTTTTCTCCAGACATGTTTCTTATTTTCTGGTAATGCAGTTAATAGCCTCCATGCATTCAATCCAAGAACCAGAGATACAGTTTCACCCAAAGCACATGAACTTAAAATAGGAAGAGGGTGGCCCCCAGAAAAAAATGTTTGGGGAAATTTCACCCATTGTTAGGTATTAGAAATGCCAAATATGACCTTACAAATAGCAGCATGCTAACACATGCACGTGCATGCACACGTGCACACACACACACACACCTGAAAATAAAGAAAAAAAAGTTATTTTTACATCTGTGTTTATTAGCCATTATTTGTAATTCTAAAAATCCTGTAGGATTTTAAAAGAAAACAAAATGCAAGATTTTCCCAAAAATAATATATATATATTTTCATTGTCTTCGTAAAATCTTCCAATCACCAATGTTTTTATAGTTCCACATTTTTATTCCTTTAAGATAGAATTCTGGACTGGCCATATTCAAGAAGAAATTAAATGTTAGAATCTTGTCAATAATGGTTGGAAACATTGATAGAAATCCCAATTAGAACTGAGCATTTATTTCTTTTTTCTGGCATTTCTAGTATTACCAGATTTCTCAAATGACTGGCTTTTAAATAAATAACTAAAAATAGCTATCCATTCAAGGTAAGTTTGGCCTCAAATCCACAAATTCAGATTCTGGGCTAGATATACTGTAATGCTTTATTTTATAGGAAAGAGATCCATCTTTACAAATAATAGATACCTGTACTCTACATCGTAACTACATTGAAAACGTACTAACATAAAAGAATCTCACTGGTTTAAAAGTCAGTTTACGTTGATTTTTCAGATGTGCTGTATTCAGTGAAACTGCCTATGGAAACCACTTTAAACTTTCCACATTCCAGCCTTAGAAAACATTATACAGGAATAATAAACTTCAAAAAATTCTTCATATTTCCGTGATATGTACTGTAGCATATCACATTACTTCCTAACCCTGTGTTTCACCTTTCCTTCCAATCTTTATCATTATTGTATTTTTAAAAACATCAATGTGTATGCCTTTTTCTGTTCCTGTACTGATCAGCTTGGACAAGCTGCATACTTTATTCAGCACAGACTGCTTTCCTCAAGTAGCTTTTGTAGTGAATGTATGTTATTTGACTCTAAGTTTGAAAGAAATAGAGACAATCAGGTTTTCTCAGGTGATAGGCATGTTATTGTAAAGATACTCAGGAAAGCAAGAAAGCACAGGAAATTGGCTCAGTCAGTTGCAAAGTCAGAATAGCGGAAAATCATTTTTGCTCAGGCTACAGTCAAAATTCTAAATACCCCAACAAAAATTCTAGCTATTGGCTGTGTTTTGATTCACCTTACCTCTTCTCCAACCCTCTGCTTATTTCTTCAGTTGACTCAGACTTAGCCCTGTTTTATTGTTTTTTGCTGATATGTGTTTCTATGGTCTGTATCTTGGTTTATGCTCTTCTGATCTGTCTTTGTTGGTTATGTGTTTCACATTGACTCTCCAAATGTTAAAACTGGTTTAATATATATGTATATATATATTAAATATCTTTATAATATCTTTATAATATTTTTATTGATTCAAGGAACGGTACACAACTATCTCATAAACCTCTACTCCAGCCTTTGGAGTTCACTTTCAGAGCAGATAACTGTCTTTTCTCAAATATGAGAAAAATTATTATTACTTGAGCAAAGCTATGATGATATATATATAAGAAGTCTCATCCAGCAGATTCATTTACAAAGGGTGGTGTAGTTAATAGCCTCTCTGAAACTTCCTGATAGCTATTATAAAGGAAATTTCTCTTAAATTTTTAAATGTTTGTAATTTTAATGGATGTTGTTGTAGGATGGACAATCCAAGACCCTATTGCTGAGATTCCAGATGCTGCTGCAGATATATTGGCATATTCTGAAGATCTATTAATAACAACATTGCTGATTTGTATGTCATTTGAAACTCTTAGTGTGCTTTGTGTAGGGGATAATTTAATGAGGTTAATCTTTATGATGTCTTCAATGAATGCATATAATTTAACTGTCAAATAAATATTGACTTAAAATAAATGACATACATATATTTTTAATTGTTATATCTTGTTGCTGAATTGACTCCTTTATCGTTATATAATAACCTTCTTTATCTCTTTTAACAGCTTTTGTCTTGACATCCATTTTATCTGATATAACCATAGCTATTCCTGCTCTTTTTTGATTTCCATTTGCATGGAATAAGTTTTTGCATCCCTCTATTTTCAGATGATGTATGTCTTTATAGGCAAAGTGAGTTTCTTATAGGCAGCACATAGTTGGGTCTTTTTTTAATTAATTAAACTCTTTATGTCTTTTTAGGAGAATTTGGCCCATTTACATTCAATGTTATTATTGATAGGTAAGGACTTACTACTGCGATTTTGTTATTTGTTTTCTGAATGTTTAATTGATCCTGTCTTTCTTTCTTCCTTCCTATCTCTCTTTGTTTAAAAGTGACTTTCTCTGGTAGAATATTTTACTTTGTTGCTTTTTAGTTTTTGTGTATATTTTGTTGGGTTTTTAATTTGTAAAAGCTTGCAAATAACATCTTATAACCAATTATTTTAAACTGAATAGAAATTTTTGAAGGAACATAAACAAATGACCAATTAGTATATGAAAAAATGCTCAATGACACTAATCATCGGAGAAATGCAAATCAATGCTACAACAAGAGGTCATCTCACCCCAGCTAAAAGCTAAAATGACTTTTATCAACAGGCAATAACAAATACTGCTGAGGATGTGGGCAAAGGGGAACACTTGAACACTTTTGGTGGGAATGTAAATTAGTGCAACCACTACAGAGACCTGTATGAACGTTCCTCAAAAAACTAAAAAACTAAAATTGCTATATGACCTAGCAATTCCACTTCTGGCTATATATCATAAAAGAAGAAAGAAAGGAAATAACAAAGAAAGAAAGAAGAAAGAAAGAAAGAGAAAAGAAAAGAAGAAGAAGAGGAAGAGGAAGAAGAAGAACAACAAGAAGAAGAAGGAGAAGAAGGAGGAGGAGAAGGAGGAGGGAAGAAAGGAGGAAGAAGAAGGAGAAGAAGGAGAGAAGGAGGTGGAGAAGGAAGAGGAGGAGAAGGAGAAGAAGGAGAAGAAAGAAGAAGCAGGAGAAGGAGAAGAATAAGAAGAAGAAGAAAGAAGAGAAGAGGAGTTGTATATTGAAGTGTACTTTCATGTTTATTGTACCACTGTAAACAATAGTCAAGATATGAAATCAACCTGAGTGTTCAACAACAGATGAATGAATAAACAAGTGTGGTAAATATACACAATAAATATTATTTGGCTATAGAAATAAAGAAATCCTTTCATTTGCAATAACATAAATAGAATTGGAGGATATTATGTTAAATGAAATAAGCCAGGCACAGAAATAAACATTTCACATATTGTCACTTATATGTGGGAGCTAAGAAATTTTAAAAATGTTGAACCTATGGCGATAGAGAGTAAAGTGATAATTACCAGAGGCGGTGAAAGGTAGAGGGGATGGGGGTTTAATATGGGGATGGTTATCAGATAGAAATAATACAGTTAGATAGAATGAATACAATCTAGTATTCAGTAGTACAATAGGGTGACTTTAGTTAACAAGAATTTATTGTATGCTTTAAATAACTAATTGAGTGGGATTGGAATATTTCTAAACACAAAGAAATGATAAATGCTTGAAGTGATGGATACCCCAAGTTCCCTGATTTGATCATTATGCATTTTATGTCTGTATCAAAATATTGCATCCTCATAAATATATACAATTATTATATATCTAAAATAATTTAAAATAAAAATTAGTAAATATTAAAAGTGCCAATTCTGAATCTCAAAGCTCTGAAAGTAAAAATGTTAAAGATGGAAATATGTAAACTTGTTCCCTGTGGAATATTGGTCTAAAGCTCTATTTTGTTAACCCAATTCTTTACTATTTTACAAAATTTTATTGAATTTCTAAAGTATGTCATATCTAGAGAGCCTCACAATTTTATTGGTATTAAATATGGTATAAAGAATCTGCTTTGCATTAGATAATTCCACAGAAATATACATTAGTAGAATTTTATTAAATCAAACTGAGCTAATTTTTAAAATAAAAAACAATGTACACCAAAATAACAAAATCTTGTATTAAATAATCTTTATTTTTTAAAGTCAAGACAAAGTCAATGTCAGATGTTCTATTTCAATCTAAACAAATGTGATGCTATTTTAAAAATGCTTTTTAAGTCATGAAATATCAAAAAAGAGTACCAGAATGCAGTCTGTAAGAGTCAAGTGTTCCCAGTAATTATAGATTTCCCCATATTGAAATTCGAACTAGATAATTTCAAGAAAAAAAAACTGGGGAAACTGTATTTCTTTTTAAGATGAATATAAGCACATACAATACAGTGTGGTAAAACAATCTAGACAGAAACTCAAATATTCATGAGGCTGTAGGTGAATATCTTAATGACACAAATCTGAATATATTTTGTAATGTCTCTTTGACTAACAAAGAAAACCTTTCTTTAAATTCCTTTGGGATAGCATTGTACCTGTTTCTCACAGGAAATTCTGATATTTGTGATTTTTCTAATAGTTTTAAAATATTAAGTACAATTTAAGTTATGAAAACCTGTTAAGCATTTTATAGAAAATATTATATATGATTATGTTCCCATTATTTTATATAAAATATCAGACAGAAATGTATGCCTTTTCATAGATAAGTTTAATACTTTATTTTAGGAATTTTAACAAGAATATTCTTTCCCTTTTCACTCTAAGTTTACTATTCTTAAGACCCCCAAAACACATTGTATATACCTCCTAATGAATAAATTTAGAAAAAGAATGAGCAATAAACAAACTAGTAATCTAGAAAGTAAAGTTTTCTTGATATATATATCTATATATAGACATATGGATTGATTTTAGAGACAGGCTCTTGTTCTGTCAATTAGGCTGGAGTACAGTGGCATGATCATAGCTTGCTGCTATCTCAAACTCCTGTGTTCAAGTTACCCTCCAATCACAGACTCCTGAGTAGCTACAGGTGCAGCCACTCCTGGCTAAGTTTTATTTGTTTGTTTTTGGTAGAGACAGGGTCTTGCTATGTTTTCCAGGCAGTTCTTGAACTCCCGGCTTCAAGAGATCCTCCCACCTCAGCCTCCCAGTGTTGGGATTATAGGTATGAGGCACTATGCTCGGCTGACAAATATGCTGTACTAATGCTCATGAGCCACTTAAGATCCATGAATAAATTTAATTTATGTTTATAGCCCTAGAAATCAGCCCAAGCTTAGCAAAGTGTAGACAATTAATGCATATTTGAATGTTGAAAAAATAGGTAGCTGAATTTGATCTCTATGTTGTTAGCATTTTTTTTTTTTCAAATAGAATTTGAAATAAAATGTGTTAGGAAAGGAAATTTAATCATCTCAAATATTTATTGAATTCATTTACCATTGAACTAGCATTCGATTTTTTAAATGTAAGTAGGTTCACAATGGGACTAAGCAGGACATGGTTGTTTTAACTTACTGAACTTAACTTGTTTCCAAGTATGTTTTTCAGCTTAAGTCAATAAATGCTATTAGTACTTAAAGTTCATCAAATAAGATACAACATAAACAACTATAGGTTTCCCTAAAACTATTATTTATTTTTGCTCTATTTAAAGTATTTGAAAAATTTTAAATAATAACTATTCTTCAAAAAATGAAATGGCCTTCTATAATCTATTACAAACCTAATAAAAATAAATTTTCACAAAAGCAATATAACTATGTTTATCTTTCCAGTTTTTCTTTTAAAAAATTGAAATCTATATTCATCGCATTAATATTTTGGAACATTTGCTTTCTCACTCAATACAGACACATATACACACATCTACATAAACAAGCATACATCTTATAATATCACTATTATTATTTGCTCAACAGTTTGTGAGTGAACTGCAAATATCACAACCCTGAACCTCTACAACATTGACACAATGATATCATTTAATATACAGTAAATATTCAGTGTTACCCATTGTTGAAATAATTATTTTGTGGATTTAAAAAATCTTTCCTAAGAGAATATGCAATCATCAATTTTTATTTATTAAAATTTGCCTAGAGGGTAGAGTTTGAATTCTCTGAATTTTACAAAAAGCTTTCAAACTTTAGAATATGTATATCCTGCTTAACTGTGCTCTGCATTCCACTAAACCACATGCAGTTCCCAATGGCTTAGAGTCTCACCGTGCCTAAGTATGTAGGGTTCTTGTCTTCTTTCCTTTAGCCCAGCAGTATTAAACTTGATAAGAGCTAAAATTTGGAAGACTGTATCAAATGTGGGTTGTGAACTTTTTTATCTTCTTCAGGCAATTTCTTCCCTAGTGAAGAATAAGATGTTTCATTTCAGTGCCCACATGTTTATAATCAAGCTGGTATAATGTTGTTTTGAAGTTCTTATGGTTTCTATGTTCTTTAGTAATTGAGAATAAGAATAATACAGTACACTGCAGATACTGCCTAGGATACTTATTCATAGGAGAGAAAAATGGAGGCATTGTCCAGGTCTTTTAAAATCTCTAAAGGTGAAAATCATTTCAGAAACATACAACAGGATATTTATACTTTTTATGGGATTTCCATTTTTCATGTTCTTTTTCATTTTGACTTTTACATTTCCTGCTTTTCTGATAATCGACATAAAATTTCATTTGGCTTATACAAACATAACTGCCCTTACATACAGTAAGTGCATTGACTTGAAATTATTTATGGTGAAATAACCACTATATATTGTATCTTATCACTATGCCCGATATCTAATTCACAGTATGTCTTATAAATTGATAGTATTAGGCAACTTTTATTTGGAAGTATATTTCATTTAAAATATATCATTTAAGTGGAAAATCATATTTGCTTAGATTAATAATGAGTATTTCTATTATTTAGTTGTGTTTGCTTTCATAAATCTGAAAGAAAAAAATACTTTCTTGCTATTCAGGTCTAAGACAAAAAAATGTTTTCTCTTTTAATGCTACAACACACAGGTAGAAAAATAAAAATGATATTTTAGCAGGTGCCAGCTACATCTAATATGATATTCTGTCAACACAGAAACCATGAGTTGTATGTTTTAAAGATTGCAAATTGTTTTCTTCAGTAAATACAGACTGGATTCCTGTGTGTCAAAATGATGCTCTCTAAAAAACAATGAAATTTTGCATCAAAAAAACAACATAAAATTGTCAGCCATGAGACAAATATAGCTTAGTTCAAATTCCAATAAGCAACATTGAAATGCAGGGTACAAGTCGATGCACTATAAATATGGGAATGCTATATGGCTAATAGAGGTTTCAATCAGGAAAGATCTTTTACTTGAAGGGTAGTCAGGGTTATCCCACATCATTACAGAATAATCAAAATAATATATTCAAATAATAAAATGTATAAAATAGTATTTTAGTCACACATATAAAGCTCAGGATGTCAGAGATCCTGTATAATCTAATAATATGTGATAATGATGACTATGATAAGATTTAAATTGCTCACATTGATCTGAATGATGTAAGAATCATAGAAGGCCTGGCGACCTCTTTCAAATTTCAGCAACTATTTTATTTGAAAAAATAAATGCAGAAAATGCTTTTTGAAAGTATTCCCAGTAACATTAATAGTTTAAACATATTCTGACTGTCTATCTTTGACCTTCTTAGACATATTATGTTTACTATGCATGCCCTTTAAAGATCTGTTAAAATGAATGAATTCACACATTCTTCTGAGCAATGCTATTGATTTTTCCAAAACCAAAACAAAACACACAAACAAAAAAGGATTAAGCACTCACTATTAATTAAATTTAGAGTATGTGGTTTTTATATATCTCTAACCCTTCCAAATAAAAATCCACCCAACAGAAATTCTGGGATCGTCCTCAAGTATAGTCCTCTCAGAGTGGATAACCAAATCTAATTACATTCCTGCATAGAATGCTTCAGTATTACCCATTACATTTAGCCTAGATTTTCAAGTTGCTTTCCTAGCTAAATGATATCACTTATCTCCAGTTACTCTTTAAACACTTATAGAAATGGGACTATTATGAAAGCTGTGAGATATTGCATACAAAACAAGATATGTGTATTGGCATTTTAACAAAGCAATGCAAATGTAGATATGAAGGTTTATATGAGTTTGATTTGGTTGCCTGGACTTCAACTTGATTTATTAGAAACTACTTTTCTCTTCAGGTGATAATTCTCCTCAAGAATCTTTATATCCCTATCAATACTTACCTTATCTACTTTCTCACAATCTCTAATTTTTAGATAATTAACGTAATGACCAGAAGGTTCTTGAGGATTCCTTTGTATGAGCACCAATTTTATGTTGGGTAAAGGTAAACTAAACATTCTAAAGTCTCATAGCTATGTGGTGGTAGAGCTAGGATCGAGATATCTATTTCTGGCTCTGGTTCTCTGTGTCCCATAGCTCTTGGCGGAGGGGGTGATTTACACTGTATCTGACAGCTCCTCCTCCACACTTCAATGGTTATTGTACTTTTCTTATTTAATTTTTCATTCTTCAAAATGGGCATTTTGATTGCCTTTGACTAGCCTGGCACTTCATTTTCCATTACATCTGTATTTTCAGTCATGAAATTGTATTTTTAATGTGATTAAACTTACTTGCCTAAAGTTAGGCTTTTAGAGAAGGCCATGGTTAAAATTTAGTGTAGTGGTACAGTTGAAAGAAGTGAAAACACTTTGATAATTTTCAAAATTACTACTCCGTACTACTGAATAGTAGATAGGCACCTAGCTCATTATACTGACAATAAAATATTGTTTTACTAAATGATGTTTAACTATTCATGTATTCATGGAAAAATACTGGGCACTGCTCTAAATATTGTTTGTCACATCCTTAGGTTTGACCTCACCATTTTTACAGGGAATAAAGCACCCCAATATTGTAAATAAAATACTTGAGTACTAATATATTCAAAGTAAAAGTAATGTTTAATGCTAAATTACAATAGGACAATTTATCTCTTTCCTAAACTCCAAAGTATTTTGTATCACTTTTAATATCTATATCAGTGTCTTTTGCCTTCTAAACTAAATTAGGAACATATGAATTACTTCTTATTTATCCTTTTCTCTGATAAAGTACAAGATACGATGCTAAGCATATTGTTGATTCTCAATTAAATTGGTTTAGTTGCACTCGATTAGACAACATGGTCTTTATAAAATGCTTCTGAAAAATTCTTATAGTTAGGACAGAAACAGCATGAATGTTTTGGTTCCTTTTGGCTCAGGGATTAATCTGTGTGTCAGATCTGATGAGTCAAAGTATTTTATTCCCTTGGCCACTGTGATATGTTGAGGGAAGATCAGGAGAACCAATTTAAGCTTAGAAGACACAAAGAGATCTTTTCTGGGGTTGCTTGAAAAACGATTCTGTTTTTTTTTCCCCTGCCGTTTGAAGATTGAGTAATTTTAGGGGCTGGAGATAATGAGACAATGATACTTCATGTTACCATGAGAAGTCCAAGGCTAAAGCCAGCACAAGGTAAAGAAAAGCTGATAAATCAACATATGTGAAGTTCTAATATTATCATTGAGTTCTGAAATCCAAATATGCCTAAAGAAATTAATTCCCACCCAGACACTCCTTATTTACATACACTCAGGTATTGTGGGGTTTATTTTGTTTTGTTTTTATGTTGGAGCCTTGCTGTTGTGTCATTTGTAACTGAACATATTCTAACGTTTGTAGTATTTAACTTTCAAACTCATTTCAATTCACTTCTCTTTGAGTTTCCAAACTCAATGGAATTTCAAGGAACAAGGTTTCTACAGATGCAGTGCAGCACCTGGAAAAATGCTTTGTGTACTACAGCTTCTCCATTTGGCTGAATTGAATTAGATAGATTGAAGATACAACATTTTCTCTTGTAGAATTTGGAAATGCAGAAATAAGACTAATCTGCAAAGACACACAACAATGAATACACAAATTCTCTCTGTCTCTCCCACTCTTTCTCTCTCATACACACACAGACAGACACACACACACAAACACACCCCACAAATTATGAGCACAGTGTCAGCTGAATCTTTCTCTCTCCATCTGGAATGTGTCATAACTAATATGATAGTTTTTAATCCAAATATAGCCTTTTTTTTCCATAGAGCTGGTGTATAAGTAATGATCTGGTCACTCCAGTATTAGAGACCTAAGAAGATTTTACCATAAGTAATTCGAAACTGTTATGATCCATTAATCTTATTTTTAAAATATTTATTAAAATGATACTTTGTGGTATGTAAAATAACATAACATCTGTTCGTCTAACATGCAAATATGAACCAAACAAACAAATAAAACAGACTTTAAACAATGGAATAGGAGAAAGAATCTGCAAGCATATGTAAAATTGGCTCATTTGTAGAATCATTATTTCTAGTAATGTATTACGGAGACAAAGATGCTACATTCTCATCAGTCAGTGGATACTGTCTCTTTGAATAGTAGCTGCATTTAATATGCTATATATAATTAGTGGAAATAAAATATTAAGAAGACACAAATAAATGTTTTATGAATGTACAGACAAACCCTTGAATTAAAAGGTTGAATTGAGCCACTTATTAGCACAGGGTAACAAATCAGTTGTTTTTGATATAACACTTTACTGACTTCATATGCTATTAATCAGTAATTATGAATGAACATTATACATTACAGTGTAGCAAAAAAGGGTTCAGGTAACACTACCACACTTATTAAAGGAGGTTAACCTAGAAATTAAAGTTCATGTCCATTTAAGTATAAGTTATTTTGGTACCTCATTTTCAAATTTCCAAGTAAGAAAAATTACTATTCAGCTGATAAATAATGCATAAATAATTCATCTTTGAAATCGTCCCCACCCTCTTTCTATAATATAAAATTATGATGTTTTATTTAATAACTAACCGTAACTTAATTAATGGCCCCAGGAAACAAGTCAAGTTAAATACGATAAACTAAAATCAGAAGCAGAATAACAGCTTGCCCATTGCCTTAGGCAACTGACAACTGACAAATGATGTGATGTCTGATGACATAATATCTTCTGATCCCTCCTCTTTCAAAGTTTTTGTGTTAAAAAAAATCACAGAATATTATAAATTGTTTTGTCCATGTCAAAAGTTTCAAAAAGGTTCAAAGAGCTTTCATATACTGTGATTTTTATTAGGGACAAATAATCCCTAGCAGAAAACAGAGGACCTGAAGCAACTGCTACTTTATTTTCCAAGTGCTCTTCTTGACAGAGGTATTCTCTAGGAAGTTCTGTATTTTATCAAGAAACTTCCGTTGTAAAGCTTATTTTTGACAAATTTTGGTATTTATAGACTTAACGACAGAGTGTAAGACCCATCTGTTTAATTGTCCTCTGTCTGCTGAGGTGGAAGCCTATGAGAGTATATATGATATTTAAGGTTTTTTGTTGTTGTTGTTGTTTGCATTTTGAGGCTTTAGTCCACTGCTGTCACAATCAGGGATTGGAGAGTTGAAGTTAAGAATGTAGAGTTCTTCCATGGTGTGATCTTGATCAAGTTACTTAACATCACTGCACTTCGGCTCTCTTATCTATAAACAGGCTGTATGATACAGTTTGAATATTTTTTCTCACCCAAATCTCATGTTGAAATGTAATCTCCAGTGTTGGGGGCAGGGCCTGGTGGGAGTTGTTTGCATCATGCAGGTGGATCCCTCATGAATTGCTTGGGCCATGCCCTTGGTGATAAGTGAGCTCTTGCTCTGAGTTCACAAACGATCTGGTCATTTAACAGTATGTGGCACCTCCTCCCGTCACTCTCTCTCACTTGCTTCTGCTTTTGCCATGTGACTTACCTGCTCCTGCCTCACCCTCTGCCATGACTATAAGTTTTCCAAAGCCTCCCTAGGAGTCAAGCAGAAGCCAGCACCATGCTTCCTGTAAAGCAGGCAGAATCATAAGTGAATTAAGACTCTTTTCTTTATAAATTACCCAGTCTCAGGTTTTTTTTATAGTAACGTAAGAATGGACTAATACAGGAAATTGGTACTGAGGAGCAGGGCACTGCTATAAAGATACCTGAAAATGTGGAAGTGACTTTAGAATTGGGTAATGGCCACACTGTGGGATAGTTTGGAAGGCTCCGAAGAAGTAAGAAAGATAAAGGAAAGTTTGGAACTTCTTAGAGACTGGTTAAATGGTTGTGACCAAAATACTGACAGTGGTATGGAACGTGAAGTCCAGGCTACAGAAGTCTCAGGTAGAAATGAGAAAATTATCAGGAACTGAAGCAAAGGTCATACATGTTATGACTTACAAACAGCTTGGCTTCAAACATGTCCTAGGAGACTGTGGAAGTTTGAGGTTGAGAGTAATGACCTAGTGTATCTGACAGAAGAAACTTCTAAGTAGCAAAGCATTCAAGAGTTTGCCTGGCTGCTTCTAAAAACCTACTTCAGATGTGGGAGTAAATAAATGAGTTAAAGTTGAAATTTATATTTAAACAGGAAGCAGAACATGAAAGTTTGCAAAGTTTGCAGCCTAGCCATGTGGCAAGGAAAAATATGTTTTTTTTTCTGGAGAGAAAATCAAGCAGACTTGAAGCAACAACTTGATAGAGGTGTTTGCATGAATAAAAGGGAGCCAACCCCTAATATCCCAGACAATGGAAAAAAGACCCTGAAGGCATTTCAGAGACCTTTAGGGCAGCCCCCCTCATCATGGACCCAGAGGCCTAGGAAGAAAGAATGGTTTTGTGGGCCAAGCCTAGGACCCTGCTGCCCTGCCCAGATTCAAGACACTGCTCCTAGCATCCCAGCTACTCTGGCTCCAGCTTTGGCTCAAAGGGTTCCAGGTACAACTCATGCTGCTGCTCTGGAAGGCACAAGCCATTAACCTTGGTGGCTTCCATGTGGTATTAAGCCTGAAGGTGCACAGAATGCAAGAGTGAAGAATGTTTGGCAGCCTCTGCCTAGATTTTAGTGGATGTATAAGAAAGCCTGGGTACCCAGGCAGAAGTCTGCTACAGGTGTGGAATCCTCACAGAGAACCTCTACTATGGCAGTGCCAAAGGGAAATGTGGGGTTGGAGGTCCCACACAGAGTTCCCAATGTGGCACTGGCTAGTGGAGCTGAGAGAAGAGGACAACCACCCTCCAGACCCCAGAATTGTAGTTATACTAGCAGCTTGCACCCTGCACCTGGAAAAGCTACAGGCACTCAACAACCAATGAGAGCAGCCTCAGGGGCTGAACCCTGCAAAACCACAGAGGCAGAGCTGCCCAAACATTTGGAGCCTATCCTTTGCACCAGTGTGCCCTGGATGTGGGACCTAGTCAAAGGAGATTCTTTTGGAGCTTTAAGATTTAATTACAGCCCTACTTGTTTTCAAACTTGCACAAGGCACACAGCGTCTTTTCTGTTGGCCAATTTCTTCCTTTTAGAATGGCAATTTTTACCCAATGCCTGTACCCCCATTGTATCTTGAAAGTAACTAACTTGTTTTTGATTTTATAGGGTCGTAGGTGGATGAGATTTGCCTTATCTCAAATGGGACTTTGGACTTTGGACTTTTGAGTTAGTGCTGGAAAGAGTAGAAACTTTGAGGAACTGTTGAGAAGTCAGGATCTTATTTTGTAAAGAGAGAAGATCATAAAATTTAGCAGGGACCAGGGGCAGAATACTATAGTTTGGATATTTATCCCTGGTCAAATCTCATGTTGAAATATAATTCCCAATGTTGGAGGCAAAGCCTGGTGGGAAGTGTTTGTATCATGGGGGTGTATCCTTCATGAATGGCACGGGCCATCCCTTCGGTAATAAGTGAGCTCTCGTTCTTGAGTTCACCAAAGATCTGGTCATTTAAAAGTGTGTGGCACCTCCCCCAACTCTCTCTCACTTGCTCTTGCTTTTGGCAAGTGATGGGCCTGCTACCACTTCAACTTGCATCATGATTGTTAAGTTTTCTGAGGCATCTCTAGAAGCTGAACAGATGCCAGCACCATGTTTCCTGTAAAGCCTGCAGAACCATGAGCTAATCAAATTTATTTTCCTTATAGATTACTCACTCTCAGATATTTCTTTATAGTAATGCAAGAATGGTGTAATACACCATAGGAAGTTGTGGCTAAGTGCAGTATCACTAGAACTAAAGTTTGGATATTACACCCTTACCCTGCCACTTGCAAATTGCAGAATTTTGTAAAATTTATCATCTTTCCAATGCTTGATTTTTTTATAGGGTAATTATAAGAAATAAAAGGAGTTAATGCTTATAAAGCACATAGAATGCTACCTGGCTTCTAGTAATCATTCAGTAAATATGGAGGATCAACATTATCACTAGAACCAACCAAAGATTCAGGCATAATCTTAATGGCAATTAATTTATGATGTTGCGAATCCCGTTCCTATCTCATAGTTTTCTTATATTTAAGAACAGTACTATTTTCTCCTTTTTGTCTAATAATAATAACTGGGAACAAAATTATAAAATCAAATTTAGTCTCTGCCATTTGCTAAATCACTTTCCTCAGCTGATAAATGAAAAAGTAATTGTAACTATTACTTAGTGGAGATTAAATGTTTTTATTTACTAAAAGCTTCTAACAAAGGGTTTGGCATTATTCAGGTTGAACACATGTTCAATTTCATTATTATTGTTACTCCAACATTATATATTGAAATTTCTGAAAAGCATGTAAATAAATACACAGATACAGCTTTATATAACAGTTCATGTATCAGCCTATATAAAATTTTCCTCTGAACCTAATTCTTAATCCTAAAGCCTATCAGCCTAGAGATTTCTTCCAGGATTCTCTCAGATACTTCATAGTGAAGTATTTATAAGAAAATTAAATATTTCTACTAATAATTTTGACCTTTTAATGTATAATTTTGATGTAGGTGTGAGTGACAGGCACAAAGGGGAGAATGGGGCAGAGAACTTTATCCTGCTGCATTGTAAGTATTACTTCTAATATTAGCATCATCATTGCATCATCATAATTATTTTATCCTTTTCTCTAAAATAGCTAAAAGTTGGGCTTAATCCTGGGACGTTTTTCTTTATTTAGTTTCTCTAACTCAGTGATCTCATTCAGTATCATGAGTATAAGTTATATCTATATGCCAATGAATAAAAAATTATAGCTTTTTCTTAGACACTCTAAGTGCCAGAATAGAATATTGTATTAAATATCTTCATGCTTAACGATGGAATATCATCATTTGAAATGTAGATATACTTGGATGATTTTTCTCTTGGCAGCCTTATAACCATCTCAAAGTCTCAAGCATAAGACACCCCAAACAGAATTCTGTATTTCCACCATATCACCAATACTTTTTACTCTTAGTTTTTTTATTTATCCAAATGTAAACTAAAAAATCTCAGAATCATCATTGATTCTGCTTTTACCTGCCTTTATTTTACTACATTACCATCATTTTGCCATTTTGCATTAACTTTGAGTAATAGCTTGCAATTTACTACTTCTTAGTATCTTTCTTTTCTATTACTACTGCCACTGTAGTTTCAGTTACCAAAATCTGCTTCCTGAGCTAATGCAAAGGTTTTCTTACTTGTCTCCTTGTTTGTGTATTTGTATTCTTTCAAACAGAAGCCAGAGTAATTCTTTGAAAACAAGTCAGTCTATGTGACTCTTCTACTTAATTTCCTCCAATTATTTCTCATCGCATTGAAATAAATTTCAAATCTTTAATAAAAGTTACATGATCTGGCATTACCTGTCCTCTGGGTATATCCCCATCATTTTTCTTTTCACTCATTCTCTTCCATCACATCAAACTGGTGTCTACTTGTACTTTAGAGCTATTGTATCTGCTGTGCCTCTGCCCAAATCGATATTCCCCCAGATAGCCTCATGGTTTTGCTACCTGTAGTTATCCACATATCTGCTCAAATATTACCCTATTGCATGGGTTTTTTTTTTTTCCTGACTACTCCATCTTAAAAAGAATCCCCCATCCATTTTTATATAGCCCAGTTTTTCTTCGTAGGACCTATTACTTATACTATATTGTTACATATAATAATTTGTATCTGTTTATTCTCTATGATTGCCTACAAAAATGAAAGCTCCATGATGAAAGAGGATTTCTCTGTTTTGCTAATTTCTAACTAACCATTACCTAGAATAATGGCTGAAACATAGATTCCAAACAAATGTTTTTATATATAAATTAATTAACTTTTGCTGCTTTCTCATTGCCCATTGATAGTGCTGCAGTTTGCTCAACCACTACGATCTTTGAAAGGAGAGAAAGTTTAATAAGTCCCCTCACCCTTTTGTGTTCTGGGAAACAGACAATGCAAAGAACAATATTTCCCATATGATTTTCCCTATTTGAGTTAAGACTCGAAATGCCTGTTTGTTCTTCTCTGACAAGGCCAGACAGACTGTCCAAATTCCCGTTCTTTGCCTCATCCATGATTAACTAAACTGTTTGTCACCACTGAACAATTGGAATACAATGCTGATTATAGTGATTTGATCAAAGTTTAGTAAATCTTTCTTTCCTTAGACCCTAAATGTTGATGCACCCTCAGTGTGAGCCATGTAGTTTGTCCTTACAACCTCTCAACAAACAACACCTTCTTACTGCCCCCTCTAGGAAATAGACTGACATCAGGGTAAAGCATTCTATGATCTCCAGTGCGATCCACCAACCCTATGCTTTAAACCCACTTCCCCACACTTCATTCTACTTCCTTTCACTTGGTTCTTTCTACCTTTGTTTACTCCTCTCTAGAAAAGAAAATCCCTTCCCTATCTGACTTTTGAGACACTTGCAGGTCATGATCAGTGTTCTCCTTTTTGCGATAGTCCTATTCTCCTCTCTTGCAGCAATTCTTTAGAATAAAACCTGACTTTAAGTCAATCCAAATTTTTTTAATGTAGGATGCCATTATCTCATGACTGGCCATTCTACCCTTGTCTCTACAGAATTCATTGGCTACACAGCAATTGGAGCAATTTTCTAAAATGACATAAATTCAACCATATGATTGCCTTACTTACAGCCTTCCAATGACTTCCATTGAATCCAAAATTCTTAGGATTATGTACAAAGATCTAATTTGTCTACTTCCTTCCCCAACTCTGATAACTCCGTAGAATTTAGTTGCATATTTCAGAACTCAAAGCTACTAACTACTTTAAATTAATAAGATTTTATGATTTATGTTTGGTTTTGGAATGTTTTTGAGATATTCTGTAAGATTCTTTCACAGATTAATAAAATGTTTTTTGTATATCTAAATATATACATATCCTTGTATATCTATTATATCTATCTATCTCCTAGTATTTTCTTTTTAACTAAATTAGTTCAGATTTTTAAAATAAGTCAATTTATACAATTAAAATTTTTAGGTTATGTAAAATATATTTAGAGAAAAATATTGCTTCAACCTTTATATGTATGTATCCCATCCACTTGCTCTCCAGGTGCTTTTATTATTGTTACTATTATTATAGTGCTTATTTTTCCAATATTTATTTGCATAAATTTTTAAAAATAGGCTATTGTCTCTTACACAAAATGTAATATTACATATACACTATTTTACAGCTTGCTTTTCCCACTTAACAATAAATCCTAAAATATGTTTTTTTCCATATACAGAATTTTTTCACTTTTAAAAATATAGAGCTGCCTGGAGTTCTGTTTTGTAGGTAACCATAGCTTACTTGATAGTAAAATGAATTAGATTCCAAGTTTTGCTATAACAAAGTATGAAAGCATTGTTTTTTTTTAAATGACATTTTAATCATAGGCAAGGGCATATGTATGATTTATCTCATGACTGTAATGGCCGTGTCAAAGAGTAAAGGCCTTTCTAATACAAGTAAATATCACCAGATCACCCTCCATTTTACCATTTTGTATTTTCCTCACAATGGAGGAGAATTTCCTCATGACTTTACTACTAGTGTTTTGTCAAAAGTTTAGCATTTTGATTAGTTTGGTAGAAGAAGTTACACCTCACTGTAAACTCAAGAGAAGTTGAGCATCTTTGATTGTGTCACATTTATTTTATTTTTATTATTTATTTATTTATTTTGAGATGGAGTCTCGCTTTGTCTCCCACTCTGGAGTGCAATGGCTCAATCTCGGCTCACTGCAACCTCTGCCTCCTGGGTTCAAGCCATTCTCCTGCCTCAGCCTCCTGAGTAGCTGGGATTACAGGCATGAACCACCACGCCCGACTAATTTTTGTATTTTTAGTTGAGACAGGGTTTCACTATGTTGGTCAGGCTGGTCTCCAACTCCTGATGTCGTGATCCACCCACCTCGGCCTCCCAAAGTGCTGGGATTACAGGCATGAGCCACCATGCCCAGCCTTATTTTATTTTTCTATGAACATTGTTTCCTTGTGCTTTGCCTTTGTGTTTTCTGCTTTATTCTCAATTTAGAGATCTCTTGATGAAAACAGGAGATTAGCCATATGTTTATGATATATGTTGCAAATATTTTTTGTCAGTTTTCTTTTTAACTTTGTCTATGGTATAATTTGCAGGCAAAACTATTTTTCTTGTTGTGTTATTTTTACACATTCACATTAACCATACTTTCTTTTATTGTCTCTTGATTTTTAAATTCATCATTAGAATGTTTTCTACCTTTCCAGCTTTAAGGGAATTCACCTATTTTTTTTTTCTTAGCACCTATATTGTTTCATTCTGTACATTTAGTTTGATAATGTTTTGCAGGTTATCTTGGTGGATGGTGTGAGGGAGGAATTACTTAAATTTATCTGTTTTTGTAACTTATAGTATGTAATCTTACAAAGGTTTAACACATAACCTTATGTGTTAAACAGTCCATAATTACCCTCCACTGTTTTGAGAAGTCAACATACACATTCTATAGTTATTTGGGTTTATTTCTGTCTTTTATGTTCTACATTTGTATCACCATACAAATGAATCCATATTTGTATCACCCACTTTTTAAGAGTACTTTTTACAATTAAAGAAGTAATTATCCCCTTTTTTTTCTTCTTCAAAGCTTTATCTTGCTATTATTGCTTCTGTGTGAGTGTGTGTGTGTGTGTGTGTGTGTATCTGCATTGGCTAGTTGTGTACATGTAAACCTTGTAACCAGAATTATTAAAGGGAATGGTCCATAGAGAGAATGACAATGGTGGACTCTCAGGAAATCAGGAAGGCACATTCCCCGTTGTTGGAACTAAGTTCCTAGCAGCTTATTCATGATACAGGATCAATAAATTGCCACAAACTTTGACTCCAGGAATAAATATTTTATTTTTTTTTTAAATAAGGTAGCTATCACCTGCATTGGTAGTCCAGAGACACATCACACCTTCTGAAACCCACATTTATTAAACCGTGTGCTTCTTGGGCTGGCTTCTTCCACTTAACTCAGTCCTTCACTCAAGCCTTTGTGAAGGCACTAATTGACAAAACCTACATTCCACCTAGATACAGAGCTGCAAGAGAATATGGTAATATTTTATATTTTTCTATCTCTGAAGTGAAAGAAGGCACACTAGCAGAGGCTAGAATTGATAAAATATTAAATCAACTCTATCTCACAATCTTACCTGTACATTCATCTCTTTGAGCATCCTAAACATATTTATTTTAAAGCCTTTGTTGGTTCCATAACGATAACTTCACTAAAAAGAACACTTATTCTGATTACTCATTTTGGTTATCTTTTTTGACATGAGTTTTATTTTTAATATGTCCTCAAGTTTTCATAAGCAGGACAGTTTTGAGTGGATAATTTTATTTTTCTGTATAAGTCTTCCTTTCTTTCTCTACCAATGCAGCAGTTTTCTTATGTTTTGTGCATTTACTCTTCGTTTCTAAAAATTTTTACAATGGTTCCAGAATCTATGTTTTTATTCAACACCTACCCCAAGATGATACTACAGATATCCCAGATATAGTTACTAATAGAAAGGACACTTTGCCTCTACATTTCTTTGTGACTTCTTGCCCACAGCTTCCTAAGAAGCCATGGATCCAGAAACAGGGTTTTAGTGAGATACTTTAGCTTTTTTCATGTTTTCTAAACATTAACTTCAAGAGGTGAGCTTTCGACCTCTACATAAGTTAGAAAGCATTAGTCTCTATGAATATGCTGCATTTGAAATCTTAGTCACTGTTACCTGTCTGGACTGGGACCTAGCAGACCCACACAGATCACTGTTTTGTTTTTCCATGAAGTTTCTAGTACTCAGAGAGGTTTCTTTTCTTTAAGGACATTTATGTATATTTTGTTATCACTATTTATATTTTCTCTATTGTTGCTATCTGTTTGTAGTAGAGAGACTGTATATGTGTAGCTGTGAACTTAGTATATACTATTACCAATCAAAAGAGCTAGATTTGAAATAAAAATATTTCTAGGCAAGGCACTCTTTAATACTAGCTTTTCCCCCCTGCTTCATCTATACAACCCACTCAGTTTTAAAGTTTTTTGACATATTCTTTGATGCCCTCCTGATTTTATGATGGGAATACTTTTTGTCTGGAAAGGTTACTCAACAATAACTTTTCAAACTGATATCGAGCCCTGTGAGTAATTTGAACAAGAAATAAAGTTGATTCTATCTATTATTATCTAAGACATTTTATAGATCTGGTGATGTTGGTGGATGCTGGTTAGAACAGTTATTTGTCTTATTTATATAGCCACAACATCACAAGCTTGGATGTTGATCTGATAATGACAGAGAAAGGCTGCAGAAATTGAAGGACATGTTTGAAATGAATGAAGCACTCAAAAAGCAAAAACTCATGACTATATTACCGGAGGAGGGAATGAGGTGGACCAGCAAGTGATTTCTGACCAGTTTCTAATTTCAATTTTAACCACATTAAAGAAGCTCTTCCTTCTTTCCTAGTCTAATTAAACTTATGCTTCCCCCTCCTCCATCCCCTTAATTTACAGGGCTGGCCTTGAGAACTCTAGTAAGCGGCGGGTGAAAAGCTGCTAAATAAATAGAGCAGCTCTCCTCACTATAGGAACTCACTATAGTCAGGGATTTTACTTGTTTAAACTTAGATAATAAAAACAAATAGTCACCAAATCAAACAATAACTTTGCACTGGAATAGACTTTCCCCTAAGGTATTTCACAATATACATCTAAATAGCTAATATTTCATGCAACTTTTTTTCATTAACTTCTTCCTCTGAACAATCTACCGCATAACTGCAGGTACCCGAACAATTTTATATATATATATATATATATATATATACATACACACACATACATATATTTATATATTTACTTTAATCTATTACATTGCTTTTGAGAAAAAATACTGACATTTCTTTGAACATAATTCTATCTATGACTTTGAGAAAAATTAAAAATAAACACAGAAAATTGTATTTGATAAACAATTTTTTTTAGAAATCTATAATCTTGAATGGATTGTAGATCTACATAAGACAACTGTGAAAAATACAGATCTTGGGATCACTTGGTATTGGATTAAAATTCTGTCTCCATAACTGACTTAGGCTTTGTATGAATCATTCATCTCTAGGGACCAGTATTCTCATTTAGCTGATGAGAATAATAACCTATTCATACGGTTGTGGTGGAGATGAAAGCAAAATATCTAACATGGTTTATAGCCTGGCTGACCATATATCATAGTTTTCCCTGGAAAATCTGGATTGAAACCTTAATATTAACCCACATTCAAAATGTCATTTGTGCAATAAATTATAATAGCAATATATGCTAATGAATTCAATCTTAATAGTATTTTTGAAGTAATTAGTTCATTTCTGTAAGCAATTATTCATTGACTTTGATTGGCTATAAGATACCAATAGCCCCCAACTTACAATGGTTCTCCTTATAATTGTTTGACTTTATGATGATGCAAAAACTATATGCATTCAGTGGATCATGAATGAATTACATAAGATATTCCACATTTTATAATAAAATAGGCTTTGTGTTAGATGACTTTTTCCAACTATGGGCTAATGTAAGTATTCTGAGCATGTTTAAGGTAGACTAGGCTAAGCTATGATGTTTGGTAAGTTAGGTGTATGAAATGCATTTCAACTTACAATATTTTCAACTTATGGGCTTATAAGGACATAACTACATCATAAGATCAGGATATATAATTCCTTTCCATCTTTGGGAGTTTCTGTAGGTGCTAGTCACAATTGTATCAACAGAAAAGACATTGATTTTGACACAAAATATATTTAAATAATTCAAACCAAGGATATATTTGTTTTGTTATTACACACACACACACACACACACACACACACACACAAGAATAAATTTGGAGAAAAAAATGTAGAAATTTAATTTAGGTCTGTAACAAGACAGATTGTGAAACCAAAGCAGTTCACTATAAAATGAAAGCTTCAGGATAGATAGGGTCTTAATGAAAAATGTAATTCTGATATTATCCTTGATACTGTGATGTTTTTGATTCAAATTTGAATAATAAACAAAAAAGATGACTTTATAGGCTGATTTTTTTAGTAAATCAAGAAAGACTGAGCATTGTAGCATATTGCATCGCTAGAATATTACTTCTGTAATTCTTTTTTATTCCTGTAACTCTGAAGGTAGATGCCTTTGAATTTATATTCATGAAAAAGGAGTTTCAATACTACTCATGTAATGTGTCACTGCAAATATCAGAAAGACTTTGCATTTCTGGAATCTTACCTGGCTACTTCTTGTTAATGATGTATTCCTGAGAGACCATTTGTTTCTGATAAAAACGTATGAGTTTAAATTCAGATGATGTTCTTTGACAATATCTATCCATTGCCCTTTTGATGGAATAGCAATTTCGCAAAATTTAAAATTTTGGTCACATTTGTTCCCTGAAAATCTTGTTGATATTTGCTCCAGCCATCCTTTTGTGGAGAATGTTACTATGGAAAAGTCAGAACTAAGCCTGGTTTATCCTTCTTGTAGTTGACTTGAAGATTTGCTAGGTTGCCTTTGGGATTATTTATCTTTCAAGTCAATTAACTGCCCCAGGCAGTATGTCAGTATTGACTGAACTGTACCATTTTTTTCTTGAACTTTTAATCCAAAGATTTGTTTTTCTCCATTTTAGGAATGTCATATTGAAGTATATATTTGACTGCTTTGTTTCATTTGTTCTGTTTGTGGGGAATGTTAAATATTCATATTTTGAGTCATTTTTATTCTCTATTATCTATCAATTTCTTTCTAATTTTCTCCTAAACCATCTGTTCTTTATATGTTTTAGTATGCACACTTTTTTATAACTGTCATAATGTCATAAATAACTTCTTTGTTATATATAACTGTCATGCTGTCATATATAATAACTTTTTTTTAAATCTGTGTCTATTTTCTTTTCATATTTATCCAGGTAAGCTTAATTTCTCTGACCTTACTTTCTCTTCCTTATTTTAGCTCTTCCTGTTCAGTGATTACCTCCTTGTGTTACCATTTCATCCCAGAACTTTTTGTTTCTAAAGTTTGATAACATAAAGGACATTCTAAATATGTTTAACTCTCTATAATAATGTTTCTTTATATTTTTACTTCTTTTTGGCAATAATCCTCCTGGTGTGCATGTGTGTGTGTGTGTGCTTGTGCATGCACATGTGTGTTTTGTCATTTTATGGATATTTAGGGTTTTTATGCTGCCTCTATAAGAGGCAAAAGTATTGCTGTGTAGTTATATTGATTTTTTATTTGTTCATTTTAAATAAAGGGAAATCTTAACTCTTTTATTTTTAGAGAAATACATAAGGCAGGACCAGAGTAAATAAGTGGAGATAACAGAAATCTTAAGTAGTTGACAGACTGAGTTTTATGCTATTTTCTATGGAAATTACTTAGCAGTATATCCTAGGAGTGTAAATTTGTTCTAGGTATAAGCAGTCTTCCCATGCACACAGAGGAATCTTCTGTCAGACAGGTTTGTGTTTCACATGTGTGTGAACACATGTGTGTGTAGATCACCTCACACACACTTCTCTCAAACTGTTGGACATGTGACTGCTTTCCACCCACAGAACTTCCTCTACTTCAATACATCAAGAACCTAAATTTTTTTTAACTGTAACTGCTTGACTTGTTTTAATTTAGTCGTCTTTTTGCCATTTATTATATTAATGATAGGTATCAAGGTGCCTTCTATAACATGCAAATATGTTATTAATTTATTCCAAAATAGGGATTATTGGTTTTACCTGCTGTGCAGTAAAGTCCTAACTCAGCAGGCTTAGCGTATTCAAATTCTGCATGTTCGAAAGAAAGGCCTGGCCTTTGATCCACTCTTGCGAGATGATAACTTCTAAGTTCTTAAAATGATAAGTGTGTTTGCATACCTGTAGTCTTGGAACATACCAGGTAGTTTATGATAACAATGCACTTCATGGTGGAAAATTTGGGATACACTGTATCAGTTTGGTCTCTGGAGGGACTGAAGGGTGAAGACCCAGTAAATAGGATCAGTAGTAACACAGGCACTACATGGTTTTATAAACAAACCTTAATAATAATAAAAAAAAACCCTGGACACCAAGAGTCTGGTTAGCTTCCCTGGTTGGCAATACTATATGTGCTGTTACCCCTCACCGCTGGCAGAATTAAGCACTGTCTACATTATTCCAATGGAAAAAGATAATGGTAAGCTTCTGCCTATTCTCTCCTTGACTCTTTCCTATGTGTCTTTTCCTTTTTGCTGGTTTTTATCTGTATTTTTTTGGCTTTTGTTTGCAGTACAAACCCACAATTGTGAGTATAAACAGATTTTCTGAGTGATAACTACTTCTAGTGACTCATCCAACCAGAGGATGACCTTGGGGACCTATGGTACACCCACTGTGCATGCCCATTACTTTGACACAACCACTCCTTGCCATGTAAACCTGAGACTTCTGGGCACTCTTCCCTAGTAATTCGATTTGGCTGTACTTAGTGGCTTTTCTTCAGACATTCTTTTTCAGAATGTTTTGTTTCACTGCTAAAGATGATGCTCTGTAGATGTTTGTTGTTTTCAGATTGTGTTTGGATAATTTTAGAAAGGCAAGGTTCACACACAGAGGCATCTTTAAAAGTGAAACACAAAAATGGACTCTTTGGGATATGTAAAGCTATGATACCTGAAAAACTGGAATTTCTTATATAAGTATTAAAATATCTCCAATTTAAAAAGTTCAGTAATTGATTAATAATTCATCATCCTTTTAATAATTTTTTTAAATCACCCAGTTGCTCAAATTTGTGTAGAAGTTCACTGAAAAGCAATGTGCTGTTTATGACACACACACTCTAACATATTCACTAAGAGTGTTTTCTCTGAACTCAAATAACCTGGTTGAAAATTTTGTCTTTGCCATATGTTATCGCTGTAACATTGGAGAAAAACTTGACCTCTCTATACTTTAATTTCCTTATCTGTGAAATTAAGACACAGCTTATAAGTATTTTGAATTTGTTTAATGGGATGAAATACATATATGTAATACTAAAAAATCTAGGCATAGGATAAGTTCTTAAGAAATGTTGATTATAATAAAATTATTGAAGGTTTTCATTAATGACAGTCTTAAACCTAAAGCAAGCTATTTATGAAACTATCTAATCCAAATATCATTTTATCTTAAAAGCAGATATCTTTCCATAAAACAAAACATACATAGTTTATGATAATTATTTTATAGTACTTTTAAATTTATCAAAGTAATTTACCAACACATTATTGATGTGGCTCATCAAACTAATTTTTGAAACAAAATGTATTTCAATTAATCATAATGCCAAGATATTCTACTATTAGGACAACAAGAAGAAAAGTTAATTTTAGAACTTTAGAACAAGGGAAAAGTGAAAGTTAATATACTGTAAGTGACCACTTTCTCTGAAAGTCCTAGCGCCTCCCTGGGTGTTATTTTCTTATGACCACCGTCACTATAATGCTAGACTAATGTTATGATGATCACGGTTTCCAAAGCAATCCCCCACAACTCCAAGAACCACAAACAAAAAGCCAGCTGCAGACCTAGAGAGAGGTATACATAAACACCATGAGTTCCTAAATTCCCAGTTGCTTAATAACTGCAGTAGTACAAAGTGTTAATGGTGATGATGATAATTCATTCATGGAATCACAGTTAGTGGGAATACATGATCACGAGTAGACAAGAAAAGAAATATTTTTTTCTGAATTTCTGAAAGACAAAAGCTACTATTGTTTAATTTATAGTTGGAGTTATGATTAAGAGTTGTAAAATGATACAATGACACATACATAAACATTGTTTCAAGGTTCGTTGTCTATCATTTACTGGCTTTCTTCTAAGAAATTAGAAAAATGTTCATCATAGAAGATTCTATGCTTAGTCATGATAACTAAGACACATAAGTATAAGATTACCATTAATTCAGTGGCCCTCAACCAGAAATGATGTTAATATCTAGAGGTAAAGAGATGAACATGCCTTACCCCCAAGAAGCTTACAGCCTATCCGGGGAGAAAAACACATGGTTGGGCCAGGTGCAGTGACTCATGCCTGTATTCCCAGCACTTTGGGAGGTCGAAGCCGGCAGATCACTTGAAGTCAGGAGGTTGAGACCAGCCTGGCCAACATGGCAAAACTCCATCTCTACCAAAAATACAAAAACATAGCTGTGCGTGATGGCACAGGCCTGCAATCCCAGCTACTCGGGATGCTGAGGCGGGAGAATCACTTGAACCCGGGAGGTGGAGGTTGCAGTGAGCTGAGATTGCACCACTGCACTCCAGCCTGGGTGACAGAGTGAAACTCTGTCTCAAGAAATACAAAACAAAACAAAACAAAACAAAACAAAACAAAACATGCTTTCCCAAATGTAACTAAATGTTAAAGCTTTGATTCATAAAATAGAAACGTTTTGTTACTGTAGGAGTACAATAGACAATTTTAAGAGATTAGGAAAGATTTCGTGAAGAGATGGGTGAGGTTATTCCTGAAAGGTAAAACATAATCATGAATTACCATTACCAGTTAATTACCAGTTACCATGCATTATCAGTAAAAAAAAAAAAAAAAAAAAAGGCATTGAGTACACAAAAAACAAAGTGTCTGTAAGTTTTATACCTAATGGTGTACATTTCTAAGTAAAAAATAGCTACCATCATAATAATTACCTTTAAACATTCTAATCAATTTGAAAACTGATTTGACTGATTTTTCTTACATTGCTTGCTTAACAGTCCCAATGTCATCCCAGATTATAACAAAATTTATTACACTGGTGTCAGTAAAACTATCTCAAATGGCCCAAAGTAAAAACAAAAATTTGAGATATTAAATGTTAATTTTTATTAGCACAAATGTGAATTCAATTAATGGTTTTCTTTTTTAAAATAAAAGCAGAAATATTTGTAAGATACAAAAAATGGAAAATAGAACATAATGTAGATTTACTTAGGCATTACAAATTTTTGAATACCCATGAAGTATTGAAGGGGTTAAAACTGTAATTGATTTAAACTTTCTGTTATATTTCTGTAGCTGTAATAGTTTTCAATATTTCAAAAATAAAATCATACTAATTTTGTTATGTGTTATTCTATTGTACACCAGTTTCTGAGAGAAAACATGATTGTATAGCCAAAGGCCTTTAAAATTAATTCATCCAGGTAAATTTTCTTTGTATATCATATTAAATATGTAATTTGCAGCAAAGGACAGGTCCTTTTGGGTTTAATCTGAACTTTGAATTTTGAATCTCAGAATAAAATTTATTTGAGCTGAATCTTACAAATCAAAATATCTTCTACATGAACATGGAGAATATAAATATAAATGCAAAGATATTTGTATTATATTTACAAAAACGTTCTTTGACCTCTATTTAGTTGTGTAGAATTGATATTCTGAATTATACCTGCCAGCCTTTGGCACTGATGAGAATTCTATCTCAAGGATATAATAGGCTAATGCCTCATGACAATAGGGCAAAGGATTAGAGTCCTATTGGAGATTATGTATTTGTCAGTTTTGTGCATTTAGTTTGAGCAATGTGTGGAAGAAGTAAAATGTGAATGTTCATATGTTGTGCATAGCTCATACTCAAACTACAGTGAAAATGTAATAAAATTTGTTCCATGAGTACATGCCTAATTTGTGTTTAAACCTGCATAAACAATTTATGATTATGTCAGTCATTATACAAGAGTCAATCACATAATTTCATTGCAGTTTTTCAGTCTAAACAGCTTTGGTAGAGACCGTTTGAATTGCATCTCTACGCTCTTTCTACCCAGGACCCCTCCATGAGCAAAGCTGCCCCTTGCCCAGTTTTTCCCATATCACTCAAAATTCACTGCATCAGTCTCTTACTTGCAGCTTTTTTAGGGGGAGGACAATTCCAGTAGGCTCCTAAATCGTTTGCCTGTTTCTACACCCCACATGGCAGCCGGAGTATACGTTTATAAATATAAATGTTCACTCCTTTGCTTAAGACTTGCCATAGGATTTCCAATAAAACAGGAATAAAATTCAACTGTTTTCTTCACTTCGGTCTCAATTGTCTCAATTCTCCAAGCTTATTTCCTGTTACTCTCATCCTCATGCTGTGTTCTAGCCACCTGCAGTCGCTAGCTATTTCTCCATCTTGCCCAACTTGCTCCCTCTCTTGCGGCTCTTGTAGGTGCTTCCTGAGTTTCTGAAACATTCTTCCCTAGATCCTCAAGAAACGTCTCATATTTTAAAACTTTGAACAATTGCCATCTAATAGAGAGGAGTTTTAGACAACAATATCTAGCATGTCCATCCGAGTGAGACAAGTTTTACTGTGCTCTTCATTGAATTATTCGGGTTAATTTTTTCCTAAAAGTTATCACTTTTGAGAATCCTTAATTTTAAATAGTTATTAATTTATTTGCTAGCTTTTTATTTGTTTTCCTGGACTTGATTTTTCCATTTTTCTTAGTGCATAGAGCAATCAATAAATATTTGTCGAATTTATATACGAATGAATAAATGTTACATTATGTGACAATTTATAAGAACAGGTTAATATTTGCTCTCATTTCCAAATTATGCTGCCTGACGGTGATTAAGAAATTCTAAATCAGATGTTATGAATTAACCTATGTATTTTGCTTATTTTTTGTTGCTCATGAAAAAGAAGCATGCAGTGAACTCTCCTTCACATTCTTTCTGTGTAGTCACACACACACACCCTCTTTGCCCTACAATTCAGAAAACACTTCCAATAATGTATACTGTCTGGTTTAACATTTAAGTTTTACATTTGTTAATAATAAATAATAATTAGTTCATAATTTTGCTATTATATTAATATATTTCATATGTCTTAATCATCATAAATTTATTATTAGTGTAGGCAGGGAGGGAAATGAATCACTAATTTCTAAAAATACCTTCAACATAGGTAAAATATAAATTACTTTAATTGAGGTAAGTTTGTTGCCCTGAAAAGAATATTTCACTTGAAGACAATTTGTTTGATATTGAATTGTTTGATGCATATCAGCCAAATTCTGGCTAACCACCCACTAACCAATGGTCTAAGTAAGTAGACTTTTGCTTGAATCTACCTAACCTGAACATAGAAATTTCACAATATATTATTCTGGAGTTAAATGATATAATTTGAGTGGTGGCATCTGACACAATTGAGGCCCTCAATACATATTTTTTTGTATCATCTATAGCTATTAGTCATTTCTCCTTCTGAAACTGCTAATATAGCCATTGCCTAATTACTATTATTTTCTATGTTTAAAATATGTTTACTTATAAGGTTCGTTTGATAGGCAATAAAATAAAATAAAACACAAAATATAAAAATTGACTCAGTAACAAAGATTCTAAGTTACATATTTAAAGAAAACCAGTGATATAAAACCGTTATTATTGGCCAATGTTTTTATTTTGCTAACTGGATACACATATTACCTGCATCCATGAGGAACTTCTACCATGAGAAAATGTATACTATCTCTGTGAAACAAATGACTTTTAAATAGCAGGAACCTATTCTATAGTAGAGCCTTCATCACTATATAGGTTCTCTTTATAGCAATGCAAGAACGGACTCATACACTACTGACATATCATGAGCTGTGCTACAGCCAGACATGCATGGCATGGAAATGATGTGTCTGGCAGGAGCCATTTGAGTGAACTTGAAGTATGTCCTATGCAGTTGAGCCTTCAGATGACCCACAGTCCTGACACTTCGATTGCTACCTTGTGAGAGAGATTTTGAGCTAGAGGACCCAGAAAGCCATAGCAAGTTCCTGATGCACAGAAGCTGAGAGAAAAAATGTTTGTTCTTTTAGGCTGCTATGATTTGGGGGTAATTTGTTACACAGGTATAAATATCTAGTATATGGCCTGATCTAGAACATTAACGTAGTATATATTAGACATCCTTTTAGTGCAATTGTATGAATATCTTTAAATATTTAGTTAAGTTTTTATATTTCTAGATTTGGAATATAAATTACCAAAATTCCATTGAGAAAGTTTGTGCAAATAACTATAATAATATATGCTCTTTTAAGTTTTTTAAGTGCAATAAAATGATATAGCAAAAAGCTACAATTCAGAAGCCACCAGAAATATATTAGGTATATATTTTATAGGCTGTTACAATCATCTCATCCATTTGTGAGGAATTTCATTAATTTGTTGCAAAAGCAACAAGTTTGCAGATTACATCTGAGGTTATCTTAGCAATTGGATTAGTTGTATGCCTAATACCTTTCTAGTGGACCTCCAAATCAATTTTTTTTAACATCATTTCTTCCTCCTAAGTACACTGTTGAATTAGAGATATCTGCTCACTGCTGGGACACCAGATTATCTCGATGTTCTTTCTGTATACTGCTTAACCTATAATGACTCCCTTCTTTTCTGACACTCCTTCCTTTACCTAAACTGTCTAAATGTTATAATACCTTAGTGTTTATTTTTCTTTTTGTAAGTCTTCTCCTTTTTTCTGCTCCGCCATCTTTAGGTGTTCTTGCCTAATCCTAGAGCTATACTAATTTATGATAATAAATAACAAATTTTCTGCTTTAGATTAGGCCTGTATCCTGCAGGTCAGACATACATACATATATAAACACTTATCCAATATCTCTACTTAGAAATCCAACAGATATCTCACAATGTAATGTATATAATTTAACTGAAGTTCTTGATTTTCCCCTACAAATGCATTTCTCTTCCAAACTCCTATAACAAAGTAAATGGTACTATCTAATTGCTTATTCTAAAATCTTAGAGTTATTATTGATTCCTCTATTTTATTCGCCATACTCATACTATCTTAAAAATATGATTCTAATCTGTTTAATTTTCTCCATCTTCCCTTTACCTTCTAGTCTAAACTAGCACTACATCTCACTAAGATTACTGTAATACTCTCCTATCTGATTTTTCCATTTTCTCTCTTGCCCCTCAACAATCCATTTTCTGACCAATAACCAGAGTTATTATTTTAAGGAACAAATATGATCATGTCACTCCCTATATAAACCTTCAGTGGTTTGTCATTTATCTTAGAATAAGTTTACTTGTTTACCCTAGCTTAAAGGCTCCAACCTATCTCTCCGACTTCATTTTCTGTTACTTTTTACCTTGTTAATTATGCTCTATCACCCATAATTTACATGATATTCCTCAAAAATGCGAAGCCTTTTTCCTACCCTACTTCCTTTGCTCCTGATGTATTATCTTAGAATATTCACACAAGTCTTCAAAGCTGCTTTATTTTATTGCTCTAAGTCTCATTAAAAATGTTTCCTTGGCCAGGCATGGTGGCTCATGCCTGTAATCCCAGCACTTCGGGAGGCTGAGGCGGACGGATCACAAGGTCAGGAGATTGAGACCATCTTGGCCAACGTGGTGAAATCCCATCTCTACTAAAAATACAAAAATTAGCTGGGTGTGGTGGTGCATGACTGTCCCAGCTACATGATAGGCTGAGGCAGGCGAATCGCTTGAACCCAGGAGGCAGAGCTTGCAGTGAGCCGAGATCAGGCTACTGCACTCCAGCACTCCATTCTGGCGACACAGCGAGACTCCATCTCAAAAAAAAAAAAAAAAAAAAAAGTTCCCTTTTTAGAATTTGCTACTTAGTGAGTATTTGCCACTCACTCTGGCTGCTTAGCATTTTTGAATCCATTTCCTGTTTGGAGAATTTCCTACTTGTTGTGACTCCCACTTCCACAATATGTAAACCAGAAAACATACTTTACCCAGCTCCACTGAGGATGTGTCACTAGCATGTGACCCAGTCCCACCAGTTAAGCATACGTACCTATACAAGACTTCTTATGCCTAATGTTGGTAATGCTTTCCCCCCACCTCTCTTTTTCCCCATATTCTCTTGTAATAGAAGTTACATCCACACATGGTTCAGCATATTTGATGATTACATTGTCCACACTCCCCTGTGGTACATCAGGGCCATGTGATTAGATTCTGGCAAATGACATGTAAGAAGTGTCCATGAAAGGGAAGGAAGACTGTCTCCTTTCTATATGACATGTTTCTTCAAACCAGTATACAAGACATAAACTGGACCCCTATATTGAGAAGACTAGAGTGCAAGATAAAAGGAGTTTGGTTTCCTGAGTCCCTGTAGCTGTCATGTCAGCTTACACTCAGACTGCTGTGCTTGAGAGAAACCTCATTCTTCTTTGAGCTTTTGTCATACAGTACTGGCATCTTTGTTGCAGCAGCTGGTATCTGCATCCTAATTACTACTCTCCAGTCCAGAAATAAACAAAATGAGAATGCAAAAGCTGCTGCTTTGTTTGGTTTGTTTGTTTTGCAAAGATCGTAGCAGAGATGTCCAGTTTAGACAGTAGATTTCTCTATTATTGTTTGTCGCACAGAAGAACGTTCACATTTGCAGTTAAAGCAGTCAAGCTTAGTTCTTGGTTTAGAACTATTTGGCATTCTCAATTTCCTCTTGAGACCTCATTTGCAGTGTTTTATTAGTATGTTTTGTTTTGTTTCTGGAAGCTTAGTCTCAATCTAGTAATTCAACCTTTCCAAGAATTCTGAATTAGCCAGTACACTTTTTCTATTTATTCAGTCAAAGTCAGCTTCTATTGCTTACAACTGAGAGTCCTGATGCAGACACCCTGCCTGGAATTGTGGCTAAAACGGGTCTCTCCAGTACTCTCCATTCCATTATCCAGTTTATTTATTTGAAAGCCATTACCACATTTCTTTATTAATTAAGTATAAATTTCACAGATTATAAACTTAGCTGTTTCTGAGAGGTAACTTTGTCCAGTGATTTTTACTTAGTTTCTATCCTAAGTATCACTGTGCTCGGGACAGAAAATTTCAATTTAGTCAAGGGCAAACCAAGGCATTTTGTGGGCTTTCTCAGTCAATATGCGTATTTCCCACCTTGTGTCTTGCCAGGGTGTTGTCTTAAATTTGGGGGAATTACAAAGACAAGCCATAGACTGCACGGAGTTTTTGGAGAAAGCAGGGAGGACGTTCGTCCAAGGTAGCACACAGGAGAATTTTAATGCTCTTCTAACCCACTCTGGGAGCTAGGAAATTAGTTTTATCTCCCTAACGCTCTAAATTGGTCTTAGCCCCTATACTCTTCGAAATTTCTTCTCCATCCTCCCAATTGAATTAATTTTATTTTGTCTATTGTTGAGAAACTGATTTACACTATCTTGTAATTTGCCCATTTTAAAGTACATTTTATAAATTTCAGGTCCTGAGACTTTCGGAATTTGGCTTTTGAAAATTTCACCTTTGGAAACTGAAAAACATTTTGTTCTCTAAGCTCATCTCTGTCACAAGTCTCAGAAGCCTCATTTTGACACTAACATCAAAAGTTGAATCTGTACTTCATTTAGACATTTCTCCTGTGACTATCCTTCCCTGAGACTCAAAGTCAGATGCCAAGTAACGTGGTCTAGAAGAGCCATTTAGGGAAGGTTGTGAAGGAGGAAACACATGGGTAATTTTTCAATATAATCCACTCAAAATTATCCTATTTGACATTTATTTGTTTATTGAACCCCAACACATCACTATAAATAAAAGATACCCCTGACTTATTCATTGAACTATCTCCATTATAGTACCTGTCACTTAGTATGCACACAAATATTTAGAGAAAATTTCTGTAGTTAAAATAGTCTTTCAGTAGATCAGTTTTGATTTTGCCTCTATACTCATCTGTAAAATACCTTGTAAAAAATAGTACTAAAATCAATAGAATACTGTGTCATGCTAATTTGTTGGATTCATTGCAAGCTAATAATCAATTAAGGAACTTAATTCAACCTGTCAATTCTAGAGTATTCAGTAGGTAGACATAATTAGATGATAAGTATATTGAGAGGAAGCACTCATGCTTCATTCATCTTTCTAGTCCCCACAATGACTGTACCTGAAGCAAATACTTAATAAATGCTACCAAATTAGCTGAGTTATATTCATATATTCACTAGATATTAAGTGTTTTACACTATTCCAGACATTATTTTAAACTTTAAGAAAACAAGACAAATCACATGAGAAGAAGCCATTCATGGTGGAGGTGGTTGTGAGGGTTCTCCCTTCAGCAAAGCTACCTGAGGGGCTGTTGAGGGCAGCTCCAGGCCAATACGTGCTGTATGAGCCACATGCTAGAGAACCTCATTCATCAGGGGTCTGGAAAGAACATATCTTATTGAGTGCACAATAATTTGTAATTATTATATTTCTAATGAAAAATATGTATAAAATATATGTGTTTATATACAATTCTTTTTATAGGTTAAAATTTATCTATTTTTCTTAGTAAAATCAATGTCAGATTTTCTTGGTCTAATATTAATTACACTTAGTTTTTTGTGTTTGAATCATATATCCATTTACCTTGTTTATTTCAAACTGTCTTTAGTATTATATGCTATATGTGTTTCTTATAAACAGCCCATATTGTGATTTAGGTGTTTAATTTTCTTTGTCCTGTCTGATAGTTCTTCACTTTAATTGAAGTGTTAATCAGTTATTTGGACACTGGCTAATTCCACCAGAATAATATTTTGTCTCTTATTTCTCCCTTGTCCCTTTGTCCTTTTTTTAATGGCTAATTTTTTTTATGAAAAAGTTTTATCACTTCATTTTCCCCTCTTAAATTTGAACACGGTAAACTTTTATACTATTTTTGTTGGCTACTCTAGAGATTAAAGAATGCATTTTAAAATAATTTTTACTGAATTATAAATTTTGAAGGAAAACTCATGAGTGATAAATGTTAAGTTGGTGAATTATCCCCAAGTGAATCTCCTTGTCTACCTTTGTCCCGAAGTTGTACCTTATCAAAACTTCAAAACAGCTCCTCGGGATTCTCCAATTTTCTACCTTCTGTGTATCTCAGAAGTATTAACTGCATACTAATTGTGAATTATAATTAAAAGGTATTCACTATTAAAATTAACATGAGAAATTAGTTTTTACCTGTTTTAAATGTGTGTAAACGAAAACAATATGTTTAGTACACCTTACTTCTTGCTTCCTTTCTCACTATAATATTTGCTACTCATCCACGTTGTTTTGTGTAGCCATAGCTCATTTATTTTTCTTCCTATAATATATACCATTATATCAATACACCACAATTTATTTCTCCTTTTTACTCATGATGGACATTTCATTAATTTCTAGTTTTAGGCTAGTTCAAACACTGGTATTCTGAACAACTTTTAGATATGCCTTTTGGTGCCCATGCACACAGGTCTGTTAATATATACCAAGGAGTAAAATGAGTGGTTTTAGATATGCCTAACTTCAATTTCAGCTGATGTGCTATAGTGATGCTATTACTTTACCTTCCACCATATTTGTATGAGTATTCCTGTTGCTTCACATTTCACTGGTTCCATGGTAATGACAGTCTTTAACTTTACTGATGTTACCAGTATACAGTTACATATCATTGCGGTTTTAATTTGTATCTATCTGATAAATTATGAACATCTTTTTTATTTCTACATTGATCATTTCAGTATTATCTTTGGTGAACTGTCTTTTCCAATCTTGTGCCAAGTTTTCTATTTAGTTGTGCTTCTTTTACTTTTTGCATTTTGTGGTGAACTTTTAATCTTTTTTTTTTTTCGCTATGAGTTTTGTTGGCTAATTATGCTTAAATTACCTCTGTCCATTTCATGGCTTTTTAAAAAATCTCTTTTACCAGTATATTTTATGAATATAAATTCTTAATTCTAATAGAGACAAGTCTGTCAATGTTTTCATATTTGTATATTATTTAATAATTCACTCCCTAACTTGAAGTCATGAAAATATTATGCCATTTTGTATAAAGTTTACTATTTTATTTTATTTATTATTATTTTTAAAATTTTTATTTTTAAGTTCCAGGCTACATGTACAGGATGTACAGGTTTGTTACACTGGTCAACGTGTGCCATAGTGGTTTGCTGCACCTATCAACCCATCACTTAGGTATTGAGCCCAGCGTGCATTAGCTATTTTTCCTAATGCTCTTCCTTCCCCACCCTACTCCCTGTCAGGCCCCAGTGAGTGTTTATCCTGTCCTTGTGCCCATGTGTTCTCATCGTTCAGCTCCCACTCATAAGTGAGAACATGTGGTGTTTGGTTTTCTGTTCCTGCATTACTGTACTGAGCATTATAGCTTCCAGCTCCATCCATGTCATTGCAAAGAACATGATCTCATTCCTTGTTAAGGCTGCATAGTATTACATGGTGTATATATACCACATTTTCTTTATCCAGTCTATCATTGATGGGCATTTGAGTTGATTCCATGTCTTTACTATTGTAAACAGTGCTGCAGTGAACATATGTGTGCATGTATCTTTGTAATAGAATGATTTTTATTCCTTTGGGTATATATCCAGAAATGGGATTGCTGGGTCAAATGTTATTTCTGGTTCTAGATCTTTGAGGAATCACCACACTGTCTTCCTCAATGGCTGAACTAATTTACATTTCCACCAACAGTGTAAAAGTGTTCCTATTTCTCTGCAACCTCACCAGCATCTGTTTTTTCTTTAATTTTTAATAATCACCATTTTGACTGGCATGAGATGGTGTCTCATTGTGGTTTTGATTTGCATTTCTCTAACGATCAGTGATGTTGAGCTTTTTTCATATTTGTTGGCTGCATGAATGTCTTATTTTGAGACATGTCTGTTCATGTCCTTTGCCTACTGTTTAGTGTTTTTCTTTTCTTGTAAGGCATGCTTGTGACTTTTGCACATTGATTTTTTCTTGTGAGACTTTGCTGAAATTGCTTATGAGCTAAAGAAGCGTTAGCAGCACACCAGCATGGCACATGTATACACACGTAACTAACCTGCAAGTTGTGCACATGTACCCGAAAACTTAAAGTATACCAAAAAATAAAAACAAAAACAAAGCCTTAAGAAGTCAGCCTGACATTAGGAATTGCTTTTTGTTTAGCAGTACCTGCCAATATTGGATAATATGCAAGTGCCCTTTGAAGCCAAGAATGTCTCTGGAGAGAGTATTGAAAGACACATGAGACTAGAGTAAAAATCTGTTTTTCATGTCCCATCGTTTGAATAGGGTTCCCATAGAAACACATTGTGAGAAAAAAGGCAACCTGAAAAGGGAAAACTAAAACAATATTCATTGGGATAAAAGTGTAGGTTTGCATCACCAGTTTTTAAAATTTTCTGATTGAAATTAAATAATATTATTAAATAAAGCTTACTGTCTGCAAGAAATAAAGGTGAATCCTCACTACAGGAATATCACAAAATTTTCCATAGCTTCAAAATATTTATACAGTCACCAAAATAAAATTTGTAATAGTCTAATACAATTTATAATATTCAAAAATAACCACACACACAAAAGGCAAAGGGTGTAACTGAGAAACAAGAGAAACAAATGTCAGTTGAATGAAATTCACTGGAGGGCCAGTAAAATTATCAGATAAAGCAAGCGATTATACACCAATAACAGACAAACAGAGAGCCAAATCATGAGTGAACTCCCATTCACAATTGCTTCAAAGAGAATAAAATACCTAGGAATCCAACTTACAAGGAATGTGAAGGACTTCTTCAAGGAGAACTACAAACCACTGCTCAATGAAATAAAAGAGGGTACAAACAAATGGAAGAACATTCCATGCTCATGGGTAGGAAGAATCAATAACGTGAAAATGGCCATACTGCCCAAGGTAATTTATAGATTCAATGCCATCCCCATTAAGCTATAATTAAATGAAGTTTAATAGTGTAAATACATATATTTATAGGGAGACTGGAGGAAATATAAGTGAATTAAAATATCCAGTCTCAAGAAATTAGAAGAAAAGGAGAATATTGAACCCAAATGTAGAAAAATGTGATAAAAATAATTTTAAAAACAAACTAAATAACATAGAAAATTGTCAAAGCTAAAAGAAAATAAAGAACAAAAGTTTATTTTTCTTTCTTTTTTTTTTATTATACTTTAAGTTTTAGGGTACATGTGCACATTGTGCAGGTTAGTTACATATGTATACATGTGCCATGCTAGTGCGCTGCACCCACTAACTCGTCATCTAGCATTAGGTATATCTCCCGATGCTATCCCTCCCCCCTCCCCCCACCCCACCACAGTCCCCAGAGTGTGATATTCCCCTTCCTGTGTCCATGTGATCTCATTGTTCAATTCCCACCTATGAGTGAGAATATGCGGTGTTTGGTTTTTTGTTCTTGCGATAGTTTACTGAGAATGATGATTTCCAATTTCATCCATGTCCCTACAAAGGACATGAACTCATCATTTTTTATGGCTGCATAGTATTCCATGGTGTATATGTGCCACATTTTCTTAATCCAGTCTATCATTGTTGGACATTTGGGTTGGTTCCAAGTCTTTGCTATTGTGAATAATGCCGCAATAAACATTCGTGTGCATGTGTCTTTATAGCAGCATGATTTATAGTCCTTTGGGTATATACCCAGTAATGGGATGGCTGGGTCAAATGGTATTTCCAGTTCTAGATCCCTGAGGAATCACCACACTGACTTCCACAATGGTTGAACTAGTTTACAGTCCCACCAACAGTGTAAAAGTGTTCCTATTTCTCCACGTCCTCTCCAGCCCCTGTTGTTTCCTGACTTTTTAATGATTGCCATTCTAACTGGTGTGAGATGGTATCTCATTGTGGTTTTGATTTGCATTTCTCTGATGGCCCGTGATGATGAGCATTTTTTCATGTGTTTTTTGGCTGCATAAATGTCTTCTTTTGAGAAGTGTCTGTTCATGTCCTCTGCCCACTTTTTGATGGGGTTGTTTGTTTTTTTCTTGTAAATTTGTTTGAGTTCATTGTAGATTCTGCATATTAGCCCCTTTGTCAGATGAGTAGGTTGCAAAAATTTTCTCCCATTTTGTAGGTTGCCTGTTCACTCTGATGGTAGTTTCTTTTGCTGTGCAGAAGCTCTTTAGTTTAATTAGATCCCATTTGTCAATTTTGTCTTTTGTTGCCATTGCTTTTGGTGTTTTGGACATGAAGTCCTTGCCCATGCCTATCTAAAACCATAAAAACCCTAGAAGAAAAGTTTATTTTTCATAATAATAAATGTCACTGACTCTTTAAGAGAGAAGTAATTAACAACCAAAGAGAATAAATAGATAGTATGAGGTATAATTAAAATAAAAATAAGGGCATCATTATAGTTTCTATGTATACTAAAAATATTTAAAAAAAGAATTAAGAACAACTTTTTCCCAATAAGGTAGAAATTTAGAAGAAATTACCTGTTCCTAAAGAAAATCGTAACAACCAGAACTGACAGAAGAAATAGAAAACCTGATTATAAAACTACTAAATAAAATTGAATTTTCATCTCTTTCTCTAAGATTTTAGAGTTTATTGTCATTGAGAGTAACTATACAGAGAGTTACTATATATATTGACAAGTGTTATGCAAATAAAGACACCAAAGAGTAAGAAAGAATTATGAAAATAATTGTAAATCAGCCAGGTACTATTAGAGAATTCTTCCCCAAGGAGTTAATTAGAATTGGCACTCGAATGAGTAGGAGCTAGTCAGGTAAAGAAAAGTGAGTGAGAGTTCATGTGTGAGCATTGATCCAGAAACAGGAAAGAACAAGATTAGATACTAAGTTAAATCAAATGATAATTTGGGTTTGTGAGGGGGACTGAAGAGACACAGAAGCCTCATCTCTAGGGACGTTTGTAATATATAAAATAATTTAGATTTCTGTCTTTAACACAATGTAGAAGTATTAAGTATTTTAGACAGGAAAATGAAAAGATTTTATTTTTATTTGAGAGACTAAATCCAGGAAATAAATTAGTATGTATGAAATTAATAGATGAATGGTAGTGACTCAGATGATAACCATTGATGTTGTGCGATATTAAGAGATGAAATGCAGAATAATTTGTAATATATTGAATAAAGAAAAATTGAAAAAGATGTCAGGAATGACTAGAGTTTTTCTGGGGTGAATGACATACAATTAAAAAGAATGGGGGAGATCTAGTAGGAGAAATCAGTTTAGAAAGTGCGGGGAAAAGTTTTCATTTCAAATGAATTGTTGTTTAGTCTGGAGTTCAGCAAATCCTTGTTTTGAATCATCTGGCATAGTAATTCAGAAAGAAAGCCCAATTGATCTCAAATGAATATTAATATAAAACTGTAAGAAATACTCACAGTTTATCAGGGGAAACAATTAGCCTGTATCCAGACCAGCCTAGTTTATAATTTGGTATTTAGATATGCATCTGCAGAGATCTTAACAAATGTCTATGTAGACAGGCATCAGGCTTTCCTTTCTTTCCCTTTTTTCTTTCCTCTATTCCTTCCCTCCTTCCTTCTATTTTTTCTTATTTTCTTTTTCCTAGGTCAACAGAATCAAGAAAGCCAAATAAATACTATATAATGGAAACCTTATCATGTTATATGATCTTACTTTGAATGGGCTTCATGAATATATATATATATATACGTACATACATATAATTTTACTCAGGGTATTCTTTGTTTTGGAAGTCTTTTTTAGACTAAACTGTATAAACTTAGGCACAATGTACACCTTAAGTTGCATGATGTTAAATTACATGTTTTCTTCATTCCTCAGGTTAAAAAAATTTTATATAGGGCATTCAATTAATATTATACTCTCAGATAGTGTCTTGAGAGATAATTGTGGTTGGGTAATCCTTGCCTTAAGTAAAAATTTGATTCACATTCTCAAATCTGTTTTATCTGTATATGTCAATCACATTATTCTTCTTACCATTTAGATGATGCAGTTTTGGTTGCAGTATGGATACTGACCTAAAGGCATCAAAATGAACAATGCCTCTTGAAATAATGTGTAAATGAGAATAGTTACTGATTCAAATGTGACAATTCAGTATTGCTATGAAGCAAATGATGCTAGATTAATATCAGATAGGAAGAAAAACACTTACTGTAAATTGTCATAAGAATTAAAGAAAGGCAAATAGGTAACATCTAAATCAGATAAATGTTTTAATTCCTGGAAACATTTTTCTTCAGTATTTGTAACACAAAACATTCACAGGATTTATGGTTATCTGAAGGGCTTTTTGGAGAAAATGTTAATAAATACCCTTTAAGAAAATTTCAAAACAAATTTGAATTCTGCTGTTACGGTGTTATTATTATTCCAACGGTGTTATTATTATTCCAGTATTCCAGTGTACCTACGTTTTATGTTTTTTAGATTACACATTTCTGAAAAATGAAACTTAAAATGTTACACATCCACAAACAGTACTTATACTGTTGTTATTATTACATTTAACTGATGTTGACCTACTGACTGAAATTTGCTTCCACGCATACTGGCATAATTTTGATTATCGTAACTTGCAGTTGAATACCTAAAAATTGCATTAGCAATAGAAGTTTTTATCAGGGACTGGCTGGGCGCAGTGGCTCACGCCTGTAACCCCAGCACTTCGGGAGGCCGAGGTGGGCGGATCACGAGGTCAGTAGATCGAGACAATTCTGGCTAACACGGTGAAACCCCATCTCTACTAAAAATACAAAAAATTAGCCGGGCTTAGTGGCGGACGCCTGCAGTCCCAGCTACTTGGGAGGCTGAGGCAGGAGAATGGCGTGAACCCGGGAGACGGAGCTTGCCAAGAGCAGAGATCGCGCCACTGCACTCCAGCCTGGGTGACAGAGCGAGACTCCGTCTCAAAAAAAAAAAAAAAAAGAAGTTTTTATCAGGGATTTTTAAACTGTTATTGCATGTTAAAGATATCCATATGCCCAATAAATGACTCTTACTTATTCAACTCATAGGAATGTGTTTATTTCAATGATGGAAATACAGACATGATTGCACAGGAAGATAAAGTGGGCATGTAACATGGCTTCAGATGTTAGAAAATTTTTGCATGGATAAATTATCTTGTGACTGCTATGTTGGTGTAGTTACTTATTTCAAGAAAAAAATTATCAGCAAGAACAATATACATTGTAAAAGAGACCTTGGATTTTTGTTTATTTATTATAGGCACCATGAGTTTGCCAAAATTAAAACAATCTTAGTGTGTATAAGTGCAGTAACGTTGTTGCACAGGATAGAGATAATAATTCTATGATAATCTACAATGGCATTTTTATATTTGAAATTCTATGTTCAGCCTTTAGACATTAATATTTATTGACAAATGACAACTTAGTGAAAAATATACAGACTATTGGTGTATTAGTCTGTTCTCATGCTGCTAATAAAGACATATCTGAGACTTGGTAATTTTAAAGGAAACAGGCTTAATTGACTCACAGTTCTGCAGGGCTGGGGAGGCCTCAGGAAACTTACAATCATGGTGGAAGGGAAAGCAAACATGTCCTTCACAGGGCAGCAGAAAGGAGAAGTTCCAAGTGAAAGTGGAGAAAGCCCCTTATAAAACCATCAGATCTCATGAGAACTCACTCACTATGGTAAGAACAGCAGCACGGGGGTAACCAACCCCATGATTCAATTACCTCCCACTAGGTCCCACCCTCAACATGGGATTATGGGAACTACAATTCAAGATGACATTTAGGTGGGGACACACCCAAACCATATCAATTGGAAAGACTTGGACTTTCTCATATGTCATATGAGAAATAGTTGAAGACTCAAAGGTTGCTAAACTGATGAAATGGAAAGTCTTGAGAATACACTATAGCTACCCTAAATAATGCAATAGCTGTTAAAATGACACAGCAAAAAAAGTGTGACTCTTAATAATATATCTAGGACAAACTAGTGGCTATTTTAATAAAAAGACTGTTATTGGTTATTGACCATTGCTTTAGGTACAATTATATACAGTGAAACACATATCTTAGGTGAATTAGATAGATATCTAATGAGAAACACCATTAGATGAATTTGACAGGTATATGCACTAATGTAACAAACACACCAATCAAGATACAGTGTTATTTCCATCACAACAGAAAGTTGCCCTATGACCACTTCCAGTCAAGTCCTATTAACATTGGCAAGCACTATTCTGATTTCTATTACCATAAATTAGTTTGTGTGTGTGTTTTTAATTTTATATAAATGGAATAATACATTATGCACTATTCTGTGTCAAAAATCTTTTGCAGTTCATTCTTCTTTACTGCTGTATAGCATAACACTGCATTAATGTTTATTTATTTATTATTTTTGTTCTATCTTTTTTCCGTAGCAAATTATTACAAAACAAAAATTGCCACCTCTCAGGGTCTGAGGGTTGCCTGGCTTAGCTGGAGAGTATTCACTCAGGGTTTCTTCGGCAATCACAGTAAGATCGAAGCTGGGATTGGATATCCCAATTGGCTCATTCACACAAGTGGCTGTGGATGCTGAATATTGGCTGGGTTCTTAGCTGGGAGTGTCAACCAGTGTGCCTACACATGGCTTTTCCATGTGGCTTTGGCTTCTATAGTATAGGAGCTAGGATCTGTAAGAGAATATATCAAGAGACAGTGTTATAAGGGACCAAAAAGAAAGCTGCAAGGATTCTTTTGAATTCAGATTAGAAATCATAAAGCTTCACAATTGGTGTATTATATCAGTCAAAATCAAATCACAAGACCAGCACAAATTCAAGGAAGGGGAACACATAAGGACAGGGATAACAGAAGGCGTGGTTTGTTGGGCAGTCATCTTTATGAACAAGTGACCACGTCATTTTATTGTTGATTGATTGTTTCCAGTTTTTGTTTATTATTGATAAAGCTGCCTGGGTCATTATTATATAGGACCTTTTGAGGATATATATCTCATTTCTCTTAAGTATACACCTAGAAGTGTAATGGCATAGAATAGGTACAGTTAAAATATAAAAGAAAATACCAATAGTTGTTCCAAAGCAGTTTTTACAATTTTAAACCCCCATCAGCAATATATGAGAATTTAGTTTCTCCACATCCTTACCAATATTTTATGTTATGTGTCTTTTTAATTTTAGTCAACCTACTAGGTATGAACTAAAATCTCATCGTCATTTTAACTATAATTTCCCTGGTGAATAATGATCCTGAGGATATTTTATGAGTTTATTACTCAATTATATAGTTTCCTTTGTGAAGTGTCTGTTTAAGTTATTTTGTCCATTCCTATCTTTTTATCTTTTTATTCAGTTGTAGGAGGTTTCTGTATATTTTGAGTATGAGTCCTTTGTCAGATAGATGTGTTGTGAATAATTTCTCCCATTCTACAGATCTTGTTTACATTTTATTAAGGATATTTTTTGATGTTCAAAAGATTTTATTTTTGATGAAGACTAATATATTTGTTGTTGTTGTTTGGTATATGATAAATATCGCAAGTACCCACATTGCAAGCAATTCTCTTATTATTTTTCAACGTTTCATTATTTTTCCTTTGAAAACACACATATTAAAATAAATAATTCACACATTTTATAGAATTGTGTTTTTTGAAATGCTATATTTTATGGAGCACTAAAATGAATTTGACATCAACACATTCAGGACCCCTGCACTAAACAGTACCAAGATATCAGCTGTCACTACTGTGTCATGGAGATTCACCCCTAAAAATATCTCACTCGAAAATAAAGGAATCATTTTCAGAAGAACAATGAAATGAAAACTTGTTTTTTTAAGAGAAAGAAAATGGACAAACCTTTAGCTAGACTAAGAAAAAAAAGAGAGAAAACCCAAATAAATAAAATCAAGAAAAAGAGGACTTTATAACTGAGACCTCAGAAATATAAAGAATCATTAGAGACTATGACTAACAATTTTACATCAACAAATTAAAATACCTGGATGAAACTGATAAATTCCTGGACATACAACCTATCAATATCGAACCATGAAGAAATAGAAAAACGTCAATAAACCAATAATGACATATGAGATCTAAGCCATAAGATCTCCAATCAAAAAGAAGTCCAAGACTTGATAGCTTCACTGGTGAATACTACTAAATATTTAAAGAACTAATATCAAGTCTACTGAAGCTTAAAAAAATAATAATAAATGGTAGGGAATTTTCCCCAACTTATTCTAAAAGACCAGCATTACCCTGACACCAAAATCAATCAAGAGCACAAAAAATGAAAGAAAATTACAGGCCAATATCACTGAAGAACATATTTGCAAAAATGCAAAAATGTTCAACAAAATACTAGGAAGCTTAATTCAACAAAACATTTAAAAAATCAACCACCATTATCAAGTGAAATTCATCTCAGGTTTACAAACAGGGTTTAACATGTGCAAGTCAATAAACATGAGACATGACATCAACAGAGCAAAGAACAACAAAAAAAAGATTGCTTCAATAGATGCTGAAAAAGCAGCTGATAAAATTCAACATATTGGTATAATAAAAATACTTAGCAAACTGGATTTAAAAAGAACATACCTCAAGACAATGAAGGCCATATATGACAAAACAAACCCACAGCCAACATCATATTGAATAGGGAAAAATAGAAAACCTTATCTAAAATCTGAAACAAGGCAAGAAAGCTAAAATTTACCATTTTTATTCAACTTAATAGAGTTAACTAGGCAAGTTAACTCTATTCAACTTAATAGAGTTAACAACTTAACAGAGTTACTAGGCAAGACAGAGAAATAAAGAGCATTCAAACTGGAAAAGAATAAGTCAAATTAAATTTGTAAGCAGGCAACATGGTCTTACATTTAGAAAAACCTAAAAATTCAAAAAAACTGTTAGAACTGGTCAATGAATTTAGTAACGTTGCAGGATACAAAATCAACATAACAAAAATCAGTAGCATTTATATATGCCAGCAGTAAATATCTGAAAAGAAATCAAGAAACTAATTTCTTTTACAATAACTTCAAGTACACAAAATAACTATGAATCAATTTAACCAAAGATGTGAAAAATCTATACAAAGAAAATTATAAAATAGTGACTAAAGACATTAAAGAGGAAACACAAAAAATGAAAATACATTTTATGCTCATGGACTGCATAAATTAATATTATTAAAATAAAAATACTACCCTGAGCAATCTACAGATTCAACGTAATTCCTATCCCAATACCAGTGATATTCTTCACAGAAACAGAAAAAAATTATAAAATTCATAGCGAACAAAAACAAAGATTTAGCCAAAGCAATGTTGAGCAGAAAGAACAAAGCTTCAGGCATCATGCTACCTGAATTTAGAATATTCTAGAAAATTATAGTAACCAAAACAAATGGTACTGGCATAAAAACAGACACATAGACCAATGGAACAGTTTCCAGATATAAACAAAACAAAACTGGAGGTATCACACTACTTAACTTATAAATGTACTATGAAACTATAGTAACCAAAACAAGATGGTACTGACATAAAAACAGTCCCACAGACCAATGGAACACAATAGAGGTCCAAGATATAAATCTATGTATTAACAGCCAACGTATTTTTGACAAAGGTACCAAGAATATACAATGAGGAAAGGACATTCTCTTCAATAGATGGTGCTTGGAAAACTGGATAACATATGTGGAAAAATGAAGCTAGACTTCTATCTCTCACCATATGTAAAAAGCAAATGAAAAATGGATTAAGGAATTACATCTAACACCCGAAACTATGAAACTACTAAAAACAGACTTTAGGGAAACACACCAAGACATTAGTCTTGATAGAGATTTTTTTGTGAACAATCTCAAATCACAAGGAACAAAAGCAAAAATAGATAAATGTAATTGCATTAAGCTAAAAAGCTTCTGCACAGAAAAAAATCACCAAAATGAAGAGACAACTCAAAGAATACAATAAAATATTTGCAAACTATCCATCTGACAAATAATTAATAACCTGAGTATTTAAGGGGCTCAAAGAACTAAATAGCAAAAAAAAAAAAAAAAAAAACCCTCAAAACACAAACAAAAAAAATAATTTGGTTAAAAAATGAGCAAATGATCTGAATAGACATCTCTGAAAAGAATACATACAAATGACCATCAAGTATATTTAAAATTTGCTCATCATTCATCATTAAAGAAATGCACATCAAAACAAAATGTCATTTCACCCTAGTTAAAATGCCTTTTATCAAAGGCAGGGAATAATAGATGCTGAGGAGGATGTGGAGAAAGAGGACACTTGTATACTTTTGGTGGGAACGTAAATTGGTTGATCCACTATGGAAAATGGTATTATGGTTCCCCAAACAACTAAAAACAGAACTACCATATGATCCAGTAATTCTACTACTGGGCATATATCCAAAAGAAAAAAAAATATCAAAGAGATATAGGTACACCCATGTATATTACATCACTATTCTTGATAGCCAAATATGGAATCAATTTAAGTGTCCATAAACAGATGAATAGATAAATAAAAGCTGAGGTGAGCAGATCACGAGGTCAGGAGATCGAGACCATCCTGGCTAACACGGTGAAACTCCATCTCTACTAAAAATACAAAAAATTAGCTGGGTGTGGTGGTGGGCGCCTGTAGTCCCAGCTACTCAGGAGGCTGAGGCAGGAGAATGGCGTGAACCCGGGAGGCGGAGCTTGCAGTGAGCTGAGATCGTGCCACTGCACTCCAGCCTGGGCAAGAGAGCCAGACTCTGTCTCAAACAAAAAAAAAAAAGAAAGTGATATGGCATATACACAAGACATTATCCAGCCATAAAAAATAATGAAATCCTTTCCTTTGCAGTGGCATCAGTGGAACTGCAGGTCATGATGTTAGATGAAAGAAGACAAGAACTGAAAGACAAATATCTCATGTTCTCACTCAGACCTGGAAGAAAAAATAATGCATATCCATGGAATCAACCCAAATTCCCATCAATGATAGACCTGATAAAGCAAATGTGGTACATATATAACATAGAATACTATTCAGCCATAAAAATGAACAAGATCATGTCCTTTGAAGAGACATGAATGGAGCTGGAAGCCATTGTCCTCAGCAAACACAGGAACACAAAACCAAAGATCGCATGTTCTTAGTTATAAGTGGGAGCTGAACAATGAAAACACATGGATACAGGGAGGAGAACAACATACACTGGGGCCTGTCATCGAAGGGAGGGGAGGGAGTACATCAGGATAAATAGCTAATGCATGTGGGGCTTAATATCTAGGTGATGGATTGACAGGTGCAGCAAACCACCATGGCACACGTTTTCCTATGTAACAAACCTGCACGTCCTGCACATGTATCTTGTAACTTAAAATAAAGTAAAACTTTTTAAAAAAGTGCATATCACGAAAGTAGAGGGTAGGCTGGTGGTGTTAGAGTCCAGGAAAGATAGGGAAATAGGAGGGATAATGAGAGGTTAATTAATGTGTACAAATATTCATTTAAGTAGGAGAAATAAGACCTGGTGTTTGATAGCTCAGTAGAGTGATTATAATTACTATTAGTCAATTGTACATTTCAAAATATCTAGAAAAGAATATTTCTAATGTTCCTAGCATAAATAAGTTTATAGGTATCTCAATTACCCTCAGTTGATTATCTGAACGTATCAAATAATCAAATATACCATAAAAATATGTACATCAAATAGATATCAATTTAAAAATCTAACAATGAAGAATATTTCACTTTGATTGTTGTAACCAGTTAATCATCTGTGATTTTTTAAATAGAAATATTTACTTTATTATTATTATTATTATTAGTTTATTTTTTGAGACAGGGTCTTGCTCTGTCACCTAGGCTGCAGTTCAATGGTGCAAACACAGCTCACTGTAACTTTGACTCCTGGGCTCAAGTGATCCTCCACCTTAGCCTCTCAACTAGCTGAAACTACAGGTACATGCCACCATGACTAACTAAGATTTTGTCCTTTTTGTAGAGATGAGGTCCTGCTATGTTGCCCAGGCAGATCTTGAACTCCTGGCTTCAATTGATCCACCCATCTGGACCTCAAAAAGTGCTGGGATTACAGGCATGAGCCAGTAGGACTGGCCATAAGTAGTTAAGTTTAAAAGTGAGTGGCTATACAAGGGATCCCAAGAAAATGGGTTAATCCAGTTTGAGATAGAGTAGGTAGAGAAGACCTTGACATACCTTGTAATGCTAGAAAATAAGAATGTGATCAAAAAATGATTAGGGCATGTCACAAAGACAAAGAAGCCAAATCTGGGATAATATGAGTACACACGTAATTAGAGTAAATATTTAAACATTTCCAAGATGGTAATTATTTATACATTTACAAAAATCCATTTATTCAAAGTTGGAAATCATTTATATATTTATTATCTGCATAGAGATAACAATAATAAATAGGTATAGAAAAAAGACAATTATACAGTATGAAATAATAAATATATAAATAAATAAATAATGGGGAGGGGAATGCTCTTGTTTTACAGTAACATTGCTATCATAAATGTGTATCAACACTGACTTGATAGATATTGTATACTTCCAGGCGTGTTACTCCAAAAAGGACACAACTTCACTTTTATAGCATTTTTTCAAAAATATATAGTCTGGTTCTAATCTTGTAAAAACAACGAACAGGGGAGCAATCTTCTTCCAAAAAAGAACACTATAAAAGAAAAAATAAGATGTGTACATATTCCAGATTTTAAAAGGCAAAATTTTTGACTAATAAATGAAATACTTGACCTGATACCATATTCGATATTGGAGGACAAATGTAGCAAAGAAGTATTTGGGAATTAAAATCTATGTAACTTACTCTAAAATGGTACAGAGATATAGATAGATAGATGGAGCTAGAGTAGAAATAGAGATATGATTTATGCAAGTTATTTTCATATAGATGAAAGAGAGAAGAATGATAAAATATTAACAATAGGTGAATCTGTGTTTAGGTACGTAAACATATGTTTCTCATTTTTCCAACTGTTTTAAAATTTTAAATTACCTCAACATTTTAAAAAGTTAAAAAAGTGATCTGCAGGCCAGGTGCGGTGGGGTGGCTCATGCCTGTAATCCCAGCAATTTAAGAGGCAGAGGCAGGCGGATCACGAGGTCAGGAGTTCAAGACCAGCCTGCCCAGCATGGTGAAACCCCATCTCTATTAAAAATACAAAAAATTACCCGGGCTTGGTGTAGAGCGCCTATAATCCCAGCTACTCAGGAGGCTGAGGCAGGAGAATTGCTTGAATCTGGGAGGTGAAGTCTGTAGTGAGCTGAAATAGCACCACTGCACTCCAGCCTGGAGACAGAGCAACCTCTGTCTCAAAAAAAAGAAAAAAAGAAAAAAAAAAACTGCAGAGAAGTAAAGGTACATGCTGTCATTGTAATTATCAGTATAACCAAGAGACAAAACTAAAAAGAAAATTTTAAGTAAGGAGATGAGTTGGGAGGGTGATATCACTGATTTAAATCCACATCTATTCTAGCAGGAGGTTAAGAAGAAGAAAAAATAAAACTCTAAGCTCTAAACTCTAACAAACCAAAACCAAATCACAACATCACCATATTTTGGGGTATCAGTGTTTACAGCCAAAGAGCTGCTCTCTTTCAGAAGCAGCAATATGAATGGGAAAGATTTAGACAAGGCACTACTGCACTTCACTGAATCATTATTATAAATCTAAATATATACGCATATACTCAAAAGCAATCAAACTATTCTGAAAGATGGTGGTGGCCATGGAGACAGAGAGATGTGAATTATTTGAAATATATTTGGGAAACTACATTGATAGAAATTGGAAGCAATGAGTGAAGTAAAATCAGGCCTCTGACTTGGGGAAGCTGGGAGGAGAATGGTATGATTCTCTAAGTTGGGAAACACCACAGAAGACATATTGTGAAGAGAAATAAAACAATTTAGTATTCAATCTACTGAATTTCTGTTATGTTTGAGGACAGGCATTTCTTTTAGGAAGTTAGTAATATAGTTTGGATATTTTTTTCATGCACAGATCTCATGTTTAATTGTAATTTTCAGTGCTGGAAGTGGGGCCTGGTGGGTGGTGTTTGGATAATGGAAGTGGATCCCTCATGGCTTAGTGCTGTCTTCATGTTGGTGAGTTCTCATGAGATCTGGTCATTTAAAAGTTTGTGGCCCCTCCCCACCCAACTTTCTCTCTGGCTCCTGCTTTTGTCATGTGGTATGCCTACTCTCATTTGCCTTCCACCATGATTGTAAGCTTTCTGAGGCTTCCCTAAAAGCAGATTTTGGCATTATGCTTTCTGTACAGCCTGCAGAACGATAAGCCAATTAAACCTCTTTTCTTATAAATTATCTAGTCTCAGGAATTTCTTTACAGGAATGCAAGTATTGCCTAATACAGAAAAATGGTGCTGATGAATGGGGCATTGCTATAAAGGTACCTGAAAATGTGGAAAAGACTTTAGAACTGAGTAATGGGCAGAGGTTGGAAGAGTTTGGAGGGCTCAGAAGAAGATAGGAAGAGGAGGAAAAGTTTAGAACTCCTTAGAGAACTGGTTAAATGGTTGTGATCAAAACGCTGATGGTAATATGGACAAGTGAAGTCTAGGCCAAAGAGGTCTCAGATGTAAATGAGAAAACTACTGGGAACTAGAGCAAAGGTCATACATGTTATGCCTTAGCCAAGAGCTTGGCTGCATTCTGTTGTTGCTGTAGGGATCTGTGGAAGTTTGAACTTAAGAGTAATGATTTAGGATATCTAGCAGAAGGAATTTCTAAGCAGCAAAACATTCAAGATTTGACCTGGCTGCTTCTAACAACACACTCTCAGATCAGGGAGCTAAAAAAATGGTGTAAAGCTGGAATTTATATTTAAAAGTTAAGCAAAGCATTAAAAATTTGGAAAATTTGCAGTCTGGCCAAGTGGCAAAGAAAGAAAAAGCTTTTTCAGGGGAGGAATTGAAACAGGCTGTGGAACAACCACTTATGTAAAAGATTTATGTAAATAAAAAGGAGCCAAGTGCTAATATCTAAGACAATAAAGAAAAGGTCTCAAAGGTTTTTGGGAGACCTTTGGGACAGCCCAGAGGCCTAGAAGGAAATAATGGTTTTGTGGGCCCGTCACAGGGGCTCTCTTCCCTCCTCAGCCTTGGGACACTGTTCCTTGCCTCCTGGCAGCTTCAGCACTAGCCAGGGCTCAACAGGGAACAGGTGCAGCTTAGAATGCCACTTTGGAGAATGCAAGCCATAGCCTTGGTGACTTCCACATAGTGTTAAGCCTCTAGGTGCACAGAATGCAAGAGTGAAGAATACTTGTCAGCCTCTGCCTAGATTTCAGAAGATGTATGAGAAAGTCTGGGTGCCCAGGCAAAAGCCTGCTGCAGGATTAGAACCTTCACAGGGAACCTCTACTAGGGCAGTTCCAAGGGGAAATGAAGGATTGGAAGCCCACACAGAGTCCCCTATGAGGCACTGCATAGTGGAACTGTGAAAGGAGGGTCATCATCTTCCAACCCCAGCAGCTTTCATCCTGCATCTGGAAAAGCCACAGCACTCAACAACCTGTGAGATCAGCCTAGGGTGCAGAACCCTGCAAAGTCACAGGGACAGAGTTGCCCAAAGCCTGGGGAGCCCATCCCTTGCAACAGTGTGCTCTAGATGTAGGATATGGAGTCAAAGGAGATTATTTTGGAGTCTTAAGATTTAATGAGCAAGCCTGGCGCGGTGGCTCATACCTGTAATCCCAGCACTTTGGGAGGCCAAGGCAGGCGGATCATGAGGTCAGGAGATCAAGACCATCCTGGCTAACACGGTGAAACCCCGTCTCTACTAAAAATACAAAAAATTAGCCAGGTGTGATGGTGGGCGCCTGTAGTCCCAGCTACTCGGGAGGCTGAGGCAGGAGAATGGCGTGAACCCGGGAGGCGGAGCTTGCAGTGAGCCGAGGTCGTGCCACTGCACTCCAGCCTGGGCAACAGAGCGAGACTCCGTCTCAAAAAAAAAAAAAAAAAAGATTTAATGAGCAGATCTTCCCTGTTGGGTTTCAACTTTGCATGTGGCCTGTAGCCATTTTCTTTTGGCCAGTTTCTCCCTTTTGGAACAACAGTGTTTACTCCATGTCTATACCTCAATTGCAGCTTGTTTTTGACTTCACAGGCTCATAGGTAGAAGGGAATTGTCTTGTCTCAGATGAGACTGTGGACTTTTAAGTTAAAGCCGGAATGCGTCAAGAGTTTGGGGGACTATTGGTAAGGCATGATTCTATTTTGCAATGTCAGAGAACAGTAAGATTTGGGAGGGGCCAAGAGCAGAATGATATAGTGTAGATATGTTTCCCCACCCAAATCTGATGTTGAGTGGTAAACCTCAATGCTGGAGGTGCCATCTGGTGGGAGGTGTTTGGATTATGAGAGTGGATCCTTCATGGCTTGGTGCTGTCTTCCTGATAGTGAGTTCTTGAAATATTTACTCATTTAAAAGTGTGTGGCACCTTTCCCCCCACTCTCTTTCTCTTGCTTCTGCTTTTGCCATGTGATGTGCCTGCTCCCCCTTTGGCTTCCACCGTGACTGTAAGCTTCCTGAGGACTCCTCAGAAGTGGATGTTGGCATTATGCTCCCTGTACAGCCTGCAGAACTGTAAGACAACTAAACCTCATTTTTAAAAAAAAATAAATTCTGCAGTCCCAGGTATTTACAGTAATGCAATAATAGCCTAAAACAGTTAGGAATATGGATCTGGAGCTCAAACGAAATATTTGATTTGGAAAAGTGGATTCTGGAATCAGCAGCAGCAGAAAATGTTTACATAGGAAGCATGTAGTGTAAGAAACATGTAGTGCTTAATATTATACTTGGAGTTAGGCTTTCTGGAATTGAATTTTGGTCCCCTCATCCTAGATGAATGTCCTTTGAGAAGTCATTTAACAACTTTTTATCTCTCTCATGTGTAAATGGCAACTAATAATAGTCTCTACCTTTTACAATTATTGTGGCTAGTCAGTATAAAAAGCATTAGAAAGTTTCTTTTTTTTTGTTTTCCCAGATGACACTACTTTTATTTATTCTTTAATTTTAATTTTTAATTGACAATATTTGTATATTTGTATGGAATAAAATGTGATGCTTTGATATATTTTACAATGGGAAATGATAATTTAATCAGGCTAATTAACAAATCCATCACCTCATATACTTATTTTTGTGGGGTGAAAACTTTTAAAATCTATTCTTTTAGCAATTTTGAAATTGAAAATGCATTATTATTGTTAGCCAATATTTTGTGCAATAGATTACTAAAGCTTATTTCTCCTAACTGAACCTCTGTAACCTTGTATCAGCATCTCCTTTTTGCTGTCCACCCCACCATTCTTCTTTCTGCATCTATGAGTTAAACATTTTTAGATTCCACGTATAAGTGAGATCATGTGGTTTTTGTCTTTCCGTACTTGGCTTATTTTACTTAGTAGAATGTCCTCCATGTTGCCATAGAATCACGTTGCCACAAATAATATTTTCCTCTTTTTAAAGGCCAAATCATATTTCATTGTGTAAATATAATACATTTTCCTTATCCATTCAACCGATCACGGATACCTAGATTGCTTCTATATCGTAGCTATAGTAAATAATGCTGCAGTGAACATGGGAGTGCAACTATCTCTTTGGCATACTAATTTCAATTCCTTTGGATATATGCACAAAAATTGCGTTGCTGATTCATATTGCAATTCTTTTTTTAGTTGCCCAAGTAATTTCTATACTGTTTTCCATAATGGCTAAATACATTCCCATCAACAGTAAACAAAAGTTCCCTCTTCTTCGACTCTTTCCAACATTTGTTATCTTTTGTCTTTGGTACTAGCCACTCTAACAGGTATGAGGTGATATGACATTGTGTTTTAAATTTGCATTTCTCCAATGATTAGTGGTAATAAGCCTTATAAATATATATCAATATATATATGTATATGTTGGCTATTTGTATTGCATTTAAAAAGTGTCTTTTTAGGTCTTTTGCACATTTTTTAAATTGGGTACTTGTTTTCTTGCTAACAAGTTGTTTGTGTTTCTTACGCATCTTGGATAATAACCATTTATCAGATAGAAAATTTGCAAATATTTTCTCCCATTCTGTAAATTACCTTTTCATTCTGTTGATTGTTTCCTTTGCTGTGCAGAAGCTTTGTAGTTTGATGCAATCCCATTTATTTGTTTGCTTTTGTTGTCTGTGCTTTTGCGGTCTTGTCCGAGAAATCTTTGCTCACAGCAATGTCACAAAGAGGTTCCCCTATGTTTTATTATAGTAGTTTTACAGTTTCACATGTTACATTTAAGTCTAAAATCCATTATGAGTTGATATTTGTATATGGTGTAGATAAAACTCCAATTTTTTTCATCTACCTGTTGCTATCCATTTGTCCCAACATTTTTTGTTGAAAAAAAATGTCCTTTCTCCATTGAATGTTATTGGCAGCTTTGTAAAAAAACAGTTGACCCTAAAAATGTGGGCTTATTTCTGGGCTCTCTACCCTCTTCCATTGGACAATATGTCTGTTTTAGTTTAGTACCATGACTTGTTGATTATTATTGCTTTGTAGTTTATTTTAAAATAAGATAATATGATGGCTCTGGCTTTGTTATTATTGCTCAAGATTGCTTTGGCTATTTGAGGTCTTTTGTGATTTTTTATAGAAATTTTGAATAGTATTTTCTATTTCCATGAAAAATGACATTGAAATTTTGATAGAAATTACACTGAATCCATAGATCACTTTGAATAGTACAGACTTTTTAACAATATTAATTCTTCTCATCCATGAACGTAAGATATCTTCCATTTTTTGTGTCAACTACAATTTATTTCATCAATGTTTTACAGTTTTCAGTATATGGATCTTTCACCTCCTTTGTTAAATTTTGCTCCTAATAATTTTATTTATGTTTATATTTATGCTATGTTAATGGATTTACTTCTTTACTTTTTCAGATAGTTTGTTATTAGTGTGGTAAAAATACTACTGAATTTTGCATGTTGATTTTGTACCCTGAAACTTTACTGAATACATTACTAATTTGAATAGTTTTTGGTGGCTTCTTTAGAGGTTTTTATATATGTATATATATATATATATATATATATATATATATATATATAATCATATCATTAGCAAATAGGGTATTTCACTTCTTTCTTTCTGTTTTAGCATGAAAAAAAACATAAAAAAATCCAACTCTTGCCTTATTGCTCTGGCTAGAACGCTAGAATTACATTACTATAGTAAATAGAATTGCCTAGCATAAGCATCCTCAGCTTGTTCCAGATCTTAGAGAAAAAGGTTTCAAAATTTCTTTGATTGCTATGATGTTAGCTGTGGGTTTATTATATACGCTCTTTATTGTGTTGAAGTACATTTTCTCATCCTGTATTTGTTCAGAGATTTTATCAGGAAGGGATGTTGAATTTGGTCAAATGCTTTTTCTGCATCTATTGAGAAAATCATACGTATTTTATTCAGTTAACATGATGTAGCAATTTTTTTTGATTTATGTATGTTGAAACATCCTTGCATCCCAGAAATCCCAGTTGATCATGGTGAATAAAATATTTTTAATGTGTGGTTGAATTATGTGGTAGTTTTTATTGAGGGTTTTTGTATTTAGGTTCTTCAAGGTTATTGACCCTTAATTTTCTTTTCTTGTTGTTTCATTGCATGGTTTAAAGCCAGATCTTAAAGATTAGGGTACTTCTGGCCTCATAAAATGAGTTTGGAGAGTTTGAGAAGGATTAGTTTTAGCTCTATTTTAAAAGTTTGGTAGAATAGCATTATGAAGCCATCTAGTCTTGGCCATTTCTTTGATGGTAGGTTTTTAAAACTTTATTAATTTAATATTCTTAGTCATTATTTGTTTCCTCAGATATTCTATTCCTTCTTCATTCAGGCATAACAGATTGTATGTTTCTAGGAATTTATTCATTTTTCAAGGTTATTCAATTTGTTGGCATATAATTGTTCATAGTATTATGAGTACTCTCATAATTCTTTGTATTTCTGTGGTATCAGTTGTAATATCTCCTATTTTGTTTTTGATTTTATTGAGTCTTCTCTTTTTTTTTTTCCTCAGTGTGGCTAGAGATTTGTTTATTTTACCTTTTCAAAGAACCAACTCTTAATTTCATTGATCTTTTCTATTGTCATTTCAGTCTCTATTTCATTTATTTCTTTTCTCATCTTCATTACTTCCTTCCTTTTACTGATTGGACTTACTTTTGTTCTCCCTTTTCCAGTTCCTTGATGTGTAATGCTAAGTTTTTTACTTGAGATCTTTCTCCTTTTTTGATGTAGGCATTTACTGCCATAAACATCCCTGCATGCCATAAATTATGGTATAGTGTATTTCCAATTTCTTTTGCCTTAGGTTTTTTCTTTAATTTCTATTTTAATTTATCCTGTGATCCATTAGTTGTTCAGAAACATATTGTTTAATTTCCAACTATCTGTCAGTTTTTCAAAATTCCTTGTTATTGCTTTCTAGCTTTATTTCATTTTTGTTAGAGACTATAGTTGATATGATTTTAATATTCTTAAACTTATTAAGACTTGTCTTGTGCTCTAACATATAATCTATAACATAACAACCTACTTTGGAGAATGTTTAGTTGAGAAGTTGAGAAGAATATGCATTTTGCTGCTGTTGGATAGAATGCTCTATATATGTCTGTTAGGTATATTTAGTCTAACATATTGTTCAAACCCACTGTTTACCTGTTTATTTCCTATCTGAATGATCTGTCCACTGTTAAAAGAGGAGTATGGAAATCCCCTGCTATTATTGCATTGTAGTCTATCTTACCCTTTAGATCTATTAATATTTGCTGTATATATTTAGTTGCTTTGATGTTGGATGTGTATGTGCATATATATAATTTGTATGTGTGTATGTGTATTTGTATATATAAAATTGTTATATCCGCTTGATGAATTGACTCCTTTACAATAATATAATGCTTTGTCTCCTTAGCTGTATTTTTTTATTTAGAGTCTATTGTTTTTAATAACCCTGTTTCTCTGCTCTCTTTTGATAACCATTTTCCTATAATATCTTTTTTCATCCCTTTACTCTCAGTGTATGTGTGTCTTTAAGCTTAAAGCGAGTCTGTAGTAGGCAGCACCTTTTCACATCTTGTTTTATTTGATTTAAAATTAATTCAGTGACTCTGGGTGTTTTGATTGAAAAATTTAATTCACTTACATTTAAAGTAATTACTCACAGGTAAGGATTTACTATGGAATTTTGTTTATTTTTTCCTGACTGTTGTATAGTTTATTTTTTTGTTCTTCTCTTTTAAGATTACTGTCTTTCTTTATAATTTGTTTTCTTTGTATGTGGTATGCTTTGATTCCTTCCACTTTATCTTTTGCATTTCTACTAGAAAGTTTTTTCTTGTGGTTAGCATGAAGCTTACATAAAACATATTTTGGTTATAATATTCTAATTTAAGCTAATAGCACCTTAAGTTGAATCACATACAAAGGCTCTACACTTTTATTTGTCCCCTTCCCCGCATTTTATGCTAATTGTCATACTTTATATTTATATATGTGTTGTAAGTGTGTGTGTGTGTGTGTTGTCTTGCTCTTAACTAATTATTTATAGCTATAGTTATTTTTAATACCTATTTCTTTTAGCCCTCATACTAGAGTTAAGATTTACACACCACCTTTTCAGTATTGGTATCTTCTGAATTTGATTAAATATTTACATGTACCACTGGGGTTTTACTTTCGTATGTTTTTATATTGAAACTTATTACATTTTTATTGAAATAAAATAAATCCTTTATTTATTTTAAGGTCAGTCTTATGGTGATGAATTTTCTCAGCTTATGTTGGTCTTCGACTATATCTGTCTTTCATTTCTGAAGCACAACCTTGCTAGGTGCCACATTCTTGATTGAGAGAGTATTTCTTTAAATTAGCTCAATCTGTTTTTTTCTCTCAGCACTTTAAATATGCTATCCCACTCCTTGCTGGCATGCAAGGTTTCTGTTGAGAAGTCTGCTCATAGCCTTATGGGAGGGTTTTTTTTTTTTTTAATAAATGATGAGTTTCTTTTCTCTTGCTCCTTTCAAGATTTTCTCTTTGTCTTTGAATTTTGACAATTTGATTATAATGTGTCTCAAAGTATTAATTTTTGAATTTATCCGCTTGAAGTCCTTTGAGCTTTCTGAACTTTTATGTTCATATACCTCCCAAGATTTGGAAAGTGTTCAGGCAGTATTTCTTTAAATTAGTTTTCTGCTTTTCTGTATCTCTCTTCTTTTTCTAGTATTCCCATGATTTGTATATGTATATGTTTCATAGTATCTCATGAATCCCTTATGCTTTCTTCACTCATTTTTAATCTTTCTTCTTTTTGTTCTGCTAATCAGCTGATTGCAAATGATCTGCCTTTGAGTTAACAAATCACTTCTTCTGCATGAGCAAGTCGGCTGTTGAAACTCTCTACTGAAATTTTCAGTTCTGTCATTTTATTATTCAGCCCAATGATTTCTGTTTGGTTCATTTTATGATTTCTATGTCTTTATTAAACTTTTAATTTTTCCATACATCCTTTTACTAATTTTAGTTAGTTGCCTATCCATATTTTCCTGCACCTTGTTGAACTTCCTTAAGTTGATTATTTTAAAATCTTTTTTTTAGGTAACCTCTATATCTTCATTTCTGGGGATCAATTATTGGAACTTTATAAATTTCCCTTGACAATGTCATGTTTGTCTGATTCTTTATTATCTGTGTAGTCTTGCATTTGAAAAAACTCTTTTTCAGTCTTTACAAACTTGTTTTGTCAAGTAAAAGTCTTTTCCTGTAAGTATGCAGGCTGATGTGATTGCCTCTGGTATCATAGTTGACCGGAGTTGGATCTAGTTCACATGCTGGTCACATGGTCACATGGTCGTGGTCACATGCTGATGCTGGGTCTGGAATTGAGACTACATTTGGTGATCCTATTCCCAGGAGCTCTAGTGGGTGTGTGTTCTATTTAGTCCTTGGGTGGACTGAACTGTCTCCAAAACATTGGTCTGTGGGGCTCATTCTGATACAAGGGTCCGCTTCAGTGTTTGCAGACAGTGGACCTGTTATTAGGTCACTGGGAGGGGACCCTTTGGGTTGCTGAAAGAGTTGTGAGCTGTCCATGCTCTTCTGAAACTTGGCTGAGATGGTCTGGAATGGAATCCCAAGGCTCCTAAAACAAGATTTTGCCTATAGATGGGTGCAGAAGAATTCCTGCTGTTATGGAAGGATATGAGTGAGTGACCTATTATTCCACTATCTTTGGAAAGTTCCACTTTCAAAGCATGTGCTCCATGAAAGTTAGCTCTTATTATTGCTTCTAGTATTACTGTAAACTTACCGAAGGGGAAAAATCTATTTGTTATATAATACCACTTAAAGAACAAGCATAGAAAGAGACACCCACAAAGAAGATTGAGTACAAATAAGAGAAAATTCCAGAAAGGGGACAGAAAATATAAATTAGAAATCAGAAAATAATCTAAAATCTATCATATCAGAAATAAAATACAGATTGTTCAAGACTGAGATAATAACATAAGAAAAACCTGAAGTCATAAATGGGCTTTAAAAATAAAATTATTATTACTTAATATTCATTCACTAGAGGGATACATATGTTACCTTTTGAATATTTGAAAATAAGGAAATGAGAGAGAGAAATAAATATATATACAAAGGTTAGCGTCAAGCGAGTATACCAGCGAGCATAACCTTTTCTCTACATTGAACTTTTCTCTAAGCTAATTTGGAATGGCTTTTGAGTGACTAGATTCTTCCTACATGACGTATAGTGTTTTGCAATTTCTGGCAGTGGAGATGACTTCTTTCAAATGAGGAATTTGTTATATATTTCAGCTTTGAGTCAACATATCGCTTTATGAATGGGAATTGAATCCACCTAACCATATCAGCATGAACATAGGTTTCTTACTTTAGGTGTATAAAGAGACTATCGCTATTCTTTTGAGAAACATCGTGCTGTGCGCTTTTTCTGTATGTGTTTTAAAAGCATATGGGGCATGCTGTCAGCACTGTTCTGTTTCAAAGCTGGATTCATTTGTAAATGTTATAACTGGCCATACTAATGGTTTTGTGTTGCATGTGGATGTTGGAGGTGTTGCAGAGATAATAAGGGGGCTCTGATGAATTAAGCATATGTGTTCCTGTGGGGCGATGGAAATAGAATAGAATCATAATGAAATTTCAACCCTGCAGCTGTATTTCACCTATAACATTCTGTTCATAGGATTTTTCTCTTCCTTAGGCTTCTAACTAGCTGAAAGGAATATAGACGATAAGCTTTCTAAGACAGAAACTTTAATTTTCACTGAATAAAATCATTCATATTTAGAAGTATATATAAATATTAAAAATTTTGCTTTTTAAGGAGTTAGGCATCTTACCAAGCATTATTTTATATAACAACATGCTACAAATATGTTAGCATATGTAATGATCCTTTTAATATAGACAGAATTTTGTGTAGTAGTATAGGGCTTGTTTTCTAGGCAAAATATGAAAAATTATTCTCTGCTAATTTTAATCTCTTTTTCATAATACAAACTATTATCTAGTAGTATAACTTTCTGATATTTGGAAGTTAATGCTACAAATAATGAGAATTTGGTTTTAGGGATTTGGTTAAAAGGTACCCAAAGAATAAAATGTAGTGGATTAAAATACTTAAAATAATTGATGATCCTTGCCTAATTAGAAATATTATTGTAAATATCCAAATTACACCCAAATAAATCAGTTGTCTACAAGATCAAGATTATATGATTACTACCTGTCCTTAACTCCCTTTGCTGGAGAGATTTGTCCATATCTACCTACTGCTTATTCTCACATAACTCAGAGAGTTTATCCTGACCCTATTGTCAGACTTTGTAAGGTGATTTTCTCTGGCCAGTAAGACAGGAAAGGAGGTAACTTATGCCAGTTCTCTTAGAATTTACCATCCACCACATGAATGTCATGTTTCAAATAGGGGCTTCTCCTTCAGTCTGCAACTTGTATGAGAAAATTTTTTAAAAAATCAAAACACCATAGAGGAGGAGCAAATTAAAAAAAAAAACGGCACCATGAGAAAATAAAAAAAAAACCATCATACTAGCTTTAATATGAAGAAGGAATAAACTTTGATTGTCAGTAAGATTTCTTACTACAGTAAAGCTAATACAGTAAGTCTTGTTAAAACCTTTATTGTCTGTTCCAAAAGTAAATCAATAAGAACTTTGATTAGTAGAAATTATTTCACAATGAGCTCTTCTAGCGTTGTTGCAGAATTTAATCTATATTTACATTCCCAAAGTCTAATAAGCAGCATAACACATAACAAATAATCAATCATTAACCATTGACTGATGGATAGATGAATGAGTGAATGTATATAAATGAATGAATAAATGGCACATCCAGAAGTAACTACATTGTAGTAGGACCTGAAGATTCAATAAGAGATGAATACCCTCAAGGGATCATAAGAGGCTCAGGGAAAATTTTGTAAACTGGTAACACTACATACTGAAAAAAACACAAGCATGAAATTGAAAAAGGTAGAAAAAAGAAATTCCAAGTGAAGTATCTTCTTGCAATTTCTCTGCACTACAGAAATTTTCTTTTCCTAATAGAGGCTGCTTTCAGGTTTCTTAGCATTTCCGTCTGTAAACGTGAAAATTTACAACACCCAATCACACTTGTAAGCTTTTAAAAATTTGTTTTTAAAATCAGATAAATGCCAGCCTGATTTTCTTTTTTCACTTTCCTAAACTGTCTACAGTATTATCTGTGAAAGATAATTATAAAAGTAATAGAAATACAGGAAAACAGTCAGTAAATGATATGTAATATACAAACTAGGTATTTTCTCCTAGAATGTATGATTTCTGGATATTGCATTCAAAATACATTGATTTTTTTTGTATATACTGTAAATTCAGTATAAATAATACATGCTTAACTTATATTGCATATTTTATGTCAAGATATTTTAGATCTTTTCTATTTCAATCAAATGTTTGGAAAATTGTATCATTGCTGATGTTCTCTGCGTTAGAGGAATATTAGCGTTTTCACCCAGTCGTGTGGATAAAGGGATGCAAAACCTTGTCTAGCATTCCAGAAAATAGGTCCTGCATTTTTGAGCTACATTATCTGCTTCAGTAAATGCTGTCATTCTGCTTGGTTTTTCACTCCAAGTTGTCAGCTGCAGCGAAACCTGGATTAAACTATCCAAACTACAAAGCAGGAAAAAATAATTGAAGCTTTCTGACACTAAAGTTACCATGTAGTCTTTAATTTGTGAGATGGTAAATATTACCCTCTCCCTTGATCTCTACTGTTTAGAACTCCCAGGGGAGAAAGCAATTGGCTTCATTTCTAAAGCTTCTCTCAAGACAGGCAAGCAGTAAAATGTACTGCTTTATCAGAATTCTTTAGAGATTTTTATGTGAACACACTTCATTGATTATTAGTTTTCTGATGAGACTTGCTGGAGTGAAGAAGCCTCCCTAGAAAGAGATTCTCGTTCTTTGGAAAATAAAATTATGGTCTGTTAGCATGGAAACAACAATATAGTGAAGGAGAAGTAATGGGAGAAATGGATTTTGCATGTAGAGTTTAGTAACCAGTCTTAGCATCAACTGATGGGATGGTGAGGATTTGCTGAGAAATAATTTAGTAATACATTTGAGTGTAAAAATTTGCATTATATGTTCTTCACCTTCATTTACACTTTATTCAAAGAAAATTAGTTTCACAAATTTTCACAAAAGCATTTATACTAAGTAGCTATAATATTTTTAGCATTTACAGATGAATAATTACAGGACATATGTGGATATAAGATTTTTTAAAAATGTTGATAACACAGAACTAAAACTCAGATCTAAAATGGTACATAATAGAAATCACATATTTTGTTGGTACAGAAAAAATTATCAGTCATAGAGGAATTTATGGAGTACAGTGTAATTCAACTATCTGTAAATCATAATGCAAACTTTAATGAACATTTATTCAGCCACAGTTACTTGAAGTTCCTCAGTGTGAATATTTTACATAGAACACACAATAGGAAAGTTAAAGTAGTATGAAATGCATGTTCTTTTATCTGAGACTTATCTCCTGCTCTGTCACCACCTAAAGATTGTCCTGTGCTTCCCGCCTTCTTCCTTTAAAGTTGCAATCTATTGAATTACAATGCTGTAATTAATTTAGAACCTCTGGCTGCTGAAACAAAATACTATGCTGATTACTTAGTTGAACTGAGAAAAATTGAATAATATGAATGCAAATATTACCATTTGTAGAAATGAATCATTATCATTCTCTTCTCCTAAATCAGAAATGCACTAAAATAACCCAAGTCTCTTGACAATGTAACTAATTTCTATAGAGGATATACAGTGATGAACAACAGACTTGTGAAAATATAGAATGAACAGAAGATTGTTAACAAAGGAATAAAATGAGCTACATATCTTTGGTAAAGCAATAAAATGAATTACATATCATTGGTATTTTTATCTCCCTTACTTTTAGGATAGGAGTGGCAAATCTTAGTTTTAAAATGTAAATAACAACCAGAAAAAAATTGAAAATAATATCACAGTTTTATTTTATAGTATAGAAAAATTTACCAAAGCTAAATGTATCTTATAAATTTTAGATCCCATATATGGCTTAATTTTTTAATTATAATCTTATGGATTCATTGCATTTGCTACACCACTTTAGCAAGCATCTTTGATGATATGCCTGAGTCTTTACTTCCTCTTTATGTAACTACATTTCCAGTTTACTTTTGCAGATTGACTAACCTATGTAAAATATCTAGTATAAAAAATATTCTATACTCTAATACTCCCTGAGCTCTTATGGAATTGAAATGTACACATAGGATCAGACATGTGCAAGGATTACATGCATGTGCCCCTCATGAAGTAATTATGTCAGTATTTTTATTTTAATGTAAAGAAAAGAGTTTATGCTTTTACTTTGAAGTACTTTATTCTAATAAACTACTTTCTGTATTATTTTATTTCTAAGATACATTTTTACTTGTTTCACATATTTATCTTGTAAATATCTTCTCTGTGTAAGCTCTTCAAATAAAAGTAAACACAAAATACAAAAATGTTACATAAAATATTGATGGCTCTCTCTATATGAATATTTTGCTAGTCCAGACTATTGATCTTATTCCAACTTGGTGTCAAATAAAACACAGCTCCGGACTTAGTAAGGAGAGACTCTATTCAAAAGGATTATTACAAACTGAAGAAAGAAACTATTAAATTCAGGAGAAGGCTCTGACCATAAGATCTGTGTCTTAATTGTTTTGTAAAAAGTGTTTCCTGTTGTTTTAAGTATAAAGAGGGGTAATTAAGGCTAGAAACAATCAAGTGTGAGAAAGTAAAATGGATTTAAAAAGTGAAATAATTTGATAGTATATTAGAAATAGTTTTGCCTGAGGCCAGCCTATCCTCAGAAGGGACTATATGCTGACTCAGCCTGAGGGGAACTTCAGTTCAGTGGCCTGGAGGAAAGAGAGAAGCTTAACCAAAGTTTGATTAACAAGCATTTTGTACCCATTGTCCAGTAGAGACAAGCAGTTCCACTAATCGTTTATAAGTTCAAGAAAGAGAATTTTAAAGGTCCCCGTTTAGACTTGTCATAGGTAAACCACGGAGGCATCTAAGAATCTTATTTAAGTAATATGGAGAAGGGTGGTTCTCTGCAGTAAGCTATACTTTGGAAAACAAAGGGTGGGAAAGTTTCTTAACTTGCACTGCTGTTCAAAATGATAGGGCAAAAAAGAAATTCAACATTGTTGGCGGTCACGATTTTAAAATCTTGTCCTTTATTGCAGCTTTATAATGTCTTTACCATCAATTTGTCACAACTCAGGAAATAATGTTTTAAAATGCATGGAATTTGTGGATTTATTTCTGAGCTTCTATTTCATTGTTCTATATGACCATTTTTGTGCCAGTACCATGCTGTTTTGATTACTACGGGTTTGTGGTATATTTTGAAGGCAGGTAGTGTGATGCCCCCAGTTTGTTTGTTTTGTTTTGTTTATCTTGTTCAGGATTGGTTTGGCTATTTGGGGTCTTTCATGGTTACATACAAATTTTAGGATTTTTTTTCTATTTCTATGGAAAAAATCACTGAAATTTTATTGCAGATTGCATTGAATCTGTAAATCACTTTGGATATACAGACAACTGAACAATATTAATCCTTCCGACCCATAAACACTGGATAGCTTTCCATTTATTTGTGCCTTTTTCAATTTATTTAATCAATGTCTTATATTTTTCTGTGTGTGTGTCCTTCATCACTTTAGTTAAATTTATTTCTAAATATTTTATATTTTTGTTAGGGTTGTTTTCTTGATTTTTGTGTAGTTCATGTTAATGTATGGAAATGTTACTCTATGATCCCAGAATCCCACTACTAGATAAACAATCAAAAGAAATGAAGTCAGTTTGTCAAAAATATATCTGGACTCCCATGTTCATTACAACGTTATTCGCAATAGCTAAGGTATGGAATCAACCTAAGTTCCGATATATAAATGGATAAAGAAAATGTGGTATATACACAGAATAGAATATTATTAAGCCTTAAAAATGGAGGAATCCTGTCATTTGCAATAACATGAACGAACCTGGAGAACATTATGTTACACAAAATAAGTCATGCATGAAAGGAGAAATGCTGCATGATGTCACTTACATGTGGAATCTAAAAAAGTTGAACTCATAAGTAAAGAGTAAATGGTGCTTACCAGAAGCTGGGAGTGGGGCTGGTTGGAAAAAATGATGGTCAAAGGATATAAAATGTCAGTTTCATAGAATAAATAACTTTAAAAAATCTAGAATACAAAATGGTAACTATAATTAATAATAATATATTTTAAAATTTTTCTAACAAAATAGATTTTAAGTGTTCTCATTATAAAAAATGATAAATGTGAAATAATACACATGTTAATAAGCAATTGCACCATGTATATATACTTCAAACTAACATGTTCATGATAAATATATACAAATTTTGTCTATTAAAAATGTAAATAAAATATTTTTTAGAATGATTCATATTTAATGTAGAAATATTTCCAAGATGTATTATTACACAAATAATATACATTTCAAAACAGTATGAAAAATACAATTTTAAAAAATGCATGAAAATCCAAATTATACATTTTATAGATGTACATACAATGTTTAAAAAAATAGCTTTGAATTATTTTGTCCTAATTGCATATATTAAGAATGAGTGCTAACTGTTTAAAATATAAAAACACTGTCCACAACTTTATACTCACCAATAGAGGAGTGAATAAATTCAACATAGTATTTATATATAAGAACTAAAATCATGTGTAAGAAATGTGTTTTAAATATATATGTACATAACCTTAAAGTTTTCAAATTGTCGTATTTATGTAGAAGTATAGAAATCATATGAAAAAATATATCTTTAAAATACATTGAAAACCTTAAAAACAAATTTATCAAATGATAACTAGGTTCCAGTTTTTATAAAGCAGATAATTACACTAAACTATTAAATATTGTTATGAGATTTTTATGTTGTGATTTTTTTCACTATAGAACTTTAGATAATTTTAAAAATGTAAACTTATCTTCATATCATAGTGAATCCACAATAATCATGGCTTTCATGTGTCATAAAAAATATATTAACTGAAATGAGATTTTTCATGTAGCTGAAAACGTAAGGATGAAACCAATATTTGCCTTAAGTTTAGAGTTGGAATTGGTCTATAAGACCAATTGGTTTAAAAATTTTTGAAATATTTTCTATAGAGAATAAAAAAATAACACCTATTTAGAATCTTTCAGGTTTATAAGTAAAATGACAACTCAATAATGTTTATTCCTCTTGTACTCCACATGCAATTTCTCTCTTCTCTCAACCCTTATGGCACTTTTTTGCTCTCCACTTAAGAAATGTTTCATATTCATTCTTGTATTTTGCATATTTACCTACTACTATTTTCTTTCTTATTAGACTGCAACTTCTTGAGAATGGTGTAATGGGGAGAAAATTGGCTTTAAATTCCAGATATGAATCTTACTAACTGAATTTACCTCATTAATACAGTTTCTTACCTATAATTATATCGTGTGGACTGGAAATAAGTGATGATAGTGACACAGATAGAAAATGTATAAATACTTGAAATATAAAGTAACTTGGATCATCATTTGTACATTTTCCTTGTTTGTTCTACATTTTTTTATTCACACAAAAATAATTTGCACTGACTTTCTAAAGGTCAAAAATATGACAATGTCACCAGGAGTGAAATCACAGATAGACATAAATTACCATAGCTCATTACAAAATCAGTCTATTTGTGATTTTCAAAATTAATCATGTTTGATAAGCTTTAACAAGCATTACTCATATAATAAAAGTAAATAACAATTATCTGTATTGCAATGCAAAAGAAGAAATTGAAATTGTTGCATGATATAAAGAAGTACAATCTACATTAGACAACTTTCCCAATAAAGATTTAATCTCTAATTTTTGAGCCTGATAATTAGCACACATGGTGCATTCATAAAATCAATCTCTATTTTATTATTTTACTTATTAAATCTGTTACAAAAATAACTGAAAATTTTTGTTTGATTATTCATATATGTACATATATAGATAGATATATGTAATATATATGTGTGCTGGTTTAGACGTTTATATCTCCTTTAAAATTCATATTGTGGAACAGAACAGAGCCCTCAGAAATGATGCCGCATATCTACAACTATCTGATCTTTGACAAACCTGAGAAAAAAAAGCAATGGGGAAAGGATTCCCTATTTAATAAACGGTGCTGGGAAAACTGGCTAGCCATATGTAGAAAGCTGAAACTGGATCCCTTCCTTACACCTTATACAAAAATTAATTCAAGATGGATTAAAGATTTAAACGTTAGTCCTAAAACCATAAAAACCCTAGAAGAAAACCTAGGCATTACCATTCAGGACATAGGCATGGGCAAGGACTTCATGTCTAAAACACCAAAAGCAATGGCAACAAAAGCCAAAATTGACAAATGGGATCTAATTAAACTAAAGAGCTTCTACACAGCAAAAGAAACTACCATCAGAGTGAACAGGCAACCTACAAAACGGGAGAAAATTTTTGCAACCTACTCATCTGTCAAAGGGCTAATATCCAGAATCTACAACGAACTCAAACAAATTTACAAGAAAAAAACAAACAACCCCATCAAAAAGTGGGCAAAGGATATGAACAGACACTTCTCAAAAGAAGACATTTATGCAGCCAAAAGACACATGAAAAAATGCTCATCATCACTGGCCATCAGAGAAATGCAAATCAAAACCACAATGAGATACCATCTCACACCAGTTAGAATGGCAATCATTAAAAAGTCAGGAAACAACAGGTGCTGGAGAGGACGTGGAGAAATAGGAACACTTTTACACTGTTGGTGGGACTGTAAACTCATTCAACCATTGTGGAAGTCAGTGTGGCGATTCCTCAGGGATCTAGAACTAGAAATATCATTTGACCCAGCCATCCCATTACTGGGTATATACCCAAAGGACTATAAATCATGCTGCTATAAAGACACACGCACATGTATGTTTATAGCAGCACTATTCACAATAGCAAAGACTTGGAACCAACCCAAATGTCCAACAATGATAGACTGGATTAAGAAAATGTGGCACATATACACCATGGAATACTATGCAGCCATAAAAAATGATGAGTTCATGTCCTTTGTAGTGACATGGATGAAGCTGGAAATCATCATTCTCAGTAAACTATCACAAGGACAAAAAACCAAACACCCCATGTTCTCACTCATAGATGGGAATTGAACAATGAGAACATATGGACACAGGGAGGGGAACATCACACTCGGGACTGTTGTGGGGTGGGGGGAGGGGGGAGGGATAGCATTAGGAGATATACCTAATGCTAAACAACGAGTTAATGGGTGCAGCACACCAGCATGGCACATGTATACATATGTAACTAACCTGCACATTGTGCACATGTACCCTAAAACTTAAAGTATAATAATAATAAAAAATAAATAAAATAAATTTTAAAAAATTCATATTGTTGAAACTTAATTGCCAGTGTAGCAGTATTAAGAGATGAGGCCTTGAAAAGGTAATTAAACTATGAGGGTGGAGCTCTCATAAATGGGATTGGATTCCTTTATAAAGGGCTTGGAGGAAGTTTATTGCTCTTGCCCTTCTGCCTTCCACCATGAAGACAGCATTACTCCCTTCTGGAGGATGCAGCAACAAGATGCCATCTTCGAAACAGAGAGCAGCCCTCACTAGACCATGAAACTCGCTGGCACCTTGATCTTGGACTTCTAGTCCTCCGGAACTGTGAGGAATACATTTCTGTTTTTAATAAATTACCCAGTCTCAGTTATTTTATTATAGCAGTACAAACAAACCAAGACTATGCACACACACACAGAGACACAGACACATACACACACATACACACACACAAACACACACTCACACAATCCAGGTAATTAAAAAGTCTATGGAAAATGTGTATTATGAAGAAAAAACCATGCATGGATTTCTAATTTTTTGCAACAAAATAAATCCATAATAGTTTTTTTATAATATGTCCAAACAGGATGTAGTTTGAGGCGCTGAGAAAGATAAAACATCAGTTTGAAAAAAGCCATTATCAGAGGAACATAAATTCTACTTAAATTGAAGAAGGTGAAAGAATGATGAAATTATTGATGCATTTCAGGTTTAAAAGGATATTGCTCCAAGGAAATCATCAGTTTACAAATTGATAGCTCATTTTAAGAAGGGATGAGACAATGTTGAAGACAAAGCCTGCAGAGACAGACCACCCACATCAATTGTAAAGAAAAGATTTATCTTGCTTGGTTCCTAATTGAAGAAGACAAACAACAGCACAAACAAAAGCCAATGCCATAGCTATCTGAATTTGTTGAATGTACAGAATTATGACTGAAAAATTAAGGTTGAGCAAACTTTCCACTAGACAGATGCCAAAATTTCTGTGCCCAGATCAAGTGAAAATAAAAACAGAGCTTTCAATGAAAATTTTAAACAAGTGGAATCAAGATTCTAAATAATTTTTTCAAATTATTGTAACAGCAGATGAAACATGGCTTTACCAGTACAATTCAGAAGACTAAGCGCAATCAAAGCAATGGCTACCAAAAGGTGAATTGGTTCATTGAAACCAAAAGCAAACCAGCCAAGAGGAAAAATCATGGCCACAGTATTTAGGGATGCTCAGGACATTTTGCTTGTCGACTTTCTTGAGTGTTAAAGAAATAACATCTGCTTATTATGAGAGTGTTTTGAGAAAATTAGCCAAGCTTTAGCAGAAAAGTGTCCAGGTAAGTTTCACCAGAAAGACCTTCTCCACCATGACAATTCTCCTACTCATTCCTGTTATCAAACAAGAGCAAGTTTGTGAAAATTTTGATGGGAAATCATACGAATATATGTTTAGTCATATTTGGCTCCTTTTTTTTCTTTCTTTTTTTAATTATTATTATACTTTAAGTTTTAGGGTACATGTGCACAATGTGCAGGTTAGTTACATATGTATACATGTGCCATGCTGGTGTGCTGCACCCATTAACTCGTCGTTTAGCATTAGTTATATCTCCTAATGCTATCCCTCCCCCTCCCCCCACCCCACAACAGTCCCCAGAGTATGATGTTCCCCTTCCTGTGTCCATGTGTTCTCATTGTTCAATTCCCATCAATGAGTGAGAACATGCGGTGTTTGGTTTTTTGTCCTTGTGATAGTTTACTGAGAATGATGACTTCCAGCTTCATCCATGTCCCTACAAAGGACATGAACTCATCATTTTTTATGGCTGCATAGTATTCCATGGTGTATATGTGCCACATTTTCTTAATCCAGTCTATCATTGTTGGACATTTGGGTTGGTTCCAAGTCTTTGCTATTGTGAATAGTGCTGCTATAAACATACATGTGCGTGTGTCTTTATAGCAGCATGATTTATAGTCCTTTGGGTATATACCCAGTAATGGGATGGCTGAGTCAAATGATATTTCTAGTTCTAGATCCCTGAGGAATCGCCACACTGACTTCCACAATGGTTGAACGAGTTTACAGTCCCACCAACAGTGTAAAAGTGTTCCTATTTCTCCACATCCTCTCCAGCACCTGTTGTTTCCTGACTTTTTAATGATCGCCATTCTAACTGGTGTGAGATGGTATCTCATTGTGGTTTTGATTTGCATTTTTCTGATGGCCAGTGATGATGAGCATTTTTTCATGTGTCTTTTGGCTGCATAAATGTCTTCTTTTGAGAAGTGTCTGTTCATATCCTTTGCCCACTTTTTGATGGGGTTGTTTGTCTTTTTCTTGTAAATTTGTTTGAGGCTCCTTTTAAGTACTTTTTGTTTCCTAATCTTAAAAAATTTTTTTGAGGTCACCAATTTTTTTCAGTTAATAATTTTAAAAAGACTACATTGACATGGGTTAGTTTTCAGGACTCTCCATTCTTTAAGGATGGACTAAATGGCTGGTATCATTGCTTACAAGTGTTTTGACCTTTATGAAACTTATGTTCAGGAGTTAAGCTTATGTTTTTAATGTTCATCTTTTCATTTCATTTCCATGAACTTTTTGAAGTCCTCTTGTGTATATATATGTATATGCACATATATACATATGTGTATACATCTACATATTTATACATATATGTGCATATACATATATGTGTATATATGACAGATTTAAAATTTACATATGTGTTTACTATTTTAAGTAAATGGTTTATTATTTGTATTTCTTGTATATTACTTAGATACTAAACATTTGGGAAATATAATTTGAAACTATTGCATTCTGATAAAAATTTTAGCATTTTGCATATGTATCACTAGACAATTTATTGAGCAATAATTATATATTCAACTTTATGTATAGCACTTGATGTATTTGATTATATTTATCCTCACAACAACAGAAGCTTCATTTTTCAGATCAATCAACTGAGGATAAAAGAGTTTACAATATATTTCTTAGTTTAGCAGGCTAATAAATGCCAAAACTTAGATACATGTAAGTCCTAGTATGCTTAGTATCAAAATGTGTGACATATTCTACAGATATACATACAAACCCATAAAATTTAACTGAATGTGAATATAATTATCATTAATGTTTTTCCATCTATATTATACCCACATGGAACATAAATATTTATGTATATTTCTCATATGAGTTTCCATATCTATATATAGATAGTAGTCAGGCAGGAAATATATTTCCATCTTCATGTTTAAAATAAATTCACATAAAATATTGATGACTATAAAATTATTTACATATTCAAGATATTTAGTTATAAAAATATATGTCAATACAACAAAATTACTTGTGGCTTTAAATTTCCCATTTAAAAAATATAATGCCTTACTCAGAAAAATCAATTTGTAATGTAATTCATTCCATTTGCATGCTTATGTCAGGGTCTCATGCATGATAATGAAAAGAAAATGTACACATTGAAAAAGAAAATACAGCAGGCTTTATGTGATAATCTTGCAATGAAAATAAAGTACCAACGTTTGTTAAAAAACATTTTCATATACTGAACTAATTGTATAAGAATGTTATGTTTCATTATTTCTCTATTTTAATAACAGGACATTCTATTTATAAACTAAATTCTTTTCTGTTGAATTGGGACTAATAGATTACACTATAGATATCAAGTGTATATTAATACTTAGTGGTATTAGTTAAAACATATTTATAGTGTTTGTATTCTTGGTAAATGTAATGCAAAATAACATATCAAAACAACAGCAAAAAAACCTGCATTTATATAGTTAATTGACTGTTAACTTTGGGGAAAATGTAGCAACTTTTATTATGCATGCACATTTGATGCTGCTTCAAATAAATAAAGTAGTAGGAATGTGAATTGTTTCTATATATTCAGATTTTAGGACATTATTTACATGCCAGGTGGCTGTGACTTAAAATAATTTTGGATAATTATACAATAAATAAATAGAGACCTATAATTCCATGGATGTTATTTCAGACACAATTAACGTAAAACAATTATGAATCTTTTCAAAATTAACATGGCAGCTCAAGCATTGTTATCTGCAAATACCACACTGCTGTTTCCTTTGTTAGTTAAAACCAATTTAAATTATCTATAAAAATGATATGGGCATTGGAAATTTCTATAACCTGTAGGATTTTATATACATTCACTTAATTTAAAGGTCTCATTATGCATAGAAATTCCATTAGTTTGTTATATTTTGAGTAAAAAAATGTATTTAGTTAAAAAAGATCTTTAAACAAGTTTTATTTATTTTTTACTATTTGTACTTTACTCTCACAAATTTATCTTAGGAATCGCAAACTCCATTGTCATTTTAAGAAACTACAATACATGCAGATATATAAATTCCTTAGTTAAGATCTATTGCAAGTGAATTTTTTCAATTAAAAAATACAGTATATTATTCTAGTATGTGTTTTATGAAATATTTTATGCATATTTAAACCATGCTCAGTACAGTAGCAAATCTAGTAAATAAAATAACAAATTTTTATGTTTAAAATATAGGACATTACTATTTCCATATGGGCTAAAATTTGTATGTTTTGTAGGGTATAAAAAGAAAATAGCAACTTATTTATGAATAATTGATTCTTCTTCCCAGAGGAATGTAGATCTTTTAGATAAAACTAGAATATTGATCTCTTTGCTTTCTCCCTATCATTAAATTTTTACCTACATTTTTAAGGCAGATTAAACCCCATTTTCCCAGAAAATCCTTCAAAAAGAATCCATTGAGTCTGGGGGCTTATAATAGTTACCATAGATACGTATATTTTATAAGCATATGCTTCCTATTCCTGTTAGCATTAATCATTTTCTATGGTTTGAATATGTCCCCTAAAAGTCCATGTGTTACAAACCTTGTTCACAATGCAGCAGTGTTGAGACGTGGGACATTTAAGAGGTGATCGGGTGCTGAGGATTCTGCCCTCATGAATAGATTATTCCATTCATAGATTGACAGTTCGATGGGTTATTGAGTAAGAGGGTTATTTATGAGACTCAGTTTGTTAAAAAAAAAGCCAGTTTGGCCATCTCTTGTTAGCCCCCTTGCCATGTGATGCCATGTGCTATCTTTACAGGGACTTTACAGGGACTTTACAGGGATAGCCACCAGCAAGAAGGACTTAAACAGGTATAGCCCTTTGACCTTAAGCTTCCTAGCTTCCAGAACTCTAAGAAATAAACATATTTTCTTTATAATTTTCTAGTCTCAAGCATTGAGTTATAACAACAGAAAAAGGACTAAGACATCATCCATTGGTACCCGCCAGGCTCCCACTAATAGTTCTAAGGTTTGTGAGTTTAGCAAATTCTTGCTTTAGTTTTTAAAGAAAACCTTTAGGTGTGGTCAAATGATAATAGTTAAGAATGAATGAAAAGTTTTGAACCTCTAATCTTGCTCTCTACATTTGTACTATCCTAAAATTTCATACCAATATAAATAGAAAATAGAATAATTGTCTTCACCAAATCAACCATAAAAACATTAATGACAATAATTTTTTGGTGGACTTGCTATGTGTTGGATAATGTGTTAAGTGTTTAATATGCAACATATCATTTAATTGTATTTTACATCTTTGTTATCTTATATATATTACACATATACATACACACACACAATTATATATACTATGGTTTAAAATGTCCTCAACCACTTTGTGAGATGTACAAATATTATGAGATAAAGTTATGATTGTCAAAAGTCTTACCAAAGAGGCGTGAAAATAATCACCACACACTAAATCCAGTCACTTTTATGTTTGTCCCTCACCCAAACAAATGGAAAACTTCTTGTTTCTGCTTATTAAACTCGGTTTATAGCCTACATGAAGCTCTCTATATTCTTAACAAAAAATCTCATATTGCTGTCAGTTCTTTGCTCCTATAGTGTGGAAAAAAATTTTGAAGTTTAATGTTCTAGCATACTCTAGTTATGTGTTTTCTTATCTTTATCTTATATATAAAACTATGAAATTCTGGAAAAAAAGGACATAGAACTTTTCTATATGTCTCTACATGTTTATTATTATGTACAGATTATGGTATAAAATATTAGCAGCATCTTTATAAATAAGTAAATGAGAATAATAAAATTAGTCATGAAACTCTGCATTTTTTTTTTTGAGACAGACAGTCTCAGTCGCTTAGACTGGAGAGCAGTTGCATAATCACAGTTCACTCAAGCCTTGAATTTCTGGGCTCAGGAGATCCTCTAGCCTCAGCCTCCTGTGTAGCTAGGACCAAAGGGGCACACCACCACACCTGGTAATTTTTTTTATTTTTAATTTGCAGAGATGAGGTCACACTGTGTTGCCCAGGCTAGTCTCACACCCCTGGCCTTAAGTGATCATCCTGCCTTGGCCTCCAAAAGTGCTGAAACTACAGGCATGAGCTACTGTGCCCAACCTATACTCTGCATTCTTAAGAATTATGTAAATGTTACCAAAAAAGAGATTATTAGATCTAGTATAATCCAACAGAACTTTAGATGTGTGGGTAAATATATAAAGAAACAATGAAAGAACACCTTAAGTAGGAAAAAACTGCCATTAGAATATATTTTTTATAAAATATAGAGAACAAAAGTCTTTCTAGAAGTCATTTTATATGGAAAACATATAAAGTGTAAACGTAACAATAATATCACAAAGATCAGATAATGGAGGGCCTCCAAAGCAAGGCAAAATGTTTTAAGCATTTTCTGGCAGGTGATCAAAGTCACTGAAGTAAGTACTTGATCATAGGTGTCAAATGCAAAGGGTGGTGGCTCAGGAAAAGTATCCAAGACAGATAAAAGAAATGTAAATCAGTAAAACCAACCTGGAGCAGTACAGTTGTTTAATCTTGAAGTGGGGAGAGTCTCCATTAGGGGATGCTATGGTTTCAATATGGTTTGTTTGTCCCTACCAATTAGTATGTTGAAATTTGTTCCTCAGTGTTGGAGACGGGGCCTAATTAAAGGTGTTTGGGCCATGGGGGTAGATTCTTCATAAATATATTAAAGCTCTCCTGGGACAGGGAATGAGGGTTCTTACTCTATTAGTTACCACAAGTGTTGGTTGTTAAAAATAGCTCGACTCTTTCTTCCTCTCTAACCATATGATCTCCACACACACCAGCTCCCCTTTGCTTTCTGCCATGAGTGAAAACAGATTGAGGTCTGCATCAGATGGAGGTGCTGATGCCATGCTTTTTGCAGTCTGCACAACCATGAGCCAACAAACCCTTTTATTCTTTATCAATTACCCAACCTCAGATATTCCTTTATAGTGGCACAAAGTAGACTAAGACAGGCGACTGGCAATAGGAATAAAGAAACAATTAGATTATATTCAGGTAAATTTAAAAAATATTTCAAAAATAAAAATTGAATAACTTATCACAGTTTGGATTTAAGAAATGAAGGAAAGGGATGAATCAAATTGAAGTCTATAAGATTATCAAGGGAGCAAAGGTGCTGATAATGGTCAAGAAAAATAAATGTTAATATTTTGTGTACCTAACTTATAATATGCCAGCTTAAATTTTTCTTTATCAAGAAGTATAATGAATGTATAGAAGAATGCACAAATCATAAGCGTACAGTTTGAGTGATCAGAGAAAACACATCTGTGTAACCACCACCTTGGCCAAGTAACATTGCCAAACATCCAGCCTTGTGCCCATATCAAATCTCACCTCCTCTCTTCTTCTGTAAAGTAATTACTGTCCTGACTTTCATACTACAGATTGATTTGCTCATTGTTAGTCTATAGAGAAATTAATATTATATAAATTAGTTAATGTACTCTTGTGTTTGACTTATTTCAATCAATATTATGTTTGTAAAATTTGGCCACACACACAAACACACACACACACACACACACACACACGTATATTATATAATTTTTAAGGCAGGGTCTGCATCTGCATTCTTTGCTTTTTGTTGTTTTTGTTTGTTTGTTTGTTTTTGTTTAGAGACAGTCTCCCTCTGTCAACTAGGCTGGAGTGAAGTGGCATGATCAACTGCAGCCTTAACCTCCTAGGCTCAAACAACCCTCCTGCCTCAGTCCCCTGAATAGCTAAGACGACAGCCATGCACCACCATACATGGCTAACTTTTTAATACAACTTATTGTAGAGACCAGGATTTTGCTGCGTTGCCCAGGGTGGTCTCAAACTCCTGGCCTTAAGATATCGTCCCACCTTGGCCTCTGAAATTGCTGGGATTACAGGCATGAGCCACCACACCCAGCCATCAGTCATATTTTTGTATGGAGCTTCCTTTATTTTATTTTTATTATCACATAGAGCAATTTATATTTTTTCAACTTACTGTCGATCTTTGTTATCAGTTTGGACGTTTTATACAAAATGTTTCTATGAATATTCCCAACCAGTTCTATTTGTATACTTGTGTTCCCATTTATGAAATTTCTATATCATTTATGTGCATGGATGTTTATATTTAACAGAAAATTTCAAATAGTATTCCAAAATTTGTGTAACAATGTGCATTTTCTATCTGTTCTGTATTAAAATCCCACTTTCCTTTTGAAATGCTTTTGCCTTCCTAAATATTTTTTTTTCTGAGACAGTTATCAGTATTTTTCAGACATACAGAAACTCTGTTATTCTAGGTGTAAGGATAAATCTAGTCCATGATTAGCAGCACATAATTAATTTAGTCCACCACATATAGTTAATATTAAACAATATGAAAAAAGAAAAGGACATTAAATATTAAAGGACTAGGTACATTTTTGAAAATTTAAGACTTTACAGTTGAATATCCTAACATTCAGTGAAAACTTTCTTTCTACCACTGAGCTTTTTAAAGCATTAAAAAGCAGCTGTCCAGAAGTTCAAAGTATTAAAGGAGGTTGTAAAGAGCTTTAGATCAGCACTGCAGCCATTCACACATGAAATTTGAGAAGGCTTTTGTGGGCTGGATGTAGTAGGTAATTAATTTGGGAAAATTCCAGGGGTTAAGACCAGATGAGTTGTTCTACTTTTTCTGGACCTGCTGCTGATGATAAATGGTTGAGAAGTTCTTGTTTGTTGACATTGTGAGAAACTTCCATAAGCTTCTGCCTCTCCAAGAGGAAAACTAAGAAGTCCTGTGCATTATGGGTTAAATTTCACACCATAATAGCTTGGTTAACATTTTGCAATGTGGATTCTTTTAAGTGACAATTTTCCTACATAAGATGATGAAATTTCTAGCTCAGAGAAAAAGAAATTGGTTATCATAGAACTTTAATGAGACTGGTGGGGGTAAGTAACTAATGTACAATGTATCATCATGTTCTTCTAAAGTAGCACTTAATCTAAAAACTATATATAGAATGGGACTCATAAGTCTTTAATATAAAAGTCAATGACTATTGTTACTTAGGGGGAAAAAAGGCATTGGCTTCAAAATGCCAATGATTTAATGTCTGTGTTAGTGAGATACTAAAGAAAATATTGTTAAACTTCTATAGGAGATAATGTTTGTTTGTAAAATTACAAATATATCGAGTAAATTTCTACAGATTTATAAAAAATGATTATAAAATGTAGCTTAGATATGACAGACCTGTGACTTTTGTCATAATAACTTCTATTAAAAATATATTGCAAGTTCTAATGTCACATTTTCTAAGAAATTTGTTTAGAAACTGCAATTAAATAATTCAGAAATAATTAATTCAGAAGACAACCCATTAAATTATAACCCTCCCCACAGGTTAACTTGGTGCCAAATGTATTGTTTAATTTATCATTCTTAGTATTTTTAGACGGCCTCAAGGCAGGGAATGAAGTAATAATAAATAGGGAATAGTGGATAATTAGAGAAGGAAATGTGGAACAAAATTACTAAGGGCTTTAGGTGAAGTTCATTATTACTATTTAATAGTGCCCAAGAGCATTCGATCAAATTATGGATCAAGTTTTAAAGTGGGCTGAATGAAATCCTTGTGGAAGAGAGTTTTCTGCTTTTTTTTCCACAGAACTCAGCAAAAGTGTCATAAAATATCTTCAAAATCTTCACAAATCATTTTTGATCAAGTCTTATGAAGAATAACTTGGAGGAATTGTGTATATGTTTTGCAGTTAAGGAAAACATATTAAGATAAGTGAGATTGCCTAAAAATGAAGAAAATGGGAGGGAGAGAGTGTATTCGAAGTGTCTGAGGTTGGCAATATACTGTGTGCCCCACATACTGAGACCATTACGTGATTAGGCAGAAAGGCACTGCCTAAGCAGTGAGGTGACTGGGTAAGTGACATATTGCAGTACAGCCTGCAGGCCATTTAATGCATGGGAAAATCTTGCCTTTCTAACTGTAGAGATTTTCTCTTTTCTTTTGGCTCACCCTAGAATATCATATTTCCATTACTATTTCTGAAATAATGGAAATAAACTTTTAAAAGTGTACATGTATAATTTTTTTCTTATCTTGTTTCATTTCATTACCATAGTCATGATGCAACCTATAAATACTAACCAGTCCATGTGTTACAAAGATTTTCCTCACTATTTTGTAAGTAAAGACAGTTTATTTAGGTAATAAGTTAGAGATACACAGTTTCTGTGGGCAGTACACACTAGGAAAGAAACATTTGTGGTTAGTGGAAGGTAAGTGTGTTAGGCTTGCTTGTTCAACTATATGGTGCTTCGTGCTCAGTGACGTGGTTGGAAATTCTATTGGGACTAATAATAATAGTCTTAATAATAACAATAGCATGTGCTTACTTCATGAATTTTAGAAAATCCATGCCTTATTTATGTACAACTTGACTAGTAATGTTCATCATGGTACTTGGTAGACTAATTAAAATACTTTGCCTTTAAATAAAATAAATAGCACTATTTCAAATTTTCTCTATAATAATTGCAGCTGCATTGTTTAATATATTCATAAATTGATATGAAAATTATTTCATAGTTGTTGTATAACCTGTGGAAAAGATATTTTTGTTACTCATTTAAAATGGTATTATTTTGAGGCATGAATTCTCAAAAATAAAAAGAGGGCTGGGCGTGGTGGCTCATGCCTGTAATCTCAGCACTTTGGGAGGCTGAGGCGGGCAGGATCACCTGAAGTCCGGAGTTCGAGACCAACCTGACCAACATGAAGAAACCCCATCTCTACTAAAAAAAATACAAAATTAGCCGAGCATGGTGGCATATGCCTATAATCCCAGCTACTCTGGAGGCAGAGGCAGGAGAATCGCTTGAATCCGGGAGATGCAGGTTGCGGTGAGAGATTGTGCCATTGCACTCCAGCCTGGGCAACAAGAGCGAAACTCCATCTCAAGGAAAAAAAAAAAAAGTAAAAATAGAAAAAAGTGGAAAATGGCATTGAGTACAAAATCTTAAGGCTAAATTACTCAACTTTATCCATCTTTTATAAGTTGATAATCAGAGTGATTTGTTCAATGCAATCCCCTGACAATTTCTAAAATATTCACCTTTAATCAGATGCTGTGCTAGGACCTGGAGATAGTTAATCTCAGAACTCCAGGGATCCAAACTAATAGTAAAGATAGATACATATTCATTTGCTTTTAAACGATATGTTTTACAAAAGGTATAAACAAAAGAGGTCATGAAAGAGCAATTGGGGAGGAGAAGGCTTTACAGAAGAGTTAATGTGTGAGCTGATCTTGAAGGACTTGGTTTATGTTTTTCCCATTGAGAAAGGAGGGCAGAGATTCTAAGAAAGCATTAAAAAAAGATGCAACTCATTCACAGCATTGGTGAGAAGTTCAGTTGCTGGAGCATAGGGCACAGATTGAGTAATGGGTGAAACTGAAGATAGGAAGAAAAGGTGGGCCCTAGTATGAAAATGTTATAATCCAATTCTAAAAAAAAAAGTGTCCATTTATAATGAGAAGTATGCGATGACTTTAAAGAGAAAATATCATGACTTTCTTTTTTTTTAAAAAAAGACTTAGATATATATAAAATGCATTATAAGGTAGAAAGGGGAGTTATAAGAATAGAAATATGATTATATTATATCAGATATGAGAATATATTATATTATGGTAAGAAAAATTTGAGCCTAGCATATAAGATTGTTTGGAGCAAAACAATAATTATTAGAGATTTGACAGGTGTTTGTTATAGTTTTTTCAAGACAGACATGATGGTAGTTTGAAGTGAATTTACAGAATCTGAGCATGGATTAGTTGTATAACAGGGGTGGTGGGTCTTGAGGGCAGGTAGCAAAGCAAAGAACGACTTGAAGGTTTGAAATTGAAATTCTGAATGGACCTGGATAGCATTTAATGTGATAGGAGAAACTATGAATGAAATATGAATATCTTTGTTCTACAGGGAGTTGAGTGGGGGGGATGAAGATAGTTAATTTTGAATATCATAAACCTGAAGCACTTCTTAATTATTCAGAAAAATGTGCAAATAATGCTTAATTGATTTTGTATTTAAATGAGTTAAAGGGACAGTGGATAAACAAACCTCAGGGTGTGTGTGTGTGTGTGTGTGTGTGTGTGTGTGTAACTTAAGATAAAGCCCATAAGACTAGATAAGGTTATCTAGGAAAAAGAGAAGAAGACAAGGACTGAACACTAGACCTGAGGTTCTCAGATTTTAAAGGTTGGGGAAAGGAAGAAATATCAATAAGAGAACTGAGATGTGTTGATGAGGTATAGAGAAGCTAAAAAAAAAGATCATGAGGGAGAGAATGATCAAACTTTTCAAATGATGAGAGTTTGGATAAGAAAGGTTTAGTAGAGTTTTGATGATAAAAGTCAAATTGAAATATGAGGTAGAGAAATGAGAAAGTCAAGATAGCAAATGTAGGTAACATTCTCCAGCTGTTTGGATATGATGGAAAACTGGAAAATGAGATGATAGCTAGAGGAGACTGTTGGGGCTTTATATTGTTGATCTATAGTATTGCTCCTCTTACACAAATTCAAAACTAGTTGAGAGTTATATAGGGAATGAAATCAATGGAATGATAATTATTGTTTGGAAACATTGTATTATTGGTATATTTTAGATTGGAAGATATGATTAAAGTATGCTTCCAAATGGACTTGTTAACTCTCTCTGCTTACTTCAAATCCCACCTCCTCCAGAAAAAAAAAAAAAAAGAAAAGGGATGAAACTTTGATACAGGGCTCCTGACAGCAGGTTTGAATTGGCAATGCAAATATTCCAAACTGTTTCTTGGTCCTGGTAGGAGAGGAGGAAAATCTCATGTGCTCACAGCCAAATACATTAGCTCCAACAGTCAGGAAGCCAGAGTGAAGATAAGATGCCAGAAATACAGGTCAGGGTAATGTATTTTCCCCATCCATACTCAGCATTATATTCTTTTGCCTGCTGGTCATAAATTTTGATCATCAGGGTTTAGTTATACCCTTTGGAAGAATAAAACAAAGTCCATCCTGGCTATCCTGCTCCTACTTCCATCAGCTGCTTTTAAAACACCAACTACTTCTTGGTTAATTATCCTGGTTCCCAAAGGGGGCAGTGTAGAATCTGCCCTCAGGTGCCAAATACATTAAATTAATTATAATCCCACCATGTACCCAAGGCTGTACATTTACTTTTTATCCCATTATCCATCCCACATATGTACAACTCACTCTATTAATTTGCCCAATTGTCTGCAATAAGATTAAATCGTCTGAGAAAGGCAATGCTGGCAATATAAAAGTATCCCCTATATGACTAGGGGATACTTTATTACCCTGAAAGAGACAAAAGATATTTCTGTGTCTTCCTCTGCTACCGTCTCTCCTTCATTCATTCATGGCTCCTTATTTGTCCGGCCCAATTAACCTAAGACCAATTGCAGGACTGTACTCCAACAAAGTCAGGCTTATGAACCCAGCTCAATGAGAGAGACTGCACACTGGAGAAACCATGAGATGTCTCCACAAAGGAAAAGATAAAGTTATTATAGAATTTGGGACAGGTAGAATTTAGGTGAAATCTAAGTGGAACAGTGTTTTGATAGCATAAACCCAAAGCTTAGCTTGTGTAAAGGGGTCAATATGAGATCTGGGTTCAAAAGTGAGCCCATGATTTTGTTTCCATGGAAATTCAAAGTTAATTTAAGTGTAGAATGGTGTGTCCACAAAAACCATTATCTACATCTCTGCACATGGACTGAAAATTGAAGCTGCTCTTCTGCATCAAAATAACTTAGATCCCCAGGAAAGAACGCCATATTTCATTCTTGCCTATGCTTTCAAACATCAGTGTTACTGATGTTATGATATTTAGGGAACGAAGTTTCTTGGTGATTAAGAAATCAGTAGTCACTAAAGAAGATGGGTCCTTATGACACGTCACAGCTGCAGCATATTCTCATAGATATGCTTATTTTAACTTTGAGCTGGCCTTACTTATGTTTGTTATCCTAATGTAATGACAAGAAGGGCGAATTTTTACTTTCTCAGCATGAACTGATTTTTGTTTTCTTATTACAGACTTGTTACATGTAAGGATCTCTTCATTTATCATTTTCTCCATCTGGAATTGTCTTGCCTCACATATTCACACATGTCAAAACCCCTGAGTTTTCTCAAATTTCACTTTGTCAGTCCAGCTTTATCCTACCCAAAATTTCATCTGTCTCCCTGAAACGTATTTTCTACATCCTGTCATTATTTTTTTTCTCAATAGCCCTTACCACCATTTATTTACTTACTATAGGAAACAGCCTTTAAAAGGATGCAATAATCCTTATTCCTGATATTCGTGCCCTTGCTTAATCTCCTGTCTCCTAAATGTAGGAAGGATGTATTGACTCATATCTAATAAATAGAATATGGTATAAGCAGTAGGATGCACCTTCTGATAGTAGGTTACAAAAATAACGGTGGTTTCCACCTCACAGGCCCTTGCTTTGGGTGAAGCAAGCTGCTATTTGGTGAGTAACTCCGTGGTCAGTCTCACATTGAAATAAATGATGTCTCCAACCAACAGTGAATAGTCATGTGAGTGAGCTTGGAAGTGGACCTTTTGGATTTTTGGATTTTCTGACTGCATCAATGAGTCAGATAATATAATATGATGCTAACATATTAGCATTCATATGCTAATATGTCATATAGATGACATACTAGCAGCGTGTTGAAAGACCCTGAGCCAGAGGCAGCCTGACTAGCTGCACCTGAATTCCTGGCCCACAGAAACTGTGAACTAATAAATGTTTAAAGTCACATACTTTTAGGATAGTTGATTATGCAGTGATATATTACTTTTACACTATTTAACTTGTTTTCCATTTGGCCAAACAGAATGTTAATCCATGGAATAAGTGATTTTGTATTGTTTTTACTGCTTTTTTCTTTGTCCTTAGAACTGGGAATGACACTATAATTGTATGTTAATATATAAACATACGGTTTCCAGGATTTGGTAGCCTGATAAGGAAATAAAATATGTAGTCTTAATATATTAAACTTTCCATCTAATATACGGGTAACTTGTCTGATCACATAAGGGTTTATTTTACAAAGAAAGTCTAGTTAATTGTAGGCACCAAGAAAATAGCAGCCTAGAAATTAGTAATTCTTTTTAGCCCACATGACCCATATTTTGAGTGGCCAATAATGCTTTGCTTTTTATTCAAATCAAGAACTAAGCAGCAGAGGAGTTCATCAGCTCTCCCTCAATTTTTCCTTTAACTCTTCCAGGTTATTTTAAAGAACAAGCCTCATATTATACAGTAGCATTTTCTGATAAATATAGTGATTTAACAATCACACAGTCCTGTTTAAACACAGGTTTTATTGGTCACAAATTTCTTGCTTAGCTACAACTATCAATTACCAAGCAAAGTGGTTTCATAAGTTGATGTATACTATAAAAAACAGCATACAATGTTGAAATTATTGTAAATATCAATAGGAGTGACCTATTGATGATGAGTCACTCCAGTTCTCTTATAAATCAAGCTTCTATATGTGTGAGGGGTTCTTTCTAAGACCTCCACTCAATTCAGTTAGTTAATTTTGCCACCCCAATGGCAACGTAAGCTATCTTACAAACATTGGCTTTATTACAAATCATAATGATTGTGGAAACAAGTCCTCATTCTTTACAGTTCTTTAAAAGAGAGCATTTGCATATTCTTGGGCTTGGGTTTATTGGAAAAGGGTTGCCAAACGTGCCTCCCAAAATTGAGAATTTTGATTGAAATGAATCTAGATATCAAATGGGAATGAAAAAGTCTAAAACATTAAATCTATCCTTACATCAACTTCTTGCAAATCTTTGATTCTAGACATTTAATATTTTTGATGTTATAACTGATAAAACTATTTTAAAATATACGTTGTATTCTGTATTGGTAGTGAATTTAATTATAATTGACAGTAATACCCTTTATGAAGAGAAATCCTTAATTTCAATATTATTAAACTTAACAATTTTTGCCCTGTCATTTGTACTATAGAAGTTGTACGCAAGAAGTTTCTTTTCTGCCTCTAGGACACAATAAACATTTCCATCAGTTTCTTTATTAAATTTACAGTTCAACTTTCAACATTAAATATTCAGTAAATCTATGTTCTATCCTTGTATGTCTTGTTTGATTACTTTTTTTGTTTGTTTGTTTTGTAAGAGTTAGGTTTCTTGATGCAACCTACTTAACCTCTTCATCTTTCCCCAGTGATTTATGGTAACATATTATTGTATATAAAATGGCCATATATATACCTGGTCTGTTTCTGGCTGTCTACTCTTTCAATTGGTTTATCTGTATGTTCTTGTACATCCCAAACATTAGCAAACATACTATAGTATATTATAGTATGCCTTACTTGTTCTCTTTGAAGAATTGATTGGGCTTTTTGTGTATGCTTACACATCTCTATATATTTTAGAACAAATTGAAGGTTTTGTGAAAAAAAAACAGAACATTCTGGAATAGGAGTTGCATAGAATTTTCATAAACTTAAAAGTTAGAGGACATAATTGATGATATCCATTAGCAAAATGGATTATTATCTATAATATGCAAATAACTTTTTAAAATTAATAACAGAGATACATAAGTAATAGTAGAAAATGGATAAATTATATATGCTATTTATGGAATAAACTGAGTCAATAAACATATAAAGAAATGCTTAAAATCATTAGCATTTAAAAATGCACATCAAAGCAATATTGGTATATCATTTGCTACATCAATTAGTGTCAAACTAGAATACCTGAAAATTCTATGTGTTGATGGGCATGTTTGAAATTGTAAAATGCCCCTGGTCATGAAAATTTCTTTGAAATTCTCTCAGAAATCTAAATATGTTTTATGCTTAGCACAAAATAAGTGCTCAGTATATTGTGTTTACTAACTGCCTCAGGTTATCAAGCTCAAGAAAAATCACATTATATAGATATTTATCAACTTGAGCAGCAACACAACTATTATCTTACATTGCTCAATAAGGGTAATAATGCATGCAAATATTTTAAATGTTTTAAAATCCATATTAAAATGAATTACTGAGGCACAGTTCACACACATACAGAGGTTATACGTACATTAATTTTTTGTATAGACATAAACAATTTGAGGCAATTTTGCAATGCATAAATAGTAGGGATGAGATCTATTGGAATCTTTTCTGTAAGCATTAAGGGAAATAGAACACATAAAAAAGGTACATTTAAATCTCTTAAATATGATAAATTTTTCCTCTCTTTGTCTCTGTTACCTTGGATAATTATTTATTGTCTTTACACATTTTAATATATTTTATATTTTATATTCAATCAAAACTCATTTTACATTCTCCCTAGTGCATTATTTCTGTATAAGCACAATCAAAACCCTAAATTCAATTATCTTAAAGCAGCTAAAAAAACCTTCTTTCTTCACCATGGTAGACATCTATGTCACTACATAGTGTGCAAGAGGCAGCAAAGAAATGAATATGGAATCTAAGTACAGGTCAGCGTGATATAGACTGCAGAAAAAATGGACATGACAAGAGGATGACAAGTCAAACAGAGTCGAAAGGAACTATGTAAAAATCAAAGCAGTAATGAATTGTACTAGGCACAGCCAGCCCCTGTTATCAATAGATGAATTGAAATCCCTGGTTTTTTATTTTTTATTTTTTGAAGGGTAATAGTAGACAATGAAAATGATAAAACTGTGAAACTTAGTTCAGTAGTATAGGAAAATTGTACTACTCTGCCGAAACCTTTTTATTCTGACATCCATTTTATTTTGATGAATTTCTTCAGGTGTTCTCAGTCAAGAGTTTAATCTTCCAAAACTCTAATTACTACAACTGCCAAGCCCCCAAAATAATATCTAATAATTATTATTTCTCCTAGTATACAGAATTATTTCAAAAATATTATTTCAGTTATTCCTTCAGACTAACTGATGTAGTAAGGTCAGGTACATATTGCTATCAGCAAACCTAAAATGTATTTTAAAAACTTAAGTAAGTTAGAAAAGATCTTTTAAAGAACAAAAAGATGTGAATTAAAATTCAGTTCTTCTGACTCCAAACACTGTGTTGCTACTATATTTTTTTGTTCAACTTCAAAATGGGAAGCAATAATAATTTACAATTTTATATTTCTGTCCTAATTAATTTTCAGTATTTAATGGGGTAAAGAGAATGGGGAACAATGTATTACAATGAAATCACTACAAAGTAACTACATTTTGTTTTAGTAAGATTATTTGCATGTCTTTTAAGAAATATTTATTGTGGTTTTATTGGCATACATATATGTATATATGTATTAATATATAAAACTCATAAAATTTGCTATTTTAATAATTTTAAGTGTAAATCAACACACACTGACATTAAATATATACACACATGTATATAATAACTACATGTAGTAATATGTCAAGACATCAATATCTATTAAAAATACATATTGTTAATAAAGAAAATAATAAAAATAAATTAGAAAATTATTTAAAGACCAAATCAAAATGTAAATATAGAAAATGTAATAAATGTGATTGAAAGGCTTAAAATCCTAATTAATAAGGGGCTTTAGAAAGACGACAAAAAAATTAGGAGGAAAAAATTTTAAAGTAATAACAGAAAATGTTCAGAGGTGAAAGACATACTTTTAGATTTGAAGGTTATACTAAATGACCACTATAAAAGTAAAACCAAAAAATTCTTATGAACTTTAAATATTAAGAATAAAAAGATTCTAAAAGCTCATTGAATGTTAAAAAAAAAGGTCATTTACTTGAGGAGAGTAGATTTTAAATGTTTTCACTACAAAAACAAGATATCTGAAGGCATATGTTAATTAGGTCAATTTAGTTATTCCACAATGTATACGTTTTTCAAAACAACATATTCCACAAGGTAAACATATACAATTTTTAAATTTATTAATCAAAATAAATAAATAAATGTTACTTACAAAAGAAAGTAAGTAAATCTAAATCAGACTTTCCAATAGAAACACTGGAAGGCAGGAGAAATGGAACAGGCCGGGCGCGGTGGCTCATGACTGTAATCCCAGTACTTTGGGAGGCTGAGGTGGGTGGATCACAAGGTCAAGAGATCGAGACCATCCTGGCCAAAATGGTGAAACCCTGTCTCTACTAAAAATACAAACATTAGCCGGGCGTGATGGTCCGGTCCTGTAGTCCCAGCTGTTCGGTGGGCTGAGGCAGGAGAATCGCTTGAACCCAGGAGGCGGAAGTTGCAGTGAGCCAAGATCGTGCCACTGCACTCCAGCCTGGCGACGGACGTGCCACTGCACTCCAGCCTGGCGACGGAGCGAGACTCCATCTCAAATAATAATAATAATAATAAAGAAATGGAACAGTGATTTCAAAGTTCATGTTTTTATTTTATTACGATTTTAGGAAAAATGTAGAGGTTAGTGGTATAGCATGTAAAATTATTAGTGTAACTATGAGAAAAGTTTAATAAATTAGAAAAGAAAATTTAGAAAAATATAGAGGAATCATATGTTTATCTAAAATTTTTGAGAGTTAAGAGATGGCACATGTATACGTATGTAACTAACCTGCACAATGTGCACATGTACCCTAAAACTTAAAGTATAATAATTAAAAATAGAGATACGTCGAATATTTATTGCTAAAGAAATACATTTGAATGTAATTTTTCAATATATAAATTTATAACTCATACCAAAAGTACAATTAAAAACAGTAAAATTTATTTATCAAACATTGGGCCAAGGGAATAGTGTAAATCATCTAAAATCTCAGTATTCATCGGATAGCCAATGGATATTGTTTAAAGTTGTTAGATCAAGCAATAGGTATAACTTTGTTTTAAGCAGTTACTGAGGAAATCACTGGTAAAACTGAAACAAAAAGAATTAAAAGAACTAGATTCAGAAGTGTCTGATTGAAGTTGAAGAAGAAAAAGGCCTGAGACAGACTTTTCATTGTAACATTTTGTGTTATTTCTTACTATAAACATATAGTATTCAGATACAAATTTAATTGAAATAAAACTACAGCAAAAAAGAAGTATATTTTCTTGACGCAAAGCTTAAGCAAATAGATAAACCAACTTAGATCATACAGAAAGGATGTTAAAGACACTACCAAATCTTCATGAATCTCACTATTTGAATTTCATCATATTTAGTTTCTTAAAATCCGTCCATTTAATTTTTATTTATCCCAGTAATATAACAAAATATAATGGTGTTATAGCTAAAGTAGTGTGACTTGAATTACTAGACATATGAAAACCCATTCTTTGAATATTTTTCATTGGTTTATAAGATATTTAAATATATTTGTTTGTTTTCTTGATAAATTTATTTCATATATATCTGGTGATAAACTCAAAGATTATTAAAATGGAATTTCAGTTTTAAAAAGGTGTTAATATGGTTTTGTTGTAACACTTTCATATCATTTCATATTCTTTTAAAATACCTATTATAAAATGATATGCTTTAGTAATAATTTTGAAAGCATTCTTTATAGGTCTATTTAATTATGTATTTCATGTCATGAAAGTTCATTGATATATGCATTGTACATAGTATGTCTTCTTGAGATTCATTTAGGTCCTGAAATGGAATATACAGAATAAAACAATGAAAAGAGTAACAAGCAGATTCCTATTTTGCTAAACATGGCCTACACAATCAAATCTTGAATTATAACATTCTAAAATGCGAGCTTAACATTCCAAAATGTATTCTTTTACTTTGTACTCATCTTTATCCTCTGCTTTCTTTATAACTTTTCTGAGAGTTGATGGTTCTTAAACTCACACATTCAGCCTGGCCAGGATTATGTGAATATATACACTTGTTTCTTTCTTACCAAACCCACTGTTTTTTTATTTTATCCTCTACTCATACTCACTCCCTAGAAAAATACTTTCCCTTAAAACCAATCTCATATTTATGGAACAATTATCAAGTGACCTGCTGCACCCCCTCCCATAAACTTAGGGACTTTCTTACATAATTTAGGCCCTAGCATCCTGAACAACATTAATTTTTTTTTCATCAAATACATTTTTATTTTTGTTTGCTCTATTTTTTCAAATAACTTACATTCCAATAATCTGCATCTCCACTCCCCTCTAGTTTAGCAACATCCTTACCATACCACTGCTAGGATTTTAACCTGCTCTATTTGTGACATTTAAAATGTGGAATTTTTCTCTCTGAATAAACCTTCATACCTGGGGCATTCTCCTACGTCACAATATGCTGGACACTGAATGAGTTTTGCAGTTTAAATATGTTTCAGCCTTGCTGACTATGTAAGTTTAGAAATAATATTTAAGCTCTAAGCCTTAGAGTCTTTCTTTCTTCTTATAAGAAATGAACAAAAAATGCTATTTATCCCACAGGGTTTGTTTCAAATCTGTGTTGTTTCCCTCACCTCTTTAACTATAGTATATCCATTTTCCTTATTGCAGAGAACAGTTGATTATACGGTATATGTTTCCTTACTTTGCAAAAAGAGTCAACAAGATGGAAATACTACTTCTTGGCTCTTACATTACAGATATAGCCATTCCCTCATACTTATCTCCTTTGCTGCTATCCCAGGGAAAAAAGAGAAATTTCTCCAGTGTATGGCTTTTTTTTGTAAGTTGAGTTTTAAAATTTGTTTGTTTTACCTGTAAGAAAATAACTTCATTAAGATCATATCTTTTCCTTGCATTATTATGCCCTCAATGGATTGTGATATAAGGAAAATAATAAGTTTAATAACCAATTAGAACCAAGGAGACTGTGACTGGGAAGATGTTTGATCCTGTGGACTAAGGAAACACATGGGATGGATAATTACTGACATTTGTGAACCTACAGAGATAATCATCTTTATTTCCTTATCGCTGATTGTTAGGTGAATACAATAGCAATAAAGAAAACAGCCAGCAATTATTCCTGGGCCTGATGTGTAATTATTTGAGTGATTACTTAATTTTTATTAAAAATGCAAAAGAAGTTGATATAATTATACATTCAATAGCTAAAGGAATTGTCACAAAAATGAAATTTAACTTTATGTGCTATTTTGTCATAATCATCACAAGAGAAGTAGAACACAGTAACTCAATGGCTTTGTATCTTAGGAAGAATACATGCAGCTGCATTACAAGATGTCCATAGGCAATTTTTACATCACCAATATGTGCAACTGAATGGGCAATCTGGTAGCTAATTTCTAATCTTGTATCTTTAGAGTTTTTAATAATGTAAACAATGCCAACATTAGTCCATGAATTAATCTAACATACTTATTTTCTTGCTAAATATTAGCAATTATTTTTACTCCATTTAAAAAATGAGTTCATGCTATAAGGGTGATGGACTTTGCAATACTGTTTTAAACAAAGCAACAGATGATTTCTAGTGAATTAGTTGAAAATTCATCTCTAAATGTGCCCTCCACTTCTACAACATAAAATTTTCCAATATGTTCTTCAGCAACTACAGCTTAAAATAGCAAGACAACAGATTTTCATTTTATACTGTCACATTCGATTACTTCTGTTTCAAGTCTTGACTGAAACTTTGACATATACATCAATAATTACTGTTGTTCCTATTTAAAAGTAAGCAGATTTCAAAAGTTCTTTTTTCTTTTCTCTTTTTCTTATTAAAAGGATTTTGTCCTTTCTTGGGCAGTGTTGGTATGTCAACATTACACATTGTTTTATTTGTGAGCAGAAGAAAACAATATTCAAGAAAGGTGAAATGAGTGCTAATGAAAATGTTTATCCAATATTTAGACTTTCAAAATGATTCAGAATCCTTGTCTTGCATCAATGATCTAGACAAATGAGGGCCAAATCAGAAATAATCAAAATGATATATATCAGAGAAATATAGAAATGGTTACTATAACCACAGGTATATGTAAAATGTTGTTTCGTGGGTTTGTAAGCTTTAAAGTTCTTTTTAATGTTTTTTAAAATATGTTTTCTACATTAGAGTTATTTTGTATTACTTTTGATTGTCATGTTGCATGTGATTAAACGTTATTGCAAATTTATTATATGCTGAGCATCACATGAGTGTCTTTATAAACATTATCCTATTTTTGGAAGCTGAGCATGATTTCTATAGTAACATATATATTTAATTAGCAATTAGTTAATAATCATTAGTAGAGTATCACTTACTTTATTGCAATGTAGATAAAAATAAAAATTAGAGATTAATCTACCATTGATGGAATACAACTTTATCTATGCCACATATAAGCAGGCCTATATGAAGATCTCCAGAATGGATGAACAAGTCAATGGGTGAGTGAGACAGTAATCAAGGCAGATTCACAAATTTAATAAGGATGCCTTTCTTCTCAAAACACAAGTATCTTCACTGAGGATTCTGACAGCTATGTTTCCAATACTGAAATAGAATACATTAAAAAGTCATCTTAATATAGCCCTTGTTAATAATTTGAGTCAAATATTTGATTAATTTTTCACTGTAAAGCAGTATTTTGTTCTTTTGTTACTATATACAAAAATATATTTGGAGAATTTTTACTATTTCAAAGTCAATGAGGGTGCTTATTATACTGGCTTCTAATTTTACTATAGAGTAATGAATTTGTCATCATTCATTATATTGTCTACATTCTAATTCATTATCATATATATTTGCTAGTAAAGCATAAAAAATTATTAACCTATAAGAAATAATATTGGAGAAAGTAGTCATCTTTACTGCTTCACGAAATTCTGGAAGTCTTAATAACCTCTTTTCCATATTTTGTTGTAAAGAAAATTTGAGAAATTACTTCTTTATGTAATATATACAATGTTTGCTTAATTTATAGTCACTTCATTTTGAATAAAGACTGCTTAACTTCTCAGTCTTCTTTGTCAATGTTACATTATGAAACCCTGAGTGTTAGCTTGGCTCAGTGTCCATGGAGACAAATCCCAGATTCCACAATAGCAGCAGGATTTATATGGCACTATTCCTATAAGTGTATCACTTTGGACTTAATAATATTCCATAACATAACAGAAAAAAGCTAAAGTACCAGACCACTCAAATCCATGTTTAAAAGAATAAAATTAAACTTATTCTGAAAGTATAACAGTAACTCATTTCCAGATGACATAAAGAGGCAGGCGTCAGAGAAGTTTATTGCTATTTGTGTGAACTGTCAGGAAAATAGAGAATTACTCAGTTGAGCACACCAAGAGACTTATTATTACATACAAATCATGAAATTCAATACAGAAAAGTGGTCAGGAATCACATGGCAAAAATATTTATGTATATATATTTTGCAGGTATCTTTTTTATATCTTTATATTTATTAATAGATATAGAAGAATAGTTGTAGAAACATAGAAGTAATCAAGATGTTTGCCTTTCATCATCAACAGTTTGGGTTTGGGGAGACTCCCTGTTAATCATGCTTGTATGTTTGTTTGTTTTTGAGACAGCGTCTTGCTCTGTCACCCAGGCTGGAGTGCTGTCGCGCTATCTCAGCTCACTGCAAACTCCACCTCCTGGGTTTAAGGGATTCTCCGTGTCTCAGCCACCTGAGTAGCCGGAACTACAGGAGCCCACCACTGCTTTCGGCTAATTTTTATATTTTTAGTTGAGACGGGGTTTCACCATGTTGGCCAGACCAGTCTCAAACTCCCAACCTCAAGTGATCCGCCTGCCTCGGCCTCCCAAAGTGCTGGTGAGCCACCGTGCCTGGCCGAATAATTCTTTTTTTTTTTTTTTTTTTTTAAGATGGAGTCTCGCTGTGTCACCCAGGCTGGATGGAGTGCAGAGGCACTATCTCAGCTCACTGCAAGCTCCGCCTACAGGGTTCACGCCATTCTCCTCCCTCAGCCTCCCGAGTAGCTGGAACTACAGACTTCCGCCACCACACCCGGCTAATTTTTCTATTTTTAGTAGAGACGGGGTTTCACCATGTTAGCCACGATGGTCTTGATCTCCTGACCTCATGATCCGCCCGCCTTGGCCTCCCGAAGTGCTGAGATTACAGGTGTGAGCCACCACGCCCGTCCAATTATTCTTTATTCTTACATTGAAATGAACACACATGTATCACACAGGCTCACATGTCAATCAAGTCAGATTAATCGTATTAAGGCACAATTGTCATATTTTAATTCTTCAGATCAGAGTCTTTGTACATCTCTTTTGCTTTGGAAAAACTAATTATGTCACTAGAGAGCTTCAAGTTTAGACTCAGTTTTATTTTTAGTTTTCTCTTTCAAAAGTATTGATCATTCAACTTGTATGGATCAAGTATTTTCTTGAAAGTTCATGCAAGGAAAAGCCCAGAATTTAATGCATTTAACATTACTCAAGCACCAGTTGTGTTTTGGGCTAGGTATTTTAACTTATGATATCTCACTAATGTGTATTACAATGCTACAAAATTATAATGATGGTTTTATCATTGAAATCCTAGAGAACATGACATTAGCCCTTGAATTTGCTAGGTCAAGAAAATGACGTAGAATTTTTTTTTGGGGGGGGAGTCATTTTAAGTTTCTTTGCTTTTTACTTTCTAGCACAATTAAGATTTATATTCTTTCATTTTTAATAAAGAATTCCACCAAATTTATTCTTGGAAAACTGGAATATAATGTTATTTAAACTAGGACATTGTTCTACTCCTTAAATAAATATAGAAGTAATCGAGATGTTTATTTATTCTTGGAAAACTGGAATATAATATTATTTAAACTAGGACATTGTTCTACTCCTTAAAGGCAAGCATTTTACATGAGATAGTTTTACTGTGAAGAAATTAAGTTTATTGCACTGTATTTATATTTCTGTGATTGATAAGTCTATGGATTTCTGTATGCTTTCTATAATCTGCTTGACTCAGTTTCATCAGTTTCTGCAATTAGCAGAAGTTGACATATCTAAGTCAAAGCTCATGTTTTTCCCATCTTCAAAGGTAAAATAAATTTTTAGCTGTAACAAATATTTGAAATACTAATTTATGTGTAAATATAAGCACTCTAATAATGATCTTAAGTGACTGCTTAAGGAAGAAATACACTGTTTGTATCTGTCAATAAAACAAGAAACCATCCTGATTGTGCTACCTAGGCTCCAATGAACACACATGCCTTCTCCTGAAGATTGCAATATCATTGAATGTAGAATTAACATTCACCTCATTTAGGATATGTTCTGAAATGGAACTACTAGAGTTCAAATTGTGCTGAAAAAGTAAATAAGATAAAAATAATTTTAAAAAAACAGGAGACAGCATTGTGTATATTTATATTTTTCATCCGCAGATGAGTCATATCTAAATTATTAATTACTCATCACTCAGTAATTTAATATATAGTTTATTTAAAAAAAAACAGAAAATCCTATGGGACGTGGAAGAATAGAAAAGACTTCATTTTTTAAAGCCAGGGATAAACAAAGCTTGCATTTATTAAACATTAGACTTCTACCCAAAAACATAAATAGAAAACTACTTTCCAGTATTCAACATTCTCTCACACTGTTATATAACATCAATTTTATAATAAAAGTAGGAACCTCTAAATTTTGTGAACTATTTATATATACATATAAATAATTCATACTTACAACCTCTAAATATAAGTGCATATTGTACCTGTCATTACTTCGTGCACTACACTAGAATTCATTCATTTACATACCCTACCACTAATTTAAAGTATGTCCAGAACTGACACCCTACAGCCTTTCATTTTCTTCTCCCCCATTCTATTCCCTTAGGCGCTGCCTGACATTTGGAGTTTTTGCTCTTGGATAATCTATTGTATAATTTATGGCATCTAGATTTTGATTAATAAATATTTTAAATCTAAATTATTAAAATGTGGAGCAACTTGATTGACAATGCCTGTTCATTTAAAATATGATGATAAAATCTCTCCTTTTAGAGATTGTATCTCTTGGGATTAATGTACTTTACTTTTCTGGTACTTTTTCTGCATGTTATTAAGTATGAATGTTTTGGGGATTATAAAATTAGTCTAGCATAATCATAGTAGAGCTTGTGTACTACTTGTTGTAAAGTCTCTAATTTCTTTAACCTAGGTGCTTTTTTTTTTTTTTGACAGAGTCTCACTTTGTTGTCCAGGCTGGAATGCAGTGGTGCAATCTTGTCTCACTGTAACCTCCACCTCCTGGTTTCAAGCAGTTCTCCTTCCTTAGCCTCCCGAGTAGCTGGGACCACAAGCACGTGCCACCACGCCTGGCTATTTTTTTTATTTTTAGTAGAGACAGGGTTTCACCATTTTGGCCAGGCAGGTCTCAAACTCCTGGCCTGAAGTGATCCGCCCACCTCAGCCTCCCAAAGTGCTGGGATTACAAATGTGAGCCACTGCACCAGGCCCGAAGCTACTTCTAAAACTTGCATTACCTATTAAGTTCTGGTACTGTGTTAAGATGCCACGCAAGTGGACAAAGTTACCTTAAGAAGTTTTCAAGTCCATTTTCTAACACATTGTTAGCTGAAGTCAATTGACACAGGTCTCTCATTTCTTTGGGTTTGAATTGTGTCATTTTGAGTGATTGTTCTATTTGCTGTTATGCACCTACATTGTGGAACTCATCACTGCTTATTGACATCCTTTCCTTGGGTAAATTCTAAACTTAAAGCAGATATTTTGTCACTGAATTGGTTTAATGGTTTAGCTTCACTCTTTTTTTACCTTTTTGTTTTTTAATTATCTAAAGAATTTTGGAAACCTTAATGCTAAAGGTTAATATAAATATTTAAGTCATTTAAGATATAACTCTGGGAAGGGATGACAAGAAAACCATCTTAAAAAAAGAACCCAATATTCAAACTTCATGTAGTATTTTACAGTGAATTTTATCTTAGAATCATTTTATCCAAAATAATAAGCAAAGACAACTCTGAGCTTCATTATTTATGTAAAGTATTAGACTATATTTATGTATAAGTGTTTAACCATGAGCTCCTAAAAGGACACAGAAATCAGTAGCTCATAGTATAGATGTTGTAGGTTCCTATTCTTGTTGATTTCTATACATTTCTCTCAATAGTGAAATCAGTAAGCCGAATCAGTAAAATGCAACCTCATGATAATCACACACCTTAAATGAAGCATCTGAACCTGTTTGTGTGTGTGTGTGAGCTTGAAGCAATTATAATAAAATAAGCCTGGACATAAATAGTGAGATCTTGCCTGAAATTTTATACTAAACATCAGCTGGCTTTGAAATTACTGTTATTTGCACAACTTTTTTTCTGGACAAAAGGAATAAAGTCAATTGTAGCTTCCATAAAGACTGCAAGAGAATATGCTTCCCATCATATCTTTGGAGTATGAACAAAAAGTTAGCAAACCTCTCAATTTTCTTATTTATTTATTGTTCTGTTATTAAGCTATATTTTCAGAAAAACAATAAGTACAATATTATTGTTAATAAAGTACATATTAAATAATATTTACTATATTAAATATAAATTATTAATAATAGTAAATAGTAAAATATTATGTCTGGGAGTATAAGATTGGGAATTGGGAAACAGTGAGAAAAATGGATTTTAATGAGATAAATGTTCTCTCCCATGAGAAATAGACAAACATACATGATTTTTATTTATCAAAAGTGTATCATAAATTTCCTGCTACATTAATTTTACTAAAAAAATTAACAAATGAGTTAGAATAGAATATATGTATAATCACACAGCAGTGCCTAGAATCTCCAGTATAGTAAAAGGACATTTTTGGAAACCCTACTTATGTAATGTAAATGCTGCCCTTTATCCCTAGGAAGGAAGTCTCATTCTCCATTAATATATATCTCTGAGAACAAGCTTTTAGTATAAGCAATATACAATTCTAGCCATTTATTTCAAATATTAATTAATTTATTGTTTATAATATACAACAGTAATAAAATTATTAAGATATATGTAGGCTTTAAGAAATTTAAATTTAGAATGATACTTATTTTTGGATGGGAGGGAAAAAAGGAATGTGATTATGGAATGATACATAGGAAAATAAGACTGTCTTGAAAATATTTTTAAAGATGGATTTTTCTTATTTCATTTTTATTTAGTTATTACAAACATATTTTTAAGGAAGCAGAAAAGATGTGTGGAGAGCCTTTTATATTACTGGTACATGAATAAAATATAATTAATGATGTGGAGAGCAAATTGGACACTTTTCACAGTTTCACAGTGGAGGGAAAAAAGTGAAGAAAATACCAGCAGAAAAAGGAATAAATTAATACAAAAATACGGAGAAAGATGATTCTGGGATGATGGTGGAGTATAAATGACATATACAGAACACTCTACCCAACAATAACAGAATGCACATTCTTCTCACTTTCATGTGGGCCATTTTCTAGACTAGAGCATATGTTAGGCCACAAATGAATTCTTAGTAAATTTAAAAATATAGGTGTTTTGAGAAGTGTCTGTTCATATCATTTACCCACTTTTTAATGGGGCTGTTTGTTTTTTCTCTTGTAAATTTATTTAAGTTATTTGTAGATTCTGGATATTTGTCCTTTGTCACGTGGATAGATTGCAAAAATTTTCTCCCATTCTGTAGGTTGCCTGTTCACTTTGATAATAGTTTCTTTTGCTGTGCAGAAGCTCTTTACTTTAATTAGATCCCATTTGTCAATTTTGGCTTTTGTTGCCATTGCTTTTGGTGTTTCAGTCATGAAGCCTTTGCCCATGCCTATGTCCTAAATGGTATTGCTTAGGTTTTCTTCTAGGGTTTTTTATGGTTTTAGGTCTTATGTTTAAGTCTTTAATCCATCTTGAGTTAATTTTTGTATAAGGTGTAAGGAAAGGGTCCAGTTTCAGTTTTCTGCATATGGCTAGTCAATTTTCCCAACACCATTTATTAAATAGGGAATCCTTTCCTCATTGCTTGTTTTTGTCAGGTTTGTCAAAGATCAGATGGTTGTAGATGTGTGGCATTATTTCTGAGGCCTCTGTTCTGTTCCATTGGTCTATATATGTTTTGGTACCATAGCCTTGTAGTATAGTTTGAAGTCAGGTTATGAGGCCAACAAAAAAAAAGCATATGAAAAAAAGCTCATCATCACCGGTCACTAGAGAAATGCATATACCTAAAATAAAAGTTAAGAAAAAAGACAGTAAAAACACAACCCATAGAATGAGAGAAAATGTGTGCAAGTTATCTATCTGATGAGGTATTAATACCTAGGATGTATAGAAAACACTTAAAATTCAACAACTCTATTCCAGGAGGACAAATAACTTGAATAGATTATACAACGGGACAGTTGTCCAGTGTAAATATACTCAATATTAATAATCATCAGGAATATGCAAATCAAAACCACATGAGATACTAGCTCACATCCATTATTATGGCTGCTGTAAGAGACAAACAGAGAAAATAAGAAAGAAGCCAAAAAACAACAAAAAATATGTATTGGCAAGAACATGGAAATTGAAACACTTGTGCACTGTTGGTGGGAATGTAAAATTATATAGCCACTGTGGAAAACACTATGGTGATTCCTAAAAAAATGTAAAAATAGAATTACCATATTGTACAACAAATCGACTTTTGAGGAAACACAAGAATTGACAGCAGGATATAAACAAAAATGTCTGTACACCTCTGTTTACAGCAATTACTCACAATAGCTAAAATATGGTAGCAACCCAAATGTCCATGATGGATGTATAGATAAGCAAATGTGGTATATACATACAGCAGAATATTATTCAGCCTTCAAAGAAAGGAAATTCTGACATCACAACATAAGTGAGACTTGAGAATATTATTATGAGTGAAATAAACCAGTCAAAAAGACTGTGTGATTCTATTTTTATGTTTGCTTAGAGTAGTTAAAATTATAAAGATGGTAAGCAAAATGATGGTTGTTAGAGGCTGTCAGAAGAAATAGGGAGTCGTTGCTTAATAAGTACAGAGTTTCAGTTTTGCAAGATGAAAAAAGTTCTGGAGATTGATGGTGGTGATGAGTGAACAAAATTCATGTACTTAACACCACTGAACTGTACACTTATAAATGGTTAAGATGGTAATGTTTATGTTATGTATATTTTATCACAATAAGTGATTGAAGAAAAATAAGGAAAGGAAGGAGAGAAAGGAGGAGAGGGATAGAGAGCAGACAAGAGGGAGGGAGATAGAAGGAGAGAGGGACAGAAGAATGGGAGATTTTTCTTAATCTTAAGAGAAATTTTAATATGAACTCTAAGTCTATATCTGAATATAATTTTTGATATAATAAATACTATTATCTTGGAAAAAATCTTAGCAGTAAAGAAACTCAAATGTATACAGTGGTATAAATAGATTTTTTTTAGGAGTGTGGTTTTTAGCTTATAATTTTTTAGTTCATTTTAAAGTTCATGTGTGAAAGCAATACGAAATCATTCTGAGATTCTGGAATTTAGAAAATATATTTAACACTATCCTTCCTGAATATCTCCATGAAAAAAGGAATAAACACACACACATATACACATATACTCAGTAATCCAGAATGTATTATTAAACTATTTTATAAAAATTATATTATCTTATTTGATTTGATTTATAATATAAGCAACTTTTGAAAAATTTTGAGAAGTGGAATTGGAGCTAGAAATATTAATGCGTAGACAAGTGTATTGAAATGGACTTGAAAGTTAAATAAAATGCACTACTTTTTATAGAAAAGATGGGCATAAGAGGTTTGGACCCTATACCAAAAGAGCTAACATAATAATCAGTGACTAGGTCCTGGAAGAGATATACACACAGTAGTTAAAATTGGACTGGAGTAGTAAGAAATGAGAAACTCTAAGTGACACAAGACAGTGAAAGAATTGATAGAAATATAAGGGAAGGGGGCAGGCGTTGAAAACCATCTATTGGATATTATGCTCACTAACTGGGTGATGGGTTCCATCTTACTCTAAACCTCAGCGTCATACGATATACCCTTGTAACAAATCCAAATGTGTACCCTCTGAATCTAAAGTAAAAGTTTTTTAAAAAGAAACATAAAAATGAAAACAAAAGCCATTACAAAGTTTGTTTCTTCCTTTAAAACACATACATGCAAACACACACACACACACACACACAGTCAAATAATATTTCCAAGAAATTGCCCTGTCCTATTATTTATCCTAAATACATAAGTTTGATGTAACTGTAATTATAATATTATCCTATCAAATTTTTAAGGTAGTGAAAAAAGTGTATAAAATAGAAGAGAAATTTGTTTAAAAACAAGTGTCATCACTGAGAAAATGTGCCGCACATCTAATTGGAAGGAGAATTAAGAGAGAAAACATCACAGGAAATGAAGGCATGAAGTTAAGTGAACACACGGTAGTTTCATGAGCACTGGGGTGTGGGTCCTAGGTGAAAGGAAGAGGTTGGAGAGGGAAGATATCAAGTGTGTCATGGATATGCTGACAAAGGATTGTGTGATATGCCTACACTCAAGGTAGGAGTCAACATTTTGCTTGCTAAGACCTATTGACTGAATGAGATCTGAGATAGAATTACAAGGAAAGTTTGGGTATATCTTTCACTAGTGTTCGTTGCAATTGCTTAAAAATCATGATTCATAGAAAAGAATCACTTAAAATAAGCAAGGAAACACAGTAAAGAAAAACAGAGAACGAATTTACAACACTTAAAATATAGGCATGTAGTCAATTCTCAAAAGGAAAATCTCAATATAAGAAAGAAGTAGAATTTTTTTAGATTTTTAAAAATCTGATTCAAGAAAATATAAATTTCAATAACAACCTCTATGATATCACAATAAGAGAGAAAAAATAGTACTTGCTGTTTCTTTCTGGCAGCAAACTAAGTGGATGCTTAATTCACTTAATCAAATATTTCATCCGTGAACATGATTTTATGGTAGGGAATATGGGTTCTTAAAGATCCTTGCAATATTTCATTGCACATCCCTATTTAATACAAATATCTGTGAAGGAAATGTGTTAATCAGTTTCCTTAAGTTGCTATAAATAAATGAATCAAAGAGGTTTATTCATCGGTTGTACTTACTTTGTGAAGAAATATTTTACAGCTAAAGCCAATTAAATTTTCAGTAACTTATCACAGAAATTATATGAAGCAGCAGGCCAGTCTGTAATGACTTTGTGAAGGGAATGCTTAGAATATTTCCAACAGAATTCTGTTATCTGGATTACTATCATTGTGGACCAGGGAAATGATTTCTTTTTTTAATTTGGGGACTTAATTGTTTATTAGCTCAATTATATTAATATTTTAAATTTTATTCTACTCATTTATGACATACTAATTCCAGCAATATATTTTGTTCAGAAAATGTGAAGTGGTAAAACAGGGATATTTAAGAATTTTTCTTTAAAGAAACAAGATTAAGGATCAGCCTTTTCTAAACAGGTGTGGCCTCCTTCTACATATTTCTCAACCATGATAACATTTACGAATAACAATCAAGTAATCGCTTTTATTGATTTATAGCAATAGTTAGAATTAGATAAAACACTATATGTAACTCTACCATAAATTAGACTGTCAGAAAACAAATGTGCCCCCATGTAGGCAACTGCCATGCTGAAGCAGAGCACGCCTCTCTCTTGCACTCTCAAATGTGTGTCCTTTGGAAGATAGCTAGTTCTTCATAGACCCAGAAACTTGAGCAAGTGGAAAGAATGTTGCAAGAAAAATTGAACCATTTTACAGAAGTTGGAGATATATACATGTACATCATGGTTTCTTAAAGTGAAGAAATGGAGGATAAGGAAACCAGTTGCTAGCATGATCTATTTCCCCACACAACACAAAGACATGATCCGACTTGATTTTTCTTGCATTGTTATTGAATTCCTCATACCCTTACAGTTATGCACACTTTGCTAGGAAAATTTTATTAATTTAGTACAGCAAAAGTAGAAAACAAATATATTACTATCAATTTTTCCTTTATAATGTGATAGAAGCATTTTGTGCAGTGGAATAATGCTGTAATTTATAGAAAAAATGTTTTAGTGTAAATGGATCTGTGATACTATAAATTTACTTATGTAAAGCAAAACATGTACAAATATGTTTTAGTGTATGGAAAGACATGGAAGCACAATATTTGAGTACAGACTTTTATTATTTTGAGCGTATTATTATATATTCAACATTATTTTAAGTATATTCTTATGTACTCAATATTTTGAGTATATATTTCTAGTGATTTAAAATAATCTCAGGCTCAATTCTTTCTTATTCTTTAAACTACAAAAGAGTCAATTCATATTTTTATTAAGTGAATTTATATTAATATTTACTCTAAACTTGTAATTTAAATATATCTGCAATTTTTGTTTTATCCTATTCCAATTTGAAAAATTGTCCAAAATACCTTGTTAAAAAAAAAACAGAAACAAATCCATGTATGTGCATGTATAACATTTAAATCTCACTCTTTTTAACTTTGCCTCAGTCGGTTCAACTAGATAAGAAAATATGTCATTAAGGGGTTTGAAATATGAACTTAGAGAAAAATGGAGGCCAAACAAAACTTTAATGGAGACACTGTTGGGGAGGATGCTTATCTAGGAATTGTCATTTCTTGTGTGAAAAGGAAAAGAAACAGGATGAGGGGTAAATTGGGGAATTCATTCTAAGATATAAAATAAAAGAGAAAGAAGAAAGAATTATAATATCTATTCAGTGATTTTTATATTTCTGATTCCAGAAAAACAACTTTTCTTTGTAGAAATATTTCTAACTTCTACAAAGAAATTTCTTCCCATATTTTATTTTAAAAATAGAATAACGCAATAAACACTATATGAACCACAATTTTAATATGTCTCCAGCTTTGGGGTTTACAAATTATACACATTAACATAAAAAAGAAAGAGAGAGAGAAAGAGAAGGAGAAGAAAAATAAAGAAAAGGAAGAAAAGATAGCAGGAAAGGGAAGAAAGAAAGAAAGGAAAGAAAAGAAAATCGAAAGAGAAAGAAAGAGAAAATTATAATACCTATGAGAATGCATTTTGTAGTAACTTTAAGAGCTAAAAACACATTATAAAACTACTTTTACCAACCTAAGCTGTTTTCTGATCTCCAAAGTAAACTAAATTAACTTACAATTTTTCTGGGTTTTTTTTGTTTGTTTGTTTTTTAAATACAGATACCGTTTAACTGAGCTTGGGGGATTACCAATATCAGCCATACCACTAAGAATGAGATAATTGCAACGAACTGCTGGGTGATGGGAAACAACCAATTGTCCACAATGTCATGCAGTCTGCATATTATGATGCAGTACAATTCATAATCTCCATGTAACATTATAAGGATTTGAAGGCCAGGCGTGGTGGCTCACACCTGTAATCCCAGCACTTTGGGAGGCAGAGGCGGGCAGATCACCATTTCAGGAGATCGAGACCATCCTGGCTAACACGGTGAAACCCCGTCTCTATTAAAAATACAAAAAATTAGCCGGGCATGGTGGCGGGCGCCTGTAGTCCCAGCTACTCGGGAGGCTGAGGCAGGAGAATGGCTTGAACCCGGGAGGCGGAGCTTACAGTGAGCCAAGATCGCGCCACTGCACTCCAGCCTGGGCGACAGAGTGAGACTCCATCTCAAAAAAAAAAAAAAAGAAAAGAAAAGAAAGAAAAAAAGGATTTGAAGCAGAATTTCTCACTGGATAGGCAACTGGGTTCCAGAAAGAGCAGAATTGGAAGAGTGAAATATACAAAGATCTCAAGTCCACTGAGCCTTTTTATTGAGGTGTATTCTATTATATTTAATTATTATTTGTCTTTTTTTGCGTCCATTTTTTTAAACAGGGGTTGGGGTAGGAAAGGCAGTCTCAATGTAATGGTGACTATATAAGTGAAAGAGGAAAAACAAAGTTTTATGTTTTTAATGAAATAAAGAATTTAGACATTTATAATTTTGATGGTACTCCACATTAGTGATTACTCAAAAATCTATATTTATTTGCTTATAATATCATATAGTTGACTTAACATTATTGAGTCTGGGTCTGAGTCGGCTAAATCTGCCTCAAATGAATTCATTTGTTTCTACATTTTGGGGATATGTGTGTATGGCAGAGTGTGTATTAGACTGAGTTCAGCAGGTCAGGAATTTGCTTTAGTCTTTACTGAGAAGACATTAGTAATTTTACATTTTCCTATGGAAAAATTTTATGTCATACAAAATTTCTCTATACAAATATATATCTTAAAATTTCACCAAAATAATTATAATACATCAAATAAAGCATTAATATTTTGTGCAATTCAGAATAACTTACTCAGGACTTAATTTGGAGAATTTAGCAATTTTCCAAAAATTTAGTTTAAAAAGTTATTTGTTCAAGTACAAAGTAAGTTACTATTTATTATTGAGAATATGAACATACACCAAGACAAAGAGGATTTTGATGTGGGATAGTAAACGTGCAAATTATTTCAGGCTACAATTACCTTCTTGTAATGGGAGCATATATAAATTATCTTGTTCTGCAGGGAAATTAAAGACTTGCAGATAAAATACCTTCAGGTACGTTAAAACAGATACACTTTTTACAGGTTTGTTTATCAAGTAGATACTTTCCAAAGTGAAATACATAATTTGATTTATGAACACACAAAAACTGTATTTCTTAGAAAAAGTAGAATTATGTATTCCTGATGTCTGCACAACAGCAGAAAGCTCAGCCCTGGTTGTGCTGGTATTTATACTCTTGCATGAAAAATATGCACAAGGAGCAAAGATAAGCAATTTTCATAAGAAAATGTCAATGCAACTCCTTGTTAGTATTGATTTTAAAAGACTGTGACAGTATCTTGATTTCATATCTCTTAGCACTATAAAAAATAAAATCAAATGGAGACTACATCATCTGTTGGAAGAGAAGTGGCATGAGACCCGACAGAAGAAATCTGCTATCAACTATTCCATTGACCTATTCCAGAAGCTGAAGTGATATTTAATCCCTATGACTTGAAGCACATGTCCAAAATAAGTAACAGACACAGATGTTCACCATCTTACCAGACTTTTCATTCTATATCTCTTGTGAAGGGAAGGCATCACAGTGTCTTTAAATCCATGCCATCACATGGATCCACACTGAAAAGAATCCACAAAGTATTTAGTCACCTTTGATTCTATAATATAATTTGTCTTGAGGTAGTGCTTGTAAATGGAGCTAAGAATTGACATTTGTCTATTTTATAAGTACTTTTTCTGCTAGCTGTGATGATAAATACATCATTATCAGTAATATTTATGAAGTGTCCTGTCATACTAACAGAAAGTTGCACATACTAAAATATATGTCTGAATATTAAAAGACTATAACTCCTGCTGACAGCCACTAATGTGCATTAATCTTGACAATGCTACGTTACCTGAACTCTGTGCTCTTGGAAAACAGCAAAGTTAAGAAATTCCCCTAGACTGGTGTTCGAAGAAAAATGGCTTACATCAATGAACCATCCTTCCCATAGGACTTTCAAAAAACTCCCGTTTACCTATGACAAGGCTAGCCACAGACCATCCAAATTCCTATCCTTTGCCTCAAAGTGATTAGCTGAACTGTTTGTACTCACTGACCAATGTGGACCCAATACCTGCAAATTTGACTTGACTAAAATAGCTAAAGCTTTTTTCCTTTCCCCAGGCTCCTTTAATATTGACCAGCCCTCAGTCTGAGTCAGCAGTGGGATAAAGAACTATCTCCTCTTAATAGTCCCTCCAGGCCGGGCGCGGTGGCTCACCCCTGTAATCCCAGCACTTTGGGAGGCCGAGGCAGGTGGATCACGAGGTGAGGAGTTCGAGACGATCCTGGCTAACACAGTGAAACCCCGTCTCTACTAAAAGATACAAAAAAAATAAAAAAATATAAAAATATAAAAAATTAGCTGGGCGTGGTGACGGGCGCCTGTAATCGCAGCTAGTAGGAAGGCTGAGACAGGAGAATAGCATGAACCTGGGAGGTGGAGCTTGCAGTGAGCCGAGATCAGGCCACTGCACTCCAGCCTGGACGACAGAGCAAGACGCCATCTCAAAAAACAAACAAACAAACAAACAAAAAACAAGTCACTCACTCCAGAGAACAGGATGGCCTCAGAAAACATATTTCCTGCTTAACAGTCCAAACACACCATCAGCTCATCCCATTTTCTCATATCGGGTTCTTACTAGCTTTCTTTATTCCTCCCTAGAATAGAAATTTTATTTTGGTTGACCTTTGAAACTCTTATAGATCTTATGGTCAGAAGACTCTCCCTACTGCAACAATCTCCCTCTCTTATTGCAGTGATTCTTTTGAATAAAGTCTTTCCCTACCTAAGTCCAGATTGGTTTTTATTTGATAATATTTTTTTCTTAGAATATCCTAATTGACATTATTTTGAATTGAACATATATTGAAGGTGAAATTCTCAGAATCATTTTGTCAGTCTAGTTTCATATCAACGTTTAATAAGAATTTTTCTTTTGTTGTATTTATTTAAAGATATCGAATTACTTAGATATTTGCAATTATGTAATAAATTTACCATTTGTGAGAGCTTTAAAACAAAAAATATTTCTTTATGTGAAAAATTCCATAAGAGGTTTTGAATTTACCTAGTCAGAATAAATTTATATAGACACAATTATTACTAAATAATTCTATCATTTGGTGCTATCTTCTATGTAATAGAAAAGCAAGAATCAAAAGCAGAATAAATAATAATGAATATGTAGTTATCATTTTTCTTGACATATACATGTAATCTACCATATACCATTAATATATTTGTGAAATATTTATGTGTACATAAATATAACATATATACTAATTCATGGTCTCATTTGTGTCCCTGCAACACACATATGTTGAAGTCCTATCCCCTAATATGATTGTTTTTAGAGATAGGGGCTTCAAGGAGGTAATTAAGGTTAAACGGATCAGGCCCTAATCCAATAGACAGAGACACCAGCAACACAAGAGCACAGCAAAAAGACCATGTTACAGTACAGCAAGAAGGTGGTCATTTGTGAGCCAAAGAGAAAGGTCACTGGAAAAAACAAAACTGCCTACACATTAATCTTGGACTTCCAGCCTCCAGAACTATGAGAAACACATTGTTGCTTAGGCCACCTAGTTTATGGTATTTAATTAGGGCAGCCCTAGAAACTAATACATTAACTATAGCCATAATTACATAAGCCACAAGTTCATAGCTATAAATTTTTATTGGCTATCAAACAGCAATTACATAACATCCTCCTGGAATATTAACTTGACATCAACAGTTATTCAACGTCATTAAGAAGTGATACATCCCTGTTTACAGGAAACTCTATCCTGGGCTATATCAGTACTTTGTCTTTGATAGGAATGTTAGAAGCAAGTTCTATTGCCTATACTGTGATCATATTCTGGAACACATTGCCTGTGTTCAAATATCAGTATTGCTGTTTATTTATCTGCACATTTAACAAGTCACTTAATCTCACTGTGCCTCCATTTCTACAAATGTAATATGGAGACCACAATAGTACCTAACTCATAAGGTTGTTATAAACACTTATAAGATGATTCATACATAGGCCACAAAACAAACTGTTCCTGCCACTTTAAAATTTTTCAACCAATTTTAACTCTCCTATATCCCTTGCACCCTCCCCCATCTCTGTTTGTTTGTTGGTTTGTTTTTCTTCCTAGAGTTTTCTTTAATCATTAAATCCTCACTTTTAGCATATGGTTATTATTCTTTTAACATAAAGAGACATACCCATCATTTTTCTTTACCTACAAGTTTCCAGTAAGTTACTTCCATAGAAATGAAACCAGGTAGAAGAAACATTAATAATATTCTCCCTAGCCTATTGGTTAACAAAGCAGGGAGGAGACACATTTTTCATATTAATTTCTACGATACAAGAGAAAAAAAACTAAGCAAAGATGCAGTAATTAGCATTTTATATGTTTTTATCTTGAGGAAATATTGCTTTTTCAACAGCTTTGGTGTTAGACTTTGGGCAATCTTTGCAAACATTGCTATAGGCTTTTTTTTCCAGAATAAAGAATGCATACTTAATATTACTGGTAATTTTCCTGTAGTGCTGTAAATTAATAGACAACCTTAAGACAAAGGGCTTCACACCATTGCCATACTGTTTTAACAATTGTAGCTTCATCATATATTTTGAAAGCAGGAAGTGTGATACCTACAGCTTTGTTCATCTTTCTCAAGATTGTTTTATCTTTATGGAGTCTTTTGTGATTCCATATGAATTTTTTCTAACTTTTTCCCTGTTTTTTTTTTAAATGTCTTTGAGATTTTGATAAACCAACAGAACAGAAAAGAGAGTCTGAAATTATATTCACATATACCCAGTCAACTAATCTTTGACAAAGCTGCCAAGAAAACACAATAGAAAAATGACAGACTCTCCCATAAACGGTGTTGGTAAAACATAGGCATCCACATGCAAAAAAAGAATGCAATTGGATCATTATTTTATACTATATACAAAATCAACTCAAAATGCATTAAACACTCACACCTAAGATCTGAAAGATTAAAACTTCTACAAAAAACCATAGAAGAAAAGTTTATGACATCAGCCTTAGGAATTATTTTTTAAAATATGATACCAAAAGCACAGGCAACAAAAGCAAAAATAAGGAAACAGAATCACATCAACTGAAAAGCTTCTACACAACAAAAAAAAATCAATCAACAGAGTAAAAGCCATCCTACAGAATGATGGAAAATATTTACAAATCATACCTGAGAAGAAGTTCATATACATAATATATAAGGAATTTCTACAACTCAATAGCATAAACAAAAAAGCTAATAACGCAATTAAAATGCATTAAACACTTGAACAGACATTTATCCAAAAGAAATGCACAAATAGCCAATGGTTATATGTAAAAATGGTAAAAATTTTTAATAATCAGGAAAATACAAATAAAAATCACAAGGGGATATCACCTCATACCTGTGAGGGTAGCTGTTATCAAAGGACAACATGTTAGAGAGGATGTAGAGATGTTGTTACCTTGGTACACTATTTGTGCAAATACAAAATAATAGTGCCACTATGGAAAACAGTATGGAGGTTCTTCAAAAATTTAAGAATAGAATGACTATATGATCTAGTAATCCCATTTCTGGATATTTATCCAAAACAATTTAAATCAAGATTTCAAAAAGATGTCTGCACTTGCATGCTCATTGCAGTATTATTCACAATAGGCAAGAGGTAGAAGCAACCTAAATGTCCATAGACAGATAAATGAATACAGAAAATGTGGCATATAGATATAGTAGAATATTACTTAGACTTAAAAAAGAAGGAACGTCTGAAATGTGTGGCAACATGGACAAACTTTGAGGACATTATACTAAGTGAAATAAGCCAGTCACAGAAAGACAAATACTTAATGATTCCATTTAAATGAAGTGCCCAAAATAGCAAAACTCAAAGAAGCAGAGAGTAGAATGGTGATTGCCAAGAGTAGAATGGTGGAGGGGGGAAATGTGGAGTTTTTAATCAAAGAGTATAAAGTTTTAACTATGTAAGATGAATGAGATCTAAATATCTGCTGTACAACAATGTGCGTAAGGTTAACAATAGTTTAATATACACTAAAAAAAAAAAAAATCCTTAAGAGGGTAGATCTCGTGTTAACTGTTCTTGCCAAACACACACACATACAAAATGACAAAGTCATGCCTTAAATTGTACCAGATGAAAACTACATGCTTTCAGAATGTTTCTTGGCAACACATATCTGAAAGTTGTCACTGAATGTTGCTACTCAGCAAGATGCTGTCAAAAAATTTATTAATAGACAAGAACCAGAGAAGTGAATCAAAAATCTCAGCATGTCCTTTGGAAGGCCAACAATCTGACATCCATGTTATATTAAACTCCAAAAGAAGCTAAAGGTTTACAAAAGAATGGTGCCATTCGTCTCTGTATGCATGAACCTCAGATTTATCGTATCAACCTTAACCTCTTAGAATTTTTTTCTGTGTGCCATAGGTAATATTATTTAGGCAGTATCAGCTGTAAAGAGATCTCAAATAATAGTGAGCTCTAAGCTTGCTAGTCTGTGCATATAAATAATAAGAAAAGAAGAGTAAGAAAAGATACATCCTGTGAAATTTAACTGTGATAAACAAAAGGAAAAGGATGTATGTCCAGTAGACATGGTGAAATTACTTGGAATGTAAGACATTTTGTCATCAGTTGATGGCAGAAGCTATTATTGTAGAGCATGTGGAAATGGAGTGCTTCTTTAAGAAACAAACAAGCAAAAAAAAGATAAATGGAATTGAAGCAACAAAACTAAACTGAAATGTGTATAAAGCACAACTAGAGACCCTAGTGAAATCAATGAATGGTGACCATTATTAAATAAAATATAGCTTTTGATAATTTAAAGTAGCATCTGTTCCACTAAATTCATTTTAAAAATTACATTGCTAGAAATAGCATGTTTAATGGTAACATAAAAGTAGAAGTTGAAAATTATAAATCTGGAAAAATAGAGAATTTTAATTAAGTTACGTAACTAATAAAAAATCTATGAGTCGTCATATAAGTAGTTTTGCTTGTTTGGATTTTTGTTTTTAATATTATTAAGTACCCAGTGTCAGTGATATTTTTTGCCAGGAATATGGAAGAGAAAACTAATATTTGTCTTTATATTAATTAAAATTATATTTGAATATTCTGATGAAGTTTGTAAACTCCATTTTTGTAACAGATTTTTGTTTAACCAGTATTTGAAAGTTATTATAATAGTATATTTTGTTTTGTTATTTGCAGAAATATAATGATCTAGATGACAGAGCACGTGGCATTGAAATAAATTATATAAGAATTCCACAGATTTTTCAAACAAAAGAATAAAAAACAACCCCCAAAATTGAAACTTTACCAATTTTTATAATGGCAACACTGAAATAATATAGAACTACAACATTACAAATGATCTTTTCCCTGTTCTCAATCAGAAAATATATTGAAAATGCTGTCCTCCTCCTCTTTTATACTGTGTCAAATTTTTCCACTTTCATTCTGATTTTATCATAAAATCATATTACAGTGTCCACATTTAGATAGGCATGCTTTCTGAAGGGGAAAAAATACAGTTTAAAGGACATAGGCTTTGAAATTACAAAAATGTGAGTTGCCACCTGATTTTGTTCTTTGGAAAAAATAACGAAGAAAAAAACATATATTTTCTGGGTCTCAGTTTCTTTACTTCTGAGGAAGGACATAATAAAAACTGATGGATATGATTATTGTTATAAAATGCTAACATACAATATTTATCAGATGTAAATTTTCTTATATTTCTTGATTTCTAAAAATGCTAATTTATTGTAAAACATTAAAATAACAGAAATGCAATAAATTAAAGATGTAACTTTTTTACAATTCCATTTTATTTTTAAATAAAGAAATTCACTCATACTTAGTTTTTACATATTTGTAGTGTTATTATGGATAACATTTTATATTCTATACCTTAATCTAAAATTACAGGATACATAATCCTGCATTTGCATCTATAAATTAGGCAAAGAAAACCAAGCCATATATTTTACTTCTTTACTTTATGCTCATAAACTAGATTTGTTTGTTGTCAGGTGGCAACTCATATTTTTGTAATTTCAAAGCCTCTGTCCTTTAAACTGTATTTTTGTTTGTTCTTGCACAGCTTAAAAAAAATAAGTCTAGCTTATGCGCCTTTCTGTGTAATTAACATTATTTAGTTAATGTACTCATTTGTTGCTTACCACATCTACTTGAGCATATAAGCTCTTTTTCTCCAAATGTACTTCCCCTATTAATTATTCTGAAATAACAAAGCTAAAACTCTCTTCCTTGAGTTGTGAATTCCCTGATTCTCTGACCATTGCTGCCTGGATTTTAAAAAGCTGAATTTATAATCTATTATTTGCAAATCTGAGGCCTCAATTTTTAAGTTTTATTATCATTTCTATAATTCTTTGGTAAACTGTTGCTATGCAACTTTAATGATATGTCTCAATATTAGTCATTTTTGCTTGCACACACACATGCATATCATTCTAGTTCCATGAGAAAAAAGATTTTAATACCAAATTTTAAAATACACTAAGAAAAATATCTCCATTTTAAAAATCACTAGCTACAGTGATTTATTTAATGCTTCATCATTTTTATACGGGATGATTTTTCTTGGTGGTTTATTTAATAGCAAAATGCAAATCAAAGAATAATTAAAACACTATTTTAGATAGCTGTCAGATACAGAACAAAGTAGATACAGGGGAGTGTAATTAATTATACCCTCCAGTCTCTATTGTACTTTATTAGGTTTCTTATGTGATAAGACAAAAACTTAGGACTGTTTTGATTTCAAATGAAGAAGAGCAACTTTAGCCCAGGGAGAAAGGAATATTTATTATAAGACTATGGAGAAATCTCATAAAAACAGGCAGCAGCACACATTGACCTCAGCAAGAACTAGAATTAGGAAAGCAGGCACTGTTCATCCTTTCTCTCTGCCTGCCTAGGCTTATCTGTTTCAATGTTCCCTTACTGTCTTTGCTAAGTCATGTCTTCTTTCCTCAGACCAACGTGAAGAAAACATGGTTGCTGATTAAACTTAAAATGATACATTTGTAGTCAACTGTGGCTAGGCTCTGACGAACCACCAGTTCTCATAGAAGCATCTGGGAATGGCCAGAGATGCTGGCCATTCTCTTTCCTTGTCTACTTTTTATAGTTGGTTGAGGAAGCCTATAATTTTAAAAGACAGATCATTAAAAAGTTTACAGGAAGGGTCTAGAAAAGTAGAACTGGAACTATAATTTTTTAAATGTGTACCATATAATAGAGCAAAATTTTTAAAAACTTGATTGATTTGAGTAGAATACATTGTAATGTATTTGCAGGAACCCAATTAGTCACATTAGCATAACTTTGTGATTCTACATATTATTTTATTATGTAATCAGAAGATTCACCCAACCTAGTCACAATATTAGTATCAAGATATAAAACAGATAAAATATTGAAAATTTCATGTGATTTAGCCAAATGTACTGGCTAATATTACAATGTATACATTATTGCTTAACAAATAAATCAATGTTAAAGTCGCTAATATTACCAGCCATTGATAATCAATTTATCCATTCAACATAAATTAATGTGAACATACTATATTCCAAGAACAAATCTAGAAATGAAGAATATATCAGTAAGCAAAAAAAGTAGCAAAATGTTACTATTCATTAATCTACTCTAAACATTCTTATTTCTATTAAAATATTATAGTTGTATTTTTACTTATTAATATACTTATGCTCTTAACACTAAATATGTTATTCTGAGGCAGCAAAATCATTCAAATTCTTAGAATAGATACATACCTATAACAGATAAAAATGGAAATGAGTAGTCTTAAGAGTTGATAGTACTAATAGATTTTTTTTATGAAGTAAGTGGTAAAAATTTTAGGAACATGGGCTGCCACACTGTATTTGATATCACCTAACTGAATCTTTGAAAACATTATGTATCATATAAATATAAGGTCTTGAGCATTCATCTTGAAATGTCAAATATCAACCCAATTTTACAATGTTTGTATTTTTAATGAAATATATTCCTAAAGATAACTTTTAAGGCTTTATTTTGGCAATGATAAATATGATGCATTTTGTCAAATGTGTTTTTTTCTCATGAAGCGCATCTGTGTTTGCTCTCTTACTAGACCCATGAAATATATTAAAATATTTTCCTATATCAAACTATCTTTCCATTCTTGATTAAAGCAGTATTCTTGAAATGTGGTACTGTTCTTGTACTATTGAGGTACATAATTGATTTGCTACTTTTCTCTTTTGTTTTAGAACTATAGTATCAGAATGGGTAGATTTTCTCTTCGTATCTATCATACAGGACCATTTAAATATTATGCCTATTGCTTTTAAAGTTTCAGATAGTGTCCCAATGCATTTTTAAGAGGAATTTATTTGAATATTTATATTCTTTAATGAGTTTTTGATCTTTTACGATACATAAAATTTTAATTCAATCTGGTAACAACAGACTTCTTGATTATTAATAAATTGTATGTGATTTGTCTATTAAATTCTATTTATATAGAAATATGCAGTTTTATGTTAATTTTTGTTGGGAAGCTCAAATGTATTTGTATATGTTGTTTGGAGTATTTTTTTAATTAATAAAATTTATTTTTTAATCAGTTTTGTTTATGGAAAATTAAACACTTAATGTAGATAATTCCTATATACCTCTCTTACTACTGACATCTTGCATTAGTTGTAGTAACAACTGATAACTTATATAAGGACTCACTCTTTGTGTTGTATTGTTCCATGGGTTTTGACAAGTATATAATGTCATGTGTCTACCATTAACCTTTACAGTATCATTGTGAATAATTTCATTGTTCTAAAATTTCCTTGTGCTTCACCTGTTCATCCTTCTTCAATACTGACACCCAGTGACTAACAATCTTTTTATTGCCTCTGTAGTTTTGTCTTTTCTAGAATGTAATATTAGAACTGTGAAGTATGTAACCATTTCAGACTGGCATTTAAAACTAAGTGATGTGTCTTTACTTTTTCTCTGTGTCTTTTCATGGTTTGATAGCTCATTTCAGATCACTGAATAATATTCAATTGTATAGATGTATCACAATTTGTTTACCTATTCACATATTGAAGGACATCTGGGCTGCTTCCAAGTTTTGACAATTGTTAAGAAAGCTGTAATAAACATTTGTGTGTTGGTATTTGTGTTATATAAGTGTTCAATTCATTTAAGTAAATACTAAGGAATTCTATTGCTAAATTGTATGGTAAGAGTATTATTAGTTTTGTACAATACTGCCAAAATATCTTCCAAAGTGGCTGTATTATTTTGTATTCTTACTGGCAGTGAATGAAAGTTCCTAGTGTTGTACATTCTGATCTGTTTTTTGTGTTGTCAGTGTTTGGGATTTTAGCCAATTAATAGCTGTACAGTGGTATAATTAGGTTTTTAATTTGCAATTTTCTAATGACATAGGAATCACACATAATTTTATATGTTTATTTGACATCTGTGTATCTTATTTGATTAGTTCCTGTCTAAATCTTTTGCCCATTTTTAATGGGGTTGTTTTCTCATTGTTGACTTTTAAGTATTTTTTGTGTATTTTGGATACAAGTCCTTTATCAGACGTGTATTTTACATGTATTTTCTCTCAGATGGTCTTGTCTTTACATTCTTTCTTCAGTGTCGTTTGTAGAGGTTTTTTAATTTTAATGAAATCCAGCTTATCGTTTGTTCGTTTTTGGAGCATTCTATTGGTATGACATCTAAAATTTCATCACTAAACACAAAGTCACCTAGATTTTTTCTTACGTTATCTTCTAGAAATTTGTTTTGTGTTTTAGATTTAGTTCTATAATACATTTTGAAGTATTTTGTTTTGTTTTCTTAAGGATGTTAATACAGTGTCTAGATTAAATTTTTGCATGTGGATATTCAGTTGTTTCAGCACTACTTATTTAAAATATTATACTTACTCTTTTATATTGCCTTCACTCTTTTGTTTTGTTGTTTTGTTTTTTGTTTGTTTGTTTTTTGTTTGGCTTCTTTTTTCACGACACAGCCCTCAGGAGGTTCTGAGACCATGTGCCTGCTCTTTGTTAATATCAGTTGACTATATTTGTGTGGATCTATTTCTGAGCTACTGACACTAATGAATTGATCTGTTTGTCCTTTCTTTTGCCAATACCACACTGTCTTCATTATTATAGCCTTATAATAAGTCTTGAAATCAGGGAGTGTCACTCCTCTGATTTTAGTCTTCTTCAATATTGTATTGGCTGTTTTATCGTTTCTTGGTGTCACTCTGCTGACTTTCTTCTTCATTACTGTATTGGCTGTTTTATCTTTTCAACCACACTTTAGAATCAGTGTGTTGACAACTACAAAATAATTTGCTGAGATTTTGATTGCGATTACACTGAATCAAGATGTTTCAATTTGAGTTAATTTGGAAAGAACTGATATCTTAACAATACTGAGGCTTTCTATTCATAACTATGAACTATCTCTTCATCTATTTAGATAGTCTTTATTCTTTCATCCTTTTTGTGGTTTTCCCTATGTAGATCTTATACATATTTTGTTAAATTTATTCCTAAACACTTCATTTTTTTTGGTGCTAATACAAATGGTGCTTTTGTTTCCACATTCAAATTCCAATTGTTCTTTTCTGGCATATAGGAAATGTCTTTTGTATGTTAATTTGTATCCTGCAACCTTGCAATAATCACTTATTAATTCCAGGAAGGTTTTTTTCCGGTAAATTTGGGAGGATTTTTCTGTGTAATTGATCATGTCATCCACAATGACAATTTTATTTCCTCCTTTTCAATCTGTATACCCTTTATCTTTCTTTTTTTATTCATTAGTGAGGACTTCATTATACTAGTGAATAAGAGTTATAATATTTTCACCATTCAAATTTATTATAGATATTTGTATTTATTGATGTCATCTTATTTTATGCTTTCTATTTTTCCTACGCATTTTCTAGGTTTACTTTTCCTTGTTTTTTGATTTTTCATACAAACTTTACTATTTGGAAATATTTACATGTATTTCAATTTTTATAAATATGCTAAGAATGTTAATACACGTATTTAAGTCATTCTAATATTTACTAATGTTTTTGTTGCACATCTAAACTCTAAAAACATCTTTAAAATGTCTAAGGTCTATCATGAATTCCAATTAATTACTACTGTGCTATCCTTGCTTTTTCTATCAGAAAATTTTCATTTGGTATCATTTTCTCCTTCCTGTTGTAGTACAACATTTTGAATTCCCATGCATGAAGGTTTGTTGGAGGCCAGCCCTACTTTTGTTTTAAAACTATTCTTGATTTCTCGTAATTCTTAAATAATATAATTAAGTATAACATTCTAGATAAACAGCATGCTTTTACTTTTCCACAAGTTTACAAAATCACTCCACTGACTTTGATTGTTGCTCTTAAAATTACATGTATTATTTTTGCATTTTTGCAGTTAAACAGGCATTGGTTTCCGCTATTTTTATGATTATCAGTTTGTCTCGTGTTATAAGCCATTACCTTGATATCTCTAGGTCTGAAGTTTTTTTATTAATATTACTTAGATTTAACTGGCTATGTGACTATGTAAACTGTTGTACTTTATTACTTCTGAAAAACTCTTGGTGAATGCATCTCTTAATGATATATCTGAATAATTAATGTTTTTGTCCTTCTACAACCCCATTTCTCATTTTATCCTCTCCTCCAGGTCTCTTAAGAGCTTGTTCATATTTTCATTTACTTAAAAAAAAAAATCTCTGATGCATCCTGCATAATTTCTGTAGACTTATCTAATGGTTTACTATTATCTCCCAATATATCAACTTGTAGTTAAACTGATACATTAAATTTTACATGTCTATTACTTTATTTTATTTATAAAGCCTATTTTAGTTATTTTGAAAATTGTTACTTGTGTGTTCAAGTTCCTATTATTTCTGAACCATTTGAATTATGTGTCTGGCAATTCCTTTATCTGAAGTCTTTTTCAAATATTCCTTTGCTGTTTGCTGCTGGTTATTTTGTAATTTTGTAATTATGTATATTTTGTAATTTTTATTTGTGTGTGTATGTGTGTTTGTGCATGTGTGTATGTGTGCGTGTGTGTGTGAGAGAGAGAGATTAATTTCTTAATTTCCCTAGAACTTTATATATTGGTAATTTGTGAGTCCTAAGATTCATGAGACATCATCCTGAGAAAATCTGTATTTATTCTGTTATACTATTTATCAAGACACTAAAGTTCTAGGACCATTTTTAACAAAAGTATCAGTTCAATGGTTTTCAGAACATACAATGTGATGCTTATTTCTAGTTCCCACTGCACTGATGACGTATCTGTCTGAATGAGCCAGTTTAACGTGGTTGTTCTCTTATTAAATTTCTTTTTTCATTTTTTTTGATAGGCCTTGGGCTCGCCTAGATCATGAAAATCAGAATCTATGGTTTACCTTTATTAGGAAACACTTGGAAGGCAAAAGGAGGTTTATAGGTAATTGAGATGCTAAGAGTTTGAGCAAAATAAACCATTTGTTATTATGCTAAATAGCCAAATAGTAAACTTTGACAATTGCTGATGTTAGCATTTATGTATAAAGGCAGTAAAATGCATAACTGTAAAAGAACTGTCATTATCTTAATATTTACATTAATAATTATTATTTTCTCAGTTTATATAGAATGTGCAAATTATTACTTTTTCATGGCAAGTAGGGAGTAGTAAAGCAGCAGTTTAGAACACAAAACAGTAGGACTTAGCATAGAATTTTCTTAAATTTCTACGAATTAGGACACAATAGCATCTCTCTCTATAAAGAAGCATGGAATTAATTTCCTCAGAGTAATGGATTACTGGAAGCTATTTTCTTATTATATTAGTGAGAAGCAAAGCTATTTAAACAAAACACTTGATGGAGTTTTGTTTTAAATAAATTGTGTCAATGAAGCAACTGAACGTTTTTTAAAACAACACTAATAGCTGAAAATCAGAAGCCCTCTTCAAATGGGTCAAGAATGATATAAAAAACCTAAAAGAGCATTAACATTAACAGGGCAGTTTATGGAAAAGTTGAAGATTAATAGTATCAGGATAATAGAGTCTCTAGGTCACACTTAACTAAGACCTTTTATAAGATCTTTTCTAGGTAACAAGAAGAAGTTAATAATAATTTTTATATTCATGTTGTACATAAATTAATTATATCTTAAATTTTGTTTGTCTCCAATATTTCTGATTCAATAATTCTTATATTCTTCCTTCATAATATCTTAGGTAAAAAATCACTTCCCAGGTTAAAGATATTTCAATGATACCGATATTTAGTGAGACTATAAATTTATTTGGTAACCTAAAATTGGTGTATTATTTCCCTTTAATTGCATTTGTGCATGCATGTATATCTATATACACCAGTTTATGAATCCTCACTCTGGATATTAAAACAGGATGATTTCCTCCTGATAATTATAGTCTAGGCATTGGTACAGCCTAACCTCTCCCTTATAGAATATGGCTTCAGTGAAGATCCAAGTGTTGTATCTGCAACACATCATCTACCTAATAAATGGCAGAGCCTTCACTGAGATTTATATATTTTGTGTCTTGGTCCAGTCATTACATGTGATGCCACACCACAATATTTTATAAGCTTTAAAGATTTGTTTGATGGTGGAAAACAACACAATGACACTTAGATAAAAAGCAGAATTTGTGCTACTTAGAGTTCCAAAAGAGAGAAGGCTGCCAGGCAGTATCTCACAGGGGCTTGCATGGAGGGACAGGGCAACAGCAACCTGGAGCTGTAGGGGCAGCCTATCTATGGCAAATAGGGTGGGGTTAGCTAGGTTCCTGTGGGGCTTTTTGTGGATTTATCTAATTTGGATAATGTCCCACTCTCAGGCACACAGAGGCTATTTCTGAGTGTCTGGTATGTGGCCCTAGGGGTGATGAAGGTGGGTGTATAGGGGTCCTGAAGTGTGAAAGCCTGAGAAGGGAAGGTATTGGAGGGGGAACTTAATTGGCTACTCAGGAGGGACATTGACTGGCAGCCACTAGTTAGGGCTTCAAATCTGGGTCAAGATAGTATTTTTTTAAAAAACTGGATTATACACAATGTATTTTTTTAAACAATTTAATGTGTAAGGATTTGTATTTTATTATATTTTTTCCATTAATAAAAAGATAAGTTCAACAAATTTTTGCTGTCTTATATTTTTCTTTCTGTTTCTAACTGGACAATATGTTTTCTTGCTCTGTAGAACTGTAGCATGGATGAAATAAGTAATACAGTGAATGCTGTCTAAGACTTCTGTAAAAAAAAATATATTTCAGCCTTGACAAAAGACCCTGAAGCTGCCTAAGTGAACTTGACCACTTGATCATGAAGATCTTGATGTTGAATGTTATTCATGAGATCATGAATGACATTCCACGAATCTTGTTCTTTGTTCATTGATGTATCAGCTTATCTCATAGTTTGTTTTGTATTTCTTTTCTGAAAAATTTTTTACTATAACAAATGTTTATGTAGGGAATTGTGTCTCAATATTTCAAAGACTATGCAAGTTTATTGTGGTGAAAACTGGATTAACTTCTAAAAGGCTGTTAGGAAGGCTGTAAAATATTCTGATGCAAATCCAACTTTCAGCTGCCTGTGAATAAAATTGACTGGAACTTGCTGTTTGCCTATTTCTCTAACTTTCTATTTACATCACAAGTAGATCCATCTAGTGAAAAAGACTGGATCAAACTGGTCATTAGCTAACAAGAATTTTACTTTTAATGCATTTAGTTAGACATTTCTGCAATTTTAATATAAAATTCTAAAATAAAAATATAAATATTCACTATACTTATTCTGAACAGAATAATGCATGACAGAAACAAAGATAACAAAAAAAATCTTGTTTTCAAAATATATTACATTTTTATACTATCTACAGATATTATTTGAGTGCTTTTCTTTTTTTCTATTTAGGAAACATCTCTTCTAGGACAAGGTCATTACTACCAAGAGACAGCACAATGTCTTCTAAAGCAGAAGTTCAATTAGGGAGTTGGATAGGAGAATGTGCCACTCATAGATGAGCAACATTCCCAGACATTATCCAAAGGATGGTATTTTTATATTTGTGAATATAGTCCAAAACCTGGGCCTATGCAGCATAAGACCTCTCAAGTGACCTTCCAAACGCTAGAAAATGCCTAAGGAAATAGTTATTTTATCATCTCTTTACCTAAAAAATCAGCATAATGTTAATTTTGATAAAGTTAACCAAAAAGCATAAAAATCTTGATAGACATGAGATGTGTCTGCTTTTTGCCTCAAGCAATGTGAATATATTAATCTTAAATTTCAATGCAAGATAGTGAAGGCAGAACTGAAGCCCTGATTCCAGGGTTATTATGGACTGCAATTACTGAAGTTATGTCCTCACCTAGAAAGTGAAAACAATAATACATTTTCTTTGGATCTGGCAAGGTTTCTATGACTGTTAAACGAGATACTATTTCCAAATGACATAAGTATTTTAAAAATTGTTACTCAAGCAATTACAATTGATCTTTGTTGACTTTGGATTGATATTTATATCTAAGTTGCATAATCTGATGTAAAATTGTACTTTTATGATTAAATCACTTTAAAAGCATAAATATATTACTATATCACAAAATTTCCTACATAATAGATAGTCTAACATATTATTTGCTGATATTATTGAAATAAAAGACAAAGTTCTCAAATGTTATAGGTTTCAGAGGCAGGTAAACCAGAGCAACTCCATCTTGAGTAGGGGCTGTGTAAAATGAGGCTGAGACCTTCTGTGCTGCTTTCCCATGAGGTTAAGGCATTCTTCGTCACAGGATAAGATAGGAGGTCAGCACAAGACACATGTCATAAAGACCTTGCTGATTAAACAGGTCACAGTAAAGAAGATGGCTAAAACCCACCAAAACCAAGATGGAGACGAGAGTGACCTCCAGTTGTTCTCACTGCTACACTCCCACCAGTGCCATGACAGTTTACAAATACCATGGCAAAGTCAAGAAGTTACCCTATATGGTCTAAAAAGGGAAGGCATGAATAATCTGCCCCTTGTTTAGCATATAATCATGAAAAAAAACCATAAAAATGTGCTACCAGCAGTCCTCAAGGCTGCTATGTCTGTGGAGTAGCCATTCTTTATCCCTTTATTTTCCTAATAAATTTGCTTTCACTTTACTGTATCACCCTGAATTATTTTTGCGTGAGATCCGAGAACCTCTCCTGGGGTGTGGATCCGGACCACTGTCCAGTAACATAAGCCTATCACTATTATAACTTCTGAATTCATTTTAACATTGAAACCTCGTAACAACCATGTGATGATAGGTATTCTGAAGTGAGAATAATTTCTTTATTGACATTGTAACTGTTAAGGAAATCTTGATCTTGCTTTCTTGAGTGTTCTTCTTATTACATGTTGTGAATGCACAATATTCTGTAATAGAAAATTATAGATTTTCATGCTCAATAAATAATAAAGAACTTTTAGATTATTCAGCGGACACAATTTAAGATTATTGACATTCTCTCACAGTTACTTACTGATACATCAGGTCTTGTGGATTTCACCCAGCCTACCAAGTATATTTCTTCCTATCATTTTAATTCCTAAATACCACTTCATATTTTATTTGAAAACCCTTTTCTTCCGTTACAATAAGTAGGAAAAATTAATGGAAATATCCTGTTTTTTCAGATCTTCTGATTCCTATGAAAACCAGACTAAAATTTTGTATTATAAAGAATACTGAGATATAAATCTTCAGTCTCTTCACCTGAAAACTAAAGGTTTGAAGTCAGTCATCTTAACCATTCCATTCTGCCATGAAATTCTATGGGGCTGTGAGTATATGGTTTCTTCCTTTACACCAGATGAATTTCATGGGAGTCATCACTTTCTTATCTTCTGAAGTTGAATCATTCCTTCACAGAGCTTTCCCAAAGCATTGCCCAGTTTCATGTAAGAAATCAAGAAATGTTCCAGTCATGATCCCTTGTCAATATATTGTTACAAACTGAAACTGCACACCCACTTATTTTCTTTGCCCCCTATTGTGTGTTAAAAATATACTTAGTTTTTTTATGGTTATAAATAAGCAATTATCCCTAGTCACTACTCATTATATTAGTCATTACTCCTTTCCCTAGTCACCATACCTGTTAGTCATCGATACAACTCGCCCGTCTTTGTAACTCTCTCATTTTGAAACCCATTTGCACAATGTAAGAAATTAAAAGGAAGAAAAACCTATTTCTCTGTGAGAAATCACCAAGTATAATCAGTGGGCAGGATTCTAGTGAAGGATAGTATTATTTTATGTCATTATGATTAGCACACATAATCCCCTTTCTAAATTTAACATCCAAATCTAATGTAAGAACCTTTGCAGTCAAAATGGGACCTACAAATTAGCAGTGTCCCTGATTATTATGTGACTGTTAATTATTTGGAAAACTTCACTATAATAAGTGGAATTTAATCATAGAATTGATCTTAAATTGTTGTGAAGCTCCCGTGAGTTAAATGACAGTCTAGAAAGAATTTTTAACCAGAAACTTCAGTTATATTTTCTATTGAGCTGTTATATAATATTTAAAAATGTAAGAGATCTTGTCCTTTCTTTCTTTTAGATACTCTTTTGCTCTTTTGTTTAACATGTGATAAAATCAAAACACTTTATCATGTATTAATTTCGTAAGCGGGATGGACCACTCTGCTTCTCCAATCTGATGTTATGTCACTCTGTGCTTAACTCAATGTGCTTCAGTGACAGTGGCCTTAATGCTCTTCATATGTGAAACATTTGTTCCAACCTCAGACTCTATTTGCTTACTTTTCATTCACTTTTCCTGGATTGTTCTTCTTATGACAGGGTCCTATTTTTTTATTCTCAGCTCAACTCTTATATTACCTCCTCCTTGACAACCCTTTATAATGCTGTGCCCAACACTCTTTACCACTGCAATCATTTTCTTGTTATACTGCTGTCTCTTATTTTCTTCAGTGCATTTGTAAGTACCTGAACTATTAATGTAATTGCCCTTATTTGGTTTTGCTTTGGTTATTTGATCTCTGTCCACTGAAATTTAAGCCTGTCCTGAATATCTGTGTATTTTAAGTCCATAGAACAGAGTTGCTATATAGGAGATATTTAATAAAATGTTTTTAATTCTTAAGTAAATGTTTTGATGTTAGAAATGAAATTTTAAAGAAACCACTTACTTACATGTCAAATTAACACATTAAAATAATCCAAAATCATTTCCCATTTATACTTCATAAAAGCGCATTACAATATGTAAAGTATTTAAAATTTATTATGGAGAGTGGATTAGTTTAAAGGCTACTTTAGGCAGTGATCAAGACTTCTATAGGTCTGTTAAAGCAATAAGAATTTGAATGTCATGAGCTTAGTTTCACTAGATACAAAATTCTTGGCTTATAGTTATTGTTTGTTTGCTTAAGCAGGCTGAAGATAGGACCCCAATCCCTTCTAGCTTGTAAGGTTTCTGCTGATAAAACTGTTGTTAATCTGATAGCTTTTCTATTGTAGGTTACCTGGAGCTTTTTCCTCACAGCTCTTAAGATTCTTTCCTTTGTCTTAACTTTAAATAACCTGATGACTATGTGCCTAGGTGATGATCTTTTTGCAATAAATTTCTCAGGTGTTTTTTGAGCTTCTTGTATTTAGATGTGTAGATCTCTTGCAAGGCTGGGAAAGTTTTCTTTGATTAATCAGTCCCTCAAATATGTTTTCCAAACTTTTAAATTTCTCTTTTTCCTCAGGAACACCAATTATTCTCAGGTTTGGTCAGTTAACATAATCCCAAGCTTCTTGAAGGCTTTGCTAATTTTTTTTTTGATACTTTTTTCTTTCTCTTTGGTGGATTGGGTTATTTAAAAAAACTTACCTTTGAGCTCTGAAGTTCTTTCTTCTGCTTGTTTGATTCTATTGCTGAGAATTTCCAGAGCATTTTGCATTTCTCTAAGTTCATCCTTTATATTCAAAAGTTGTGATTGTTTCTTATTTATGCTATTTCATTGAAGACTTTTTCTTTCATATCTTGTATCTTTTTTTGATTTCATGAAGTTAGACTTCACCTTTCTTTGGTGCCCCCTTGATTTGCTTAATAATTGACCTCCTGAATTCTTTTTCTGGTAATTTGTGATTTCTCCTTCATTTGGATCCATTGCTAGTGAGCTAATGTTGTCTTTTGGGGGTGTTAAAACATCTTGTTTTTTCATATTATCAGAATTGTTTCTCTAGTTCCTTCTCATTCTGGTAGACTATGTCAGAAGGAAGATCTGGGGCTCAAGGGCTGCTGTTCTGTTCAGATTCTTTTGTCCCATGGGGTACTCCTTTGATGTAGTGCTCTCCCCCTTTTTTGTGGCTTCCTGATAGCTGAACTGTAGTGATTGTTATTTCTCTTCTGGATCTAGCCACCTGGCAGAGCTACTGGGCTCAGGCTGCTACTGGAGGAGTGTCTGCACAGAGTCCTGTGATTTGAACCATCTTCAGGTCTCTCAGCTGTGGATACTAGCACTTGCTCTGGTGAAGGTGGCATGGGAGTTAAATGGACTCTGTGAGGGTCCTTAGTTGTAGTTTTGTTTATTGCACTAGTTTTGTGCTGGTTGGCCTCCTGCCAGGAGCTACCACTTTCAAGAAAGCATCAGCTGTGATAGTATAAAGAGGATCAGGTGGTGAGTGGGGCCCTAGAGCTCCCAAGAGAATATATCCTTTGTCTTTGGCTACCAGGGAAGAGATAGTACAGAAAAACTTTCAGGTGGGGGCATGGTTAGGCATGTCTTAGCTGTTGAGGGTGAAGGTGTGGTTCTCAAGTTAATGGAATTATGTTCCTATGTGGATTATGGCTGCCTCTGCTGTGTCATGTAGGTGGCCGGGGAAGTGAGGCAAGGCCAGCAGTTACAGGCTTCACCCAGCTTCCACTCAGCCCAAAAGGCCAGTGTCACTCCCACCATGCCTGCCACAACAGCCAGGAGTTTTTCTCCCAGCAGTGGGTGATCAGGGCTGAGAACTTGCCCCAGGCTACCAGCCTCCTAACTGTGAAGGCACACAGGGCTTTCAGGTTTCCTGCTTCCCTGCCTGCTGCAGCTTATGTGCTGTGTCTGCACTCCAGATTCACTGCCTCCTCTGAGTTCTGCCCAGGAAACTTCACCTTGGTTCGATATTGTTACAAAGTTCAAGTGGAAGTTTCCTTCCCCCTGTGGTCTCTTCCCGGTTCCTTTGGCAGCCCTCCCCAAGGATCTATGCAAGACAACGTCAGAAATTGCTTCCCTGGGGACTGGGAGAGCTTACCGTGCTCTTCCACTGCTTCTTTACACCTGCATTTTGCTCAGCTCTCTAAATGGTCTCAGCTCCAGGTAAGGTCAAATCCTTCTCTCATAATCTGGACTTTCAGGTTCCCCAGTGAAGGTGTTTATTTGGGAGCAGACAATCCTCTTTTCACACCTTCACATTTTGAGCACTCTCAGTTTGGGGGCTGTCTGCTGGGGCCTGCAGGAGCAATCCACTTCCTTCAAAGGGTCTGTGCATTCTCTCGGCTTTCCTGGTATGTTCCTGCAGTCGTTCTTGGAGCAAAAGTTCACGATATGTTTCCAAATGCTGCTCTGTCTGTCCAAGTGGGAGCTGCAATTTGGTCCTGCCTCCTATCCCTATAAATGAAAGACAATTATTTCTCACTGTTCTGGGGGTTGGGAGCCCAGAATCAGATTAACAGCATGGTTGGGTTCTGCTGAGGGCCCTCTTCAGGTTTCAGACTGTCAGCTTCCCATTGTAACCTCACATGGCAGAAAGAGTGTCATTAATGTTTTGATAGAAGTTTCATTAGATCTGTAGATTGTTTTGGGTGATATAGTCAATTAAAAATATTAATTTCTGATTTGTAAGCATGGGATGTCTCCATTTGCTGGTACCCTCTTCGGTTTCTTTCATTAGTGTTCTGCAGTTTTCCCTGTAGAGGTCTTTTACCTCCTTGGCTAAATTATTCCTAGATTTTTATTTTATTTTTGTAGTTATTGTAAGTGGGGTTTCTTTCTTGATTTTAATTTTGGCTAGTTCATTATTGCTGTATAGAAACACTAATAATTTTTGTATGTTGATTTTATTTCCTGCAACTGTACTGTATTTGTTTACCAGTTCTAATAGTTTTTTAGTACAGCCTTTAGTTTTTTCTATATATAAGATTGTGTCATCTGCAAAGCAGAACAATTTGACTTCTTTTCCAGTTTGGCTATCCTTTATTTCTTTCTCTTTTTAATTGTTGTGGCTAGAATACCAAGTACTATGTTGAATAGGGGTTGTGGAAGTGGGCATCCTTGTCTAGTTCCAGTTTTTAAAGTACAGGCTTTGAATTTTTTTCCATTCAGTATGATGTTAACTATGGGTTTGTCATATATACCGTTTACTATTTTGAGGCATATTTGTTCTATACCCAGATTTTTGAGAGTTTTCATCATAAAAGGATGGTTTTTGTTCTTGGTTTTGTTAATGTGATGGATCATGTTTATTGATTTACATATGATGAACCATCGTTGCACTTTTGGGATGAATCCCACTTAATTATGGTGAATGATCATTTTAATATGTTGTTGAATTCTGTTTGCTAGTATTTTGTGGAAGACTTTTGCATCTTTGAACTTGTTTTCTATCATTGTGGTGTATTGAATTTGCATTCTCCTTATGAAGAACTAAGGGCTGCCACAGGCTGGGTTTTATCTAGGACATCAGGACGAACATGAGGTCAGGCTCTCAGCATCAGAGTACTGGTCAAGCAGGCATAAAATGGACACAGGTCGGACAAGAGTTACAAGGGTATCTGCCAGTATAAACAAGTTTCCCATGTGAGGGACCCCTTGGTACACAGATCAGAGAACTGGGCATCAGGTTATCTGCCAGGTGAAATAAATATCTGTGATAGACACACTGTAAAAACCCACATTCAGCTCCCCTTTACTTTCTGTTATGGCAGGGTTGCTAGCCAATCTGGTACTTGAAATTCATTTTAGCTAGAGGCTCTCAAAACATCAATAGCAAGAATTATAAAAGCCCCATGGGTGGTAGTAGGTGTAAAGTAATTACTACAAACACTGTTTCTGGGGTAAGATAAATAAATCTGGATATTTTATTAGTTCTTTTTGTGCCCTTTTTGAGACCATGATAGGTTTTGTGCCCATAACCCCGAACCTCTCCAGTTAATTGAAAATTTCAGTAAACCCATCTGATACTGTCCATGCTATCGCTTGTAAAAGTATCAGAACCATATCATATTGCTAACAATTTTTTAAAACTTAGGTTTGTAATTTGCATCGAATTCTGGATAGAATAATTTTGTTCTTGGAGACAAATTTGAATTATTAGATTTTAATGCATTTTTTTAAAATGTGATATGGTTAGTAGCCCACAACTTGTGATTTCATAGGAAAATCGTGTGGGAGAAAAACTTATCTCTTAGAAGATGGGTTTCTTGCAAATGCAAGAACTAATACTTTTAATTGAGCATTTCAAAATGAAGCTTTCTTTTCTTGGTGCTATCTTTCGTGTTTTAAATATAAGAAAACTTTGTGAATTTATGTTTTCACAGAAGAAATTTAAGAAAAGTGTGCTCATATGAGTGGTAAAAGTACAGAATAATTGCCAGATATCAGTATTAACTGGAGAAAATAAACAAACAAATATCATAGAGAGAAAGATGCTAGTCCTGTGTCTCCACAAAATACTCAGTATTTATTCATGCAGCATAGCAAATAGTCCTTAAGTATATTTTCTGGTCACTGGAGACAGATCTGAAGGCAAGAGCAAAATTATAATCTAATTAAAATTAGAAGATAAAATGTCACTAATAAGAACAAGGGTAATTATTTCATATTCTTTGAAATATACTCAGCATAAAAATTTGATACCATGAGGTTATTAAAGATAAACAATAGTGAAAGAAATAGTCATCTTCAAGTTTAATTCATGTTTACCTTATAGTTTTTAATCTATAGGAGACATATATGATTGCAAATTGGAATTTGGTAAATTTTTATGTTAAATGATGCAAAAAAGCTTATATATAAATAATAAAAGACTTTAGGTAAATAAATCGTCTAAATAAAGTTTTAAATAACATTTTGCTAGAGATATATTTTTATGTGATGGCGAATACATGTTTAAAAGCTGTGGTCTGTAATGTAGCCTGAGTATCATTATAAGATTAAATAGAAATGCAGTTCTCAAAATATGCTAGATTTAAATAAATATTATAATTTTATTAATAAACAAATATAGTACAATTAATTTCTGTTTTAATGGAATTTTTTATTTTTCTGTGTCTAATCCTTTATTCAACGGTTCACTGTGAAAAAGTAATCACTGACTCCAGTCTCTTGTGTTTAGTCCTCTATTTAATTGTTCAATATCTAATATTAAGAAATAATCACCAATTCTAGTCTCCAGGTTTCCCTTGCAGTTTCAGTCATACGAAGCAACTTGCTAATGCTAATACTGTGCACCTAATTACAGACAGTGCACCTAATCCCAGTCAGCATGGAAAAGGCATGGTTTTATGCATCTGCAGATTAACTTCTCTAAATACTAATTAGCATGTGGAATCCTTTACTACCAGTTCTAATTCAAAGTAGATGATCCATAAACACTAAGTTATTGATTGGTATGTCTGTCTGATCTGAAATTTTATTTGTAGGGAATGATATCAAAGGTCACTTTTTTTTTTAAAGTTTGTATGCACATAATTAAACATCTCAAGTTTAATTACTAATCCTTCAATATTACAAGAGTTGCCATACCACAGCTATGATTGATGGTTGAAAAACAGCAAATATTTACTATTTTAGTAATGCTATATAGCCAGCATTATCAACCAAATCTAAACTTGAATATAAAATATGGAGTTAAAACTAAAAAATCAATTAATTTAAAAAGATGCATTTGCTGTAAATATTATATGGCAAATAAACTAGGTAACATTTCTCTGAAACCTAACTTTAATTTTTAAAAAAATTATCTTGAAATGTCTATAATGTCTAAAATATATTTTTGAAATTTTAAAAGTCTGAACTTACTATTTGTTAGATAAGAATTATTTTAGAAATGAAAACAAAAATCAAAATCAAATATGCTCAGAAATCTTGACAATTAATGTAAAAAAGGGCCAATCACAATGGAATTTTTTACTTGGTCCACTCCACCAGAATATCCTAAGAACATTTTTCTTGGTAAAATTAGTTTTTAAAGTTAGCAATATGAGTGTTCTTTATTTTTTCTGAGTAAAATAAAGAATAATAAATTGTGACTATTATTTCTAAAAAACAGTACACATCTCTAAACATATAAGGGAAGGATACATGTAATATACTGCAACATTCTTATTGGAATTATTTTAATCAAAGAGCTACCCTTCTTTATACTTTAATCTTTTAATTAGGCAGTGGAATTGCCTATACTTCAATGACTGATAAGTTAAGGACATTGTGAGGGAACATATCATCATGGCTCAGTATTTCTGCCCCGATTAAAGTTAAAAAAAAAAAAAGAGGCAGAAAACATCCATCTTTGGAAACAAAGAGTATGGCTAATGGTGAGAAACTCACGTTTCACCACTACTCATACCCTTTAAAATAAATTTACCTCGGCCGGGCACGGTGGCTCACGCCTGTAATCCCAGCTCTTTGGGAGGCCGAGGCGGGCAGATCACGAGGTCAGGAGATAAGAGACCATTCTGGCTAACATGATAAAACCCCGTCTCTACTAAAAATACAAAAAATTAGCCAGGCGTGGTGGCGGGCGCCTGTAGTCCCAGCTACTCGGGAGGCTGAGGCAGGAGAATGGCGTGAACCCAGGAGGCGGAGCTGCAGTGAGCCGAGATGGCGGCCACTGCACTCCAGCCTGGGTGACAGAGCGAGACTCCGTCTGAAAAAAAAAAGAAAAAGAAAAAAAGAAAAATACATACATAAATATATAAATAAATAAATTTACCTCAGCAACAGCAAAATGGATGAGGACTGAGTATTGTTGTTGTTGAATGCTCATGGATTGAAATCCATGCAAAGAATAGGGCATTCTTTGAGTGAACTTTGTCACTTGTTATCATAAAATTTCCGTGAGCTATGTTCTACATAAGCTAGAAAAGAAAGTCATTCCTCTTTTGGCAAGGTCCTAAAGCTCCCAAAATAAGTCTACTTTTTATTTATTTACTTATTTTTATCCAAACATATTTTGCAAAATGTTTTGAAGAGGCTTGCAAATAATTTATTCTAAGTCTATAACTTTTCAGAGAAATGCCTGAGGCTCTTATTTAGGGGACTGTTAATGTAAAGTGAGCTGTTATTCATAAAGTCAAGACTAAAATCCAATATCTATGTTTCTTATTTTTTCTTTGTAATTAGATCATTTTGTATCTGTATGTATCTTTGCTATTTAAATATTTTTATACATGCCGTTGGCTCTACTATGATACTCACTACATCCTGTTACATAAGAAAAACATCTTATATATCTACTAAGTCAATAAAGAAACTAAATCTCAGAATGGTACATTGTATCTGTTACTCTGAAGAATTTAAGGTTCATTTTCAGACATCTCTAAATACAGTTAATACTTTATAAAGTTTCTCTAATTGTCCAATTCGCCTAGACAAAACAACTCAGCCTCTAACTTCTGAGAAAATCTTAAGTTTTTATTTATAAAAAGCTTTAACCTTGCCAATAACAGTACAAGAAATATCATTTTTCATCTGGCTACAGCCAGTTTCTTACGAATCTCCACAGAACTGCCCCAATTCTCTTTGTCATGAAATTGAGAAAATTGAAGCTATTTATCAGTCCCAAAGAGTAGCATGCTAGGGTGTGAGACTTTCAATGACTTTGTTTTGACCTTGTTTCCTTTGGTGATTCAACATAGGTAAAATAGGCCTGATTGGTAAAGGCTTCAAGGTCACTCTTGGTTAAGAAAAAACAAAAAATGTAAACTAATATTGATAGATCAGCTCTAGTTGAATTTGAGAAATTCTAAACTTTAAGATAAGTTAATGTTCTGTAGTTGCACAAGCTATTGGAAAAAACATTTGAAGAATAATTATAATGTTTATTGATTTAGCTATTTCTAATTACTAATACTGATCCCTTTATGCTTCTGTTTAGTTAATTATAATGTTTTATTCTGCCATATGAATTTGACTAAAATTTGTGTGAATTCATTAAAACAAGTAGAAATTAACCTACTGAAAATGGGTGACTGAAGTAATTTCTGTTTATGGAATCAACATGCATCTCAGAACTCAACTAACATCATCATTCAGCATAGAGATTTTTTGACACCTTAAATTCTGAGAAAGTTGGAACCAATCCTCCTATGACCTGATAGAGTATGTTTACATGATAACACATAATTTTTGTCAACCAGTATTAAGGCAGTATAATTATCAAAATTGATGAGCAAAATTAATCAGTAATTTAAAAAATTATATTTGTTTTATTGAAATTTTTATCTGTCAATGAGATATTATTTTCTTTTGTTGAAAGAACACTAACCAAACATTTAAAAGCTTATAGCAAATAAGTTTCCTAAGACTCTCTCACCTCCCATAAATATTTTTTAACCTTGGAATAACTTTCTTAGTGCAAAATGATAAAAGTGTTTAATAGCTGATTAATGTCACCTATCCACTTTCTTTAAAGTGTTTTTCTATTGTTTCTTTCTGTTTGTACCTTACAAAATAAATATATTCACTGTACATAATACAAAAAACACTCAGCATTTTAAAGTGTTAGGGTTATACATTGTTGAATATTCAGGGTCATATTTCTGTCTTACGTAAATTTTAATATGCAGAACATAACCCCTAGTTACTACAGAGCTAAGACAATAGAAAATACTTCTTTTCCAGGGTAGAAATTGTAAGGCACTTTTCACGAATAATAACCACTGATAATACATTTAGAAAGTTGAATTTTTAGTCTTATATGTTCTGAATAGGACTTGCTTTATTCTCAAAGGTAAAATAAATGCATTAAATATACGGTAGCTGGATAGACGGTTGTATGAAGAAATGGAAAGAGATAGGTTGATGGATAGATTAGATAAATAAAATTTCTTATACTCTGATTTGAGTAGCTCCTTATGTTCTTTCTAATCTATATAAGACTCTAAGGGAAAATAACAACCATCATGTTAATTAGGTTTTATTTGAATTAATAGAGGTAATTTAAAAATAGTTTTTGGTGTGGTCTCCTCTCTTGGCTTTGGAGCCCCCCTCCCTCTGTCTCTGTACAGAGGAGCTTCTTCCTTTTGTCTTGCCTATTGAACTCTCTGCCCCTTAAAACCAAAAATAAAAATAAAAATAAAAAAATAATTTGTATGGTGATATAAAATTATTAATTTTAAATTACACTATTTTTAAGAGTTTACACAGGATTTTTACAACTGTCTTCAGTAATACCAAATCATTTATTACAAATCAAATTTTCCTACTTATTACAGCTAACAAGTAACATATTGAACTAGATTTTTTAGTTCTTCTGGAGTGAAACATATTGAAAGTGTAAGTACAAAAAATTAACAACTCAAGTAAAACGTTCAGTAACATGTAGGAAACCTTTCCCTGCTGAATGGTATCATCCCTGTATTCAAGGAGTTTCTCTGAAACACAAATCTTTGCTTTGAATTTCAGTGACTCAAATTAATAAGCTTCATGAATTTGCCAGCACATATTTTGAATATTTTCCTTTAAGCTGGCACATTCCAAGAGTTTAAAAATTTGAGCCGTAAACTCTGACTGTGAATCAGAAGTTGTAATTTTTGAGGCTTGCAATAATAACCAGTAAATGAGAGTAACCTTATGTATGTTTTTTATCTGGCAAACAGGTGTGATATAAAAATAAATGTGCCCAAATAGCAGTGTTATTTTTATCTCAATGTAATCACCTCAATATATTATTCACAAAACTTCAGGTTTTATTTAGTTAACACATACTCTTTGCCTTGCTTATTAGTATATGAGAAAAAAAAAGGATCTTGGGAAGCACTTGCAAATATACATCTACATATGATCAAGGTAAAGTCATTGAATCTACAAACTGTCACATTTGCAAAAATAGAAAACACCTAGATGATAGAGACAAGAACTTTTAAAAAGTTAAAATTAGTAAACACACAAATAATTTGAACAGGATTCGTTTCTACAAATCCCTTCTAAAATAAATAAAATGAATGTTCAAGTTGTTAAGAACTCTAATGCAGAGGATCCCTAACCTATGATGTTTCAACTTACAATTTTTCAACTTTACAAATAGTTTATTGGGATATTAAATGCATTTTCAACTTATGATATTTTGACTTATGATGGATTTATCAGACTGTGGCCCCATTGTAAGTTGAGAAGCATCTGTACAGTCTTACAACTCAACCAATTACAGAAGTAGCCTCTTGTTTGTAGGGGATACATCCAAAGATTCCCCAGTGGATGACTGAAACCACAAAGCATTTGGGATTTTGGATTTTCAGATTAGAGATGCTCAGCCAGTATCCATAATGCAAATATATTTTTTAAAATTTTGAATTCCAAAACACTTCTGGTCTTAAGCATTTTGACTAAGGGATATTGAACTTGTACTATTTTTTTCTATACATATGTACCTAAGATAATGTTTAATTTATAAATTAGTTATAATAAGAGATTAATAGCAATAATTAATAATAAATTAATTATAACAATATACTGTAATAAAGTCATGTGAATATAGTCTGTCTATATCTTTCTCAATATATCTTATTGTACTGTACTCATCCTGCTTCTTGTGATAAAGAGAGGACAGAGTGAATGATGTGAGATTTCATCATGCTATTCAGAAGAGTGTGCAATTTAAAATCCATCAATTCCTTATTTCTGGAATTTTTCATGTAATATTTTTGGACCACAGTTGACAGCATGTAACTAAAATCTCAGAAAGTGAAACCACACATAAGGCAGAGACTACTGTACCAAATTTACAGGTCTATAAAATGTGGTATTTTACCATCTAGAACAAATGCAGTATTTTCTTACCTCAGGTTTAAACATCATTATTCTACTTCTGTGGCCCCTTTACATCTTTTTAATTCTTATACCTTGAAGAAAATAAAGGCTCAACTCCAATTAAGAACGGCAGGAAAGCACAGAATCTCAATGAGAAAATGCAGGAAGTGGCAGAATAGTTAAGGTGAATTCAGTTTGAAAGAGGACTTCTTTTCTGCACTTCTGTTTTCTAATGTTCCCCAATGTGTTTGCTGTACAAAAGTTGTCTGTTTAAAGTAAATTGGCTCCTAAATGAGAGTGCTAACCTTAAGTCCTTTCAGAACCGGGGAAGGATTTTACGGGAGGCAATGGAGTATAAATGGGAACAATAGCAAGAATGAGATCTGAAGCCTTGAAAGTCCTTGGCTTGTTTGGGGGAGCAGTGTGTGATTCTAGCACAATTAAACTACACAGTGTATTTATAGCGGGTGGGCCACACTGTGAAAGGTAGTGAATTTCAGGCTGAGGAGTGGTTTTTATTTTGTTGACACTGAGAAAGGAGATAAAGAAGATTTTAGAGCAAAAGGATGCCAAAGAACCATCTGAGTTGTAAAAGAAGGTGATGACAGAATGGTGGATAGTGTATTAGTGGATGAGAAACTGAGTCAGGGAGAAGAATGAAGAGAATACTGAAGTAGTTCAGAGACAAAATTAAAAGGATTCTCTAAGGAAGTGTCACAGGAGCTCAAGAAAATGGAGAGAGGTCACAATGGGATATAAAGAGTTGAGTGAAGATTGTGGGAAATTCAAATTACCAAAATGTATTGTTTGTTATAATACCCAATCCAAATGATATGCATTGATCCAACAACTTTATTATTCTATAATCACATTTTTACTTCTTTTAGCATAAGAGTAGAAAAATAGTAAGTCTAAAAATTGGTCTAAATTTATACGTGTTGTTTAAGTGTTATACAGTCATGCATCACAGTAACAGAGGTATAATTTGAGAAATGCATCATTAGGCAATTTGTCATTATGCAAATCTCATTGACTGGACTTACACAAACCTAGATACAACAGCATACTAGACACTTAGCTTGTATGGCATAGCCTATTGCCCTTAGGCTACCAACATGTATAGCACACTACTATACTGAATAATGCTGAGAATTGTAACACAGTGGTATTTGTTTAAGCACAGAAAAGTTACAGTAAAAATACTTTATAAAATCTTATAGGACCACTGTTGTATATGTGGTCATTGAACAAAACATCATTGTGCAGTGCATAACTGCACATAAAAATTTGTTTCATATATATAATTGATGGACATATATAATTTTGTATACATATATGCACACACACACTATATAGATATATAAACTACAGGCGTACACTATTGGTAGAGTGTTATTAACACTGTAGGAACTTAAGAAAATGGAGTCATCAATTTGTTTTAATTTTAAAAAATATTTAACTGTCTGAATTAGAAAATAAAACATTTGCACAAGAATATATATATATATATATATATTTCTCTCTTTGTTCTTCTTTGGGTGATGCTACCAGGCTTAGGTAGAGATACTAAAAAAAGAATGTATGAAATAAAAATGTGAAATAAGGATGTTTACATAAAGAGATGTAATGGGAAGTAACAAAAACATAACTGAAGAAATATAATTAAATATGTATATTATGTACAGAATTATAAAAGCTGTCTCTTTATTTAAAATTTAATATTAAGAAAAACTGAAACCTTAGAAATACAAACGTGAAAGTAGATGCGGCTGAGTGATTACTGGTTGTTTTTATCCTGTATCACTATAATAGCAAGGAATTATATAATTGAATAAATCATGAGCATTTGTATTTTTCTATGATTCTTCTTAGAGCATTAGAGGGAAGAATGTTTGCTAAAGGTTCACTTTCAATTTGCTCAAGGAGTAATAAGCAAGAGTAAATTGGAATATTACATATATTATTTAATATTATATTATTATTAATAATATTATGTTAAATTTGTATATGCATATTTAGTTTTCAATAAGTGGTAAGTATTATACTGACTACAAAGTATAAAACATTTCATCCTGTCAATGATCTTGTATTGTAGTTAGTAAGATCTTTCTATACATGTAGCTTCAATACAATATGTAATAGTATGGCCATTGATAAGATACTAAAATGTTTCCACAGCATTTTTGGTCAACAGACACTTGCTTAAGTACCTTAAATAACTCATCAATACCTTCCTGTTTCCGTCCACCTTCGGGGAACGGGAATACTAGTTTGGTCTGCGCGAGAATGATGTGCAACATGGCTCCAGTTCAGGTGTCCATTTTCTCCATATCTTTAAAGACTTGGACTCCATCACCTGATCTTAGATTTATAGTTTATCTAAATCCAATCTGGATTTTGAATTTGTTTTCATCAAGATTAGCATTAGGCTTATTTGAGCTGACTTTGAAGAGCACATTTTTACTTCATCTCTTCTGCTACGTTACTGTAGCATTTGATATAGCTGATTGCACTTTTTTCCTCCTTAAAAAAAATACCCTGTCCAGGCGCGGTGGCTTATGCCTGTAATCCCTGCACTTTGGGAGGCCGAGGCGGACGGATCACGAGGTCAGGAGATAGAGACCATCCTGGCTAACACGGTGAAACCCCATTTCTACTAAAAATACAAAAAATTAGCCAGACATGGTGGCGGGCGCCTGTAGTCCCAGCTACTTGGGAGGCTGAGGCAGGAGAATGGCGTCAACCTGGGAGGCGGAGCTTGCAATGAGCCGAGATCACGGTCACTGCACTCCAGCCTGGGGGACCCAGCGTGACTCCGTCTCAAAAAAAAAAAAAAAAAAAAAAAAGATGCTCTTAGTTTGAAAGTTAATTTATTGGTATTTTTTTCTTCTTTCCATGTGACCGCTTTTTTAGTTTCTTTTGCATAATCTATCCATTCAATATTGATAGCCCCTACAGTTCTGGTTTAGACTTTATTTTCTTGTTTTCAGATATAATAACCAATATTGTAAACTATGCCAGACAACATTCTAAAGTTATTGGATATAATCTCTTTTTTAATTTTCATGACAAACCTACGAAGCTTTATTATTTTTATTTTGTATTTTTTAAAAACTAAAATTCAGAAACGTGAAAGGTTGTGAAAATATTAAGTGACAAAGGTTAGTTTTAATGCAGGTTTTGTACCTGAAAAGCAAATGTGCTTTTCTCTAATTTATCCTGCATAACATTCACCTCTTGCAAAGCTAGCATTTTATTCATTACCATTACGACAAGCCAACACTCATATAGTGCTTACTATATGCCAGACTTTTTCTAAACTCCTTTGTATATGTTCACTTATTTAATCCTCACAACTGTGAAGTAGGTACTATTATTATTCTTGTTTTATATATAAAGACAATGAGTCACTTAAATAATATGCCCAAGGTAACATTGCTAAAAAGTTGTAGAATTAATATCAAAGCCAACTGTGCAGTTCCAGAATCTTACCTTTAGTAATTACCCTATACTGCTTTATAGAAGTTATAGCCTATATTCAATAGACATTTCAAACTCAGTATTGTAAAACTATATTTATTTTTGGCTTCTGTCTCTTACTCACATGTTGCCATAAAAAGGATCCCTCCCAGTGTTTTTTGTCTCATTAATGAGAAAACTATCTACCCAAACCTCAAACCTGGAGTCCATTGTTAATTATCCTTAACTCTCCAATCAATGTTAACATTAGGCAAAACTTCTTATTTATATTTTAAAAATGTCAACACTAATCCTTGTGTTTTTGTATTTTTTTCCCATATATGACAAAGATGATTCTTCATTCTTCTCTATTACTGAAAAAATCTTTTTCATTTAGTGGCCACTACAATTTAATTTTCATCTATCAAAAGGAAAAAATATTGAAAACAAATGTACAAGGATGGAACAAAAAGAGTTCTTGTTCCTTTGTATGTAGCATTGTAGTTACTTCACTTTTTTTTTTTATTGAGTTGGAGCTCAGAGAGAGAGAGAGAGATAATTATTTAAAAGGTCAGAGAAAGCTTTCCAAGAGATTATAGAACAGTCAGAGGTTTGGATTTAGGGATGCCTGGTAGCCTCTGTTACTGTTCAGAAGAGCCAGAAAATCAAGCTAAGCCTTTTCTGAACTCTCCATAAAAAAACAAGCAAACAAATAAAACTAATAGTCTTCATCTTTGTCTTCCAGTATATTTTGTTTTTATTTCTATATCAATACTTTTTATGGTGGTTTATGCAATCCCTGCAACCACAGTAGCTGAGTTACAATGACTTCAGTAATTGTTTATTAAATAAACAAGGCAACCATGAAACCTAAGCATGGTTACCTGTGTTAAAAGCTTCACTCTCACACTCATTTTATATCTCATCCTGTATTTCCAATTCTTCAGCAAATAATTCCAAGAGATGTTGCAAAACTTATTGAATGTTCATAAATTGAACTTGGTCACATTCAAAAGTCAAGTTAGTTCAATATTCCTGTCATGAGTGAGACAAATTTACTGAAGCCAGTTGAATACAACTGAAAGATTACATTGGATGTAATGCCATTTTAAGATAATACTTCTCAGAGGAATTAACTTTGAAGTAAATAATGAAGACTTTAATATTTTAGAAGATTATTATGATTATTTTTAGAGATGGAGTCCCCCTTTGTCACCCAGGCTGAAGTGCAGTAGCACAGTCACAGCTCACTGCAGCTTCTACCTCCAGGGTTCAAATGATCCTCACACCTCAGCCTCTCTAGTAGCTGGCACTACAGGCACACTCTACCACAATCAGCTAATTTTTAAATTTTTGGTAGAGATGGGGCCTTGCTATGTTGCCCAGCCTGGTTTCAAGTGATCCTCCTGCCTAGGCCTCCCAAGTTATGGGATTATAGGTCTGAGCTACCATGTGCAGCCAAGAATACTTACTTCTGATAGCAATATTCATTAGACTATTATGGGCATGCATTTACTGTTGCTACTGTTATTGTTTTAGTTGGTTTTTGTTTTTGGACTCCAGCTCAAATTACACTGATTTTATGAGCATGAATGAAGAAAAGACACGATATTTTTCAGAAAAAAAAAAAGTGCTGAGAGAGTTTGCCACTATCAAGCCAGCACTACAAAAACTGCTAAAAAGTTTTGGGGGGAACCAGCCCCCAATATTTCAACATAGGTTCTTTTCTATTTTCCCTAAGTGTTGGCCAGTCTGAGAAATAAAGATAAGGAGTACAAAGAGAGAAATTTTACAGCTGGGCCTCTGGGGGTGATATCACGTGTTGGCAGTTTTCGTGATGCCCACCTGAGCCGCAAAACCAGCAAGTTTTTATTACGGATTTCAAAAGGGGAGGGGGGTACGAATAGGGAGTGGGTCACAGAGATCACATGCTTCAAATGGCAATAAAATATCACAAGGGCAGAAAGGCAGAGCAAGGTCACAAGGCCAAGGCTAAATTAGAATTACTAATGAAGTTCCATGTCCCACTGTGCACACATTGTCATTGATAAACATCTTAACAGGAAACAGGGTTCAAGAGCAGAGAACTGGTCTGACTAAAATTTGCCAGGCTGGCATTTCCTAATCCTAGCAAGCCTGAGGGCACTGCAGGAGACCAGGGCGTATTTCATCCCTTATTTTCAATGGCATAAGGCAGACGCCTCCAGAGCAGACATCCATAGGCCTCCCCTGGGAATGCATTCCCTTCCTAGGGTTATTCCTTACTGGGAAAAGAATTCAGTGGTATTTCCCCTACTTATTTTCTGCAGTAAGAAAAATATGACTCTGTTCTGCCCAGCCCCACAGGCAGTCAGACCTTATGGTTATCTCCCTTGTTCCCTGAACATCACTGTTATCCTGTTCTTTTTCAGGGTGCCCAGATTTCATATTGTTCAAACACACATGTTTTACAAACAATTTGTGGAGCTAACGCAATCATCACAAGGTCTTGAGGTGACATACATCCTCAGCTTAGGAAGATGACGGGATTAAGAGATTAAAGTGAAGACAGGCATAGGAAATTATAAGAGTATTGATTGGGGAAGTGATAAATGTCCATGACATCTTCACATTTTATGTTCAGAGATTGCAGTAAAGGCAGGCGTAAGAAATTATAAAAGTATTAATTTGGGGAACTAATAAATGTCCATGAAATCTTCACAATTTATATTCTTCTGCCGCAGCTTCAGCAGGTTCCTCCATTCAGGGTTCCTGACTTCCCGCAACAGAAAAGAGCTCTAAATCTTGAAACAAATCCACAAAATACACCAAATAGAACTTCCTTAAAGCATAAATTTCACAGGACCTATAAAACAAAAACACTATAAATAAATAAATAAATAAATAAAACACAAAGTATTCAGGCAACAAATAGCATGATAAATAGAATAGTACCTTACATCTCAATACTGACATTGAATGTAAAAGCCTAAATGCTCCACTTCAAAGATACAAAAAGTCAGAATAGATAATAATTCTCCAACCAAGTAACTGCTGTCTTCAAGAGACTCACCTAACACATGAGGACTCACATAAACTTAAGGTAAAGAAATGGAAAAAGCTGTTCCATGTAAATAGACACCAAAAGCTAGGAGGAATAGCTATTTTTATTTCAGACAAAACAAACTTTAAGAGCAATTAAAAAAGGACAAAGAGAGACATTATATAATGATAAATTGACTTGTCTAACAGAAAAAAACTACAAATTCTAAATATACATGCACCTAACACTGGAGCTCCTAAATTTGTTAAACAATTACTAATAGACCTAAGAAATGAGATAGCAGCACAATAATAGTGGGGGACTTTAATACTACACTGACAGCACTAGAAAGGTCATGAAGAGAGAAAGTCAACAACAACTATACCCTAGAACAATGGACTCAACAGATATTTACAGAACATTTTACCGAACAAATGCAGAATTTACATTCTATTAATCAGCACATGGGATATCCTCAAAGATAGACCATATTATCGGTTGCCAAATAAGTCTCAATAAATTTATGAAAATTGAAATAATATCAAGTACTCTCTCAGACCACAGTGGAATAAAATTGGAAATCCACTCCAAAAGAAACCCTCAAAACCATGCAACTGCATGAAAATTAAAAAACCTGCTCCTGAACGATAGTTGGGTCAACAATGAAATCAAGATGGAAATTTAAAAATTCATCAAACTGAACGATAATAGCGACACAACCTTTCAAAACCTATGGGATACAGTGAATGCAGTTCTAAGAGGAAAGTTCATAGCCTTAAATGGCTACATCAAAAAGTCTGAAAGAGCACAAATAGACAATATAAGCTCACACCTCAAAGAACTACAGAAACGAGAACAAACCAAACCCAAACCCAGCAGAAGAAAAGAGATAATGAAAATCCGAGCAGAACTAAATGAAATTGAAACAAAAAAAATAAAAATAAAATGAAATTGAAACAAACAAAAGATAAAAGGAACAAAAAGTTGGTTCTTTGAAAAGATAAATAAAATTGATAGACCACTAGCGAGATTAACCAAGAAAAGAAGGGAGAAGATCCAAATAAGCTCAATTAGAAAGTAAACGGGAGATATCACAACCAATACCACAGAAATACAAAAAGTCATTTAAGGCTACTATGAACAATTTTGTGCACATAAACAGGAAAACCTAGAAGAGATGGATAAATTAATGGAAATATACAACCCACCTAGATTAAACCAGGAAGAAATAGAACCTCTTAACAGATCAATAACAAGCATTAAGATTGAAGTGGTAATTTAAAAATTGCCAACGCACAAAAAAATTGCAGTATGCAAATCAAAACCACAAAACGATACCACCTTACTCTTGCAGGAAAGGCCATAATAAAAAAATAAAAATAAATAGATGTTGGCAGATATGTGGTGAAAAAGAAACACTTTTACGCTGCTGTTGGGAATGTAAACTAGCACAACCACTATGAAAAACAATGTGGAGATTCCTTAAAGAACTAAAAGTAGGGTATCTACCCAAAGGAAAAGAAGTCATTATACGATAAAGACACTTGCACATGCATGTTTATAGCAGCACAGTTCACAAAATATATGGAACCAGCCCAAATGCCCATCAATCAGGCAGTGGATAAGAAATTGTTTTATACATTTTATATATATATATGTATATAGATAGATAGATATGGAATACTACTAGAATATATTTCAGTTTATATATATATATATGGAATACTAGAATATACACACACACACACACACACACACACACACACCATGGAATATGACTCAGCCATCAAAAGGAATGAAATAATGACATTTACAACGACCTGGATGTAATTGGAGATCATAATTCTAAGTAAAGTAACTCAGGAATGGAAAACCAAATATCATAGTATGTTCTCACTCATAAGTGGGGGCTAAACTATGTGGGTGCAAAGGCATACGAATGATTCAATGGACTTTGGGGACTCAAGGAAAAGGGTGGGAGGGGGGTGAGGGATAAAAGACTACAAATTGAGTACAGTGTATACTGCTTAGTGACAGTTGCACCAAGATCTCAGATGTCACAACTAAAGAACTTTTCCATGTAACCAAACACCAGCTGTTCCCCAAAATCTATGGAAATAAAAAATTAAAATTAAAATAAATAAATAAAGTTACTCCTGAGAAATGAATCAATCAATCAATACATAATACCTATGACATTCTTCAAGAAATAGGAAAAAAACCAATTCCGAAATTCAAATTAAACCACAGAAGAGCCTGAATAAACAAAGCAGTCCTAAGCAAAAAGAAGAAAGCTGGAGATACCACACTACCTAACTTCAAAATATACCCTGAAGTTATAGTAACCAAAATAACATGGTATTAGTATAAAAAGCAGATGTATAGATCATGGAAATCAAGTAGAAAACCCAGAAATACGTGTACACATTTATATACATCTGATGTTTGACACGGGTATCAAGAATAAGCCTTGAGGAAAGAATAGCCTTTTCAATAAATTGTGCTGTGAAAACTAGATATGCATAGGAAGAATGAAGCTAGAGCCCTATCTCTCACCATATAAAAATATACTTAAAAGTACTTAATATTTAAATATAAGACATCAAACTATAAAACTTCTAGAAGAAGACATAGGGGAAACTCTTTAGGACATTAGTCTAGGCAGATTTTATGGCTGAGACTTTAAAAGCACAGGCAACTAAAACAAAAATAGACACATGTGACTACATTAAACTAAAAATCTCCTGAATAGCCAAGGAGACAATCAACAGAGTAAAGAGAATGGAAGAAAACATTTGCAAACTATTCATCCAACAGAAAACTAATATTCAAACTATACAAGGAACTCATTTGCAGGCAAATGCCTGAATGGTTCATTTAAAGAAAGATCTGAAAAGAAGAGAGACCACTCAGCTAGGTAGGAAAGATGCTTCTAAGTTATTTGGTCACTGGCTCAGGCCATTTGTGTGGTTGTTCTATCTTTAATGCCAGGCAGCAACATTTACTGTGTCATTTATGTTACAATTGAACTAGTTAAATAAAAGATGGCAAAGATTGGTCCATAAAGTGGTCTTGCAGGCAGATAAATAAAACCGCAGGTTTCATTTCAATATTTCTCATCATTTCTACAAAAATCTTGTTACTCCTGTCACTGCCACCAGAGACCTTCATGTTTATGTAGCAATTTGGCATGTCTTTTTCTATGTGTGTATGTTGAGAGGGGCAGATAGGAGTGAGGGATGTCTTTTTCTTGTCTTAAAACTAGTTTATGTTGCAACTATAGCCTTTTTTTTGATAGGTATTTGTGATTAAGTAATCACTTTCTTATGTAATCGATATCTGAACTGTACCAGGAAACTCCTTCCACCTCCTACTCTGCATGCAATAAAAGTAATGCATGCCTTCTTTTTTTCCCAGATACTAAATTCCTTTTTTTTTTTGACAATATGTGCACATGAGGGCATTTGTCATGTGTTAGAAAGAGGACCCATGTGAATGACAAATACTAATGTGCTTAGGAGAGGAGGTACCATAAAACCACGACTGTTTCCCCATCTGTATAACACCTGTCCTCTGTGCCAACAAGGAAAACTACAGAGATGCAATACAATTTTAAGATGAAAGACACCCAAAGCTGTTAGACAAGAGGTCTGTGTCCACATCATTTACACAATTAAAACTTGTTTCTAAAATTTCATATTTTAATTATCTTACTGGTAGAATTTCCTGTGTATGTTTTCAAGTAAATTGTTTAATAGATGATCTAATTGGAAACACAACTCACTAAAATTACAAAATTTGTTTTCAGAGTGCTTCTACGTCAACATTTGCATCTTTTGAGATAAATTAGTATTTCACTTCTTGATGGCTTGGATCTATGAAATACATTGAAGAAAATAACAGAGTCATTTTCAGACCTATACTTTACAAAAATTTTAAGAATTGTGAATTGAAAATGGTTTTACTATATTAAAGAAATAATATGTGCATGAACTTATTAATTTAACTTGAACATTCATATAAAATATAGAAAAATATAACCTAAAATATCTAAAATGAAGGTAGATTCAAATGTAAAGCCAGATTGATGAAGCAAGGAAAGTACAGAGTAGTTTGGAAGTAACATTATGACAATCAGGCTCAAACTTTTTATTTTAGAATTAATGATCCTGGGGTCCAAAGAAGTAAAATAGCTTGTCTTAAATAACACAGCTGATTATTTGAATAACCAGTAATAGAACCAGTATTCTGAAGTATTTCTAAAATTATTTCTATTAAAAATGTACGTTCTATACTGCAACTTCCAAGAAAATGAGAAATGGAGAATTATATCTATCTTTAACAACTGGCGTCAAATCAATATAACTGATTTGTGGTCAGGACATGTCTCCACAGTTTTTTGTGTTGCTTTAGTTTGAGGCAGGACTTGGCATGAGGAAGTAACCCAGATAAAAGACTATGTGGCAGATTTTCAATGCCTTACAAATACATCGTTGCTGGAGTACTTAATTCATACCATGGAATAGGACCAGAAATTGCATCACTTCATTTTCACCAGAAGCTTCCAAACTTAAATCATTTAGATACTTTTTTCACCTCCTTGGGTAACTATTTCTAAAGAAGATATCTCATAATATATGTAAGCAGGAAAGGAGGATTCAAATTACCAAAAGATGATTTAGAAAAGATTGAGAAAAAATTATCAAAAATTAGGAAATGGTGGGTATAAAATGATGCTGAAGGGAAACCCCAAATCACTGTCATCAGAGGATGCAGAGGCAATCAATACATGTATCCTTTGGTGACACAAATTCCTACCTTCTTCTATCACTTGCTCCTTTTCCATATCAAAATACAACTGTTTATTGTGAATGCTCACCTTCCATTCCTTCCTCATCACTGTTATTTTTGTATTTAATTTTTAATATCCTAGGCTTTCAAGCACCTGCTTCTGCTTTTTAAAAAGAAGAGTGACAAGGCAAAAATTAAAAAAAAATAGCAAACATTCTGCCATTACTACTCATCTCTAATCTTCGGTTTCAGCTGTTTTCACACTCCAAATGCTAGCAAAATGAGTGCAAGCATAGGGAAATGGACAGGAAAATATAATCATCCATGGAGATATTTAGCAAGTAAAGAAGACTATTGAAGTAGAGAAAGAGTCAACTCTTACACTCTCTATTTTCCTAACCCCTCTTCCTACACACTACAGACTTAAAATGTAATACTAATCGGGACATATAGGTGGATGTCTAGCCCTTAGTGGTTTAGTGGATGACCAGAGATGTATGGAAGATAAGAGTATAAGGAAAGAACATGTCCTACAATGGTTTTTCCTGCTTAGAGAGATGTGTGGGGACACAGGGCAAGAGGAATAGTTACTTCTTTTTTTTTTTTTTTTTTGATGGAGTCTCGCTCTGTCGCCCAGGCTGGAGTGCAGTGGTGCGATCTCGGCTCACTGCAACCTCCGCCTCCCAGGTTCAAGTTATTCCACTGCCTCAGCCTCCCGAGTAGCTGAGACTACAGGCTTGCGCCACCACGCTTAGCTAATTTTTTTTTTTTTGTATTTTCAGTAGAGACGGGGTTTCACCATGTTAGCTAGGATGGTCTCGATCTCCTGACCTTGTGATCCTCACCCCTTGGCCTCCCAAAGTGCTGGGATAACAGGCGTGAGCCACTGCACCTGGCCAGGAATGGTCACTTGTAATTATAGGTTTCTTCTTTTGACACGTGTCCTACAAAATTTATGTAAAACTATGGCGATTTTTGAGAGTTTTTGGAGAAAGGGTGAGGTGTTCTAGTAGGATTAGAGGGGCCCACATTCAATTCTATTTTAGTTAGAAATTGATACCAAAGACATGAGGTAATCTAAAATATATAAAAATCTATTTATTCTTTCTTATTGGGTGGTCATTTAATCTCCATTTTTTTCTATAAGAAGCAATGCTGAAATAAGATATGTTTTCATGTACAAACATGGCAAAATTTTTAAGATACATACTTGAAAAAATTTTTAGATTATGGGACATAAGCATCTATGAATATTCTATAAACTATCATGCTGTCTTTATAACTGCTGTATCAATTTGTATAATCTATGAACAGTGCAAGAGAATTCTTATTTCTCCAATATTTACCAAAATTTTTAATATCCCACTTTTGCCATTCTGAGGGATAGGGAAGAGTGTCCTGTAGGTTTAACTTATATTTCCATAATTAATAATAGGACTTATCATCTTCTACAAGTTTATTTTCTTGTGACTTGCATATTAATTTTCTTTGAACTTTTTTCTACATTATTTTTTATTTTGGACATACATTTTGGTGTTAAATGCACAACAAAAATGATTTTCCTGTTTTTAGTTTGCATTTTCATCTTGTTCATGAAGGCTTTTGACAGATGGAATAATTTTACATTTAATATTGTTAAATACATCAATGTTTCCTTGAAGTTTTGTGTTTGTGTGTGTGTTTGTGTGTGTGTATGAATGTTCACTTAAGAATATCTTCTCTTCCTGAAAATTATATAAATATTACCATTTATTTTATTCTATTTAGGATGTGCTTTCAATTTTTTAGTAGACTTGGAATTTATGCTGTGCATGGCAGTATATACTCATTTAACTTACTATTTTGTCATGTAAACAATTATCTCAGTAACATTCTTTAATGGTCCACCATTTTCTAATCTAACCAACTATTAACAAAATCAAGTATGTCTTGCATTAGCTTTGGGATAATTTTTGCTCCTTTGCATTTTGTCTGCAAATATGTCGCCTTTTCTTTATTCATACCACTAGATGTTCTTCAGGTAAAAATTATAGATGAGGTGGTTTTGACTTACTGAAATATGAAAAAAGTAACTCTCTAATTTGATTTAAAATATTAGAGAGCCTTCAAGACAGTAAGGAATTGCTGGCCCAAGATCCTAGAAGGGAGGAAAACGATGAAAGTATGATTCATCAGTGTGCATCATTTCCACTTGAAATAATAGTCATTGCCTAAAGCAGTGTTTGAGAATCGGAGAATCTGAAAAGCATTTTCAAAGAATTGCAGATTAGGAGGCTATATTTTACGTAAATTTCCAACAAAAAGAAAGATCTGTGATAAAGGCCCTAGCATAAATTGGGTTCCTAAGTGTCTATATCTAAAAAATAAAAGCAAACAAGAAATATATCTCATAAGGACTGAAGCTTAGGTTTAAATCAACTCTATAATTGATTAATTATATGAGGACTGATAAGTATCTAAGCACAAGTGGCCACAAAATGTGTGAAAATATAACTTCTCTGAAGAAAAGTAATATCATTCAGAGTTTTAAAATATCTTTGTAATATTTAATGGCCAAACATATAAAGAGGCATTTGCCTAAAATAAAATAAACCATTGAAATACACATAAGGATAAGCTAGACAATGTTGTCATCAGGCACATCTTTTAAAAAGAGTATAAAATGATGATAAAAAGATTTATAAAATGGTGATTTAGGGAAGAAAATTTGAAAGTATATTAAAATGATAGAACTGAGTACTGCAATAAATGAAATTAAAAACTCAAAAATTGGATGTAGGAGCATAATGCCTAAGCTGAAAATAATTCAATGGGAATTGGAACACAGGTCAAAAGAATATATTCAGACTGAAGCAGAGAAAAAGCAGCAAGAAAATAAAGACAAAAATAAGAGACAAAGGCAAATGGTGAGAAATATCACACATATATTTCTGCAGTTTCAGAAAGAGAAAAAAATTGGCACAGTAATACTGAAAGAGATAATGGCTTAGAATTTTCAAGATCTTTTAAAATTATCAATGTTATAAATACAAAGAAAACTGCTAGACATACACATCAGAGAAAATCTGAAACAAAGTAACAACTTTAACAAGAGCCAAAGACATATTATTTTCAACTGTCTCCTAATAAAAAATAGAAGCCAGAAAATAATGGAAGGATATGTTGAAAGTGCTACAAAATAAATAACTTGCAATCAACAATTCTTTACCTTAAGCCTAAGAAAACATATCAAAGATAAAATTCATATTTTTAAGGAAATAAACAAAAACGACAAAGAAAAAAAGCCTAAAAATATTTGTCCATACCAGCACAGACTAAAGGAAATAATAAAAAGGGTTTTCTCTATAGGCAAAAAATAATATCAGATGGAAGGTTGATAGGCAGGAAAAAATGAAAAGCCAAAGGAAGTGTAAATATCTGGATTGAATGAACACTAAATGAAACTAACTTTATAAAATAATAAAACGGTATTGGAGAAGTCTAAAGTGCACATCACACTAAAATAAGCAACAACGACATATAGATTGACAGATGATAAAAGATCTTAAGTAGTTTGCATTTCCAGTAAGTGGTAAAGAATTAATATTAAATCAAATGTCAAGATTTATGTTGCAATCTCTAGGTAACAAGTAATAGAAAGTGAAGTATGTATAACAAACATTCCAACTGAAGAAGAAAAAAATGCTTATTCAATTCTTAAAACCAACAATACTGAGAAACAAAAGTGGTGAAATAAATAGTAGAAGCATGATAGATTAAATCATAAGTATTTAAATTATAACAGTATGTGAGCTAAATAATTCACTTGAAGAAAAAGAGCTCAGCTTTAAAGATGGCCAACCAGATGCAGCCAAGAGGAAGATCTGCCACTGAGAGACGGAAACATCCGGAAGACTGGGGCACACGAAGCAGATCTTCAGAGAAAAGGCCTTTAGAGTGGATGGAGGGAGGATGCAGACGCTGGGCTGAAGGAGGAGGAAATTGGAAAACCTGCAAGGGGTTTCCAAGAACTAGGGCTTATTTCTGGCCCCCTGCAACTCCTCAGAAAGGGGTAAGTTGAACAGACAAGGAGTGACCAGCTCCTGTCACGGACCTCCAGAAACTGGGCAGGAGAAAAGCTCGTGACCCTCACGGACACTTAAGCTGGCAGGGAGGGTGACTTAGAGAGGTGGTAGGAGCAGGACTCCAGCCCATGAGGAGCCCAGTGAGTTTGATGCGGGAACATCTCTAGTGGAGGACGGCCAGGGACACTCATCTCTCAAGGCTCACCCTGCTTCTCTACAAGACTTTGCCATAGAGTTACTGTCCGACTTGGGTGAAACAGGGCAGTCTTGCCCATAAGGCAGTGCCAGTCTGATCCGAGCTCCCGCCTGTCTGCTCTCCTCTCCCAGGGCCCCAGCCTGGACATGACCATTGACAGCACAGAATCGGACACCCAACCAGGGTGATTTCTGAGGGCTCTCATCATAGCTCCTTGATATGGTTTGTCTATGTCGCCACCCAAATCTCATCTTGACTTGTAGCTCCGATAATTCCCAAGTGTTGTGGGAGGGACTCAGTGGGAGATAATTGAATCATGAGGCGGTTTCCCGCATACTGTTTTCGTGGTAGTGAATAAGTCTCAAGAGATCTGATAGTTTTATAAGGGGAAACCCCCTTCACTTGGCTCTCATTCTCTCTCTTGCCTGCTGCGATGTAAGCTGTGCATTTCGTCTTCCGCCATAATTGTGGGGACTCCCCAGCCACGTGAAACTGTGAGTCCATTAAACCTCTTTTTCTTTATAAATTACCCAGTCTTGGGCATGTCTTTATCAGCAGCATGAAAACGGACTAATACACTCCTTCAATGGCAGGCCATGCCTGACCATTGAAGAGCTCCAAAAGAGTGGCTCTTGCCAATGTGCCGCAGCCTGCCTGCACCCTCCTGGCCGCACAGCTTTCCCGTTGCTGGCACAAACTCACCTGTGGCCACCCCCTTACCGCTTTACAGGAGCAGGCATGTAGAGGCAGACCTCATTTTCGCTCTGCCATTGCACATTTGCATGTACACCCCACTGCTGCTGCTGGTGTGAAGCAACATGCTGCCCCCCCACACCACTAATGTGTGGGCACTCAGTCGCACTGTCATTGCTGGTATGAACACATGCATAGACGGTGGTGACTCTGCCACCCTCTGCACACCACAATTGCCACTGTTGTGAACGAGCTCACAGACGCCAGTGGCCCTATCCCCACAGCTGATGGTGTGAATATGAGCACAGACGCTGGTAACCCTGTCCTCTGTGCTGGTGCAAGTACATGTAGAAATGCTATAGCCCCACTTCTGACAGTACCTCACCCAGCTGATGTGTACTCTCCACCATGCTACCATGGCTGCTGGCACACAGGAACAAGAATGCATCCCACTGCTGCCACCCTGATGAAGTGCTTTGGTGGGCACCATCTATGGCAGTGTTGTGTTCAGCAGATTGGGAACACCTCAGCCACTCCACTGCAGCTGGCTCCTGTCCTCAAGGGGCCAGAGAACAAAGCCAGGGGCCCTGTACCAGCCCTGCAGAGTTAGACCACACAAAACAGGAGTGCTGAGCTGAGAATTGGCCCCTAAAAATCTTTCATAAATAAACCCAATTAATTGAACCCACCTTATACCACAATCAAACCCCATAAAAGAAAATAAAAGCAAAATAAATAAATAAAACCAAAAGACAGCAACTTCAAAGATTAAAGGGACAACGGCCCACACAGATGAGAAAGAACTAGTTAAAAAGTTTGGCAACTCTAAAAGCCAAAGTGTCTTCTTACCTCCAAACAGCCTCACTAGTTCCCAAGTAATGGTTCTTAACCAAGCTGAAATGGCTGAAATGACAGAAATTGAATTCAGAATATACATAGAAATGAAGATCGTCAACATCCACCAGAAAGTCGGAACCCAATCCAAGGAATCCACGGAATACAATAAAGTGATACAGGAGATTAAAGACTAAATGGCCATATTAAGAAAGAACAAAACTGGTCTGATACAGCTGAAAAGCTATGAGAATTTCATGATACAGTTGTAACTATTAACAGCAGAATTGACCAAGCCGAGGGAAGACTCTCAGAGCTCAAAGATGGGTTCTTCAAAATAACTCAGTCAGACAAAATAAAGACAAACAACAAAGAAGAATGAACAAAACCTTTGAGAAATATGGAATTATGTAAAACTACCAAATCTCCATCTCATTGCCACCCTTGAAAGGGAAGGTGAGACAACAAGCAACTTAAAAATTATGCGTGGGGAATCATCTATAAAAATTTTTCCAGTCTCACTGGGGAGGCCAACATTCAAATTCAGGAAATGCAGGGAACCCCTATGAGATACTATACACAAAGACTATCCCCAAGACATATAATCATCAGATTCTCCAAGGTTGAAATGAAAGAAAAAAATGTTAAAGGCAGCTAGAGAAGGGACAGGTCACCTAAAAAGGGAACCCCATCAGGCTAACAATAGACCTTTCAACAGAAACCACAGGAGCCAGAAAAGACTGGGGCCTGTATTCAGCTTTCATAAAGAAAAGAAATTCCAATCCAGAATTCCACATCCAGTCAAACTAAGTTTCACAGGCAAAGGAGAAATAAGACCCTTTATAGACAAGCAAATACAAAGAGAATTTATAACCACCAGACCCGCATTACAGGAGGTCCTTAACAGGTGCTAAATATGGAAAAGGAAGACCATTACCAGCCACCACAAAAACAAGTGTACATACCTACATACATTATAAAGCACTAGAAAGCCACAATGCAATTACATTTGCATAATAATAAGCTAATGACATGATGACAAGATCAAATCTGCACATACCAATATTAACCTTGAATACAAATGGGCTAAAATAAAATTAATAAATCTATATGTTCATTTTTATAAAGGTCAATTATATACATATACCACAGCCAAGACAAATCAAGAAAAGTGGGAGTAGGTGCAAACAAATTAGAAAAGGATGCTATATAAAATGTTTTGCCAAAAATATATGAGAAAATTTAGATGAAATGGACAAAATTCAAGAAAAAACAACTTTTCCAAACAAAATCTGTGTATTCCTGTATTTATTAAAATATTAAATTCAAAATTACAAATATTCCTCTGAAAACATCATTAATCAAAGATAACTTCCCTGCTGAAATCTACCTTTAAGAAAGTAATTATGTAAACTCTACAGAAACTCTTCCAGAGAAGAGAAAGTGAACACTAATATATTCAATTCTTATTTGAGTTCAGTATAAACTTGATACCATTAATATAGCCCAATATTTCTTTTACCCATATATACAAAATTATTGATAAAATATTAGCAAATGAAATCCCCATCATTGATACAATGTTGAATAGAAATGTGAATACAAGTATCCTTTTCTCATTTCCAATTTCAAGGTAACTTTTTCATTATTTCATTTTTAACAATGACAATTGCTGTAGAATTTCTGTAGATTTATTAGATGAATACATTTACTTTAGATCTCTACATTTCCAAAATCTTTTATAATGAGTGGTTTTTGGGTTTATTAATGCATTTTCAGATTTATTGAAATAATCATCTTTTTGTTAACTGCATTAAGGAAAAAAAGCAAAAACAATTAAAAGAAAAGATGAAAACTATTATTCAAACATGACATGATTTTCTGAATTGAACATCAGATGAATCCACATATAAACAATAAAAATTAATAAGGGTATCCATATGCAAAGCCAATATATAAAATATGATGAGTTTTGGTACTAAATCATTAGCATGAAAACATCATTTAAGATAACAACAAAACATTGAGGAAATTAAACTATGAAAAGATGAAAAGAATTCTATTTAGAACACTATAAAATATTGAGAATAAGTGAAAAATATGTAAGAAGATATACATGTTTATAAATAGAATAATTAATATAATGGATAAGTTATTTCTTCCCAAATTTATCTATAGATTCAACACAGTCACAGACCTAACCACAGAATTTTTTGGAAAGCAACAAGGTAATTCTAAATTTATATAGAATAAAAAGAGTAAAATTAGAAAGACTTATTTAAACAAATATTAAGGGTTATTATAAAGCTACAATAAATATTGGCAGGAGGATAGACAAATCGACCAATGAAATATAATACAGTACAGAAATTCTTCCACATAGGAAAGTTCAATGGATTTGTGGCAAGTTTTATAAAGTTACACAGAATAAATGGATGGTCTTCTCAAACATTGGTGCATACATATGGATGTCCATAGAGTAAAATTTGCATCTTAACCACTAACTCACACCATACATTAAAATTATTTCCTATAGGCAAATTATGTTTCAAATATAAAAGGTAGGCATTTAGCTTTCACATTTCACATTTCATAAAACTCCTAGAAGGTAAACTAGGTTAATATCTTTATGACCTCAAGTAAGAATGTTTTCTTAACCCAAGCACAGTAAAAGCATTAACCAGATTGGAAAATAATAATGAATTAGACAATACAAGAAGAACTCACAAAAATCCATACAGCATGTACATCTAAGGGTTTTCATTAGAAGTCAAAAAATAAGCTATAGCAAGAAAGTGGGTATAGGCAAGCATCTGAGGCTTTAGAAGCATCTAGGTGCAAGTGTACTAGGGCCCTTATTCATACAAGGACACACTTCTCCAGTTTGAATCAACAAAATCTGTGCTTCAGGAAAGCTCAAGGCAGATGTTCCCAGTGGAGTCATTATTGCCTTTCTGGTCAAGCCAGACTGTCTAACAGATTATGCTGGGTGAAGACTGTCAGTAAACAAACTGGCCCTAGAGTTGCTAGGGAAGTTACAGACTAAACAGCATGCTGTAAACCCCACTGCCCTTATCTTAGCGAACAGTCTAAGCCAGAAATTTTTAAATCCCCAAAGAAAAGGATAGAGCATTCCCAGTCCAGCTGCTAAATAACCCCATTTTACACAACTCAAATATTTTAGACAGGAATTTATTTATCTAGCTCAGTGCTTAGAATACACTTTCTTATCTGAGAAGTTATATCTGTATTCTTCTTAAACTTACACTTTATATAACTTGTTTTTAATAGTCAGTAGATGAAAGTATGACAAAAAAGTGTATATTCTATACAGACTCAGTTAAATAAAAGCTTAGATGGTTAGGTGGGCAGATATATCACCCCTTTTTGTTACTTTTGTCCCATATGTTGTCTTCATCTCTAAAACTTCATGGCTTATTTTTTAGACCTTTTCATTCTATCCGAAAAGTCTCAACTCTGTATTACACTTTCAAATTACTTCAGTTATCAGTGTTTCAACTTCTAATGTTCTTTCTCCTCTGTTCAATATGCTGTTGAGCCCTTACTTTTAATTATTGCATTATTATTTTTGTAATTTCCATTTCTGTGGTTAAATTCTTTATAGTTTTTTTTTTAACTTCTCAGGTATGTGAGACAGCTGGAAACTCTGTTTTGCTTTATAGAAATTATTCTCCTTAATTTCTTAGACTCTTACTTTGGGTAGTTTGAGAATCTGAAAATTCTTAAAGGAAACAAACAATAGACATCTCCTTCCAGGTGGATTTTTGAGTAAGAAAGATAAAATTAAGCTTCCCCACTTAAACAAATCACAAAGCAGACTTACATACAAGGAAATGGTTTTCATATATTGACCAATGTGCAGTTCAGGAGAGTAATCCCCAAAGAAGAAAATAAATGAAGTGAGCCCCTCAACTGTCCTAGCTTCCTGCTTGCACATTTGTCAAGCTCCTAAACTACCTGAGTTGAGGAGACAAAGTCTGGGGAGACGAAGTTTAAAATGACAATTGCCTGGGAAAATGAAGGGGAGTAGAATTGTTAAGGCAGAGTACCCAGGAGGGAGAAAGCTGCACAGAGACAATATCGCAGATATTTGCAAAGGGTTCTTTTCAAACCTTCAGCTGAGTACTAATCAGCACATCTGTATGAAGAAACTATTGAGGCTAGGAAAATAACTCCATGAAAGGAAGAAAGGGAGCAATCTCCACAGGGCCTGGGTACAGCTCAGTTAAGCTTACCTGATGGCCAGTGTGCCTTTGAGTACAAAAGGGGGAGTGCCAAATCTTTCAGGTAGCGAATAGGAAGTTGAGGGTAGACAAAACAACAACAACAACAACAACACCTGGTTAAGTAAAATCTTAGAGCTGAAGAGCTGAAAGGATGATTTTAGAACGATAGAAGGAGGAGTGAGGAAGGTTTAGGTAGACATTCTAGGTAGAGAGCAAGGATCTGGGATGTTTTCAGAGAATTTTCAGTGTTCAGTATGGCTGCATCACGGGGTCACAATAAGAATAAGGCAGAAAAGAAACGTTGAGAGTCAAGTTTTAGACATTAGAAGGCTTTGAATACCTGTTTAAGAAAAATAGCTTCATAGCCTGTAGATTACACGGTGGAGAATCAAAGTACAGGTTTTCTTCCATTTACAGTGGGGTTACATCCTAATAAACTCAGTGTAAATTGAAAATGTTTTTAATCCTCCTAACCTACCCAACATCATAGCTTAGCCTAGCCTACCTTATATGTGTTCAGAACACTTACATTAGCCTACAGTTGGGAAAAAAATCAAAATTCAAAAATGGAAATATTCTTTCTACTGAATGTGTATTGTTTTCACAATATCATAAGTCTAAAAACCATAAGTTGAACCATTGTGTCAGGGACTATCTGTCATTTATATAGAAAAAAACTTATAGAAATATTGCAGAAAGGCCATTCATGATTTTATAAATAATGAAATTGAATCAAAATCTTTAGTAATAAGTTAGAAATCTATTATAAATTCAGTAGAGGTGAATAATATTTCACTGCAGATATATACCATATTTTCTTTGCCCATTCATCCGTTACAGAAATGTAAGTTGTTTCTACATCTTGCCTAGTATGAATAGTGCTGCAGTGAACATTGGAATGCTGATAGTTCTTCAAGATTCTGACTGTAGTTCTTTCAGAAAAATACCCAGAAGTGGCATAGCTTCATATGGTAGTTCTATTTTTAATTTTTGAGGAATCTCTACACTGTTTTAGCAACTGCACCATTTTGCATTCCCACCAACCCTGTACAAGAGTTCCAAATTTTCCACATCCTCACCAACACTTGTTGTCTTTTGTTTTGTTTGTGTTTGTGTTGTTTCTGATAATAGCCATGCTGATAGACTTGAGGTGATATCTCATTGTGATTTTGATTGGTATTTTCTGATGATTAGTGACATATAAAATAATTTTATTCAGCCTTAAACAAGAAGGAAGTCCTGAAATAAGTGACAACATGGATGAACCTTAAGGACATTATGTTAAGTGAAATAAGCAAGTTATAGAAGACAAATACTGCATAATTGAAATTATGCATATCTAAAATAGTCAAACTCATAGAATCAGAGAGTAGAATTGTAGTTGCTAGTGGCTGGGAGGAGGGAGAAATGGAGAGTTGCTAATCAACTAATCAATAGGAATAAAGTCTCAATTATGCAATATGAATAAGTTCAAGGGATCTGCTAGAACTTATGCTATAGTTAACAATATTGTATTGTACACTTAAACATTTGTTAGGAGGATAGATCTCATGTTAAATATTCTTACTACAATAAAATAAAATTTAAGAAAAAAGAATACACAAATTAAAACAGTAGTGAAGCTTTTCAGAAGAATGTTAATTTGAACAGTAAATAAAAATAAAACCAACAAGTCCCTGAAAAAAATGCATGAAAAAGACAACGGAGTCTGGAATTAAGAAAGTGGGACTCAGTAAGAGATAAGTGACAGTGGTAGTAATAAGGGAATGGGATCACTGTTAAATATAATATGTGGACAAAGGGGCTTTTATTTGAGTGAATGAAGGAAGATTGTTTACTTCATCATAATAGTGCTATTAAATGAGAAACAGATTGGGGTGGGAAATTAAGGGATTTTAAAAAATATATTGAGTTTGAATTGTGGGATGTCCAGATAAAAATGCCAAGTAAACAGCTGGATTTAAATGCCTGGAAACCACAACTGAGGTCTACACTAATAATATTCTTTCTTCAAATACATAATTATGTTTGATCAATAAAACTATGTGAAATACCGTTGACCCTTGAACAGTATTACCCTTATGCAGTCAAAAATCCCCATACAATTTCATATTCCCCCAAAACAGGTGAAACCCCGTCTCTACTAAAAATACAAAAAAAATTAGCTGGATGTGGTGGCACATGCCCGTAATCCCAGCTGCTTGGGAGGCTGAGGCAGGAGAATCTCTTGAACCCAGGAGGTGGAGATTGCAGTGAACCAAGTTCGCGCCACTGCACTCCAACATGGGTGACAAAGCGAGACTCCCTCTCAAAAAAAAAAAAAAAAAAAAAAAACTCCTTTGGCACAGCCTCACAGACACACCCAGGATTAATACATTGCATACTTCAATCAAGTTGACAGCATTAACCATCACAATCTCATAATTGGATTATTTTAAAATGCCCCAGATAAGAGCCCAGTTTGATAAACACTTTGATTTCAGTCTTGGGAAACCCTGAGCCGTCAACATAGTCGAACCTGCCTGGGCTACTTACCTGTAAAACTGCAAGCTAATAAAAGGTGCTGTTTTAAGCTGCTAAATTTGTAGTTCTTATGGTTATAGAAAACTAACACAATTAATAACCATAATTTCAAGGAAACTATGTGGGATAATAGTTAATATGTCATGTATTATAAAAAACTAAGAGTACATAAATAAATATAGGACTTTAACCCAATCATTAATAGAAAACATTAATGTTACTTAACCCTAAATAATAAAATTACAGTTGATATATTTTTAAATATTTTATTAAATTGCATTTACTGAGCCAGTCTTTAATAATGCATATGAATATGTGACTATAATAAGAAAATAAAATGTTCACATAGTATAAAAATAACTCAATTTACTTAATGTTCACAATTAAGCAAATAAATTCAAATGTATATACACATTTCAGAGGCTTTAAGGGAATACTTCACATATTGACATTAAGTATATCTGGTTATGAGGAGTTAGGGAATATTTCTGTTTTGATTTCTACAGGTACAAAATACAGTTCTCTCTTTTCCACTATGAAGGAAATTACCTTCTAGAAACATCAGAAATTTTAGACATTTTGTTGTTTCTTTCCTATGGATAAAACTGTTATATGGTCTCTGAAAACTGGGAATGCATTTTTCTTTTTTTAAACTTCCTTCCTTCTCTCCTTCCTTCCTTCCTTCTTTCTTTCCTTCCTTCTTCCTTCCTTCCTTCCTTCTTTTCCTCTTCCTTCCTTTTTTCTCGTCTTCCCCCCTTTCCTTCCTTCTTTCCCTCCTTCCTCTGTTTGTTCCTTCTCTCTCTTTCTCTCTCTCTCCCTCGTTAAAACAAATTGGAAGTCTCAGGTTTGTGAGGATGGAAAGGCCAAACTATTTCTTCTCTGTGCTTTATAATACACAATGTTATATATTATTACCTCTTTGTGCTTTCTGCCTGTGGGTGGGTTTCTCCAACTGCATAAACAGTCTGATGGTGTTGCAGTTATTATAGTGTACACCATTGTCGCAGCAAATACAACAGGGTTTTATCAGGTTAAAGAGTCAAACATTATTAGGTAACCATTCTAAAAGGGAAGACATGTGCTACAAAACTGTATTACCTCAAAGACGGAGGTTGTCATTCAATAAAATACATGATTTTGTTTTATATGAAATGTTGATGGACACATTTTTACCCAATATATGCAGAGAACTATTTAACAAAAGAGCAGCAGTGACAGTGTCTAAAGTGGTGTTTGTGCAGTTAATACAGTGTGTTATTTAATGCAGACATGCAGCCTATCACTCAAAAGGGCATGCTTGTGACAGTTCAGTCTTTAACTGTGTATGTTACATAGCTATAAAAACTGCTTATAAATTCTTGCTTTGTGTATTAATCCGAATTCTCAAGAGATTCAGGAAAAGTAGGATATCTCTATATTTATTTATTATGAAAGAGAGAAAGACAGAAGGAGATAGATTTACTGTAAGAAACTGGCTCACACAATCGTGGAAACTGAGAAATTCAAGATATGCAGTTGGCAAACTGGAGTCCCAGGAAAACCAATGTTATAGTTCCAGCCCTATTCCAAAGTCTTCAGAACTAGGAGAGCTGATGGAGTAAGTTCTAATCTGAGTCTGAAGGCTTGAAAGTGAGAGCGTACCGGGTGTAGATTCCTTGTCTAAGTCCAAGTCAGAGGGCAAGAAGCCAGGCTTGTTGGTATATGCCTGTAGTCCCAGCTACTCAGGAGGCTGAGATTGGAAGATTGCTTGAGCCCATTTCGAGACCAGTCTGGGCAACATAATTAGACCCTGTCACTACAAATTAAAAATTAAAAAATAAATTAGCTGTGTATGGTGGCATGAACCTGTACTCCCAGCTACTTGAGAGGCTGTGGGAAGATCACTTGAACCCAGGAGGTCCAGGCTCCAGTGAGCCATGATCTCATGACTGCACTCCTCCCTGGACAATATAGCAAGACCCTGTCTCAAAAAAAAAAAAAAAAAAAGAAAAGAAAAGAAAAAAAAAAACCTGGATTTGCAGCACCTTAAGAGACTAGGCGAAAGAAAAATGAAGGCAACAGAAGATTTGTGTCTCAGCTCAAAGACAGTCAGGCAGACAGAAAGGATTCTTTCTTACTCAGCCTTATATTCTCTTGAGGCTTCAACAAATTAGATGAGACCCATATGTAGAGGGAAGTTTGGTTTATTCAGTCTACTGATTGAAATGTTAATCTCATCCAGAAATACCCTCACAGACACACCCCAGAATAATGTTTTGCCAAGTAGGGAACATATTCAAGTTAACACATAAAATCAACCATTACATTCTGCCACTTAGTAGCTCTGTGACTTTGGGAAAACTCTGTCTCAGGTTTTTCATCTTGAAAACGGGAGTCATATAATAGTTTTACTATTTTATAGGGTGGATATTAGGTTTAAATGAAGTAATCCATGTATAAGACTGTGACGGTTAATACTGAGTGTCAACTTGATTGGGTTGAAGGACACAAAGTATTAATCTTGGGTGGGTCTATGAGGGTGTTGCCAGAGAAGATCAGTGGGCTAGGAATGGCAGACCCACCCTTAATCTGGGTGGGCAGAATCTAATCAGCTGCCAGCACGGCTAGAATATAAGCAGGCAAAAAAATGTGAAAAGAGAGACTGGCCTAGGCTCCCAGCCTACATCTTTCTCCCACGCTGGATTCTTCCTGCGCTTGAACATCAGACTCCGATTTCTTCAGTTTTGGGCCTCAGATTGGCTCTCCTTGCTCCTCAGTCTACAGATGGCCTGTTGTGGGACCTTGTGATCATGTGAGTTAATATTTAATAAACTCCTCTTTATCAGAATCTAGAAACTCAGTGTACCCATATACATATGTATATTATATATATTTTTATATATTTATTTATATATATATTTATATTTTATATATATTTTGTGTATATATATATATATATATATATATATATATATATATATATTCCATTGGTTCTGTCCTACTAGAGAACCTTGACTAATACAGATTTTGATACCAGGAGTGGTTCTAGAGGAGCAGAATATGAAGGTTGGAGTTCTTTTGTTGGTTTTGTGGTTCCTGGAGTTGGCTTCTTAATATGATCATACCCCAAAATGCTAAGGAATCTACTTCTAATAGTATGGAGAACACTGATAGTCCTTGTCATGAAATGTTTAGAGAGTTATGCAAAATAAATGCATTTGACACTCCTGATTCATCGCTCATGAGAGGCAAGGAATTTAGTGATTCTATAAATATTATTTTTGACCATATGTGGAGAACCAAGAAACATAATGAAGCTGGTTTCTTGCCCCTAAGTTTAGTGGACAAAGTGATGAAAGGAAATGATGAACTCAGGGATTCTATCACCCGGCTTCAGAAACAGATACTGAGCCTCAAATCTGCTAAGATTGGCCTGAGTGAGAGTCTTACCTCTTGTAGAGAAAGAGCTGAAATTGTGGAAAAACAGACACAAGCTCTTACCGTGCGAGTGGCTGACCTGCAACGAAAGGTGCATGCACGGCCTTGCTAGGTGTCTACTGTTAAAGTGAGGGCATTGATTGGAAAATATTGGGGCACTGCAACTTGGAATGGGGATGTGTGGGAGGACCCTGATGAAGCTGGGTACACTGAGTTTCTAGACTCTGATGAACCTTTTTTAAGAGAAGAAATAACTTCCCCTTACCCAGTAGTGGCAACATACCCTCCTCGACCCATGCTGCCATCAGCCTTTCCACCTTTGTCTGAGGATCTGAGGAGATAAACCTTGAACTGCCTGAGGCAACAGTAATGGCCTCCCCTGAGGCAGTTGCCAGGCAAGATAATGTTGATTCCTCTCATGAGCCACCTGCAAAACCCCTGTTTGCTTCTAGACTTATAACTAGACTAAGGTCCCAGTGGGTCTCCTAGAGGTGAGATTGAGAGTGTGACCATGATGAGGTGTGCTACACTTGAAAAAAAGTGCTTGAGTTTTCTAATTCGCTGTTATTGACCAGGTTGGAGTGCAATGGTATGATCTCAGCTCACAGCAACCTCCACCTCCCGGGTTCAAGTGATTCTCCTGCCTCAGCCTCCTGAGTAGCTGGGATTACAGACATGCAGCACCACGCCTGGCTAATTTTGTATTTTTAGTAGATATGGGGTTTCTCCATATTAGTCAGGCTGGTCTCGAACTCCTGACCTCAGGTGTTCCGCCCACCTTGGCCTCCTAAAGTGCTGGGATTACATCTGTGAGCCATCGTGCCTGGCCAAGTTTTCCAATTTTTATAGAAAGAAATCTCGAGAACAGGCATGGGAATGAATATTAAGGGTGTGGGATAATGGTGGAAGGAACATAGAGTTGGATCAGGCTGAATTTATTGATTTGGGACCACTAAGTAGGGACTCTGCTTTTAACATTGCAGCTCAGGGAGTTAAAAAAAAGTTATAGTTTATTTCCTTGGTTAGCAGAAATATGGATTAAAAGATGGCCCACTTTGGGTGAGCTGGAAATGCCTGATCTCCCTTGGATTAATGTACAGGGAGGGATCCAAAGGCTTAGGGAGATTGGGATGGTTGAGGGGATTAGTCACTTTAGACCTACTCATCCCAGCTGGAAGGATCCAGAAGATATGCCCTTGACCAATGACGTGAAATAGATTTGTGAGGGCAACACCTAAAACTCTGAAGACCCCTGTAATTGATTTTCTCTGTATGTCAGATCTAACAGTGGGAACCACAGTCACTCAATTACAAAATTCAAAAATAATGGGAATAATTGGATCACAAGATGGCAGGGGCCAAGTGGTGGCACTCAACAGTCAAAGGTAAGGTAGGCATAGCTACCATAATGGACAGCAGAAACAAAGCAGCAATTAGAATAATCTGACTTATGTAGAGTTCTGGCATTGGCTAATTCATCACAGTGCTCCTATAAGTGAAATTGATAGGAAGCCTACTGCATTCCTATTTAATTTATATAAGCAGAAAACTTCTAGGTCGAATTTACAAAAGACTAATTTGAATTATAAAAACAGAGAATCATGACCAGTCAATCAATTTCCAAACTTGAGCCAGTTAACAGACCCAGAACCCCTTGAAGAAAGGGAGGCCAGGTCCACTTGAAGAAGGACCCCACTAAATTACTGACAATTTATGCTGTTAATCCTTCTCCCATCATTCCCCAAGGAGACCTCTGGCCTTTTACCAGGGTAACTGCATTGGTGAAAGGGAAATGATCAGATATTTCAGGGACTACTGGACACTGGCTCTGAGCTGACAATCATTCCAGGGGCCCCAAAAATCATAGGGGTCCTCCAGTTAGGGGCTTATGGAGGTCAGGTAATTGGTGGAGTTTTAGCTCACGTTTGACTTACAGTAGGTCCAGTGGGTCCCCAGACTCATCCTGTGGTCATTTCCCCAGTGCCAGAATGCATAATTGGCATAGACGTACTTAGCAGCTGGCAGAACTTCCACATTGTCTCCCTGACTGGTAGAGTGAGGGCACTTATGGTGAGAAAGGCCAAATGGAAGCCATCAGAGCTGCCTCTACCTAGAGAAATAGTAAATCGAAAAGAATATCACACCCCTGGAGGGATTATGAAGATTAGTGCCACCATCAAAGACTTGAAAGATGCAGGGGTGGTGATTCCCACCACATCCCCATTCAACTTTCCCATTTGGCCTGTGCAGAAGACAGATAGATCTTGGAGAATGACAGTGGATTATTGTAAGCTTAACTAAGGGGTAACTCCAATTAGAGCTGCTATACCAGATTTGTTTCATTGCTTGAGGAAATTAACACATCTCCTGGTGCCTGGTATGTAATCATTAACTTGGCAAATGCTTTTTCCTCCATTCCTGTTCACAAGTCCCACCAGAAGCAATTTGCCTTCAGCTAGCAAGGCCAGAAATATACCTTTACTGTCCTACCTCAGAGGTATATCAACTCTCTGGATTTGTGTCATAATATTATTGAGAGAGACCTCGATCACTTTTTGCTTCTGCAAGATATCATACTGGTCCATTACATTGATAACATTATGCTGTTTGGATGCAGTGAGCCAGAAGTAGCAAAGACACTAGACTTATTGGTGAGATATTTGTGTGCCAGAGGATGGGAACTAAATCCAACTAGAATTCAAGGACCTTCTACCTTAGTTAAATTTCTAGGGGTCCAGTAATGTTGGGCCTGTTGAGATATTCCTTCTAAAGTGAAGCATAAGTTACTGCATTTGTTCCCTCCTATAACCAAGAAAGAGGTACAATGCCTAGTGGGACTATTTGGATTTTAGAGGGAACACATTTCTCATTTGAGTGTGTTACTCCGGCCCATTTATTGAGTGAGATGAAAGGCTGCCAAGCTTGTGTGTGGTCCAGAACAGGAAAAGGCTGTGCAACAGGTCTAGGCTGCTGTGCAAGCTGCTCTGCCACTTGGGCCATATTATCTAGAGATCCGATTATGCTTGAGGTGTCAGTGGCAGATAGGGATGCTGCTTGGAGTTTTTGTCAGGCCCCCATAGGTGAATCACAGCGGAAGCCTCTAGGATTTTGGAGAAAGGCCCTGCCATCTTCTGCAAATAACTGATCTCCTTTTGAGAGACAGCTCTTGGCCTGTTACTGAGCTTTGGTGGAAATGGAACATTTAACTATAGGCCATCAAGCCACCATGTAACCTGAACCGCCTATCATGAACTGGGTGCTTTCTGACCCATCTAGCCATAAACTGGGCCGTGCACAGCAGCATTCCATTATCAAATGTAAGTAGTATATACGTGATCGGGCCTGAGCAGGTCCGAAAGGCACAAGTAAGTTACATGAGGAAGTGACTCCAATGCCCATGGTCTCCACTCCTGCCACTTGCCTTCTCTCTCCCATCCTGCACCGGTGGCCTCATGGGGAGTTCCCTATGATGAATTGACAGAGGAAGAGAAGACTAGGACCTGGTTCACAGATGGTTCTGCATGATATGCAGGTGCCACCAAAAAGCGGACAGCTGCAGTATTGCAGCCCCTTTCTAGGATATCCTTGAAGGACAGTGGTGAAGGGAAATCTTCCCAGTTTACAGCACTTCAATAAGTGCACGTGGTTATGCACTTACATGGAAGGAAAAACGGCCAGATGTGCAATTATATATTAAATCATGGGCTGTAGCCAATTGTTTGGCTGGATGGTTGGGGACTTGGAAGAATCATGAGTGGAAAATTGGTGTCAAATAAATTTATGGAAGAGATATGTGGATGAACCTCTCTGAGAGGTCAAAAACTGTGAAGATATTTGTATCCCATGTGAGTGCTAACCAACTGGTGATCTCAGCAGAGGAGGATTTTAATGATCAAGTGGATAGGATGACCCGTTCTGTGGATACCACTCAGCCCCTTTTCCCAGCCACCCAATGGGCCCAAGAACAAAGAGGTCATGGTGGCAGGGATGGGGGTTATGCATTGGCTCAGCAACATGAACTTTCAGTCACCAAGGCTGGCCTGGCTATGGCCACTGCTGAGTGCCCAACTTGCCAACAGCAGATATCAACAGTGAGCTCTCATATGGTACAATTCCTTGGGATGATCAGCCAGCTACCTGGAGGCAGGTTGATTATATTAGACCTCTTCCATCATGGAAAAGGCAGAGGTTTGTTCTCACTGGAATAGAGACTTACTCTGGATATGGGTTTGCCTATCCTTAACACAATTCTTCTGCCCAGACTACCATCTGTAGACTTATGGAATGCCTTATCCATGGTTATGGTATTCTACAAAACATGCCTCTGAAAAAGGCACTCACTTTATGGCTAAAGAAGTGCACCAGTGGGCTCATGCTCATGGAATTTGCTGGTCTTATGATGTTTCCCATCATCATGAAACAGCTGGATTGACAGCATGATGTAATGGCCTTTTGAAGTCACAATTACAATGCCAACTAGTTGGCAATACTTTGCAGGGCTGGAGTAAAGTTCTCCAGAAGACCGTGTATTCTCTGAACCAGAGTCAAATATATGGTACAGTTTCTCCCATAGCCAGGATTCACAGGTCCAGGAAGCAAGGGGTGGAAGTGGAAGTGGCACCATTCACCATCACCCTTAGTGATCCACTGGCAAAATTATTGCTTCCTGCTCCCACAACATTACATTCTGCTGGCTTAGATGTTTTACTTCCAGAGGGAGGAACGCTGCCACCAGGAGACACAACCATGATTCTATTAAACTGGAAGTTAAGATTGCCACCTGGACACTTTGTGCTCCTCCTACCTTTAAGTCAACAGGCTAAGAAGGGAGTTACAGTGTTGGCTGGGGTGATTGACCTGGACTATCAAGGTGAAATCAGTCTACTACTCCACAAAGGAGGTGAAGAAGAGTATGCATGGAATACAGGAGTTCCATTAAGGTGTCTCTTTGTATTACCATGTCCCATTATTAAGGTCGATAGGAAACTACTAAAGCCCAATCCAGGCGGGACTACAAATGGCCCAGGCCCTTTAGGAATGAAGATTTGGGTCACTCCACCAGGAAAAAAACCACAACCTGTGAGGTGATTGCTGAAGGCAAAGGGAATACAGAATGCTTAGTAGAATAAGGTAGTCATCAGTATTTGCTTTGACCATGTGACCAGCTGCAGAAATAAGGACTGTAATTGTCATGAGTATTTCCTGCTTCTTTTGTTAAAAAACATGTTTGTGCATGTATACACTTGTACTAAGAAAATATCTTAATTTTATTTCCTTTTTCCTTTATCATGTTTCATAGGATTTATTGACTTCATATCAGCATTTAAGTATGGTTAACTTTAAGTAATAGTAGTTTGGTTGGGGATTGATGTGTTTCCAGTTGTGGGAAGGATAGTTGTGTTATGTTACGCATAATTATGACCTTATTATTGTCTTTATTTGAAGGTTATATATGATCTTATAACCTTCAAATACAGACAATAATAAGGTCATAATTATGGGTATGGGTTCAAGTTGACAAGGGGTGGACTTGTGATGGTTAACATTCAGTGTCAACTTGATTGGATTGAAGAATGCAATGTATTCATTCTGGGTGTGTCTGTGAGGGTGTTGCCAAAGAAATTTAGCATTTGAGTCAGTGGGCTGGGAAAGGCAGACCCTTAATCTGGGTGGGCACCAGCTATCTAATCAGCTGCCAGCATAGCTAGAATATAAAGCAGGCAGAAAAATGTGAAATAACTAGACTGGCCTAGCCTCCCAGTGTACATGTTTTCTCCCGTGTTGGATGCTTTCTGCCTTGAACATCAGATTCCAAGTTCTTCAGTTTTGGGCCTCAGACTGGCTCTCCTTGCTCCTAAGCTTGCAGATGGCCTATTATGTGACCTTGTAATCATGTGAGTTAATACTTAACAAACTCCCCTTTATGTGTGTGTGTGTGTGTGTGTGTGTGTGTGTGTGTGTGTGTGTGTTTGTATTTGTATTCCGTTAGTTCGGTTCCTCTACAGAACCCTGACAAATATAGAGGTCATTCAGGTTGTTAGTACAACTCGCTTTCTTGCAGTAGTAGGAATGAGGGAGCTATTTCCTTGATGACTATTCTCCAAGGTTTAGTCTCAACTCCTAGAGGGCACTCCCCTATCCTTGCACTTGGTTGTCTCCATCTTGAAAGCCAGTAGTGGTACATGGAGCCTTTCCCTTGCTTTGCATTTCTCTGATATACCCTAGGTGACCAGCTGGGAAAACTCTCCTAAAAAGGCTCACATGATTATATTAGGCCCAAATGCATAATTTCTCATTTAATTAACTCAAAATCAACTAACTTGTAACCTTAACAGCAGGTGCAAAATTCCTGTTGCCAAATAACCTAATATAATCATAGGTGTGGTAGTTCATCTATTTCACAGTCCTAGAGATAAAAGTAGGAAACTGTGGAGGGTAATTTTAAAATTTTGCACAACACATTAATATCTGGATACTTGTCCACTCTATTAATATAGCTTTGCTTATTTAAGCATTATATTATAATGGGGAATTTATTCTATATCCCAAATTTCATTATTATTAATAAATGAGATTTAAAACTTTGTAAATATCTTAGAACTCCACTATTACTATTACTTGAAATAAATTGCTGAAAGGAAATTACTTCATCAAAAGGTACAAGCATTAAAAGACCACGATATGTATTACCAAATCAGTCCTTCTTTACTACAGTGAAAAAACCCCAACACTTTACTTTTTCCTGCTTAACTCTATGTTCCACCCATTAGAATGCTTACCATTTATATAGGTGAAATGTAGTAAAATATTGTTAACTTTGATTAGTAGTGAAAGTAAATATATAGGAAGTGTTACATACACTAGTGAGAGGGAGGACTGATCGGAACGGAATACCAGCTCCTCCACAAATTAGTTGTGTACGCTTTTCCAAGTTCCTTTACTTCTCTGTACCTTCCTCAACTGTGCAAAGTAGATAATAATATTAACTACTTTATAGGGTAATTGAGGTAAGTAAATGTATTAAAGTTAATAAATACCTAGAACTGGGTCCAGTTAATATTTCATTACTTAGCCACGTGTTCTCTTAGAAATTTTCATCAAGGCTGGGCGTGGTTCATTAAGGCTGGGAGTGGTGGCTTACATCTGTAATCCCAGCACTTTGGAAGGACAAGGTAGGTGGATCTCTTGAGGCCAGGAGTTTGAGACCAGCCTGGCAAACATGGTGAAACCCCGTCTCTACTAAAAATACAAAATTTAGCTGGGCATAGTGGTGGGTGTCTGTAATTCCAGCTACTTGGGGGGCTGAGGCAGGAGAATCGCTTAAACCTGGGAGGCAGAGGTTGCAGTGAGCCAAGGTCGTGCCATTGTGCTCCATCCTGGGCCACAAGAGTGAAACTCCATCTCAAAAATATATATAATTTTTGTTAGTTTTTTTTTTTACATTTTTTAGATTGAGTGAATGGTTGATTTTTTTAATCCATTTTTATTTCTAAAATATTTATATGAATATAATCTCACTATTACCTATTTTTAAAATGTCAAATGTATTATTTTAAACTAAATACATAAATAAATATTTATTAATTTTTTACAGATGTTTTATTAAAGAATAATAACAATGAAAAGAAATAGTATGTATTTTAATTAGTTGATTCATTTGGGCTTGTTAATTATATAATTATATCAATTCCATAAAAGTGAATATGTTTGTGCCTTTCCAAACATTATTTGTAAGGGAAATTTACTTTTCTGCAGTATCTACCCTGCTATTTACTGCTTTTGTTGCTTAAAAATATTCTTGTTGTCTTCATGACTTCTTTTCTGGACTTAAAATCTATTCATGATTACTATATTCTACATTGCAAATTTAGTATCAATTTAAATCTTACTGGAGAGACATTTTAGATATTTTGAAATCCGTGTGGTATTTTTTCTAAAAACCTATTTTATAGAATGACATTTTAGAGTAACTAAGTTTGGTTTATTTCTTTGTAGTACAATTTCTGTTAATGTCTGGTATTTTCTCTTAGTTTATCTTTGGACATTGATTCTGGATGCATTTCAAAGGGGATACTTTGATTTCCGGTGAATTTATGTGAATAGTTTGTACATCCAGCAGCCCAGAGAGGATGAGGCTGGAAGCAATCCAAGCACTGAGCACCACCTCAGAGAAGAAAAATCAGTGTGTTTGAGATGTAGGCGGGAAGTTTTTCAATTAGTGGCCCCAGTGATGGCTTTCTCAGAAAAACTGAACCAAGTGTTAATTGAGATGAAATCTTCTAGGACAGGCTCTCCATATAGTATGGGGTTTGTGGAGTATAAAATACAGAGCTTCCAGTTAAACTTGAGTTCAGATAAGTAGGAAATGTTTTTAGTAAAGTATGTCCCAAATATTGTGTGGAATGTACATATACTGAAAACATTAATAGTTTTTTATCTAAAATTAATTGGGCATCTTGTATTATTATCTGCTAAATCTGGCACTCCTAAATACTGTGAGATGAAAGGGCACTAACTGTGGCACCATCAGCTAGCCCATTTTAAGTCTGATGTTTATTTTTTCCCTTGTGCTAAGATAAGAGGTGTTATTGAGATTCTGTTCAAAGACATTGTCCTCTCATTACTTGCCTTGCTGCTGCTTTATAGACAGAAATATTGTCAAATCTTCCTTAGACATTGGCTTATACACACTTTTCTATCAGAAAATAATTATTTTATCATTGTTCCCAGTTTGTGAACATCATTCCTGCCTACATTGTAGTGGCAATGCAAGATACTTCTAATTTTATTAATTATTGGTAATTTCAATGGTTGTTTGTTGGTAAATTGGGGAAAACCAGTCTCTCATCCTTTAATACTATTTTATAAAAATTTTATAAAAATTGTATGCTGCCTTGTCAAGGAGAAGCCACATATACAAGGGTAGTCCCTGAGATTATAATGAAGCTGGAAACTTCCTATTGCTAAGTGACATCATAGCCATTGCAACATCATAGCACTGCACATTAGTCAAGTTTTTGCAGTAATGCTTGTGTGAACAAACCTACTGTGCTGCCATTCGTGTAAAAATCTAGTATATAAAACTATGTATACTGAATAATATTTAATAATGATAATAAAAAACTATGTAACTGGTTTATGTATGCACCATACTATATTTTTTATTGTTAGAGTGTTCTTTTTCTAATTATTAAAAAAAAAACTATAAAACAGCCTCAGGCAGGTCCTTCAGGAGGTATCCAGAGGAAAGCATTGTTATAGGAGAGGACAGCTGCATGTGTGTTATTGCCTCTGAAGACATTCTAATGAGAAAAGATTTGGAGGTGAAATACAGTAATGCTGACGATCTTGATCCTGTGTAGGCCTAGGTTAATGTTTGTGCTTGTGTCTTAGTTTTTAATAAAAAAATTCAAAAAGGAAAAACAAAGCAGAACACTTTAAAAATAGAAAAAATCTTATAAAATAAGGATATAAAGAAAAATATTTTTTACAGCTGTACAATATGTTTGTGTTTTAAGCTAAGTATTTTTTCAAGAGTCAAAAAGTTAAAAACTTTTAAAAATATCTAAAGTGAAAAAATTATGGTAAGTTAAGATTAATTTATTACCAAAAAATTTTTTTTTCACATATTTAGTGGTAGCCTAATTGCACAGTGTTTATAATGCCTACAGCAGTGTATGTCCTGGGCCTTCACATTCACTCAACACTCATTGACTCACCCTGAGTCAATTCCAGTCCTGCAAACTTCATTCATGGTAAATGCCCTATTCATGGATACTATTTTTTAGTTTTTATACCATAGTTTTACTGTATCTTTTCTGTTTAGATGTGTTTAGATACACAAGTACTTACCATTGTGTTATAATTACCTACGATGTTTAGTACAGTACTATGTTGTACAGTTGGGAGCCTAGGAGCAATAGTCTATACCATATAGCTGAGGTGTGTAGTCAGCTGCACCATCTAGGTTTGTGTAAGGACACTCTACGATGTTCACACAGTGACAAAATTGCTTGATGATGCATTTCTCAAATCATATCGCATTAAATTAAGCAACACATGACCATATGTCTTTAAGGTTTCTCAAACTTGTCAATAATTCACCTTGACCACTTGCCAACTCCTGATAACCAGCAAATCAATTACTATTTCTAATTGATTCTGAGATGTAATATTAAAATGTGCAATACAGAAAATTCTCCTGAATCATAGAATACATTTTCTTTAAAAATACATGATACCAAAGTACATTACATACTTTATCATGTGATAGGAATTCAGTTAAAAATCAAAAAGGACACATTAAAAATACATGTTTTCCCCAAAGCAGAAGTGGTTCATCCCAGAGGATTCACAGTTGATGAAAAGTCTATAACAGCAAATGTAAACTAGTGTGCACCGTCTTTCTGTGGCACCAGGAGCGAGGAAGGTACAGAGCAGTTTGAGAGCAGCAGTAGGCAGGCAGTGTGCAGCAACACCGTAGCATTACAGCCCAGCTACCAAATGAAATTGAGGAACTCTTTCCCATGAAACTGGGGGCAAGAGGGTATGCTTTGCTTGGTGTGGCTGTTTCATTTCTGTATATATTTACTCATTTGTTTACATTTGTTCTATGCTGCAGCTAGAAGTTTGTGCCAGTAAATGAGAGGTGGGACTAGATGCTCTCTAAGGTTGCTGCTACTTCTAAACTTTTCCCTTGGGGAATTTGTTATCCCAGCGTGGGTATCTGGAGTTAGTTAATAATGTCTTTGAAATGGAAAATAAAAGTCACAACCCTGCTTCAATCCAGAAAAACAATCTTCTGTTCTGTGAGCAAATTATACAGGCTGTATAGAGACTTAGGAAACTGAGGAAATACGTCATTTTTCAGAGAACTTAAAAGAGTCCCTTCCCATTGTTTATTCCTAGAAGCATAGAAATGGCTGACACCTTCCAGAGCTGTCAACTTCTGATCTTCAAATAGACTTATAAGGAACTTTAAAAAAATTCCTTTATATCATTATGAAGTTAATTTTTATATATTTTAATACTTTCTTAAAGGAACCTAAGATCTTGGTTATATAGAAATATAATTTACTTATTCTATTTTAATTTTCATTTGTTAAAGACAGGGTAGTGCAGTGTTTCCAAATTGTTGCCAGAAATGTAAGGTGTTAGATAGGGAACCCTGAGCAACACAGAACTTGGTTAAAAACCCACTCTACATCCCTCCTGTTTAGACTCTGGCATACATGCATGTGTGTGCATGCGTGCACACACACGTGCGCACACACATTATCCACCTACACTCAACAAAACAAACAAAAACTTCATGACCCCTTGTTACTCAGTTGAAAAAGTAGGGGTGTATGGTATATTAATTGCATGCATCTGTAAGTTATTAAAGTACATATATTGTACTATGGTATCTGATCTGTGTCATTTCCTCTTCTATTTCTTTTTATAATTTCTCTCTTGCTTTCATACTCTTTTTCGTGTACATTAACATGTAGAGATTTGCTAAGTAAAAGTATTTCTAATCTAAATTAACATATCTATACTCGAAAAATAACAATCCCTTCCCCCAAAATAGGCATGAATTTCACTTATTACTAATGGCTCCATGAAAGGGAATTGAAAGTAAATCTGTTTTTGAGATGTTTGTTAAAACCATATTTATTTCTGTAAATATTTTACTTTGATTTACTTTGATTCCAAGCAGTGTTAAAGAACCAGTTTTGCACAAATTGCCAACATATATACACCATTTCAAAAACTTTCTAAACTATTTTTATTTGGACATGAGAGGGAAATATAAATTTTGAGATAAACTGTTATACATGGTTGAGGACACACAGTTGGCTAAATATAAAAATACTTCCCAAGTAAAACTATAAATTTTACAATCAAATACAATCAAATTTACCACTGACTTTATTTGCAAAATATTTGAAAAATAATATCTTGTTTCAAGTCCTCTCCCAATGAGATTGATCAATGCCTACTTCAATATAACTGTGATTTTTTTTTTCTCTCTGTTTAGCAGTAATTCATTAAAGATAAATTTTATGGGAGCATCTTCTCACAGCCAGACACCATGCTGAGCGCTGAGAATTAGATGATGACAAAGGCCTGACTTTGGTGGGTCACATATCTGCTCTAAAGAACAGAAAATAAATGTAAAAATTAAAGTAGAAAAAACTACAAGTGCAATGTTAAGGGTATATCATATATCATATCGTATCGTATCATATCATATCATATCATACCATTTCCAGTTTTCTTCTGCTGTGAGTCAGTTTACAGTTCCTTGAGTGGGACACACAAATTCTGTGGACAGAGATTAGAGCATAGAAACATGAATATTACAATTTAAAATTGAATCTAAAATCATTGTTAATATTAAGAATCAAGAACATTAATATTAAAGCTTACATACCCTTTCCTGCCATATAAAATTAGCAGTAGGCAAGTGGAAGACAATAGAAGCAGCTATTCAGGTAATATAACATCAGTTTCTTTATTCCATAAAGAAACTAAGTGAGACAGTACATGATACAGAACACTTCTACTTTTTTAGCAATTCAAGTTACTCTATGCCTTCATAACTATTTAATACAATTCAACAAAAAAAAGCCACTGGGCAAGGGATCATGACCAAGTTTGTTTTTCTCAGAGGGTCATAGTTAGCAGTGAAAACTGGAGAATTCTATTTTTTATAAATTTTGAGTAATTTTTAGAAGAAAGCCAAGAGTATATAGAATTTCAAACAATATTTTTTAATAAAAATATAACTTGGTCTCATTTATTAAAAATGATTTTGCTACATTAAATTTCTGTCTCCATTATGAATAATTTGTTTTAATTATTGCACATAAAAATTAATATTCTGAGTGGACTTTGTAATCATACTACTCTTTAATTTCTTTTCATCATTGAAGAGGTTTTAGGAAAATGTGTATAAGTATAGTATAATTTTTAAAGTTTTTCAAGTAGCTAAAATTCTCAACATTCAAAAATAGTAATACATGTAAGTATGATAAAGATTTGCAATAAAAGATTGATCAACTGTGAAAACCCATTAACACTGTTTTTGGTTAGGTGTTAAAATAATTACATAGTGGTCACAAAGACTTAACACACAGAGAAACTAACAGTTGTCACTAAGTCAATAAAGTTATTCTTAATGCCTCAATTCAACATGTCTAATATATTTTTAATAAAATATTCATGCATTTATAAATGGTTTGAAACTAAAAACCTTTCAAAATTGCATTGCTTCTATGGATAGTATACACATTGAATTTTAAAAACAACATGGTACAGATGGCATGCCACTTAAGCTTAAAGAGGACATTAGAGACTTTTCTTTGTTTAACAAAATTTAGAGCAATTTTATCATTGTAATTGGAATTTCTTTTTAGATTCTCATTCAAAAGTCCTTGCTTACTCCTTTTTGTCCCTGAAAATATTATGGTATTCTCAATGACTATCTCAAAATAAATATCACTGTATATGTCACCTAAAAGTGCCATCTATGTTGAAACAAATTTAAAATAATTTGGGTCTTGATTGTGTAATTACAAGATTCTGAATAGGTTTAACAGATAAACTTGTTTTGCCATCAAATGTGCACTGTCCGCCCCCTAGAAAATCCAAATTTCCTGTAATCATTCATGAGCTCTTGTGAATTTTCACAGAACCATATATAGTAGATAAAGGTACAAGTAAGAAGAAAAGGGAAAACTATGATAGCATCTTACTAACTGGGCTTTGAAACTTTAATCATTAGGTAAGAATCAATTCCAATCATCAGCAATATTAGCCAAAAAAAGCTCTGAGGTTAAAAAATCTGAATTTGAGTACCAAATCTACTAATTTTGTGACTAAAAGAAGGGCTCAATTATGTTATTTGTAAAATCTAGATTAAAATCTAGTTCACGGACTTCTTTTTAAGATAAATTAAGATAATATATTTAAAGTAATTTCTACAATGTGATAAACTGTACAATCGCTCATTGTTTCTATAAGGGCAGGTCGAGGGTAAGAATTCCCTCTGGTAATAAGATTATTTTACAGCCAGGCGCAGTGGCTCATGCCTGTAATCCCAGCACTTTGGGAGGCAGAGGCGGGCAGATCACCTGAGGTCAGGAGTTCGAGACCAGCTTGACCAACATGGAGAAACCCCATCTCTACTAAAAATACAAAAAATTAGCTGGGCATGTTGGCACATGCCTGTAATCCCAGCTACTCAGGAGGCTGAGGCAGGAGAATCGCTTGAACTGGGAGGCAGAGGTTGCGGTGAGCTGAGATGGGACCATTGCACTCTAGCCTGGGCAACAAGAGCAAAAATCTGTCTCAAGAAAAAAAAGATTATTTTATATAAATGCTTCTCTTTTTATTCTTAATATAAAGTCTAAATGTTATGTCTATCATAACTTGTATTATATTACATTCTGTTTTAAAACAAACTCTATGTCTATCTTGTAATACATAAAAAAGTTTTACAAAGATAAACAAATGAAAGAATGTTTTTGAAAAAAACCTGAAGACAATATAGGATTAATGAAAGTCCTGGTGATTACTGAAGATAAACAAATGCAAAATGAATAGAATCCCCCAAAAAGTGAAAAAGGAAATCATATAAAAATAGCATTCAAGAAATGTGCTGACATTGTTTTTAAAGTATTATATGTAACTTTGTGGTGAAATTTTTATATTTATTTTTCACAGCGTTAAACTGGTTTCCCAAAACTGGTAGGTGTTTAACATTTTTGTCTCATCAACCTCATTTAATCAATTAAACATAAAGTCGCAAAGAAAACTTTACCCATGACCTCACTTCATACTTTCTGGAAATCATTTCTTCATTTTTTGTTAATACTTATGAAATATTTAATATAATTACTTGATTTCAACAAATACATATCTTGTACATTTACCTTCAGGTGATCTGAATACTTTTACAAAACTCGAAAACTGATTAAAACAAAATATTTCCCAATTACGCATATGCACCAGAACACTGAACCAAGCTGGAAAAAAAAAAACAAAACCTCAACCATTTCTTATGGTTCTGTTTTTAAATTCCTGTTCAATAGACTGAAGTTACCCAAAAGACCATCAAAATCATAAAATATTGTCCTGAAAAACTGAAGCAATAACCAAAAATAATTCCACCTGTTCAAACCACTGCATTCACCAACTTGTTTCTCTCTGTAGCTCCATACTCTGCCTTCCCTTAATGTAAACTGGTGAGCTGTACACATGCTTATGTGAGATCAAAACCACCCCTTGTGCACTAGATTTCATCTTTTGTCTCCTACCCAAGGGTATCACTCTTCCAATTATCCACTTTCTCTTCTTTATCAACAAGATTCATCTCTGTAGTTGATCATTACCTGCAGCAGAAATATGTATTGCATCATTAAAAGCCATCTCTTGACCCTGGGGAACCTTGCAGACATTGTCCCATTGCCCTGCTCCTCTTTATAGCAAAACTCCTTAACATATTTATCTATAGTTACTGTTTCCAATTCTCTTTCTCCTGTTTTTTCTTGAATGTATTTTTTACAGGATTTCTACCCCACCTCTATCTACATTAAAATAGCTCACTTCAAGGCTTCCTTTTGTTGATCCAGTGGTCAAAATTTAATTCTTCTCTTACCTAAACATTGAACAGTATTTTTTATTCAGTGATGGTTATAAAATTTAAGGACTTAAGATGATAAAATTTGACAAAGAAGATTAAAAAATGAGCATCCTGAAATCTAGGAGGAAAATCAGTAGTATGTGTTATTCTTGAAGCAAAAGGGCATTTCCAGATGGGAAAGAATAATGCTGCTGACCATTCACTAAGAGTACTGGCATGTGACCATTAAGTTTAGTAATGTTGAGACCACCAACAGCTCAAGGGATGGCGAGAAGAAAAACTGAAGAAAATAAATAGAAAAAAATACTTTTGAAGATGAGTGAAAAATAGGGAAATGGAGCAGAAGTTGAAGAGGGTAGAGATGTCAAGAGACATTTTTGTTTGTTTATTTGCTCTTTAAAATTGTAGATACAGCAGTTTACTTTCATGCTCATGGATAGAAAAGGTAAAATTGATGGTATAAAAGAGATTTCAGAAAACTATTTGTATAATATCTTAAAGTGACATAGGTGATAACAAATGGAATCTAGGACACATACAGAGGATTGTACTTATCTAGAAGCACAGAGTTATGCGTGTTCATAAAAAGGAAGTGAAAGTGCATGGGAACTGATGTTATTATGAGTGAGAACAGGTATTGTAATTTGGCGTAAATTGAATAATTTAAAAAATAAAGAAAAAAGAATACAATGTGACCTCAAGCTGGATTAAAGTTTGTACTATTACAGTAAAGTGTCATATGGAAATGGTTCATCATTTTAGAAATCTCTCCACCTCTGTGTGTGTGTTTTGTGTGTGTGTGTGTGTTTGTGTGTGTGTATTCATTTAGTTTTACTCCTTTCCAGGCTCTCAACATCTTCTTAATATTGTTAATAGCATATTTGGATACTTAAAATATTATCCTGCAACAGGTAAATAAGTTTTTGTGGGATTAATTCTGGAAATGTCTGCTGTGACTCAAATATCTCCCCTCAGAGTTTGGAAAGCTCATGGAATTCCCCACAGAGTAGTCTCTTTTTTTTTTTAATAAATAAAGTTTATTGCTTACGTTTTAAAAAGGGGAAAGTTGTAAAATCAGACATGCCAGGTAAAGCCTAATTTATTTCACAGTAAGAACTAAGAATAAGAATGTGCTGATGCTAACATTATATCTTGAAGTCTGCACATACAGAGAAAGGAAACAATTGTACCGGGGGATATTGTCAGTACACTATTAGGGAAGAGAGAAGATAAGAAATATTGTCTTTATGTTGAACTTCACTTAACTGAAATCTACTGCATGATTGCTATCAATGACGTGGCATTTAAAATGTGAGCTTTTATAGGTTCCCAGTGATTTGTTTAGTCAGCATGATATCATACTATTACATGCTTTAAAGTAGAAATGCTTTTTTTTGTGTGTGTTTCAAAACCACTACCTTCCTCTCTCTAAGGTTTAAGACAAAATAATTCTAATCTTTTAAAATTCTCAGAATGTTACAAGAGACATGTATTACAAATTTTCATCCTTTCTAAGGATCATTTCAGAATAATTCACCTTCCCTCCTGCATGATAATTACTAAGATTGCTAAGCATCACAATTATGTTCACTTCAGATGAGAGAATGAGTGGTAATTGAAATCTAAGATGATAGAGAAAATCTATGTCTTGATTTTGATTTGTAGCTGATGAAGTGAATAAAGAAAAAGTGTCAAGCTGGATTTTAAGCAAGTTCCTATTTAGAACAGATTTACAAGTCAAACCTTATAAATTCCTGATAGAATAGCAAGTTCATCAGTAATGCAATTATCTTGCCTATCCCTTATCTTAAACATATTATTTCTGAGATAAAGTAAATTGTTTCAGTTACAAGTAGTCTTTTTGGGGAAGAGATAAAAGTCAATGGTCTATAAGAAAGTCTAGGGTTAAGAATCTTTTGAAAAGTAGAGCTACGATTTTATCATTTTTGTTGGTGTTCACAGTCTTGCCCTACTTAGTCACTGATAACCATGTCAGCACCTCCAGGATGAATCTTCATTTCTATATCTGCTATTCTAGGAACACAGTGTGACCTGAAAATATAAGGCTGCTTATCTGCCTAGCAATATCAGAGGTCGATTTAGTCTCCTTGCTTTCAGCGTGTTCTTCTGACCACAGCTTTTCTCTCAAACACTTAGCAAGTTTCCACTTTGTCTTACAGATTCCTGATATTTGATCAAATCCCCAGAGTTCCTTTCAAACATTGGTGAGGTGGAGAACACTGTCACTCACTATATCCCTTCCTCTTCACTTCCCAAGATTCTGTTTTAATTTTATTATATGTCCATTTTTACAAAATCCTTCATGAATAGCTATCCAAAATTTCACTCGAAGCTCATATCCAGAAATTTTGATAAGGCTGTCCACATTGCCTTTTAAATGAGACCTCCAGGCTGGATTGGGCTTGCTCACCTCAGCAGTGATGGCACTGAGCTCACTAGTCCCCTGTTAATTCAGGATCAGACACTCATTTCTGACTTAGTTTTTTGTTTTTCCTTCTTTAATTTCACTTCCTTCTTCATCAGCTACATTTTATATACATATGTGTGTGTGTGTGTGTGTGCGTGTGTGTGTGTATGTATGTATTTTTCGGTATACATAGATTCATAAATTAAGTAAGCTTTGGCTTTTCCTAGAAGTTTTAGTTTTAGTTGATCTCTTCACTGTGTGCCAGCAGTACTTTGTGAAGGTGATTACCCTGCTGCATTGTACTTCTCTGACTCCCCCACTAGATAGTCTGTGTTTATAGGGGAAAGGATTTTTGCTTTATTCATTTTTGTATCCATTGTGCCTTATGCTTGGCCTATAGAATATGCTCAGTAAAAGAGTCGAATGAATGAATGAATGAATGTTGTCATCCACATGTCCTCTTCTCTCAGTTTATAGATTGGAAAAATGAAAAATTTGGAGATAAGTGAACAAGTCAAAATATTGAATTCATATGCTAACTGGGATAAAACAAGATTTACTGATTCCTAGTTAAGACACCAGTCTGTTATAATGTTCTATTATAAATAGACCTGACTTTTCATTAGTCAATATTGTGAACATTATAGTGTTTTACTAAACATTCACATGCAACAAACAAGATTCTATTACCCCATTTATCAGATGAAGACCCTAAGGCTTGGAGTTATTTACATGAAATTAAGTTGGAGTTATTTACATGAAATTGCTTCCTGGTTAGTGGAAAGCCTATGATTTTAACATAGGCTTTCTGATTCAAAATCTATATTTTATTCATGTTTTATATTTCCTCTCCAACAGTAAATGCATCTCTTTTAATGATCTTTTGTGTTACTTTATATAAGGCTTGTCATACTCTGTTTTGCACCTGCCCACAAATAACATTGTCAGATAGCAAAGGTGGCTTAGAACACTTTTCTTAAAAAAGGGTTTATTTTATCAATCACATGATTGTATTTGCACTTCCTTGGTGGATCATGATTTTTATATTCCTCCATTTGCTGAAAATGGAACTGAACCTTTCTTCTTTAAAAAATCTGTCAACTATGAAGATCAGTTTTATATCAATTGTATGGCAAGCCTGCACAAGCGAGAAAGCCTCATGCTTAGGCATTTCAGTGGATAAGTTACTATTTATACTGTCGTTTTCAATGATATCAATAATTCTTAGTGCTAGTGAAGTAACACATAAGTAGATTTTAGATAATAATAGTATTTTCAGGCAATATTCCAATATACATACTTCGAAATTGAGCACTAGCAGTACATTGTAACACATCACAATGTTCTCACTGCTTTGGTTCTATGAACTAGTGTGCATATCTCTTTCATTTATTTGCCCTTGCCTTGCTGCTACTGTTGCTCATGAGGAAAAGTTTCCAACTCAGTTCCTTTTCTATTTAAAAGCAACTTTGTTGTGGATTATAGTAAATGATTTAGCTAGTTGGCTGTATGCTTGGTGGAGCATCCTCAGGCTTATTTTCACAGCTAAGCAAGATTTTGCTAGATGGTCTTTGAATTCAAAGGCTACTTTTGGCAACCCCAGGAAGAATAGTGCTGATTATTTAGAAAACTGTAGCTTTATAAACGGCCACTCTGCAGTAGCAGGAAATTAATGGCAGAAGATGAGTGGTAAATAGGTCCATTCCATTTTACTCACAACCTGCATGCATTCTGAAGAAATGGTTACAGGCTTGTAGAAGAAAACAAGGAAAAGTTTGTAAGATGATAAAAAAAATGTATTGGGAAAATTGAGAAAACAAAACTGTCCTGTTTAATTGGTTAGAAATTATTATAAGTAACCTAATTGTGGTGGCTACTTAGAGAAGCAGAATTTGGGGGCAGTCTTAGGCAAGTCTCACTGGCTAGGTAGCATAAGCGCAAAATATATCCGTGCTGTTTTAAGACACTGAGGTTTGGAGTTTGTTACTTCAGCTATTGAGAAGGTTAACAAAATGACCTTGATATAAATGATAAAATTGGACTTTCTTTTTTCAACATTTCTGTTCCTAAAAATTGGGACAATTCCAAACATTATGTTAATCTTTCTGACTGAGCTCAATCCAGAATGAAGTAAGATTTAGGATAAAGTTATTTGTTGTTGTTGTATATGTTGTGTTTTGTTTTATCTAAGAGACCTTGAGAAATAACTTTTTTTCAGATTTGTTTAAGAATTTTACATTATCTATAGGCTTATATCTAAGCATTTTTGTTGTGATTGTTTTAACTAATTAATTTATAGCTATTTCAATTAAAAGCAGACGGAATCTGTGTTTTGTTAATATAGAATATAGACTGCCAACACTTGAAGTGGGTAGCCAAGAGTGTCCGTAAGTGTGATAATGATTTGACAGATAATTCATGCTATTATAGGGAACTCAAACACCGCAGTTGTCTAGATCTATAGCTTTGAATTTGTGCCAGAGTAAAAATGATGTCCGTTATATTCTATGAATAAATCTTTCTTATAAAGGATTAGTGGTACACTCTGATGAATTGGGGCAATGCAATTAGTTATTAGGTCTATGAAAAGTTATTACCTTAAACCTTTGGGGTCTGAATCAATACACCTTTGCTCAATCATAACTGAAGTCAATGAAATGAATTCCCCAAGAAAGGCTACAGAATGGTGTGTGCACTAACAAGGTAATGTTTTAGCAAGAGAAGAATGATTTACCACAACCGCATGAAACATTCGTGAAACAGTTAGATGACATTGTACAGCCTCTGCTCCCTTGCTGGTGCATTGATTAGGTAAGATAATTTAAAGCTGTGGGTTGTCATGTTGGTGGTGCAGTCCAATATTATCTTAATCACACCTCATTATGACTGTTGCTAAGCTAAGGCTAGAATGTACCAGAGTTGTGAGGATGGTGTTAAATAATCTCATCACTATTATAATCAGGCAAAGGGTAAGTTCCAATAGAGAAGGTAAGAGAAAAGCTTGCTTTTAATGTTTAATTGGATGTAAAACAAAATGTTTTCTGAGTATACGTTATGCACTTTTATGTGTTCATTTAAAATATGAGTCTAGTTTTCTGAGTATTATGATACAGAGACATAGTTTATATACTAAGATTTTTGTGTGTTCTTTTACTATAGAAAACATCAGTTAACTTTAGGGTAAATATACTACTGTTTTATAAAACAGAGCATTGATTCCACTTAATTCACTATCAACATAAATTTCACTGCAAGTATCTCTACTAAAAAAATTAATTCACTATATTTTATTCAATTTTATTTAATTCAGCATTGAGTGGATATTCAGACATGACAGAGAGTGTGTTAGTGAAATTTCTCTGTCTCAAAAATATATCATTCAAAATGTACACTGCTTTGTCTGAGTCCTAAAACCTATGCTTATAGTAGAGATATTTTCTCTTTTACTAGGTAGCTCTAAAATTGTTTCCTAAATTAATTTCTATAGAAATCAAGGTGCTGCACATCTATTTCCTAAGCCTTCTTTCACTGAAAAAAAAATAGATTAGATTATGTAGTTTATTTTTCTATATTATTCTTTGAGGTATGGGTCACTACTGCGAAACTTTATGAAACCTGATGAAGGATCTACTACAGAACAAATCCATATTTTTAAACAAAACCCCACTGCTTTTGAAATATATTATATTTATCATATGCTATAGTTTGAATATTTGTCCCCACCAGACTTCATGTAGAAATTTGACCCCCAGTGTTGGAAACAGGGCTTAAAAGTGGGTGTTTGGGGGTCTGGTGTGGTGGCTCATGCTTGTGATCCCAGCACTTTGACAGGCCGAGGCGGGAGGATCACAAGGTCAGGAGATCGAGACCATCCTGGCTAACACGGTGAAACCCCATCTCTACTAAAAATACAAAAAAATTAGCCGGGGCTGGGTGCCGTGGCTCACGCCTGTAATCCCAGCACTTTGGGAGGCCGAGGTGGGTGGATCACGAGGTCAGGAGATGGAGACCATCCTGGCTAACACGGTGAAACCCTGTCTCTACTAAAAAATACAAAAAATTAGCCGGGCGTCGTGGCGGGCGCCTGCAGTCCCAGCTACTCAGAAGGCTGAGGCAGGAGAATGGCGTGAACCCGGGAGGCAGAGCTTGCAGTGAGCCGAGAATGTGCTACTGCACTCCAGCCTGGGTGACAAAGCGGGACTCCGTCTCAAAAAAAAAAAAAAAAAAAAAATTAGCTGGGCGTGGTGGTGGGCACCTGTAGTCCCAGCTACTCGGGAGGCTGAGGCAGGAGAATGGCGTGAACCTGGGATGCAGAGCTTGCAGTGAGCCGAGATCGCGCCACTGCACTCTAGCCTGGGAAACAGAGCGAGACTCAGTCTCAAAAAACATTAAAAAATAAAATAAAAAGTGGGCCTTTGTGTCATGGGAGTAGATTCCTCATGAATAGATTGATGCCCTTCCTAGAAGGTGAGTGAATTCTCACTTTATTAGTCCCCACAAGAACTGATTGTTAAAAAGAGCCTGGCATCTGCCCCGTCCTGCCTCCTCATAGATTTAATAAAATTAAACTTATCAGCTATTTATCCTTTTTCCCTCTTCCTCTCACTATATGTGTACGTGTATGTGTATATGTGTATATACACACACACAAGTATACACACACAGCAGATACCAACATTTGAAGATACCCAAGTTTCTTAAATAAAATAATATATATATTATTTTATACTTTATAAATACTTTATACTTTATATTTATACTTTATATACTTTATATTTTATATACTTATATACTTTATATACTTTATATATATACTTTATAAATAAAGTAATATATATATCTACACACATTGTCTTAAGACATCTATAAATAACTTATAATACCGAATGCAATGTAAATGTTATGTAAAAAAGTTGTTATACTGTATTGCTTAGAGAAAAATGGCCAAAAACCATCTGTAACTGTTCTGAATATTTTTGACCCCACAGTTGGTTGCATCCATAGATCCAGAACCAACAGATAGAAAGGATTGACTGTGTATGTTCATGTATTTTCCTTATTTAATATTACTCTCAAGTTCACCCACATTTTCAAGAGTCTTCACTTGCTGCCAATCTCCAAATTAGCTGTATTACACCTGCCTTCAAATACGCATCAACATCTTTATTTTGAAAATAATAAATTAAAAAATAAAAATAAAAACTTTAATCAACATTAAGATCACTTAACTATTATAGAACAAACTCTACATTTTGTTCTATGTCTTGTTTTATAATTGATTTAGTCTTCTGTGTTTTATAGGTTCAATTGAAATGGTATTATGAGCATCTTTGTGGATTTTAAAATTTTCAAGTATATTTTCCCTCAGCTGTCACTATTAAAGACATCTGAAACATTACTCTTGATTACCCATGCTCTAAAATATTTCCCTTATCTTGACTTCTGTGGCTTAATTAAATTAATTAATTTATTTACTCACAGTACATTTTTACTAAGACATGGCTTTATTTTATATGTACTCTGCAATCAGTGTTAGCCTTTACATTTCATCTCTTTTTACAATTAGACTTTGCAGAAGCTATTGTTTATTTGCTTTTTCTTCCATTGTCATAATTTTAATAAGCAGTTTTATTTATTCAGAATACCATTAATGGGTATCAATCAAATGCAAATATACATAATTAATAAATGTTGAATTTTGTCAAATGTTTTTTCTGAGTTTATTGAGATTATTATTTTCTTTTTTAAACTGTTAATGTGGTAAATACTCTCTATTGCTTTTTCATTGTTGAACCAGTTATACTATCGTATGATAAATCTCATTTGATCATGATGTAGTTTCTGTTCAATTATTATGGATATATTTTGTTAATTATTTTATATTTATATTCATGAAGGTTATTCTTCTGTAGTTCACCTTTATTGTATTTATCTGATTTGGGTGTTCAGATAATACTGATCTCATACAATGACTTGGAAGCTGATTCCTCTTTTTTTTTCAGGAAGAGGTGGTGTCACTTTGGTAATATTTTCTCCTTAAGTATTTGTAGAATTTGCCCAAAAAACCACTTGGGTCTATTGTTTTCTTTTTTGATGGGTTATAATTACAAATTTAAGTTATTTAATAGAATTATCTTGATTGAGTGTTAGTAGCTTTTGTCTATTCTCTGCATCTGGTTTCATTAATTTTCTCTAATTTTTTTCTGTTTTTAATTCCATTGATTTGTGCTGTTAAAATTGCTTCTTTCTTTCTGCTTGCTTTAGGTATAAATTGTCCTGTTTTCTTTTGATTTGTAAAGTGGAAATCCAGGTTACTGACTTCACTAAGATCTTTCTTCTTCACTAATATGGGCATTCAATGCTATAAATTTTTCACTGAGTACTATGTTAGATGCATCCTACAGATTTTATATACTGTGTTGTTTATCCCACTACATTCAAAATATAATTTAATTTTTTCAGGTATTTTCTTTGTGTTATTTTTTCTATGTTATTAAAAAGTGTATTTTTCTCCAAATATTTTAGAACTTTTTCATATTGAATTCTATTTTAACCTTTTATGGTCTGAGAACCTACTGTGCATTAATTGCATTATTTATATTCTATTAAATTTGTAAACTTTTTAATGAGTCCAGATACAGGATATTTTGTTGAATATTCCTTGTCCACGTTCCATGAAGACAGCCAGCGACAAAGGGCATAGATGAGACTACAATCTCCAGCCCAGGAAACTCTGCCTCATGACTCAACAAAAGAAGACACTTGATCAAAGTGGTCACTTAACAGCAGAAGGCTGTAGGAGGTAGGTGCCACAGGTCCTCTTTGCATGAACACCTTGCCAGCTTTCACATACAGCTGAGATATCTGTTTGGGACCTCCACCATTCAGGACAAGCAGTGCTCTAATTATTTGCTAGAGCTGATCGGAAATCTGGGCTTAAGGCACCATCTGGTAGTGAAAAAGAGATGACCTAGTAAGAAATTAAAAAAAAAGAAAGAAAGCCAACAAGTAAATTAAAAGGAATGTCTAACCAAATATAGACAATATAAAACAAAACAAGCCAGACAGAGAAGACTAGAATAAATAACTAATCCTCTAATGCAAAGACATAGGCATACACCCACAAGAAACAATAGCAAACAGGGAACCATGGCCTTTCCAAACAGAAAAAAAAAAAAACAAGGAACGAATGACTGACCCTAGGGAGATGGCAGCACATGAGCTCTCTTGTCAAGAATTCAAAATAGCAGTTTTAAGGAAACTCAGTGATCCCCAAGGTAGCATAAAAAAGAAAATCAGAAAAATATCAGAGAATTTTAATAAAGAGATCAAAATAACAATACAAACATTAAACAGAAATCCTGGAATTCAGAAATACATTTGCTGAGCTGAGAAGTTCACTGGGGGCTATCAACAGTAGAATGGATCAAGGAGAGGAAAGAATCAGTAAGCTCAAATACAGGCCTTTTGAAAATATATAATGAGTAGAAAGAAAATGAAAATAATTAAAGTTCATCTACAAGATGTAGAAAATTACTTCAAAAGACCAAATTTAAGAATTATTGGGAATTAGGCGTGCACACAGGGTAGTAGCTTATTCAAAGAAATAATAACAGAAAACTTTACAAAACTTAAGAAAGAGATGGAAATTCAGACACAGGAAGGCCAGATAACATAAAAAAATCAACACAAATCAGACTACACCAAAGCATATAATAATTAAACTCTCAAAAGTCAAGAACCAAGAGAGAATCCTAAAAGAAGCAAAATAAAGAAAACAAATAATGTATAAAGAAGCACTAATTCATCGTGCAACAGACTTCTTAACAGAAACCATACAGGCCAGGAGGGAGAGGGATGACTTTTTCCAAGAGCTAAATGAAAAGAAAAGGGAAGAGAAGGGAAGGGAAGGGAAGGGAAGAGAGCCGTGTCATCTAAGAATACTGTATCTAGCAAAAGTTTCCTTCAAACATGAAGAAGTGAGAAAGATCTTTCCAAAAGAAACAAAGACGGAGAATTTACTACTACCAGACCCATCTTACAAGATATGCTAAGGGTAGTCCCTCAATCTGAAAGGAAAAAAATTACTGCAGAAAGAATATATTTGAAGGTATAAAACCCATTGATAAAAGTAAGTACACAGAGAAGCTCAAAATACTATAATACCATCATACTGTAATTTTGTTGTGCAATTTACACAAAACTGTAATAAAGTCTAAATGACAAATACATTAAAAACAATAATAGCTACAGCAACCAGTGAAGAGATAGAACAATTTATAAAATTTTATAAATTGAAATAAGAAGCCAAAATATGAGGAAAATTGATTTAAAAATTGAGATTTTTTAGCTTATTTTTTGTGTCTATTCTCTTTGTGTGATCAAAGACATGTCATCGTCTCTTAAAAATAACTTGTTATATTTGTAAGTTTTTTTGTAAGATTCATGGTGACCACAATAGAAAAATCTATAACATATTCACTAAGAATAAAAATCAATGAATTGAAACATACTGCCAGAGACAACCACTTAGTCACAAAGGAAACAATAAAGAAGATAAAGGAAGAGAAGAGTTATAAAACAACCAGAAAACAAGCAACAAAATGGCAGTAGTAAGTGCTTAACTATCAATAATAACACTGAATGTAAATAGACTCACTTGTCCAATTTTAAGACATAGATGAATGAATAAAGAAAGAAACAAGATCCAAGTATATGCTGCCTACCAGACAGCCACTTAACCTATAAAGACACACATGGAATAAAAGTGAGGGGATAACAAAAATATTCCATAAAAATGAAAACCAAAATAAGCAGGAGTAGCTATATTTATATCAGATAAAATGGACTACAGGTCAAAGATTGTAAAGAGATACAAAGAAAAGTCACTATATAATGATAAAAGGTTCAATTAAGAAGATATCACAATTATAAATAGGTGTGCACCTAACATCTAAGCACCCAAGCATATAAGGCAAACATTAGTAGATGTAGAAAGAGATGGATTGCAATATAATAATAGTAGTGGACTTCAGCACCCCACTGTCATTAATGGAGAGATCATCTAGACAGAAAATCAACAAAAATTTAAAGTTAAGCTACACCCTAGACTACATAGGCCTAATTGACATTTATAAACCCTTCCACCCTACTGCTGCAGAATACAAATTCTTCTTATTAGCACATGGAACATTTTCTGGAATAAAACATATGCTAGGCCACAAAACAACCTCAAGTCAAAAAATTAGACATTATAACAAGTATAACTTCTGACATCAATGGAATAAAACGAGCAATCAATAACAATAGGAACCTTAGAAACTCCACAAACACTCAGACATTAAATGATATGCTCCTAAACAATAAATAGGTTTATGAAGAAATTAAAAATAAAATTTAAAAATATCTTAAAACAAATGAAAATGGAAAGATAACAAAATCTCCAGGATACAGCAAAATCAGTACTGAGAGAAGTTTAAAGCAATAAACAACTACATAAAAAAAGTATGAAGGCTTCAAAAAAACTCAGTGATGCACTTGGAGGAAGGAGAAAAGAATAAGCAGAGCCTGAAGTAATAGAAGGGAAGAAATAACAAGACTAGAGCAAAAATAAATAAAATTGAAACTAAAAAAAAAATACAAATAAATGAAATGAAAAGTTGATTTTGGGGGAAAGATAAACAAAATCAACAAACCTTTAGCCAGACTAAGAAAAAATAGAAGACATAAACAGGTAAAATTAGAAAAAAAAAGGAGACATAACAACTGAGACAACAGAAGTACAAAGAATTATCACAGGCTATTATGAACAATTATATGCCAGTAAATTAAAACCTAGAAAAAATAGATATATTCCTCAACAATACATTCTACCAAGATTAAACCATGAAGAAATATAAAACCTCAACAAAGAAATAATGAGAAATAAAGTCAAAGCTGTGATAAAGTGTCAAAGAAAAACCTGGGTCCTGATGACTTCACTGCTGAATTGTACCAAATATTTAAAGAACTTATACCAATTATATGCAAATGTCAAAAAAAATGAAGAGGAAGTATTTCAACTCATATTATGAGGCCAGCAATACATTGACACCAAAACTAAACAAGGGTAAACCAAAAAAGAAAACTACAGGCAAATATTACTAATGAACATAGATGCAAATTTTTCAACAAAATACTAGCTAACAAAATTCTCAACAAAAAACATCATGGTACTGGCATAAAAACAGACACACAGACCAATGGAACAAAATAGAGTTAATTTAAATTAGGGTTATTTTCACATTTTTGCTATTATGAATAATTCTGCCATAAACTTTCTAGTATAAGCTTATATGTGAAGAATGTTTTCAGTTCTCTTTGGTATATACCTAGAAATGGAATTGCTGGCTCATATGAAAACTCTATGTTTACCTTACTGAGAAATTATAAACTGCTTTCCAAAGCAGGTCCGTAAGTTTACATTTTCATCAGCAATGTTTAGTTCTAATTTTCCCACATCTTTGCCAACACTTAAAAAATATATAGCTATCATGGTGAGAGTAAGGTTGTTCTCATCATGATTCTGGTTTGCATTTTTCCAATGACTAAGGACTAATGACTTTGAGCACCTTCTCATGTGCTTCTTCACCATTAGTATTCTTTGGAGTAATACTTAGTGAATTCTTTGGAGTAATGTCTAGTAATGCCTAGCCCTTTGCCCATTCTGTAACCAGGTAGTTGTTTTGTTTTTAAATTGTAAGAATTCTTTATATATTCTAGATTTATAATTTACAGATGTTTTCTTTCATTTTGTAAAAAAAACTTTCTTAATTGTGTCCATTGAATCACAGAAACATTTAACTTGAAGTCCAAACTATCTATTTTTTCAGTTGCTTGTTATTTGTGTCATATCTTAGAAACCATTGCCTAATGCAAATCTATAATGATTTATACCTTTTTGGAGAGTTTTACAGTGTGAGATCTTGCAATCTAGTCTTTGATTTAGTTTGATTTCATTTTTAAGTGGTATAAAAGAGAAGTACAACTTCATTCTTTAACTGTGAATATCCAATGTTCGAGCACCACTACTTGAAAAGACTATACTTTCACCAAGGAAAGATGTTGGCATCCTTCTAGAAAATCAGTTGACCACAGAGATACAAATTTTCTAGAAAATCAGTTGACCACAGAAATATGAATTTATTTCTGGACTTTTGATTCCATTCCATTAACCAATATGCCTATCCCTGTGCCATTAGAAGATAAGGTTGATAACTGCAGCTTTTGTAACAGGTTTTGAAATCAGAAATGTGAGTCCCCAGCTTTGCTCTTACTTTCCAAGATTATTTTGGCTATTCTGGGATGCTTCATTTACATTTTAATTTTAGGAGTAACTTGTCAAATTCTGCAGAAAATTCAGCTGGTATTTTGAGAGGAATTACACAGAATTTGCACATCAACTTGGGGAGTACTGCTGTCTTACTCATATTGAGTCTTCTGGTACATGAACAAGTTTTATCATTCTATTTCTGTCTTTAATTTCTTTCAGCACTTTACACATGTCAATTTATTGTCTTCTGGCTTGTATGGTTTCTGAAAGGACAACTGCTCTAATTCTTATCAGAGATTCTTTATATGAGATGACTCTCTTTCCCCGTTTGCATTTAAAATTTCCTATTTCTAGTTGCATCTAGAAGTTTGAATATGATATGCCCCAGAATGTCTTATTGTCCGACAATTTTAACATCTGTGTCATTTGATTGCTTTGTCTCTTGGTATTGCGTTTTTTTTTTATGTTTAATGTGGCTCACACTTCTTTGTTAAAAATTCGACATTTTGTATATGACAGTAGAGACTGGGGTGAATATGTTTATATATCTGATAATAGCCATGTCTTTTCTTCTCCCAGGTCTTTATGAGGAATAAGTTAATATAACTAGCAGCTGTGCTGGGTTTGAGGTTTCTTGTTCCTATGGTGGACCTCAGTACCTCAGAGGTTTCAAATTCCCTTACCAATGCCTTGTGCTTAGGATGTGGCCTGGTTTGCCAGAGGTTTCTGTTGTTCATTTTTTTCATGTCTACTCCAAAGTGAGATTCAATATCCTTTCTGTCCTGCACTTTTGAAAGGGTCAGACTGTTAAAATTTACTTACTGCTGGACATTTGTTAGCCTAGTTACATGTGTGGTGGGGTAGACTATATTCTGTTTTTCTGATTAAGTCTTAGCCATAGGCAAGCATAGTGTCATTGAGTCTCATGGTGCAACATTCTCAGTACTTCTGAGCCACACCTATATCTACTCCTTCTCTGGGAGTAGAGGTACTATTTCCTGTTCCCTTTCTCCTGTTGCAATGGATTTTCGCCAATGTCCTAGCGGTTACAGTTGGTGTTGTCCTTTACCCCACAGGTCAAATATTTGTCCTACTGGAGAGATACGGAAGAAAAGTCTCAGTAGGATTACATGTCTATACCACAGCACCTTCTTTTATTCTCCCCAATTTTATCCATAAGGGAGACTTTTTGAGGGCTCTGTCAATATTTTTTGTCAATGTGGTGGGTTTTGTGAAGAGAGACTACAAAGGAATATAGACTTCCCTTATATTTTCAGGCCCCAAGAGCTTCATCTTCTCTTATCAGTGAATATTCAGTCTCTACTTACTTGCCAGTCACCTTACTTGAATTATTTTGACTGGTTTCCTGGTGAATCTTGCCTTGGGTAAGTGAGTAATTTTGTCTCATTTCTCCTTGCAGGTGCCAGTCTCATTTTAGATTGCATATTACCTGCAATCTCAGAAATCTGATATGTTCAAGAAAAGCTGCAGGCTTGCAGTTTCTCCAGCTTGTTTTTATTGTATACTTTAGGTCAATGCATTTTTCAAATCTCCACATGTTTCTGAATAAAGCAAAAACTCTTTATTATGGTTTCATTATCCTTAATTTCTCTATGTCCACTATTTTGTCAACATCAATCAATCTAGGGAATATATTTTAATATAAGACCATTGATATGGTTTAGATATTTGTCCCCTGCAAATCGTATATGGAAAGGTAATCCCCTATGTTGGAAGTGGGGCCCAGTGGGAAGTGTTTGGATAGGGAGGATCCCTCATGAATGGCTTAGTGCCCTCCTTATAATGAGTGAGTTCTCTTTCTATTAGTTCACATGAAAGCTGGTTGTTTAAAGAGCCTAGTACATCCTCCCTTCTGTTTCTCACTCCCGCTGTCACCATGTGACACACCTGCTTTTCCTTCACCTTCTGCCATCACTGGAAACTTTCTGAGGCCCTTGTCAGAAGCAGATGCTGGCACCACACTTCCTGTAAAACTTGCAGAACCGCGATACAGTGCTCTTTTCTTTTTAAATTTCCTAGTCTCAGGTATTTCTTTATGGTGATGCAAAAATGGCTTAACACTATTTAAAATAAAATCTTATCTAATCCATGAATGTCTAATAATTATATTTGTTTATATAAATGGAATAGGCATAATAAATATGTTCTCAAGTATATAAAGTCTTAAGAAAAGGAGAGTATTTATTGCTTATTTGACAGTATTCAGTGGAGGCATATGACAGGACGTTGCTCTTCTCCACAGTCATCTGATGTCCTAGGTTTTAACACCTGGTTTGCAAGGTCATCCTAGATATTGATTCCTATTTATCCAATTAAAAAGGGGAAGATCATGGGGTTGTTTGTATAAAAAACTTTAACAAATCAACCCCAGAAGTGAAACATACCACTCACTAAGATCCCATATGCTATAATTTAGTCACATTGATGTACCTGAATATAATGAAATGGGAGAAATGTGGTCTAGCCCTGTACCAGGAAGAAGAGATGGTAGAGTTAGATATGAAGCTAGCATCGTCTAGCAAAAAACAGAAAGGATACATATGACACACCTATTTGAAGGATAAATAGAAAGTCCAATTTACTTTAGAGCAGTTTCAACCCAAGGGCTCAGAAACCTCTAAAAACAATATGTCTAAATATGATAAGCACAAAATATTATCCACACATTTGGGGAAAAAAACCCATGAAATTCTTCACTAATGAAAACAAATGCAATATATTTTAAGTAAAGATTATCTTGATTTCACATAAAAATTAATTGCAATTTTAGAGAAAATGAGCTATGATTTTGACAATTCCTTTTTAAGTCTTTGGTCACCAAAAAATAAAGTTAAATATAATACATTTATGTGTTCAAATATGCAAATGGTTATTCCTTAACTCTGTTTATTCAAGATAATGAAATGGACCAAACTATAATTTTATCTGAAATTTAATTTGGAAATTTCCTTTCTGTCTTCTCTCTCTTATTGGAGTAACATATATGTAGCCTTCAGTCATACTTCACCAGTGTTTCTCTAATCAATGCTCATAACCGTCACTTGGAGTATTTGTTTTAAACATAGATCCCTGGTGGCTGGGCACGGTGGCCCAAGTCTGTAATCCCAGCATTTTGGGAGGCTGAGGCAGATTGATTACTTGAGGTCAGGAGTTCAAGACCAGCCTGTTCAACACGGTGAAACCCCATCTCTACTAAAAATACAAAAAATAGCCAGGTATGGTGATGTGCATCTGTAGTCCCAGCTCTTCAGGAGGCTATGGCAGGAGAATCACTTGAACCCAGGAGGTGGAGGTTGCAGTGAGCCAAGATCTTGCCACTGCACTCCAGCCTGGGTGACAGAGTGAGACTCTGTCTCAAAACAAAAAGCAAAAAACAAAAGTAGATCCCTGGGACCTTCAGTCAGACTTCGATTCATGTGAATGATGTGGAATCCAGTAATCTACATTTTACTCACACCCACCAGACAAATCTATTTTAGGTGATGCATACTACATAACTTGAGAAATAAGAAAAATGCAGGGTGAATATTCTTTCTACTCTCTTCTGAATGGGTAAGATATTTTCAGAAATGAAAGCATTAGTTTAACCAGACACATTCAGATAGCCAGAGCTTTGTAAAACCATTCTCTCTCTCTTTGCCCAATCCCTTGTTTTTTTTCCCCCTACATGGACAGGGAAAATTCCCTAAAACAATAGCTGAAGTAGGGTCACCTAGCGTATCTACAACCTTGGCGCCTGGTAAAAATCTAGCACATTTTTGATTGATGAAAATAATGCTCTAATTTGGGTTAGAAAGTGTTATTTAGTAGGATTGTGGTTAATGATTTGATCTGTGTTTATGTTTGTATTTTTTTTCTGCAATGATTTTAACTAGCTATTTAGGAGATTATGACAAAAAGTATTTCATATAAATAAGGAACTATCAAATTTAAGGCTTACTAGTTTTTAGTGTTTCTAAATACTCAATATCAGAGAGACAAGAAATCATTATATTTATAAATACTGATGGCAGTCAGAAAATTTTTACCAGGCTTGTCTTTACAATTTAAAAATGCCTATTATTATTCTATACAAATAAAAAAAGGAGAATTAGATTTTTTAACCTTTCTAGATAATGAGCTCTGTTTTTCTAATGGAAATCTTTCTTGCCGAGAGGTCTATAGTATTCCAATTTTCTCAGGGACTTCGTTATTTAGCTTGCAGTGGTTAAACCTTCAATGTCAGTTACAATTTATCAATTTTAATTCTTGACCTGTTGTTCACAAATTAGTAGTATGCAGATAGTGAACATTTCTTTTCAGCTTCACTTTTTTTGACAGATGAGAATACAATAGTATTCCCTGAGTTTGGCAGATAAGAATACGATAGTATTCTCTAGTAAGTTCTCTGAGTGTTTTTTTTCCTTTCTTTCAGTTTCATTCTTTTGCTTTGCATTTTTAAATGTCTATAACAGCTGCCATTAATTTCCTGCTAGTTGGTTAATATTTTTCAACTCTCATAATTAGTATTATAAATACAAGTTATGAGATGATTATTATTATATAGCTATATATCTTACATAAAACTTTTATTTGCAAAAATAACATTTATAATTATGCTGTATTGTATTTTTTAAAATTTTACATTTCTGGGGCACATGTGCAGTTTTGTTATACAGGTAAACTTTTGTCATGGGGATTTGTTGTACAGATTGTTTCATCACACAGGTATAAGACCAGTACCCATCACTCGTAAGTGAGAACATGAGATACGTGGTTTTCTGTTTTCATGTTAGTTTGCTAAGGATAATGGCCTTCAGTTCTATCCATGTTGCTGCAGAAGACATTATTCTGTTCTTTTATATGGCTGCATAGTATTTTATGGTATGTGTACCACACTTCCTTTATTCAATCTATCATTGATGGGCATTTAGGTTGATTCCATGTTTTTGCTATTGTGAATAGTGCTGCAGTGAACATACACATGCATGTATCTTTATATTAGAACGATTTATATTCCTTTGGGTATATACCTAGTATTGGATTGCTGGGTCAAATGATAGTTCTCTCTTTAGGTCTTGAGGAATCACCACACTGTCTTCCACAATGACTGAACTAATTTACACTCCAACCAACAGTGTATAAGCATTCTTTTTTCTCCACAACCTCACCAGGATCTGTAAGTTTTTGGCTTTTTGACTTTTTAATAATGGCCATTCTGACTGGTATGAGATGGTATCTCATCGGGGTTTTGATTTGCATTTCTTTAATAATCAGTGCTGTGGAAACTTTTTGTCATATGATTGTTGGCTGCATGAATGTTTTCTTTTCAGAAGTGTCTGTTCATGTCCTTTGACCACTTTTTTATAGGGTTGTGTTTTTTTTTTTCTTGTAAATTTAAGTTCTTTATAGATGTTGGATATTAGATCTTTGCCAGATGCATAGTTTGCAAAAATCTTATCCCATTCTCTAGGTCATCCGCTCATTCTATTGAGTTTCCTTTGTAGTGCAGAAGCTCTTTAGCCTAATTAGATCACATTATTCCATTTTTGCTTTTGTTGAAATTGCTTTTGGCACAATTGCTTTTGGCACCTTTGTCATGAAATCTTTGCCCATGCCTATGGCCTGAATGATATTGCCAAGGTTCTCTTCCAGGATTTTTATAGTTTTGAGTTTTACATTTAGGTCTTTAATCCATCTTGAGTTATTTTTTGTGTATGGTTTAAGGAAGAGGTCTAATTTTAATCTTCTGCATATGGCAAGCCAGTTATCCCAGCACTATTTATTGAATAGGGAATCCTTTCTCCGTTGCTTGTTTTTCTCAGGTTTGTCAAAGATCAGGTAGTTGCAGGTGTGTGGCCTTATTTCTGAGTTCTCTATTCTTTTCCATTAATCTGTCTGTTTTTTTTTTACCAGTACCATTCTGTTTTGGTTACTATATCCCTGTGGTATAGTTGGAGTTGGGTAGCATGATCCCTCCAGCTTTGTGTTTTTTGCTTAGGATTGACTTGGCTATTTGGGCTGTATTTTGGTTCCATATAAATTTTAAAATAATTTTTTCTAGTTCTGTGAAGAATGTCAATGCTAGTTTAATAGAAATAGTATTGAATCTACAAATTGCGTTGAGCAGTATAGCCATTTTTATGATAGTGATTCTTCCTATTCATGAGAAATGGGATGTTATTCCATTTGTTTTTGTAATCTCTTATTTCTTTGTGCAGTGTTTTGTAGTTCTTATAGAGAGCTTTCACCTCCCTAGTTAGTTGTATTTGTTTGGTATTTTTAATAAAAGAATTAAAACTTTAAGTACCTAGTGCTTCAAGATTTAGAAGTGCTAAAAACTCCCTTTAACATTCTTCTTATTTTGAAAATTTATTTTTAAGTTTTAACTTTTAAAATAAAATTTTACTACATTTTAGTTAATACACATCATACATAGAATTTATTGATAATATATGAGCATATTTCTGGCTTTGAGTATAGCACATCTGCATAAAACACACACGCACACACACACTTTACCCTGAATGCCAAAAGAATAATCTGAGAACTATTATTAAGTAGAAAAATATTAATGCTTGCAAAGTGGTTAGAAAAGTGCTTAACAACACTAAGTAAATGTGTGTTATTATTATTCATTTCAGAGACATTTGTGCACATACATTTTAAAATATGATAAGGAGTTAATGGTATATTCCTCAAAGAAGTAATAGCTGTTATCACCCATTTCAATGTAATAAGAAATAAAGAATGAATAGGCAGGAGTAGAATGTAACTAGTATAACTTTTGATTGTCCCTATTCTCAATTCTTTATTCAATACTTTTTCATCTCACAATTACTGGTATCTCTAGTCTTTTCTGAATTTTATTTATTTTTAAAAATCACTTTGGTGTTTTATTTTCTTTTTCCTTTTTATTTATATTTGGAATATTGTAAGCATGTTAGTATTATGTTTATTAATTGATATGGTTTAGCTGTGTCCCCACCCAAATCTCACCTTGAATTCTAGTTACCATAATCCCCACATGCCATGGGAGGGACCTGGTGGAAGGTAATTGAATCATGGGGGCAGGTTTTCCTCATGCTGTTCTTGTGATAGTGAATAAGTCTCATAAGATCTGATGGTTTTATAAAAGGCAGTTCTCCTGCGTATGCTCTCTTGGCTGCCGTCATGTAAGACGTGTCTTTGCTCCTCCTTCACCTTCCACCATGATTGTGAGGCCTCCCCAACCATGTGGAACTGTGACTCCATTCAACCTCTTTTTCTTTGTAAATTACCCAGTCTCATGTGTTTTTTCATAGCAGTATAGAAATGGACTAATACATTGATAAAATCTTGTTCTGCTATTTTAAAAAATATTTTTAATTATTTAAATTATAGTTAAGTCCTGAATAATATCAACAACAACAGCAAAACTTCTTTACAGACAATTTAGAGGAGGAAATTAAGCAGAATTCTTCTGCATTTAAAACAGTATCTGGCACAGGATGTTCTATAAGTTTTTTTTTTTCAAATTATTGACTACAAATTTTCCACATCACCATCTAAATAGAAGATTTTGTCATTTGTCACTAGTGGAATTATTCCAGTGGCAGACAGTTTCTGACATGAAGATGACTCAAAGTGATAAAGCTGTCTAAATCACTGATGTCAATCAGCATCATTATGGGATCTGTCTAGATCTGAAAGCTAAACAGTATCACTTTAAGCAAGGATTTTCTTCAGAATGTAATGGAAATGGATATCACATGCCTAGGAGAGCTTTTTGCCAGGCAAAATGATTGCCACTGGGTTTGTGGGTTGCAGCCGGTTTTCCCGTTGATACAATTAAGCTCTGTTTATTTCCTTTGTTACAATGTTACTGCCGTATTTCTTCTTAGGAAAAAAACAAAGAAAAAACAACAATCCCACTAGACCTTAGAGAGCAAACATTGTTTCATTTATCTTCTACTTATTTATAAATATTAATTTTAGAAGAATTAGAAATTATGAAAAACTATTAAAAAAGAGAACATTCCACAGTTTAGACACATTATTAACATATTATAAACTTTGGTATATAACCCAACTTTTTAACAGTGTAGCTTTGTGTTATAGAGTGTGTTTAGGTCAGAAATGACACTTGGTTAGTCCTACTTTTGGAAAGATGAAAAAACCTTCCAGATACTTAGGGCAGTTTTCTGTCACTGAACACTTGTCAAAATTCTTTACTGTCATGTAGAGTTCTAGGGCAATGTGGCTGCTGTTTGAGCCTAGGAACATTGTTTGGTTTGGGAAAGAATTGAGTCCCAGATCTGTCACCAATTAGTACTGTGACCTGGGGCGATATTTCAAATGTCTTAGTTTCTGTTATCTCAAAGAATAAGATAGGATTAATAAAGTCCTAATACATAGATTCTTCATGATTACATTAAAATATCAATATAAAGTGGTCAGTAAATGTGAATTGGCTTCATTCTCTTTTTTTTTGAAATTGACAGATAAAATTATATGTATTCTGTATTACATGACTTTTGAAGTACATATACATTGTGTAATGACTATATCTAGGTACTTAACATATGCATCACCTTACATAGTTATGGTTTCCATACTAAGAGCACTTTATTCCCTTTGCATTTTTTCAAGAGTAAAATATATTAACTACAATAACACTGTTGTATAATATATCCCTTGAACTTTTTCCTCCAAACTGAATTTTTTAATCCTTGACCAATATCTCCCAAACTTCTTCTTCTGCCAACCACTCCAGCCTCTGGTACCCACCATTCTAATCTCTACTTCTATGAGATCAACTTTTTTAGATTCCACATATGAATGAGATTATGTAATATTTGTCTTTCTACTCCTAGTTTATTTCACTTAACATAATGTGTTGTAGGTTCATTCATGTTATTGTAAATGACGAGGTTTTCTTCTTTTTCATGACTGAATAGTATTTCATTGTGCATATCACATTTTCTTTATCCATTCATCTGTTAATGGACACCTAGATTGATACCATATCTTAGTTATTGTCATTAATGCAGCAATGAACATGGCAGTGCAGATATCTCTTTGACATACTTATGCATTTATTTTGGATATATATTCAGTAGTGGGAATGCTGCATCATATGGTAATTTTAATATTTAATTCTTTTTTAAGAAACCTCCCTACTGCTTTACATAATGTATTAATTTACATTCTCAGCAACAGTGTCCAATATTTTCTCCATATCCTCACCAATCCTTAACTTTTGTCTTCTTGATAAATACCCATTCTAAAAGGTGTGACATAATATCTGATTTACATTTCTCTGATAATTAGTGATGTTGAGCATTTTTTAACACACCTGTTGTTCATTTGTATGTCTTCTTTTGAGAAATATCTATTCAGATCCTTTGACCATTTTGAAACTGAATTACTTGGATTTTATTATTGAATTTCTTATTATGTTTGGGTCCCTTATATATTTGGATATCAACTCCTTATCAGATGTACAATTTACAAATATTTTCTTATACTCTGTAGGTTGTCTCTTAACTCTGTTGACTGTTTTCTTTGATGTACAGGTTTTTTAATTCAATGTAATCCAATTGTCTATTTTATTTTTGTGCTTTGGGGGCTATATAAAAATCAGTCTTTAATCTATTTTCGTTGGATTTTTGTATATGGTGAGAGATATGAGTCTAGTTTCATTTTTCTGCATATGTTATCTGTTTTTTCCAGCACTATTTATTGAAGAGACTGTCCTTTCCCCATTGTGTGCCCTTGGCACCTTTGTCAAAAGTTAGTTGGCCATACTTAGTCAAAAAATCAAAAAGTAATAGAGGTTGGCATGGATGTGGTGAAAGAGGAACACTTTTACACTGTTGGTGGAAATGTAAACTAGTATAACCACTATGGAAATGTAAACTAGTATAACCACTATGGAGAACAATGTAAAGATTCCTTAAAGAACTAAGAGTAGATCTACCATTTGATCCATCAGTCCCACTACTGGGTATCTACCCAGAGGAAAAGATGTCATTATAGGAAAAAGATACTTGCACATGTATGTCATTAACAGCACAATTTGCAATTGCAAAAATATGGAACCAGCCCAAATGCCCATCTGTCAATGACTGGATAATGAAATGTGGTATACATACACCATGGAACACTACTCAGCCATAAAAAGAAATGAAATAATGGCATTCACAGTAACATGGATGGAATTGAAGATCATTATTTTAAGTGAAGTAACTCAGGAATGGAAAACCAAACTTCATCTTAACTCATAAGTGGGAGCTAAGCTACGAAAATGCAAAGGGGTAAGTATAATGCGATAGATTTTGGGAACTTGAGGGAAAGGATGGGAGGGAGCTGATGGATAAATGACTACATATTGGGTACAGTGTGCACTGCTTGGGTTATGGGGTGCACCAAGATCTCAGAAATCATCACTAAAGAACTTATCCATGTAGCCAAACACCACCTGTTCCTCAATAACCTAGTTAAACAAAAAATAATAATAATAATTTAAAAGCCTGGTTTTACTTCTTGGTTCTCTAGTCTGTTCCATTGGTCTACCTCTCTGTTCTTATGAAACAATTCTATTTTCATATTAGATCCGTGGTATATTTGAGTAGTATATGAAAATAGCTTTGTTGTGTGTGTGTGTGTGTGTGTGTGTGTATATACATATATATTACATATAATCCGAGTCTCTCTCTGTTGCCCAGGCTTGAGTGCAGTGGCACCATCTTGGCTCACTGCAGCCTCGCCTCCTGGGTTCAAGCAAATTCTCCTGTCTCAGCCTCCAGAGTAGCTGGGATTACAGGTGTGTGCCATGACACCTGGCTAATTTTTGTATTTTTAGTAGAGATGGGGTTTCACCATGTTGGCCAGGCTGGTCTCAAACTCCTGCCCTCAAGTGATTAACCTGCCTCGGCCTCCCAAAGTGTTGGAATTACAGGCTACCATGCCTGGCTGCTTTGCAGTATATTTTAAAATAAGTTAGGATAATGCCTCCAGCTTTGTTACTCTTAATTTTTGCTTTAGATTGCTTTTGCTATTTGGACTCTTTTATGATTACATATAAATTTTAGAATTTTTTTTCTATTTCTGTGAAAAATATCATTGGTACTTTGATAGGGATTACATTCAGTCTAAAGGTTTCCTTAGGTAGCACGGTCATTTTAACAATATTAACTCTTCCAGTCAATGAACACAGAATATTTTTTATTCATTAGTGTCTTCTTTAATTTCTATCATCAACGTTTTATAGTTTTTGTTGTTGAGATCTTTCATCTTCTTGGTTAAATTTCTTCTTTAGTAGTTTACTTTTGTAGCTGTTGTAGGTGGGATATTAAAATTTATTTTTCAGATGATTCATAGTGTATAAAAGTGCTATTGATTTTTGCATATTGATTTTGTATCCTGTAACTTAATTGAATTCGATCATTAGTTCCAACAGTTTTTGGTTTTAGTCTTATAGGTTTTTCTATATATAAGTTCATATTGCCTTTATTTTTCTAATTATTTTTATTTTATTTTATTTTGTTTTATTTTATTTTATTTTTTGAGATGGAGTCTTGCTCTGTCTCCCAGGCTAGAGTGCAGTGGTGCAATCTTGGGTCATCACAACCTCCACCTCCCTGGTTCAACTGATTCTCCTGCCTTGGCCTCCCAAGTAGCTGGGACTACAGGCATGCACCACCAGGCCCAGCTAATTATTGTATTTTTAGTAGAGACGGGGTTTCACCATGTTGGCCAGGCTGGTCTCGAACTCCCAGCCTCAAGTGATCCACCCACCTTGGCCTCCCAAAGTGCTGAGAATACAGGCATGAGTCATTGCGCACAGCCGATAATGTCTTTAAACAGAGAATATTTAACTTCTTTCTTTTCAAATAGGATGCATTTATTTTTTTCTTTTGCCATACTGCTCTGGCTAGGACTTCCAGTACTCTGTTGAACAGGAGTGGTGAGAATGGGCATCCTTGTCTGTTTCAGATCTTAGAGGAAAAGCTTTCAGCTTTTCCCCATAGAATATAGTGGTAGCTGTGGATTTGTCATGCATAGTCTTCATTGTGTTGAGGAACATTTGTTGTATGCTTAATTTGTTGAGAGTTTTTGTATAAAAGCATGCTGAATGTTTATAAATGCTTTTTCTAGATCTGTTGAACTAATCATATAGTTTTGGTCCTTCCTTCTGTTAATGCAGTATATCACACTTACTGATGTGCATATGCTGTACCATATTTACATCTCTGGAATAAATGCCACTTGGTCATGGTGAGTGACCTGTTTAATATGCTGTTGAATTATCTTTGCTAGCTTTTGTTGAGATCCTTTGCATCTACATGCATCAGGAATATTGGCCTGGAGTTGTCTTATTTTTAGCATCCTTGCCTGACATTGCTATCAAGGTAATGATGGTCTCATAAAATGAGTCTGGAAGTATTCTCACATCTTAAATGGCCTGGAAGAGTTTGAGAATAATTGGTATTCATTCTTCAGAATTTTTATAGAACTCAGCAGTGAAGCTATCAGGGCCTGGGTTTATCTTTGATGGAGAACTTCTTATTATTGTTTCAACAATCCTTACTTGTTATTGGTCTGCTCAGGTGTTCTAATTCTTTGTAATTCAATCTTGGTAGATTGTATGTCAAGGAAGTTACTCATTTCTTCTAAGTTACCCAATTTTTTGGTGTATGACTATTCATAAAAATCTCTTATGATCCTTTATATTTCTGTTGTATAAGTTATAATATTTCCTTTCTTATTTCTTATTTTATTTGTATCTTCTCTCTTATTTCCTTAGGTAAGCTAGCTAATGGTTTGTCAATCTGGTTATCTTTTCAAAATAAAAACCTCTTGTTTATCTTTTCTATTGTTTTTCAAGTCCCTATTTCATTTATTTCTCATCTGACCTTTATTTCCTTCCTTCTCCTAACTGTGGGCTTAATTTCTTTTTGTATTTTTCTAGTTCTTTGAGGTATAACATTAGGTTGCTTATTTGAGAATTTTCTTTTTTTGTTTTTTGATGTAGGTGTTCATTGCTATAAGCTTTACATTTAGAGCTGATTTTCCTATGCCCTCTATGTTTTCATATGTTGTGTTTCTTTTCACATTCATTTTAAATTTACCTTTTAATTTTTCTTTTAATATTTTCATTGACCTATTGATTATTGAATTTTTATTTTTACTTGATTTGAGTATGCCACAGGACTTTAGAAAAAAAAATTAGCACCCCAAATCTTCACAAAATAATCTTACTCTTAATTATTGTAATGCACTATTTTCTATTTGATACCTGTATTTTAACTAAAATTTCTGATAATGATCCACAAAATTGATTCCACGCCTATTAATATCTTATAACCCACACATTGTAAAGCAGTGTTTTAGAAAAACTGTGCTTTATAGTGGGGGCTAGAATATGGAAGTCTGTCTTGGAAAGAACACATCAAGAAAGAGAAGAGCAGTAAATCTCTGGTATTTAGAGATCAAGTGTAATGACATAGAGGCTCATTGTAATGAGCACAGGGGTAAAAAGGTTATTGGTGTCTACAATAATGGGAACCCATTTGCTTTAGGACCAGGCTCAACAAAGCAAAAGGACATTATGAGAAATGAACATGGAAGCTCTGCGCCAGTGCAGAAGCAGTTCTGATAATGACTGAGAATCTGGGGATTTTTCCTTGGCTTTTCAGGCACTCCTACAGAATTTAATTGTTGAGAAGGCTACTGGGTAAACTCTAGACTTTTGCCACTCATATTGCTGGAAGCATTTTGGGAATTGAACTATAAATTTACTGTATGTTACTGTACTACACTATATTATACCATACTAAATACTTAATACCTTAACATACCCGTAGAGAAGGAAGAAAGTTTGCTGAATAAATAAATAAATATTTAAACACCACACACACACAAACCTGAACATTTAAAAAAGTTTATTTACCAATAAAAGTAAACATTTCACATATAATGATGTATTATTCAGTATTGTAGTAATGTATAAATATGTAGTAAATATACATAGTGAATATACAATGTAGTTACGCAAATGCTCTTGTTTCTTATTCATTCTTTTTCTAGTTTTTTCATGTTAATACAGTGATATCATGCATTTCCTTTGAGATAAAATTTTGTGTTTTTACTCTGAGAAAATCTAACAATTTCTAGGCCAATTGAAAATCAGGTTTAGACCATTTTCCTGTTTTGTTTTGTTTCCCATTAAACGTGGTTTTATCACTTAATTGAATGATGTGTTTCATTGACTTATTCATATAATTAAGGTCAATTTGTGTAGCACTTATAGCACTTATACGTAATTGGGTACCATAAGAATAATGTAAGTGAAGAGAAAGGAAGGAAGGAAGAGAAGGAGAGAGGGAGGGAGGAAGGAAAGGAAGAAGAAAGGGAGGACTTGGCACAGGGATAATTACAAAGCAACATATATTTGTTGGACTCTAATTGCAATCTCAGCACAGATATTAGTTCTTTGAGTCTGACCGTTGACCTGATTACTGTCATTGTATTAACTGATAGTTAAGACACATGTGTTTTGTTGTATCATGTGATTGTTAGCTTCAATGAGTTAAAAAAAGTAAGGTAATTTTGAAATTAGGTGATATTTTATATCAGTCATTATTGGGATGATTATAAAGACTGCATAACTATTGATTCTCTTCATTAATTCTGATTCTAAGTAAAATTACCACAATTAACATCTTTTCTTACATGAAACACAAGGCATGTTCTATTGTTTCCTGTTTCTTAGCATGGTTCAGACCTAAAAATAGTAAGACAAAATAATGGATAAAACAAACAAACCATAAGCTTTTTGATTTAAAATAAACAATCCTGGCAATTTAAATTGGATGTCTTACCTTCTATATAGGTTCCCATTTATAAGAAAGCATAAGGTATTTGCAATCATATTGTAAATACTGTTTAAAACATCTGTTTACATTTCTAATATTGGAATGTTTATGGGACACTCGAGGTAAACTTTCAATACCCTCTATTTTACTTTTACATGTAGTTATACTACTATGTTTCTTAAAGTTAGCTAATGAAATTTGCAACCTACTGGTATTAGTAAGTTTTCAACATGCTTTTTAGCTATATGGGGCCCAAAATGGGGAGAGAGATGTGCTAATTCAGGTGGAATAACCTGATTATTATAGGGTTAAGAGTGGAACAGCAAGCACTTGCTTTCAGCAGCTTTGTGTAGTATTTACAGAATTTGAAAGTGTGGTTTTCTTTCTCACTCCTGCTCCTCCTTTCTTTATTTAAGAAAATTTTTTTGTCTTCTTTTTCACTAAAATTAAATTAGTTCTAAGATAACTACTCACCAAAATTTAGATTTAATTACTAGCAATGTGTCTAATCATGCATATATGTATAACATCTCTGATGTTCAAATGACTACCTCAGCAGCAAGGAAATAAAATTACTTCTTTTATTTTGGTTATATCAATCAATAAAGTCCAGATTCTGATGAGAAGTTAATTACAAATTTTATAAAACAAAACTTTTGAACATTAATAATTCTTTATAAGCCACAAACAAGGCAGACTCATACACCTGTGAAGTTTTATCAAGCAATGATTGCTGAAAACCTTTTTACCCCACAGAAAGAATGTCTAGAATAGCTCCAAACAAAATTTTAAAATAATCAGTGTTCAAATCCGGATATAAGTAGATTAACTCCAGGTTTGTTTTCATTTCTCAACAATCTGAAAGTGCTCTAGTATTCTCGATAACATAAAATGGCCAGTAACTTCATAGTTATTTATCAGTTGATTAAGGTGAGTTATAAAGTGAAAGTCTCCTTTTTTCACTGCCATTATAAACTGCTCAGTGAAGTTGAATGATAATGAACTATAAAAATAAAAACAAATACAAATGATCTGCACTGATTAAAAAAAAGAACTGAGGAACTAAAACCAAGATGTAAGCTAATACAAAAGTCTTTTATATTTGGATAAGTAAAATCTTGTCCTTGGGAAGCTAATGTGCTGTCCCAGAAAAGACACCTGATGTCTGTGATACTGGTAGTGATTTTTAAACCTCAAAATATCGCTGCCTCTGGGCAGAAATGTCAGTTTCCTTTATAATCTATAGTTTGAAATTAATGACTCATTTTCTATTTTTATTTTCTGCTACTGATGTCTTAGAGTAGCTTTTTGCTGTGGTAAACAATGAAATAAAGGTCATTGACAAGAAGTTTCAAATTATGGATCTAGCTATTGTTCCATTTGAATTTTTCATACACCTATTTTTTAATTTTTTTAAAGTTTTATTTTACTTTTAATTGACAAACAATAATTATAAATTTATGGGGTACAGTGATAGTTCAATGCATGTATACATTGTGGAATGATCAAATCAGGCCAATTAACATAAAAATTGCTTCAGTTGCTACTTGTGTACGGTGAAAATGTTTAAAATCTACTTTTTAAAGCTATTTTGAAATGTGCAGTACATTATTACTAACTATAATTACCGTGCTGCGCAACAGACCACCAGAACTTATCCTTCTGTCTAACTGAAACTTTGTACCCTTTGACCAATGTATCTCCTCTCCCTATTCACCTCCCTGATCCCTCCCTATCCTCCTATGAGTTTGAATTTTTATATTTCGCATATAAGTAAGAGATCATTCAATATTTGTCTTCTTGTATCTGGCATATTTCATATAAACTGAAGGCATAATGTCCTTCAGTTTCATCCACATTACAAACGATGGAATTTCCTGCTTTTTAAAAAGGCTGAGTAGTATTCTGTAAATACCTCAAATTTTAATGTGTAATATGTGATATAATATATAGTGTAAGAAATACATATGACAGTTGTGAAACATTGTACAATGAACACTTTAAAGCACCACCACAGTTAAAAATAGATATCTCCACACTTAGAAGCTGCTTCAGTGATTCTATTATTTCAGCTTCCTTCTTTTCTCATGAATTCAGTTTCTAACATTTTCTTCTATTTTGAAAATTTCAATTTGATATAATTCGAACTTATAGAAAATTTCAAGAATTCCTTACATGGAATGCTTATATATCCTTCACTCTGATTCACCCTTTGTTTATATTTTCTCTGTTTTCCTTTATCAGACTATCTTTATATATTTACATATACATGCATATTATTGTAATCCATTTGCAAATAATTTAAAGATATGTGTACTCTTTAACCCTAAATAGTGTCTATTTCTTAAGAGTAAGAACATTCTCTTGTGTACTCTACTAAGCGGTTATGAAAATCAGAAAGCAATGTTGAAACAATATTACCATCTAATTCACAGTCTTTTTTCAAACGTCATCAAATATCTTCAATGTTCCTTATGGTAATTTTCTTCCCCAATAAGGGATTGAATTCAAGATCGTTTTTTATATTTCATTGTTTGGTTTACTTTATCTAGATCAATTCCATAGCCTTGCATTGTGAGTTTTTTGAAGTACAGGCCAATTATTTTGTAGAAATATCTTTCCATTTAAATTTTTTGATGTTTCCTCATGATTTGATTAGGTAATGTCATACATTTTTGCACAAAAGTAACATTGTGTCTAAGTTCATTATATCAAGAGGCATATAATAGCAGTTTATCCCATTATTACATTTAAACATTTGTTAATGGTTGTGCCTACCAGGATTTCTGACTCTACCATTACTAATTATCTTTTTGTTAACAAATAATTTGTTGGAAGGTACTGAGAGAGTCTTAAATTCTGTTTCTTACTACAATTTCACAGCATCCATTGATATTTTTATAACTCCTTCAAATCTTTTGTGTTTATTATTTACCATTTTACAAGGAAGAATTTTATCTTCATTTATTTATTGTTCATTAACTCATTGATTTATGCAAGTGATGTTATGGATTCTCACTTTATTCAATGATAATCACAAAATGTTGCTATTTGTTTTCATGATAAAATTCTCAACCAGCAGGAGCCATTTCAAACTACCTCCTGTGCTTTATCACCAGGTACCCTAATTCTTTGAGGACTGTCTTGCTTTCTGAAACAAAATATTTTAGGCTTATTTTTGACATTTTGTGACTCTGAAATCAGTATTTCCTTCAAGATCTCTGGCTTTTTTCAATGGAGGTTGTTATTTAGAAACTGAAGTCTGAGTGTTAAATATGCTCATTGTCGCTGATGTGACATTGCTTCTAGTCTCTCATAGAAGACAGGACTTTTTCCTCTCTCCCTTTTTCTGCCTTTTCCCATGCACCACTTGTTTTTACTGATACTCCCATTTCCAACTCAAAGCCACAAAATGCATTCTCAACTTTCCCCACTGAATATTTATAATTTTCTTCCCTGTTAGAAAGAAACTACAAGTCCCTTTTGTCAATACATTCACTCCTTTGCTCAATCTAGGATACAGGAGATAGTTTCATAATTTCTAGCCCATATTACTATGAAAAACAAATACATAAGCTAGTTTAAAATATTTACTGATTTTTTTAAGGTAAATTTTACATAGAAATAAAAATACTAAGCTCACAATCAATAACTTTTGACAAATGAATACATACATGTAATCTACATTTCTTTTAAGATACAGAACATTTACGTCACCCCAGGAAGTTTCTTCATTGCTTTTATCTGTCAGTTTCCCCACAAAGTAAACTAAGCTTGTTTTTCCTAGGAAGAATAGTTTTTCCCATTCTGAATTTTCATATAAATGGAAACATAAATTTCTTATAAATGTGCTCATTTGTCTGATTTTTTTTATTGTGAGATTCATCCAAGTTTTATATGTATCAGTAGTTTAGTTCATTTTATTGTTAAGTATGTATCTATCGACGTTATCAAATTTCCTGTTGATGGGCATTTGAGTGGCTTCCAGTTTGAGTCTCTTAGACATACAGCTGCTATGTGCATTCTTAGTACTAGTCTTTGTGTGAATATAGATTTCCATTTGACAATAGTGATTCTTATAAATAAAAGTGCTGGATCATATGGTAGGTGTCTGTTTAAATTTGTAGGAAACTGAGAGCCACTTTCAATATGCAATGTCCCCATTCTTATCAGCAATACTGGGATAGTTCTGGTCATTATATACCCTCACCAACAATTGCTATAGTCAATTTTTAAATTTAGTCATTCTAGTAGAAGAATAGTGTTAGCTCATGGAAGTTTAACTTGCATTTCCCTGATATAATTCTAAATATTTTTGTATGTGTTTAGAGTCCTTTATCTTCCGTTTTGAGGTCAATACAGATATTTTGTCTCTTTTGTAATTTTTTTATTATTGAATTCTAGCAATTTCAAATATATATTCTGGATAAATGTTGTTTTTCATGTATATTAAATACATACACATATATACGTATATTTACACACATACATATATATATACACGTATATATATATATGTGTATGTGACTATATATGCATGTATTTCCTTCAAATATTTTATCCCACACTGTGGATTGGCTAATATTTTTAGATAATATCATTGAAAAGAAAGATTAGTTTTTCTTCTATGGTTTTTGCATTTCACTCTACTCTGTCTTTAGTTTTTTTTTCTTAATTGACAAATAATAATCATACATATTTATGGGGTACGATATTTTAAAATTGTATATATTAGAGAATGGCTTGGGTCATAGTTACAGGGACAGTTGTATATACATATATATGTATATGAAGTTGTGATGAGCACAAAATTTAATGTTAGTTAATTTACTTCCTAGCATTTTTGTTCCCTCCATCTAAGACAAGTATAGTAGTTTGTCCAAAAAAAGGTATATTACTCTGTTACTGTATAAAAACAAAGCAACAAATAGATTATAATCTATAATAATACCTGATTCTGGAACTAGCCTATTTTATAGATGAATGAAGTTATTGAATAATGTATTTTTATTTTTATCATAAGTCTGTTTTTGTTTTATATAAAACAAGCAAAGTTACTAAATTTGGGAAGATAATGCTACATATGTTATAAGGCTATGCCTTAAATAGAAATATATAAATTTTACATGAGTTGTTGGTAACTTTTTTCATAATTTATAACCATGTATATTTCATGATGAAACACTGTAGTCATGCCTCTTGGCTAAAACAAATTTGACATTGATAGTGGCCTAAGGGGTAAAACAGAATTAAAACAACAATAAATTTAATCAACAAAGGAGCATCTTTTTATTTCATACTAATCAAAGAAGCAATTTTTGATATAAATTCTTTATTAATTGTATGGAGTAGAATATTGGCTAATAAAGTCTACTGCTCAATAAAGAAGAAGACTCTACAGTGTCAGAAAAATATTAAACTAATGCTAAGTAATCAGAATCCAGAAAGGAATAGTAGATTTCAGAAGCTATTTTTTTTTTTCTAGGCCATACTAATATATGTAGGCTTTAAAATGCATTATGCTTCATTTTTCTACTTTACTTCCCTACCACTCAAAGCTTTTCTGGGTTATCTATCGCTACAAAACAAACATGCCCAAACTTCGGCAGTTTAAAACAACTACCTTGACAACATTGGAATGGCAGATTAAAGACCTGAGAAAATATGCACCTCCATAAAAACAAGGAGAACACTAATACAAAAACTTAAATGGACTTTTTCAGAACTCTGGAAATCAACCAAAGGCTAATTGAAAAGGTGGCTATCCAAGAAACATGACCGAATTTTTGTAAAGACAGCAGCTTTGTGCAGTTTTAACTTGCCCTATTTCCATCTCTGTACCCCCAGCTCTACTGTAGCCTTGAATCCAGCAACTTCACAACCATAAGAGCTGTCCAAACCAGCAACCTAACTGCCATTAGAGAGGCCAGAATGGCTATGCAGGTTGTCAAAGAATCTCCATCTTTAAAGATTGTCACTATTTGGCCTGTCTGGCAGTTTCCTGGAAAACTCTTAATTCACAGCGTTTGTTTGTATAGGCATCAGAGCTCTCTCACTTAAAAGCCCATAGCCAGGGCTGGCGCAGTGGCTCACACCTGTAACCCCAGCACTTCGGGAGGCCGAGGCGGGCAGATCGCGAGGTCAGGAGTTTGAGACCAGCCTGACCAACATGGTGAAATCCTGTCTCTACTAAAAACACAAAAATTAGGTGGGAGTGGTAGGGAGTGCCTGTAATCCCAGCTACTCAGGAGGCTGAAGCAGGAGAATCGCTTGAACCCGGGAGGTGGAGGTTGTAGTGAGCCGAGATCAAGCCACTGCACTCCAGCCTGGGCGACAGAGCGAGACTATGTCCTCAAAAACAACAACAACAACAACAACAAACCCTTAGCCAGGGCATTCGAAACAAAAAAAAATTAATGGCAATTGTTTAACATCACAGCTGCTTGAGTTGAATATTCTAATTAGGGCAAACAAGAGGCTTGCAAAAAAAAAAAAAAATCTGGAAAATGAGATACCTATAAGGACTTTAAAAAAGTGCAACATATTCCAAAGATCTATATGGTCATGACTCCTATCTTATCCTAGCCCAGCAATCACAAGGAACAATGCCTCACCCCAGGGGTTAATAGAGATTATGTGGAGAATCTGGCTTTCTGCCACCATTTGGCAGTAACAAGGCAATGTTCTCCGCTGCCAGAACCGTGTCAGAAAAGATCAGTTAAAAGACAAAATTTAAATAGGATCCAGAATCGAATAACATAATAAAAAATGTTTAGGCTTCAGTTGAAAAATCAATCATTATACCAAGAACTAGAAGATTCCAAATTAGATATTTTTTGTTTTGTTTTTGAGACGGTGTCTTGCTCTGCTGCCCAGGCTGCAGTGCAGTGGCACGTTCACAGCTCACTGCAGTCTTTTTTTCCTGTGGTCGAGCGATCCTCTCACTTCTGCCTCCCAGAGTACTGGAATTACAGACGTGAGTCACCGTGCCTGGGCTCCAAATTACATTTTAAAAAATAAGTACATTTATGTCAATGCTGACATGACTGAGATGTTAGAAATATATGAGAAGGGCTTTAAAGCAGTCAATATAAAAATTATTCAATGAGCAATTGTGAACATATTAAAAAAATGAAAACACAGCATCTTCAAAGAAATTGAAGATGTAAAGAAGAACCAAATGGAAATATTAGAACTGAAAAGTGCAATAATTAAAATTAAAATCTGAGGATGGGCTCAGCAGCAAAATGGAGGTTGTGGAAAATAACAATGATAGCAACAAAGAAAAAAAAACAGTGAACTGAAAGATGGAACAATAGAATTTTTGCAATCTGGATAATATGACTGGAAAATATGAACAAATCTCAGTAGCCTTTGACACAATAATGAAAGATTTAATACCATGTAATTGAATATCTGGAAAGAGGCAAAAGAGGGAGGAGCTATAAAAAGACTTAAAGAAATAATGGATGAAAATTCTCCAAATTTGGCAAGAGACATAAACTTACAAATTAAAGAAACTGAGCTACCTTCAAACAAGATAAAGCCAAATAAATCTGCACCAAGACACATCATAATTCCTGAAAACTAAAGCAAAAGAATACACCTTAAAAGCATCCAGAAAGGGAAAAAAGTATTTATCTATAGTGGAAAAACAAGTTAAATGAAACAGTACACATATTCCTCATTAGAAACCATGGATGCCAGAAATAACAAATAAACAATACTTCTCATGTACCAAAAGGAAAGAACTGTTTTTTCAGTCTTATGCCCAGTGAAGATACCTTTGGGGGAATTAAAGGAAAATTAAGACATTCTCACATGAAGAAAAACTAAAAAAAAATTATGGCCAAGAAATCTACCATAAAATAATGGCCAAAGAAAGTGGGCTAAACTGAAAGAAAGGCTTAAAAACAGAATCTTGAGACATGGAAAAAGGAATACAATAAGCAAAAATATGGGTACGTAAAATAGGCATTGCTTTTCCTCTTGATTTCTCTAAATTAAGTTTGACAGTTAAAGCAAAATTACAAACTCTCTAATGTGCTCCTAAGTGTATGTAGAGGGAATATTTGAGACAAGTATATTATAAAATGAGGGAAGTGAAGAGACGTAAAGAGAGAAAAAGTTTTTATACTTAAATAGTAAAAAGAGAACACCAGTAGATTGTGATATGTACATGTAGTGGAATACCTAGAGCAACTCCCTCCAAAAAGCTCCATGAAGAGATGCCCTAAAAACACTATGCATATATCGAAATGGAATTCCAAAGTTATGTTGATGTAATACACAGAAACTTTATTTTGGTAAAGTTCCAGGAGTGCTATTATTGGGTGGAATTTTTCTATATACATCTGTTAGTTTTTGTTGAAGGATTGTGTTGTTAAGATCTGTATTCTTGCTGATTTTCTAATAGTTTTTTTTCAGTTACTGACAAAGTGAAGTGAGGGAGTTATTAATATTCCCAGAAAAATTGTAAATTTATCTGTTCCTCTTTTTAGCTCTATCAGTTTTTGCATCTAGTAGTTTAAGACTTTGTTATTTGGTTACTGCATTTAGGATCATGTGTCTTCTTGGTGGTTTGATCATTTGATCATTATTTAATGTCTTATTTGTCTCTAGTCATTTTGTTTACTCAATATTAATATAGCCATGTTTTTTCTTGATTACTGTTTACATGTTATATTTTTATCCATATTTTTCTATCAAACTATGTTGTTGGGTTTGAGATTAGTTTATTATAAACAGTAGATTGTTAAACTATGCTTTTCATTCCTGAAGTATAGTTTTGTCAAATACAGCATTCACTACTGATGGAAATTTTGTTACGGCTTGTGAAAAATGTGCTACTTCCTCCCTGCCAATATGGTTCAGATGAGAAATCTGCTGTCGGTTAAATTGGTGTTCCCCTTATAGGTAATGTGTTATTTCACTCTGGCTACTTTCAAAATATTTTATTTCCTTCTTATTTTCAAATGTTAGATATGCTGTGTCTTGGTATGGGTTTCTTTACATTTATTATACTTCGAGTTTACTAAGCTTCTTGGATATGTATGTAGCTCTTTCGCCAAATTTTATAAGTTTTCAGCCATTATTACTTTTAATACTGTTTCACCTTAATTATGTTTATTCTCTCTGGGAGTAGAATGATACAAAGTTGAGTCTTTTGTTATCCCCAAATGCCTTAGAGGTTCTGTTCTTTTTTCTCAGTCTATCTTCTCTATGTAGTTCAGATTGGGTAAATGCTGTTGATCTCAAGTTCACCTATTCTGTTTTCAATCATCTCTATTATACTATTAAACCCATCCAGTGAGATCTTTTTTTTTTTTTTTTTTTTTGGCAGTGTTTTTTCAGTGGTTTGATTTATCTGGTGTTGATGAGGCTCCCTTTGGTCCCTGCAGGTGGTGGCTGAGGGGTCAAATGGAGTTTCCCAGGCTGGGCCACTGAGTTTATATTAGAGGGGAAGGGAATCAGGCCTGTGAAAATGAAGGGGCTTCCCTGGACCAGTAATTGTCATGAAAGAATCCGCTATACAGGTACTCCAAGCAAATAGGTATCTCTTGGTAGGCTGTGGCAGTTTAGGTGTACTGAGACAGAATTTGACAGTGGGATCGCTTGTTATGCTGGGTTCTCTCCTGTCAGAGTTGTCTGGCTACCCTCATGCCTCCCAGTGGGGACAGATGTCCCAAGCCCACAAGGACAAAGAACTTCTTGGGCCTGACCACTTATTGTGGCAGGGCTCTTCCTAACAGTGCTGCTAATGACCTTTATATCTCCCAGTGAAGGAAAGATGGCTCATACTCATAAGGAGCTATGACCAGTGCTCATTGTTGTGCTGACGTCATTTATGCCATTGCCCACGGGCAGTCCCAGCATTTTGGGGTCCCTTTATCATTTCAGGATCCTTCTTGGTGTTTCCACCCACTGTTCCAAATCAGTATGCAGTAGAGAGGGCAATGTTGATGGAAGAAGAATCTTAAAGCCAATGGTGAAGCATGGTGCTTTCCCTAATTGCCTATGGTTCTTTTTGTTTGTTTGTTTTGTTTTGTTTTGTTTTGAGATGGAGTCTCGCTCTGTCGCCCAGGCTGGAGTCCAGTGGCAGTATCTCGGCTCACTGCAAGCTCTGCCTCCCGGGTTCACGCCATTCTCCTGCCTCGGCCTCCTGAGTAGCTGGGACTACAGGCGCCCGCCACCACACCCGGCTATTTTTTTTTGTATTTTTAGTAGAGTGTTAGCCAGGTTGGTCTTGATATCCGGACCTCGTGATCCGCCCACCTCGGCCTCCCAAAGTGCTGGGATTACAGGCGTAAGCCACCGTGCCTGGCCCCCTAATTGCCTATCGTTAGCAGATCTTCCAATAGATCACCTTGCCTACAGTGCCAGAGTTCCCTCATCTTTTGGGGGGAACTCCTGTTTGACCTAACAGAACAATAAGCCTACCTGGGCCGACTTCTGTTGTTAGGCTGGGGATTGGAAAAACACTGGGTTTGAGTCACCCTCTTATGTTGGGTCAGTAGACTTAATACATCCTTCTACTATATTGTTTCTCCAGTCCTGGGGACCCCAAACAAGATTACCTTCCAGTTACCAGTTTTTCAGAGATTTTCTACTATTGCATTTTACAATATTTCCAAAATTTATTGTTATACATAGCAGATAGGAGCAAAAGAAACTGGCTCGCTCTCTGTTCCTCTAGGTATATAAATGGACATACCTGTTATCTCATAATTATCATTGCTTTTGTCAGGATTTCTCACAAATATGCCTTGAGATACAATTGAATAATGCATACAATATGTTAATTGGCCTACTAGTAATAGCTCCATTTATTAAGTATTGTACAAATTGAAGATTAGAAAAACAAATGTTATCTGTGTTTTATGAAACTACCACTTCATATACATAAAAATGTACACTATGCTAAAATGGTTTTAGTTAAGTTGTATTGAATTGTAACATACAAACAGTATATCTTAACTGTACAGCTCAAGGAATCTGAATGATTACAATTAAAACGCAACTATTTAATCTCAATATGACTGAAGAAATAGAGCATTAGCTGTACTGAAAAATACATTCATAAGTCACTCACAGTCACAAACCTGTAAGGTAAACATTATAATAATTTATAACAACATAGATTATATTTTATATAGGCTTATTTTTTAATTTTACATAACTAAAATCATATTGCATGTATTAATTCTTACCTAACTTCTATTCTATATATTGTATTCGGCAAATATGCCTTTTTTGTTCACTCGAGATATGGTTGATTTTCATTGCTGTTTAGCATTCAATTTATTAATACAGGGTAATTTATTTATCTATTTTTTAATTTACCAATTCTACTAATAGATATTTTAATTTCTTTTTCCAGTTTGTTGCCATTAGAAATTATGCTGCAATGGGCTGGGTGCGGCAGTTCACACCTGTAATCGCAGTACTTTGGGAGGTCGAGGCAGGCAGATCACCTGAGGTCAGGAGTTCGAGACCAGACTGGCCAACATGGTGAAACCCCGTCTCTACTAAAAATACAAAAATTAGCCAGGCGTGGTGGCAGGCACATGTAATCCCAGCTACTCGGGAGGCTGAGGCAGGAGAATCACTTGAACATGGGAGGCGGAGGTTGCAGTGAGCCGAGATCACGCCATTGCACTCCAGCCTGGGGGACAAGAGTGAGACTTCATCTAAAAAAAAAAAAGAAAAGAGATTATGCTGCAATGAACACTCTTGTATACTCTTTAGGGGTTCACTTAGGATTGAAATTGCTGTTGAATAGAACATGCATATTCATCTTTGATATATCATGCCAAGAGTTCTACCAATGTTTATTTAAAGTCTGCATTAACACCTGCTAATGTCTTAGGTATAAAAAGAGAGGTAAATTATGACTCCAATGTCAATAAAATATAGAGATATAGAGGAAGAGGCAGAGATAGAGATAGAGATAATAATACACATAGTTAAAACATCAAAACATGATATTACTAGCAAATTATGCTCAGGCTATAATCTTGAATACTAATGACAATTTTACCATCACTAATACTTAGCACTCTTAAAATCACCGGTTTTTATTCAGTGTTCACTAATTTTAGTCATTTTGCATGTGTTATATCTAAAATGTATAATGATTATGTAGTGTTATATCTATTTTGTGGATGAAAAATTCAGTGTTTTTACTGCATTTTCTATTTCTCAATTTACTTGTAAATTAGACCTTATGTCTCTTTGTTAGCTATGACTGTCTGTATTTCCCATACTTTTTTCTCCCAACTGATTTATTTCATCTTATCTATCCTTCAGATTACTCCATTTTCTGTGTTTAATCTACCATTAGACTCATTTTATGACTTAATTTGCTATGTATTTTTCAGTCTTTGCATTTGGCTTTTATCTCAAAGTTTCTAATACTCTGCCTGAATTCTTTATCTGGTTATCTAATTTCCTATACATTTAACCACAATTATTTAAAACTCTTTACCTGACTTTAACTCCTTATATAACTTGAAAATCTCAACTTCCAATGAATTTTACAATTGCTTGTTTTTACTTTTTCTGTTTCACCCATCTATTATAAAATTTTTCAAAAATTCTGCAAAAACAAACTTAAAAGATATGAAAGTATCCAGAACTTTTTTCAAGATGATTGTATGTTTTATATTCCCAAAGACAGTGTTTGAGACTTTTGATTGTGTTATATCTTCACCAACATTTGTTTTCTCCAGTGTTTTCAATTTTAGCCATTCTGGTATATGTGTAGTGAAACTTCCTTAATAATTTTAATTTGCATTGCCCTAATGGAAAATTTTGATAAATTCTTCATACACTTATTGGCCTTTCATGAGTCTTCATTTATGTAGGTAACTCTAACTTTTTGCCCATTTTTATTGGATATTTTCCCTTTTTCTTTTTCTTGAGCTGGGGACATTCTTTCCTTAAGCCAAATACCAACTCTGTGAGATACAGAATAAAAAAATAATTCTCTGAGTATGTGACTTGCCTATTCATTTACTTAATGATGTTTGTTGATGATCAAAACTTTTAACTTTAATGAAATTCTGTTTCTCAATTTTCAATTTTGTGTATGTTACTTTCTCTCTCTTAAGATGCATTTGCCCACCCCAAAACACGAAGATATTGTACTAAGTTTTTTAACAAATGCTTTAGGATTTCTTCTATGTATTTCATACTTTTGGGTTTTACATTTAACTCTTTAATTCATCTTGGTTTAATTTTTGTATATACTGTAAGGGAAGGTTCCAGTTTTAATTTCTGCATATGACTAGCCAGTTCTCCCAGTATCATTTATGAAATAGGGTATCCTTTCCTCATTGCTTGTTTTGGTCAGGTTTGTTGTAGATCAGATGTCTGCAGATATGCAGTATTATTTCTGGGTTCTCTATTCTGTTCCATTGGTCTATGTGTCTGCTTTTATACCAGTACCATGCTGTTTTGGCTACTGTAGCCTTGTAGTATAGTTTGAAGTCAAGTAGCAAGATGCCTTCAGCTTTGTTCTTTTTGCTTAGGATTGACTTGGCTATTTGGGCTCTTTTTTGGTTCCATATGAATTTTTAATTTTTTTTTAATTCTGTGAAGAATGTCAAAGGTAGCTTAATGGGAGTAACATTGAATATAAAAATATCACAATATTATTCTTCCTATCCATGTGCATGGAATGTTTTTCCATTAGTTTGTATTCTCTCTGGTTTCTCTGAGCAATAGTTTGTAGTCCTCCTTGAAGATGTCCTTCACTTCCCTTTTTAGCTTTATTTCTAGATATTCTATTATTTTTGTAGCAATTGTGAATAGGAGTTCATTCATGATTTAGCTCTCTGCTTGCCTATTGTTGATGTATAGGAATGCTAGAAATTTTTGCACATTAATTTTATATCCTGAAACTTTGCTGAAGTTGCTTATCAGCTTAGGAAGCTTTTAGGCTGAGATGATGGGGTTTTCTAGAGGTAGGGGGCAAAGATTTCATGACAAAAATACAAAATCAATTGCAACAAAAGCAAAAATTGACAAATAGGATCTAATTAAACTAAAGAGCTTCTGCACAGCAAAAGAAACAATCACCAGAGTGAACAGACAACATAAAAAATGGGAGAAAAATTTTGCAAGCTATCCATCTGAAAAATGTCTAATATCCAGAATCTACAAAGAAGTTAAATTTACAAGAAAAAAACAAGCAACCCTATGAAAAAGTGAGCAAAGTTCATGAACAGACACTTCTCGAAAGAAAACATACATGCGGCCAAAGAACATAAAAAAAAAAAAAAAGCTCAACATAACTAATCATTACAAAATGCAAATCAAAACCACAATGAGACTCATCCCATGCCAATCGAAATGGTTATTACTAAAAAGTCAAAAAACAACACATGCTGGTGAGGTTGTGCAGAAAAAGAAGCACTTTCACACTGTTGGTGGGAGTGTACATTAGTTCAACCATTGTGGAAGACATTGTGGCAACTTCTCAAAGACCTAGAGGCAAAACTACCATTTGACCCAGCAATCCCATTACTGGGTATATACCCAAAGGAATATAATTTATTATGTTATAAAGATACACGTACCTGTATGTTCACTGTGGGACTGTTTACAATAGCAAAGTCATGAAATCAACCTAAATGCCCATCAATTATACACTGAATAAAGAGAATATGCTACATATACACCATGGAATACCATGCAGCCATAAAAAGGAACAAGATCATGTCTTTTGCAAGGACATGGATGGAGTGGAGCTGGAAGCCATTATTCTCAGCTAACTAACACAAGAACAGAAAACCAATCAATGCATTTTCTCGCTTATAAGTGGGAGCCAATTGATAAGAAAACATGGACATGTTGTGGGGAACAACACAGACTGGTCACCTGTGGGAGGTTGGGGGGAGGGAGAGCATTAGGAAGAATAGGTAATAGGTTCAGTGCTTAATTCCTGGGTGATGGGATGATCTGTGCAGTAAATCACCATGGTGCATGTTCACCTATGTAACAAACCTGCACATTCTGCACATGTACCCCTGAAGTTGAAGGAGATAAAATTCTCTAAGGATTCTAATTTTACTCTGAGGTCTGTGATACACATTAATTCTTTTATAATATAGTGTGAGGTAGAGGTTTATGTTCATTTTTTCCCATTATTGATATACGGTAATTCCTGTTCACTTGTTGAAAACACCTTACCTTCACGATTGGTTGCTTTGGCATCTTTGTCAAAAATCAAATGACAGTAATAATGTGTATCTTTTTCTGCACTCTGTTTTCTACTCCACTGATTAATGTGTTACCTCTTATGACAGAATTACCTGGTCTTAAGGACTGTAGCATTATAGTTGGTCTTGATGTCATGTATTTTTCATCCTTCAACTTTATTCTGCTTTTAGAAGATGATTTTGACTATTTTGCATTATTTTAATTTTCATGTAGATTTCATATTCAGCTTGTCATTTATAAAATTCAGCTTGTCATTTATAAAATTCTAATAAGATTAAAATTCAATTAATTTATAAAATTATAGGGATTCGTCACTTTAACAATATTGTCTTCAAATCCATGAACATACTATATCTCTGAAATGAACAAGTCCTTTTGTACACTCAAAAATCTTTAGAGTCTTTTACTCTTATACTAAATATTTCTATTTTCAATGTTTTAATTTCACTGAAATCTAGGGATTTCAATATATGCTACTGAGCTATCCACAGTCTGCTAGTATTAACATAGAAAATTTAAAAGTGTATTATGATCATTTACTCTTCTAGCTGTAAATCCCACCAGCAACTATTTTATTCTTTTGTTTTAAGAAGTTTTATGCTTTTAAAAAAGAAGGAAAAAAAAGATAAAAGTGTTTTTTCTTCATATTTACCCAGACATTTACCATTTTTAGTGCTTTCTATTCCTTCCTGTAGATCCAGATTTCCATCTGCTATCACTTCTTTCAGTCTGAAAAACATCCTTTAGCATTTCCTTTTGTGGAGGTCTACTGGCAACAAATACTTCTAGCGCTTTTAATTTAATTCTGAAAATGTCTTCCTTTTGATTTCATCTTGAGTGATATTTTTGGTGGATATGGAATTAAGGTTTTATGGCTTTTATTATTTTTGTTTCACTGCTGTCTTTAAGTCTTTATTGGGAAATTCATTGGGAATTTTTACTCCCCTGTTTTTATTATGTTTCTCCAATTGCTGTCAAATTTTTGTCTTTACTTTTCAGCCTTTTGCCAATGATGTGCTAAGGCATGGCTTTTTCTTTTTCATATTAGTTTTACTTGATGTTTGCTTATGCTATGGTTTGAATATGTCCCCTAAAATCCTTGTGTTAGAAACTGAATCCTCCATCAAACAGTGTTGAAAGGTCGGACCTTTGAGAGATGTTTTGATCATGAAGGCTCTCCTCTCATGAATGGATTAATACCACGATAAAAAGGGCTTCTGAGAGTAAGTTCACTCTCTTCTGATCTTCTGCCATATAAGACACAGAATTTGTTTGTTTTTGTACCTTCTACTTTGTGCTATGTGAAAATGGAGCAAGAGAGTCCTCATCACATGCCAGCACCTTAATCTTGGAAAGTCTTCGGCTCAAGAACTGTAAGAATAAATATTTGTTCTTTATATGTTACCTAGTCTGTGGTATTTCATTATAGCAGCACAGAAAAATAAGGCAATTATTTAATCTGATCACCAACTTTGGAAAATTTGGGACATTTGGGGCTAGAGTTTTTAAAAATACTTTTCTGCCTCATTCTGTTTCTTTTCTTTTTCAGGACACTAATTACATATAGATTATCTTCCTGCCTCACATATACCTGAGTTTCTGTTCATGTTGTTTATGTTTCAGCAACTGATTTTTCTCTTTATTCTTCAGAGTGATTATGTTGCAGGCTATTGTCATCAAATCCATTAAATTTTTCTTCTAAAATGTATACATTGCTATTAAGCTTTTCAAGAGAATAATATTTTTTCTTTCAGTTCTATAACTATCATTAGGCTTTCTCTTTTTTATTTATTTATGTACTTTTTTTCTCACAAACATAATAATAAAACTGCTTTAAATTTTTTTGTAGTTTTCAATATTTGAATTGCTACAACGTTCATCTCTATTAATTGTCTTTTCTCTTGAGAGAGTAACTTTTTTTGGTTATCCTCTGATTATATTTTATATTAAATGATATTAACTTATATCCTGATTTGACTAAAACAGTAGTTATATCTTTTGAATGGGTTTTCAAATTGCTTAGCTGATATGCTTTGAGTTTGCCTTGCACATGTGGGTTCCAGGGTCAGCCAGAGAGTAGGAAAAGTTTATGCATAGAATTTGAGGCTCCTTCACTTTTGCTCTCTTTTTTTCATGTGATTACCTCCTTAATTTCCAGTGGGTCTAGTTTTTCCAAACTCTATTAGGTTTACCAGTCCAGAAAGACTGATTGGGCAATCAAACTTTATATACCTGGTGCATATTTATCATAACCTGTACTCAAACAAAATATTGGAAAAATGGGAAAAAAACATTCATGGTATCTTTTTTTTTCTGTGTTCACTCCCTCCCGCCCAAAATCCTATTGCTTTTAGAAATCACTTTTAGCAGTTGCGTCCATGTTTATTCCAGAGTTCATGTTACCGAAAAACCGGTGTTTCAGTCCAGGCTCTGCTGCTCACTGAACAGGAAGCCAATCACTGAAAGGACAAGTACTGCCAAGGACGACGGCTTTAATCGGGTACTCAGTCTCAAATCAGTCTCCCTGACTGACCAAAACTAGGCTTTATATAACCGGGAAGAAATGTACAGTGAATAAGAAAACAAGAACTAGGGAGAGGCAGGGAAGCAATCATGATGAATGAAGGGTCCAGCATCTCTTGTCTGGATGTGGAGATCTGATGAGTTTCAGTTCTTTGATACTTTTTGTAAGAGGCCTGAAAGTCATTTCCTCATGAACTCAGATAAAAAATTATAAGATTTAAGCTTTAAGATGAGAAGGGTCAATTTCTATAAAAGAAGGAAAGAAGAAAGAAAGAAAGAAAGAAAGAAAGAAAGAAAGAAAGAAAGAAAGAAAGAAAGAAAGAAAAAAGGAAGAAAGAAAGAAAGAAAGAAAGAAAGAAAGAAAGAAAGAAAGAAAGAAAGAAAGAAAAAGAAGGAAGGGAAAAGAAAAGAAACAGAAAGAAAAGAAAGAAGGGAGGGAGGGAGAGAGAAAAAGTAAAGAAAGAAAGAAAAAAGAAAGAAGAGAGAGAAAGAGAGGGAGAGAGGGAGGGAAGGAGGGAAGGAAGGAAGGAAAGAAGGAAGGAAGAAAGGAAGGAAGGAAGGAAGGAAGGAAACTGTGGGACTATTGGGTCAGTTTTATTTACACTGGTTAACTGTGGGAATTATGGTACATTGAGAATTTACTTGATTCTGCAAGAGTCCCAGCTCCGATCATGAGTTTTTGTCCGCTACCATGCCTAGTAGTTTTTTTTTTGACTGCCTGACATTGTGTTTGAAACATGTAGATAAACCATTGAAACTCGAGATGATGTTTTATTATTCCTAACAGAATTTACTTCGGACCTTGACATAAATTATAGAGACAGATCACCTCAATCCAATCAGAGATTGAACTGATATAAATCTACACTTTAATTTTTGTGAGGATTAGTTCATTTCTGGTTTGTCTTTGCTTCTAAGCTGTAGCCCTTTGGGGTTGAACTACAAACCTGGTTTTTTACTGAGGCTTCTTCCTCCTTTCGGGCCTGAACTCCACTTTTGTTTCCCCATTCTGTTGAGAATAATGAAAGTGTCCCTAATACTTTTAGTCACTTAGACTCTGCTTTTTGTTCAGCTTCTCATTCTCTCAGCCCTGAATTTATTATCAGAAAATATATTCAAGAAAGGAAGGCAGAGCTGTGGATATCTTTCTTACCTTTCTTCATTTCTATTCTATTTTTCTTCTCAATGGCATCGAACAGAGGTACATAAGTATTTCTATCTCAGCCTTTCTAAATTTCTCAGCTAGATAATTTTTTAACAAGCTATTGCTTTATTTCTAGAAGTTTTGAAATTTATTAAAATAATTTTCAGAATCAACAGATTTTTGAAAAAATGGATTTATAATGGATATATATATTGACACCAATGATATAAATACAATTATAGAACATACCTGCCTAAATTACTCATCTTTTTCTTTATATTTTTCTATTCTCTTTCATTTTGAGATGAGTACTAGCCAGACTTCCCCTAAATTAATTCAGAAAGCATTTAATCATTTTAGGTACAGTGCAGCTAAAGTCACTAATATATAGTTACTCACCAGTCTTAACATTTAATACATGTCAAATGTAAAGGTTTATAGTACACAATTTGTCACAATAAGTATGCCCCTATTTAAATTGCACTGTTTTCCCAACATTTACCCTTGTGTGCTCCAGATGAAACAAATGTCATTTAATACTAAATGCTGTATGTTAAAAAAGGAAAAGTGACTATTTATGTTCCTAAATTGCATTATTTATAATGCCTAAACTGTTTTATTCAACTATATTAAGAAAATTAATTATTTCCTAAACAGTGGTGCTTAACCTATTTTTAGTCAAGTAAACATGTGTAAATCTGATATGATACAGAGCCACACTATAAAATGTCCTAACAAATATTTGTTTTTAATATCATTTGTTTTCTATTTAAATGATTTTAAAAATCATGTTTTATAAAATATTTATATTAAATAAGATACTATTTAGTCCTTCCTATACTCTTAAGCAATAAAAAAGTGACAGAAAATTCTGCTCACAATTTTAACCAAACATATTATGTTAGATTTTGTAAAATAAAACTGAAAAATTCTGGATGACAATTCAGCATTTGCATCAATTCTAAAAACATATGACATTAATTGAATCCTAGGTGAAGCTGAGCATAAACTGGAAATTATTGAACTGAGAGTCAGATAAATTTTATATTTATCATTGATCTATGTTAGGCAGGTGACTGCAATTCTGAGTCTTTAAACTGAGATATAATTTGGCTCACTTATCATTTATGACGCACATTATTTATTAAAATATGAAATCGCTTCTGTAGAATAGTTTTTAGTTAATTTGAACAGCTTGAGTTTCTTTATTTGTAAAAAGAAAAAGCATATTATTAGAGCTATTCCCCCTTGATCATACGGATCAATAACTGAAGTCAGTTTATTGACCCTCTAATTTTACTATTTCAGGACAGGCATGAAAAGCAGAAAATGAGCAAAGCAAGTCACAACTTCATGTTTAAGAGGGATATTGTTCTGAAGTAGAAGTATCGGTCTGTTATGATCTAAGAACTCCAAATAAGAAATGTCCACATTTTTGGAACATGTTATGAAAATGTAATAGTGTAATGATGAAATGAAGCACTCTTACTTTTATTTATTGATTTAATTTTTTATTTGATCTTAGTGTGACAGAGCACACATAACAGTCACTAGTTCATAGAATATACCACTTTTTGCTTTATAGCTTTTCCACCATACAAGCTGTTACCTTCTCTCTGTATCCATAGCTGAATAGCAAGCAAGTTATTCTACTTATTTATTAGACCAGTTACTTTTGTCAACAATTTTGTAATTTCTAATTCCTAGGAAACTGGTAAAACCATTAGCAACAATGTAAACACATGTCTGACCACTGTCCTTCCAGGCAAAGTGCAAAAACTTGACTTTAACCCACTTGGAGAATTTTCCAACAACTAATGGCCATCCATTAGGAAGACTGTTAAAATGTAATTTTTATAAACTAATCTAAATTAAACTTACGTTTGATAAAATATCCAAGAAGATATTTTTGGAACTATACAAGATAATGTTAAATTATGTTGAGAAAAATAAGAAAAGGATATAGATGTATAATATAAGGTATAACAAATGATAATGGCACCAAAAAATACACTTATGTTTAATTACACTGATCGAAAGAAAACTGTATGTATAAAATATAATTAGATACAATTTTTCATGTGCCTGACAGGCAAAAATGAAAACAACATCCTTGCATATATTGGTGCTTGGGCTGTAAACTGATGATTCTCTATAAAAGAAACATTGACACATCTCCAAAATTATTTTAATATATGTGTGAATAAAACTATATGTATAGATATGATGTGTTCATAAAGATATTTACTGCACATTTGCTTGTAACAGTAAATTATTCAGAAAGATCTAATCTATCAAAAATAAAACCTTGAAACTAATTGTGTAAATCATAGTGGGACAACTAAGAACCTAAGAACTGCCTGTTTTTATAAATAACATGTTATTGGAACATGGCCACACCCATTTATTTGCATGTTGTCTGGTTGCATTGTTGACCAGCTGTGACAGAGACTGTTTTATCCACATAGCCTAAAATATTTACTAGCAGACCCCCTGTGACCTTTTGCAGACCACCAATATAGATTTATATCCTAGAATACTATGCAGCACTAAAGGGACAAAAAGAGCTGTGAAATTTCTGAGATGAGCCAATCTTTATGACATATGAAAAATGAAAAAATGAACATAGTGTGCAAATATATATATAATACACTCTCACATATTTATATGATATATAAATGTATACATTTTTTAATTTTCAATTTTAAACAATATATCAGCAATATGTATTTTTAAAAAGAATAGAAAACAACACCAACTAAATATACTTTATTCATTAAAAAAAGTGAAATGGAAGATAAATATAAATTTCTGATATTAGGATATGCCATTTTCTATTACATTGGCTTGTGTTATCTGTGTATTAGTGCATTCTCACACTGCTGTAAAGATACTACCTGAGACTGGGTAATTTATAAACAAAAGCTGTTTAATTGACTCACAGTTTTGCATGCCTGGAAAGCCTCAGGAAATTTACAATCATGGTGGAAGGTGAAGGGGAGGCAAGACATGTCTTACAAGGCAGCAGGAGAAAGAGAAAAGGGAGAGCTGGCAAACACTTTTAAAACCATTAGATCTCATGAGAACTCTCTCACTATCACAAGAACAGCATGGGGGAAACCATCCCCATGACCCATTTGCCTCCCATCAGGGCTCTCCCTCAAAAAGTGGGGATTACAATTTGAGATGAGATTTGGGTGGGGACAGAGCCAAACCATAACAATCTAATTCTAGTTAAGCTGAATGGTGAACATTTTTAGTCTATTCATCTGTTCCATGAGCAATAAGGCTTCCTTAGCCCAAAGGCATAAATATTTTTTATTAGCATATACTGTACAGCTTGATACTATTTCAGGAGAAATTTTTGAGAAATATAATTCTCAAGTTGTTTTTAATATTGCTATAAATATATATCTCCTAATTAAGCAAAAAAGTAACAGTTTTACGTGTACAACATGGCTACTTTATCCATTATAAATGTTACCTTTCATAGCATATCTAAGGTCACATAATTATTTAATAAGTCTTGAATTGCTTACACAAATCTCCACATTTTAACCAAAAAGAATAATGTGTTTATTTGTGTATAGATAAGAACTACTGCTTAAAAATAGACTGATGCTGTTTTTACTTCCTTTCTTTTTCTTGCACCTCAATGTTTTCTTATTATTTCTCTGCAATTCTCTCTAATTCTTTTTCTAAGCTCATTTTCACATGTAGGAAAAATGATTTAATGTGTTTGTTTGTGTGTGATGTGTCTAAGTTCACTTTTTGACATGTTTATAGCACTAAAATATAATTAAATACAATTATAAAGTTGAGAATATTTTAATGACATTAAAAGATGATGCATCATAGCGTTCATTCTATTTCATTTGTACCACACCTAGAAAGAGCATTTGAAGACAGTATATCAGAAGACATACAGATAATGCATAGTCTTTATATTTTAATTATGTCTTCATGGTTTACATATTCTATTATGATTGGGAAAATTCTTTCCAAACAAATTGGTTAAAAGTTTTCTTTCAAAAATCTAGTTAAAGATTAGCTTTATTTTTGTTAAAGTCTTAAAGAATAGCATATGAATTTACCAATAACTTTCCTTAATTCAGCAGAAAGTAGAAATAAATGATAACATATATCTTGTTTTATCACTTTTTTGTATCAAATTCCATATAATTTTTAACAATAAATACAAATATTATAACATAATTTGAATTTTTCTTGGAAAATCACGTTGCTTAAAATCAGAATCATGTGTACAGTTGACCTTGAACAACATAGGAATAGGGGTTCTGATCCCCTATCCAGCAGAAAATTCAGGTATTACTTTTGACTTCCCCAAAACTGAACTACTAATAGCCTACTATTAACTGGAAGACTTATCAATAACATAAACAGTTTATTAACACGTATTTTGCATGTTATATGTATTACATACTGTATTCTTACAATAAAGTAAGCTAGAGAAAAGAAAATGTTGTTAAGAAAATTATAAGGAAGATAAAGTATAATTAGTATTTCATTAAGTGGAAGTGAATCATCCTGAAAGTCTTCATTCTTGTTTTCATGTTGAACAGGCTTAGGAGTAAGCAGAGGGGTTGGTCTGGCTGTCCCAGGGGTGGCAGAGTTGGAAGAGGTGGAAGAGGTGGAAGGGGAGGCAGGAGAGGCAGGCACACTCAGTGTATCATTTATTGTTTAAAAAAAATAAACATATAAATGGACCTAAGAGAACAAACTCATGTTGTTCAAGGGTCAACTGTAATTACATATGATATTTAAAGTAATTACTTTACATTTCTTCCTATTTCATTTGAGCTAAATTTTTTAAAAGATTATCTAAACCCATGTTACTAAAAGTTTGATACATATGCTTTTCTACTGTTGCTCACTTATGTGCCACATGGCTATTCACTTTTTATTATTTATTTACTTTGTACTCCAATACTGAAAAGATATAAAGATTTCATTATGTAAAAAAAAGTCCATTGACTCATCTCAGAGGGAGAGAATTGCAGAGAGAAATTCATTACATTATAATTATTATTATACACATAATACGTCATTTCCTATTCAAATTATGGGACTAACACTGCATTGATTCAATGTGATAGATTATTTGATAATCTCTTTGCTTCTTGTTGTCCAGTTTATTCATAGGACCTTTTAAATTTTTCTCCCACAAGCTTTTTAACACAAACTTATTTGTCTTAGAAAGTTCCACAAACTTACTATTGTTCAATGCCCAATTAACATTTCCTTAGAATAGCAAATATATTTCAGAATATTGGAAAACAAGCGAATGTACTCTTATACCAAGGAAATTTAGGCTATATAATGTATGTCAGCACACACAAAATGAGTTTACTTTTGAGGAAAAATGCTGGACAACTGAGGATAAATAAAAACAAAAAATAGACAGTTAGCTAAAACAAAAGTGCTTACTTTTATTTTTACAAAATGAATGTTTATATATTTCATTGACTTAGTAATGCATTTTATTTTATTGTTTTTGTTAAACAATTGCATTTTGTTTTTGGTCAGTTCTATTTGAAAATCAACTTAATCTGTTTTTCCTATGTGGACCTTTCCCAAGGGATAAATTTATAAAATTGGAATTGTTAAATATCACATAATAGCAACAAAAAAGTGCTTTGCATGTGTGATTTACCAGTAGTCATTAAAAGAGTGATATGGTTTGGCTCTGATGCCACTCAAATCTTATCTTGAATTGTAGCTCTCCACAATTTCCAAATGCCATGGGAGGTACCCAGTGGGATGTAATTGAATCATGGGGTCAGTAGTTTCCCATGCTGTTCTCTTGATAGTGAATAAGTCTCATGAGATCCAATGGTTTTATAAAGGGAAGTTTCCCTGCACATGCTCTCTTGCCTGCTGCCATGTAGGATGTCTTTTTGCTCTTCCTTCATCTTCTGCCATGATTGTGAGGCCTCTCCAGCCATGTGGAACTGTGAGTCTATTAAACCTCCTTCCTTTATAAATTACCCAGTCTAGGTATGTCTTTATTAGCAGCATGCGAATGGACTAATGCAGAGAGTAAAAGCATTATTGTTTATAATTAACTTAAAATCCCCGAACATTTCCAAGATGATCCATTAGTGATGCCACACATTACTAAGCATACCTCTTAAAATTTCAGAACCAGCTGCTTAAAGTATTTAATGGTGACCACAAATAGTATTTTCTGTCTCTAACTTTGACATTTAAGTTTAATAATGTAAGGCAAATTGCTTTTCAAATGTAAAGATTTGCACTAGTTGTTTGCTATTTTTGTTATGGTTACCATTTCCTAAGCCAGATTAGTGTGAAGCTGATCTTAAATGATTCAGACACAACCTAGTTGAAACTCACATAAAAAAAATTCACAAATTCCACTTTGATAAATCTTTTTTGTTTTTTTACATAATATCAAATAACTCCTCAATTCTGTCAAACAATAATTTGCATTTTATTTAATTCTGTTCATGTACTACATGATAGTGTTTATATATAATTGTAAAAAGAAATGCTACTTAAAGAAAGTACAGTCTAGCACTTTATAAATGCAATGATAAGAATGGTGGTTTTGTCAGTAAAGGTTTAATACAAACAAAAACCATCCTCTGTATTTTAAGCTATAGGGAATTAAATACAATAAAGTTTAAAGTATTTTGAAGGACAGGATCAGAAATAAAGGAGCAAATACTGAATATATGTTTCAAGATCTGATCTCTGGGCTTGCCATCTGGATGTCAGGGGCCCCTCTTGTTATTGCTCCATTGCAACCATTGTCCAGACTGCCTCACACCCAGCACACACGTGACTCTCCTGAGGAACAGATCTTCTAGCTGCTGTAAATGCTTTCATTTTGGGGATTTGTGTATCAGCTGCCATAAACAAGGAGGAGTTTCTGTTTCACTTTTGTTATCCAAGCCTTGCACAAGTATCTCTAACTGGCATGACTTCTGTCAGGTATAAGAGATTCTGGAAAAAAAAAAAAAAGAATGATTTTAGCTTTCTAAACTTCCTATGTAGAAAAGAATGAGAGAGATAATCAAAGTATCTACCTCAGTAGTTATCAGGATTTAACCCACATGGTCCCTTTCATTTTGAATATCCCAACCTAAAGGGTAACTTCACACAGTTTCTCTATAAATCCTTGTTTCCAAAAGTTTCAGTATTTGAATCATGCAAGATGTACCAAATCTCCTCTTTCAGAGTGTGTTATCTAAGGTATTTCTAATAATGGTAACTAAAATCTTAAACATATGAAAAAAATCAGTATGATTTCTTGTTTCTTGCCTCTCTTCAAGTGTTGTAATAAACCTAGAGTAAAAAAAAAAACAAAAACCAGATTGCCAGTTATACAGCTATTTCTGGTTTATATATATATAATCTCAATTTCTGTTTTAGATTTTGGGGTACATGTGTAGGTTTGTTACATGAGTACTTTGTGTGATGCTGAGGTTTAGGATACAAATGATACTGTCACCAGGTAGTAAATATAGTATTCAGTAGTTATTCAACCCTTGCCCCCTCCCCCCTTCTGCCCTCTAGTGGTCTCCAGTGTCTGGTCCCCAGTGTCTATTGTTGCCATCTTCGTGTCCCATCTTTACATACTTCTAAAGCAACAGTTAATGCTTTGAGATTTGACCAAAGATGATGTACACTTCCTTTTACTTAGCTTTCATCAGAACTATAGTTGAATTATGCATAATGCTTTCTAAATTTTTATATTTTTCAATAAAACTAATTTGTATTCCAAGGTTTCTGTAGTCTAAATAAAACAGAAAAACTCTGAGATTAACAACGAAAATATGTCACTTTAACCTCATTGCATTTTGAAGACTGTAAAATAGACTTAAAATAAAAATATATAATTTCCTTCAAAATTTATGTTGGCTTAGCTTGTATGAAAGAGATTTGTAGTAATGTTAGCAGCAGCACATAAAGTTTGTGCAGTATGAACAGAGTAACTGGATGATTTTATAATAAATATATTATGTTCCCTCCAAAAATTACACATAGGCAACAGATTTAAAACAAAGTAAACCCATTGATTATGTGTGCTGCTTTTCCCCTTGTGTTAGGGAAAAAAATGTCATCAGCCCATATGCCTTCAAAACATTAAAACTAACCACATTTTCATACAGTAATTTCTTTTTTCTTTCTTTTTTTAGCAAATACTTATTGATGAATAATTTATTAGAAAAAAATGAAGTTGGAACATGAAGCAGACAGAAGTCACACTTCCTAAATTGCACAAAAAAGCTTAACAAAAAGTCTGATATTCTTAAACAGATATCTATAACTAAGGAAATCTAACATAAGTATAAAGTTAGTGGGTTGTACTAAGGAAGGCAATATAATTTCTATAAATATATTTATTTGGAATCATACCTAAATAATTACCCAAATTACAATAAATATGCAATGATTCTGACTTACTAATATTTCAATATTATTATTAATATTTCAATATCAATATCACTTCTTAAACCATAATAAGTTAGCTAGAAGTTTGAAGCCAGTGCACACTATTGTGTCAATTTAAGTGGCTGCTATGAGAGTACTTCATCTTTCTTCTGTACAGGCATACCTTGAAGATATTGTGTTTTCAGTTCCAGTCCTCCATGGTAAAATCAGTATTGCAATGAAGTCAGTCACAAATATTTGCTGGTTTCCCAGTGCATAGAAAAGTCATGCAGTCCATTAAGTATCCAAAAGCATTATGTGTAAAAAGCCATGTACATACCTTAATTAAAAATACTTTGTATTTCTGAGGGCTCTGTTCTGTTCCATTGGTCTATATCTCTGTTTTGGAACCAGTACCATGCTGTTTTGGTTACTGCAGCCTTGTAGTATAATTTGAAGTTAGGTAGCGTGATGCCTCCAGCTTTGTTCTTTTGGCTTAGGATTGACTTGGCAATGTGGGCTCTTTTTTGGTTCCATATGAACTTTAAAGTAGTTCTTTCCAATTCTGTGAAGAAAGCCATTGGTAGCTTGATGGGCATGGCATTGAATCTATAAATTACCTCGGGCAGTATGGCCATTTTCACGATATTGATTCTTCCTACCCATGAGCATGGAATGTTCTTCCATTTGTTTGTATCCTCTTTTATTTCATTGAGCAGTGGTTTGTAGTTCTCCTTGAAGAGGTCCTTCACATCCCTTGTAAGTTGGATTCCTAGGTATTTTATACTCTTTGAAGCAATTGTGAATGGGAGTTCATTCATGATTTGGCTCTCTGTTTGTCTGTTATTGGTGTATAAGAATGCTTGTGATTTTTGCACATCGATTTTATATCCTGAGACTTTGCTGAAGTTGCTTATCAGCTTAAGGAGATTTTGGGCTGAGATGATGGGATTTTCTAGATATACAATCATGTCATCTGCAAACAGGGACAATTTGATTCCCTATTTAATAAATGGTGCTGGGAAAACTGGCTAGCCATATGTAGAAAGCTGAAACTGGATCCCTTCCTTACACCTTATACAAAAATTAATTCAAGATGGATTAAAGACTTAAATGTTAGACCTAAAACCATAAAAACCCTAGAAGAAAACCTAGGCAATACCATTCAGGACATAGGCATGGGCAAGGACTTCATGTCTAAAACACCAAAAGCAATGTCAACAAAAGCCAAAATTGACAAATGGGATCTAATTAAACTAAAGAGCTTCTTCACAGCAAAAGAAACCACCATCAGAGTGAACAGGCAACCCACAGAATGGGAGAAAATTTTTGCAATCTACTCATCTGACAAAGGACTAATATCCAGAATCTACAATGAACTCAAACAAATTTACAAGAAAAAAACAAACAACCCCATCAAAAAGTGGGCAAAGGATATGAACAGACACTTCTCAAAAGAAGACATCTATGCAGCCAAAAAACACATGAAAAAATGCTCATCATCACTGGCCATCAGAGAAATGCAAATCAAAACCACAATGAGATACCATCTCACACCAATTAGAATGGTGATCATTAAAAAGTCAGGAAATAACAAGTGCTGGAGAGGATGTGGAGAAATAGGAACACTTTTACACGGTTGTTGGGACTGTAAACTAGTTCAACCATTGTGGAAGTCAGTGTGGAGATTCCTCAGGGATCTAGAACTAGAAATATCATTTGACCCAGCCATCCCATTACTGGGTATATACCCAAAGGATTGTAAATCATGCTGCTATAAAGACACATGCACACGTATGTTTATTGTGGCACTATTCACAATAGCAAAGACTTGGAACCAACCCAAATGTCCAACAATGATAGACTGGATTAAGAAAATGTGGCACATATACACCATGGAATACTATGCAGCCATAAAAAATGATGAGTTCATGTCCTTTGTAGGGACATGGATGAAGCTGGAAACCATCATTCTCAGCAAACTATCGCAAGGACAAAAAACCAAACACCGCATGTTCTCACTCATAGGTGGGAATTGAACAATGAGAACACATGGACACAGGAAGGGGAACATCACACTCTGGGGACTGTTGTGGGGTGGGGGGAGGGGGGAGGGATAGCATTGGGCGATATACCTAATGCTAAATGAGGAGTTGATGGTGCAGCACACCAACATGGCACATGTATACATATGTAACAAACCTGCACATTGTGCACATGTACCCTAAAACTTAAAGTATAATAATAAAAAATAAAATAAAATAAAATAAAGCCATGCAGCAAAAATAAAAAAATAAAAATACTTTGTATTGTTAAACAAAAGAAAAGTCTGACAATCATCTGGACCTTCAGTGAAGCATAACCTTTTTGCTGGTGGAGAGTCTTGCCTCAGTGTTATGACTACTGACTGATCAGGGTGGTGATTATTGAAGATTGGGCTGATTGTGGTCATTTCTTAAGACAACAATGGTGTTTGCTACATGGATTGATCCTTTAATGAAATATTTCTCTGTAGCATCCAGTGAATTTTGATAGCATTTTACTCACAGAACTTAATTAGAACTTACTTAAAAACTAGAGTCAATTCTCTCAAACTCTGCTTCTGCTTTATCAAATAAATTTATGAAATATTCTAAATCCTGTGTTGTCATTCCTACAATGTTTACAACATCTTCACAATGAGAAATCACCTTCTTTGCTCAAAATGTCAGCGTCTTTGCTCATCATAAGAAACAACTTGTCTTTTCAAATTTTAACATGAGATTGCAGCAATTCAGTCATATCTTCAGGCTCCACTTCCAATTACAGTTCTCTTGCTACTGCTGTGACATCTGTAGTTACTTCCTCCACTGAAATCTTGAACCTCTGAAATCCATCCATGAGAGCTGGAATCAACTTCTTCCAAACTCCTGTCAATGTTGATATTTTGACCTCCTCCCATGAATCACAGATGTTCTTAATGACATTTAGAATGGTGAATTATTTCCAGAATATTTTCAATTTATTTTCTCTAGATCCATCAGAAGAATCACTACCTCTAGCAGCTATAGCCTTACCAAATGTGTTTCTTAAATTATAACACTTGAAAGTCAAAATTACTCCCTGATTCATGGGCTACAGAATGGTTATTGTGTCAGTAAGCATGAAAACAACATTATTATTCTTGTACATCTCCATTAGAGATCTTGAGTGACCAGGTGTATTGTCAATGAGTAATAGCATTTTTACAGAATTTTTTTTCGAGCAATAGATCTCAACAGTGTTCTGAAAATATTTAATAAACCATATGGTAAACAGAGGTGCTGTCATCCAGGCTTTGTTGTTTCATTTTTAAAGCACAGGCAGAGTAGGTTTAGAATAATTTTTAAGGGGCCTAGGATTTTCAGAGTGGTAAATGATAATTGGCTTTAACTTAAACCCACCAGCTGTGATAGCTCTAAAGGAGAGAGTCAGCCTGTCCTTTGAAGCCGTTGACTTCTCCTCTCTAGCTATAAAATTCCTAGATGGCATCTTCTTCCAATAGAAGGCTATTTGATATACATTGAAAAATCTGTTTAGTGTAGCCACCTTCATTAATTATCTTAACTAGATGTTCTGGATAACTTGCTGCAGCTTCTATATCATCGCTTACTGCTTTACCTTGCACTTTTATATTATACAGAAGTCTTCTTTTATTAAACCTCATTAACCCATATCTGCTAGCGTCAAATTTTTCTTCTGCAGCTTCCTCATCTATTTTAGCTTTCGTAGACTTGAAGAAAATTAGGACCTTACTCTGGGTAAAGCTTTGGCTTAGGGGAGTGTTGTGGCTTGTGTGATCTATCCAGATCACTAGAACTTTCTCTCTAACAGCAATATGGCTATTTCACTTTTTAATGATTCTTGTGTGCTCACTGGAGTAGTACTTTTTATTTTCTTCAAGAACTCTTTCTTTGTATTCACAGCTTTGCTAACTGTTTGGTGAAAGAGGTCTTGCTTTTAGCCTATCTTGGCTTTTAATGTGCCTTCCTGACTAAGCTTAATCATTTCCAGCTTTTAATTTAAAGTAAGAGGCATGCAACTCTTTCTTGCACTTGAACACTTAGAGGCCATTTGTAAGGTTATTAATTGGCCTAATTTTAATATTGTTATATATCAGAAAATAGAGATATCCTAGGAGAGGGAGACAGAAGAGGGAATGGCTAGTCAGAGGAGCAGTCAGAACACACACAATATTTATTGATTATGCTCACCATCTTATATGGGCATGATTTGTACAGTCCTAAAACAATTACAGGCTGAGCACAGTGGCTCATGCCTGTAACTCCAGTGCATTGGGAGGCAGAGGTGGGAGGATCACTTGAGACCAGGAGTAGGAGACCAGCCTTGGCGACATAACAAGACCTAGTTTCTACCAAAAAAAAAAAAATATTAATTAGCTGGGCATGGTGTTGCATACTTGTATTCATGGCTACTTGGGAGGCTGATACAGAAGGATCATTGAGGTCCAGGAGTTCAGTGTTGCAATGAGCTATGATTGTGCCACTGCACTCCAACTCTGAGTGACAGAGCAAGATCCCATCTCAAACAAGCAAACAAAAATAGAACAATTACAATAGTAACATCAGGATCACTTATCATAGTTCACCATAACAGTTACAATAATAGTGAAAAGTTTAAAATATTATGAGAATTACCAAAATGTGACAGAGACATGAAGTGTGTGCATGCACTTGAAAAAATGACACTCACAGACTTGCTCGACTCAAGGTTGCTGCAAACATTCAATTTGTAAAAGTGCAATATTTGCAAAGTACAATAAAGCAAAGCACAATCAAAGGATGTATACCTATATTTTTGTTACACGATAGCAAAGAAATTATTACAAAGATCTGTAAAAACTTATGTAAGTTTTGGACTTGTACCTATAAAAATTATTGTTATATGATCACACTATAAAAATAAAACACAAAATTTAAGATTTAAATATTAAGTTTTAAACAATATTTCAGTCAAAATATCCTTTTTATTTGGTCTTTAAAGATGGATGCATGCGATTTGTTGCAACAAACCAATACTCTTTACAGACTTACATAGACCTGGTTCATGACGACTTCAATATAATTGATGAGAAGGGGAGCTAGAAATCTCTGGTAAAATGGTATGCTGCTGATTTATCATTTGGATTGTACGGAAATTAGTATGCCCACATTGTGTTCTTCATTTCTATTCAATGACACTGAGAAGCAATGTAAAGAAGATAGTCAAAATCACAATTGCTTATAATGAGGAAAAATAATTATCAGTCTAGTCCATAAAATTTCAACAGTCGCTGGCAGCAATAGTCACCTCAGTAGTCAATGAGCCAGCATAGAGACCATGTATGAAGATATCATATAATTATAAAATGTGTGTCAGGCATAAATAATAAATTAAACTTTGTTGATGACTTTTTCTAAGTATAGGTATTTGATATAATTCTATCCTGAAGTCTATTATCTTATTCTTAATTTTTTTCTAATTCTATTTCTTCTGTTCTTTCATACCTTTTATCATTTTATTAACATATTTACTCATTTACAATAAAGTTAACATTTTAAAATCTGTTCTGTGAGATATGTTTCCAGCATGCTCTCATATTCTGTAGGAAAGCAACTCTGTCCCTCTATTTTTGTTATAAACACATTTTATGGGCTTTGACCACAATACTGTTGTTGTTCATTTTTTCCTGTAAAAATAACATTCCTGAGTGTTCAGAATGAAGAATTTTCAAAATAGCCTTTCTAGTTTTACAGAGTACCCTCTTCTGTCATTTAAAAAAATATTGTTCTGAAAAATATTTAGTAACTTGGCTTTTCAGATTCCCTGGCTTTATTATCCTCCTCCACTTTTTTTTCTTGTCTTACTCTTCCCTTCATTTCCATGCTCCCTGTCATGCTCAATTATTTTTCTGCCCACTACTTTCTCTTTACTCTGGATTCCTGTGCTGAAACAGAGTTTCAGCAGCACAATTCAAGAGATGACAGGAGCTAGACTGCTTCCGCTTCATTTGTCCCCATTGCAAACTCTACTTTCTGATGTTATTGGAATGGACAAAACTAGTACTGATTCCACATTTTGGGGTTTCCTGTTTTCTGGTCTATCAGGGACTCTTAAACTTCCCTCTGCTCTGCTTTGTGTAGACATAGATAACATGCATATCTTTCAGCTACATGTTCCAACATGCTCTTTTGGGGAGTTACTTTAGATGACTGGTCACCAAATTTAATGTTAACACTGCCTTGGAATCCATGTTTTGCTACTTGCTTAATCACTTTGTTTTTAAGACAGGGTTTGCAGAGAGTAAAACCTGTGCTGAAGATATTGCCACTATCTTCCCAGAAGCTACTCGTTATTTCTTTTTTTAATTTAATACAATTATTTGGGGGATTGTTTTTCTATTAAACTATTAACTAAATCATTTTGGGTGGTTAGTAAATGTAAAAATTTTTCCATAAATCTCTATTAAACAATATGAGCATTTTAATGTATCTATGAATGTATATATGTATTCAATTATGTATGTCATTTGTGTTTTTCTCATCATATTTTTGTTATTTGATTATAGCTCTACTAGAACATAAAATACTTATTCAATAACTCAACTTTTAATAAATAATGAAGTAGATAATATTTACTTTTTTATTTTAAATTTCATTTGCAAGAGTGTCCTTTTTACATTAAATAATAATTTTGTCTCAATTAGAATTTAATTAAGAATGTAACTATCTTATTTCTTCATAAAAAATGAATCTTTAACTCACAAAGTGTCATTATAGATGTTTGTTACTGTTGTTGCTTTTGATTCCATTAATTCCTTCCTTTGCTTCATAAGTCAATTGGTTACACATTATTTTAATCTATTTGTAGTTTCTTAAGCAAAATATTACATATACTTATGTAATTTTTTATTTTTTACACTACATTTTAAGAGTTCCATAACATTAATTTTAAGCAAATATCTCTTGACTTTTTATTTTTGTTTGCAAATATTAACACATGTAAAAAATAAATAGAACTAAGACTATATGAACGTATTTTTTGAAAAATGTTAAATTCAAATAATATCAAACCCAGTTCGTGAATTGTAGAAAATTAATGAATGATGCCAAATTTTTAGCTATTTTGGCAAGCATACACTGTGATATGAAATAGTGCTTATACATAAGAAGCACTTGTAAGTGGACAAAAATAAGTCAATTTAAAAAATACTGTATTTATGGAATGCCAAAAAAGCAGATGACTTTTTTTTCCTTTTTCAGGTGCCTCTATGAGGTAATGAGCCCACAGTAAATTCACTGTTATTCTCCTGTGAAATTGACACTGCTCATCTTAAATACTGCTTAAAAAAGTCTACCAAAGCTTGCATAAATTACAGTCTTACTGTTTGAAGATATGAAATTAGAACTTAGGAATTCCTCAAATTTAATTTTAAACTCAATGCTCCCAGATGCACATCTTTCTGAACAGTCCATTAATCAGAATAGCTAGACACTATTCATCATAGTTCAGTGTAACAATTCTTTCATATGCTCCAATCTTTGTTGGGCTATACATTTTGAAAATTGCTTACTCTTGGGCATTTCCTCCATTTGAAGATAAAATATCATGCCATCAACCTAAAACCTCTTCTATAATGATCTGAAATGTACTTTTCATTTTTTAAAACATTCTGGCATGCTGACAAGATCAAATATTAAGCATTTGAATCATCACTGGCTTGAAAGATTTTATTATTAAAACATGCTTTCATCATTAGAAAATTCATTCAGATACATGGAAAAGAAAAAGATTTCTCATAATAGAAGAATACTGATGATACAGTAAAGATTGCATGTGAGAATTCTACTTGCTGTGACCCTTATGAGGCTTCAAAAGTCACATGAAGAAGGCAGAAACCATTATGCAATCAGAAACGCAGGGGCAGATACCCCACTAACTACGTAACTTCCCCATTCTAATAGAGAAACTTTTGTTGTATTATATCTTCTCTTATGTCCAATCATGTTTGTTACCTCCATTCCTTTAACAACCCAAAGTCCGGCGAAAAAATGAGACTAATAGTGAAAATCCTTACTTTGTATCTTGCAACAACATTTGTTAATAAAACTAGGACCACCTTCATCTCTGGTGACAAGCTGCATTTTGCCCCACAGACCCCTGACACGGAGCACTAGACAATGCAAATATACATATTAATTCTAGAAAATGTATGTGGTTTTTATGTCTCTGCACCACTGGCTTTTGTTTCTCCATCAGCTGCATCTGATTATCCAAGCCTCAATTCATTACCATAGCTGCAAGGGAGCCTTGGTAACCAGCATTCAACTTGTAAATTAAAATTCATTACCTGCTTCAAAAATAGAGAATTCCTGAAGCATAGACAGACAATTTGGATACCATGCAGGTACCAAGGATAGCAATCATAAGCCATTTAAAAAGTGTTTCTATTTATGTCAACAGTTATTTTTGCAAGCAGTATACAGCAGTCATATTATAGGTGTCCTTTATATAAACACTGGACTCAAGGAAGTTTTGCTTGTTTTTTGTTTGTTCTTAATGTTTTATGTGAACATGAAGGTAGGCTGATATAGTGAAATTCTTATAATTCTTTTTCTTATTATGGAACACACAATATGGAACACATAATAAATAAAAATAATGGTAGGTCACACTTTGGGGTGGTCTGCTGATTATTGGTGCTCCAGATTCAGCCCAGATGTCCCACTGTCCAAAGTTAATCAACAACTTGGCTCACCTGTCACCTAGTCATAGCATTTCACTTAGGAAGCTGTATTTATCTTTTGTGAATCATTTAATCAGTTGGATCTCATTTTCCTGTTTTCTAAAATGGGATTAAAATGCGTAAATATACATATATATATATATATATAGCTTAAGGAAATAAATATAAGGGTATCAAAATAAGTAGATATTGACTCAAAATAATTAAGATCCCATATAGCACCAAATAAAGTAGTTCAATATTAATGTTACTGTTATGTTACTGTGATGAAGTATACCTTCTATTAAGATTGCCTGTGTTGGTTTCAGAAATAGACATAAATAAAGTTGTGGGGTTTGTTTTTTTACTTTTTAATAATTAAAGGAAAAACAGATACATAGAAAAGTTGCAAAAAGAGTACAAAGAGTTTTTATATACTCCACATGCAGTTTTCCCTATTATTAACATTTTATATGAGTATGGTACATTTGTAATAATTAATGAACAAATATGTATGCATTATTTTTACAAATGCTCATACCATCTTCAGATTTTCTTAGTTTTTTATATAGTATTTCATAATTTCTTTCTTCTTGTCTGATATAGTTAATATGTATTGTTTATTCTGATCTGTATGAATTCTCATAAAATATGCAGTGTTCTTTAAATAAATGAATTTTTAATTGTATAAGTTATACTCTGCTATATTATTTTCTTACTTTTATCACTGGTAATTTTTAAGGTAAGACTTAGCATTGTGCTGTTACTTCTGTTACATTCATATATAATTTTACTTACCTGTTTCCCCTGTGATGAATAAATACACAGCCTTCACTCCCTGCTACCTCCAAAAAAACCAAACCAAACAAAAACAAATAAACAATAAGAATGAACATCATTATATTGTATTATGGATTTGTTTGAGAATTTACCTGAAACACGTACAAAAGTGAGATTTCAGACTTAGAAATTTTCCTTCTGCTTACATTGACTAAGGTCTTCCAGGCACTGTCTAGAATGGTTTCTCTATAGTACACTACTACAAGCACTTTTTATATTCCAGGTAACAATTGGCACTATCTATCAAATTAGGAAAGTTTCTTTTTATTACAAAATATATCAAATGCTTAAAAATAATGAAACATTTGATAATTTTTTTCTATTTTGGGTCAATAACAGAGTTAATTACATTGATTGGTTTTCTACAGCTTAACCATCTTTGCATTCTTCTGTAACAAAATTCTAAAATGACACCCCAGCTTCCTACGACCTGTAAACATGCCCTTTATACACCCCTCAACTGTATATAGGTAGGACATGATAGATTTTTACTTCCATGATTAGGTTACATTATACTACTAATGGAAAGGAATTTTGACATAATTAAATTCTCTAATTAGTTTACTTTAAGTTAGGGGATTATCTTGGGAGTATTTGAATTAATCAGTTGGGAGGGATTATCTTTGGCTGACCTGACTAGATCAGTTGGAAGTCTTTAAAAGAGGGCTTAGGCTCTCCGTAGAGACAGTGACTCTCCACTGTGGCAGAGATGTCTCCTTGCACTTGTGTGGTTCTATACTGCTCCTGATATTCTCTCCTGTATAGCCTGCCCTGTGCACTTCTGACATGTTTAGTCACCTTGCTCCCTTCATTTTGAAAGCCTGTTTCCTGTTATAAGTAATAAATGTATAAGTATTAAATAAATAAATAAATATTAGCTGGTTTTGTAAGTACATGTGAAACTATTCAAATTTTCTAAAATTAACAAAAATTTTACTAAGTTGTTGAATATGTATTTATTCTCAAAGATATTAGTATGGGTAAGCCACTGATACAGTACTTTCTTAAATGTATGCTTATTTCCCCTTTGGATCTTGTTTCATATTTTGCATTCAAAGTTCCTACCACATGAACCAATAAGCATTTTAAGCATATGGTTTCTTTCTCATTTGTGTTATTTTATTCACAATGTCAAAATAGTGAATATCAAATCCATTCATAATTAAGTTAAATAAACTTATTTTATTATAAGTAAAAGTAAACAATCCATTTTGAAACTCTTTTCAGTGTTTTCTCAGCATATTTTTACAAGATGTCAGACAAATTGTCATGGAAAATGACAAGTACTTGAAAACTGTGACTGATAAAGGAACACACACACAGAGATATACAAGAATGGTGATAATGCGTAAGATTTCTAGATTTTCATATTTAAATGGTTACATATTATAGAAAATGATTAAGCATTGTCTCTTGTTTATGTCCTATACTTATGTTCTTATATTCTATACATGATAATAAAACATTTTAAACACTTTTATATACATAAACTTGGAGATGTATGTTTTCACATTGCTTATTTAAACACCAGGTTTAATTATTTACTTTTAATAGTTTATTTCATTTGGCTTCTTTTTAGTATTAAGTTAGTATTTAGTATTAAGTTAGCCCAGTGGCTATTTGCTAGTCTTAATAAAATTATGAATGAAAAAATGAATCTTTACTAGCCATACGCCTTTGCATATTTATGAGAGATTAATAAGAAAATAAATGTACGATTTTACTTGGGATTTTTATTTATTTTATTTACATCTTTAGAGAGAGTCTGCTGAGAAATAATTTAGGGAATCATAGGTAGAGATAAAAAGATGTTGCATAATAAAATTGTTGATATGTATTTTATAGTATATTTCTTTTGTAGATACAGTTTTCATTAACTCCCTTTAAACTTGTTTATTTCTTTTAAACAATTTGCTGTCTAGGAAAGTATAAAATAAAATTATTAGTTCTCTGTGTTCAGATGCTTACTTAATGTGCTATGCATTCCCATATAGCCTTTCCCTAGGCTGTTTATTATAGCACCAGCAGATGAATTTTAGATGTCAGTTAATGATGCAAGAAGGGTCACAGTGATGATTTTTATTGGAAAATGGGATAGCCTAAGAAAATGAAAATCTAAATATATCCAATTTATATGGAATAGTTAAATAACTTCTTAAACTTTGTTCAAATGTTAAAGACTGCAGCAATTGCAGATTTCAATGAATACTTCATTATGAGCTTCCAGCACACACTCTCACATGTGTTTTTCCTGTTTGCCTATATTTTCTGCATCGATTTTGTTTTGAACAGTAGAAGTCTTTGGAAACCACTCTGAGATATAATATTGAAGAGACAAACTAAGAACTAGTTTATAACTATGAATGCATAACCAGAAGACAGTTTAGCATTAGCCAATAAAGTCTCAGTTGTAAACTAACATCCTGAACCCCCAAAATTAGAGCCACAGTTAACCCTACAGGAAAGGTCAATATCAAACACATACTAAGATTGAGAAGTATTTTTTTTCTTTTAACTCTAGCTTTGGCATATATAAATATTAAGTTTACTAATTAAAACATAATTTAAATATAATGCTACATTTATGGAGAAATGCATAATTTTGACTGGTAATTCACATTCTTATCAGTAGATGGTTGCTATCACTTAAATCACACCTGAGAATCAGAATGTATACCAAAAAGAGAGAAGGGAGATGATACTTCAGAGTATATCTTATGTGATATATGTTCTACATAAAATTATTATTCACAATCAGTCTGAGATGTAGTCATCATTCTCAACATTTTAGATGAGGTAACAGAGACTTGAAGATGGTGATTAACTTTTACAAATGTAAGGGTTGATTTGAACCCTGTTACATATGACTTCAAGGCCTGGGATCTTCTGACATGCTACTCTGCCTTCTAAAACAAGATGACTTAAGGTCAAAAGTATGCAACTGTATGTGTATATGTGTGTGTGTATTTTTTCTAAACTCTGTTTATATATATTTCACATATGGTAAAACACCTGTGGCTTGAATGTCTACATCTTTTAAAAATTTTGACAAATTCATACGCCCAGATAACCACCAACAAAATTAAGTCATAAAATACTTTCATTACTCCAAAATATTTCTTTCTCCTTCTTTTTCAATTAATTCCTCAACTTACAGAGCTAGGCACACCCTGAATATTATGGTTAAATAAGTGTTGTGTCTTCTAGCATTACATCTACAGAGATTGTACAATAGGTATAATTTGTGTCCAGTATCTAATCAAATGCTATTGTAAAGGCAAAAAGCAGGAGGATGTGATCTCTAACCAAAAAATAACACAAACAGCAAATTAAAACAGACCCACAGATCTGTATAACACAGATGATAGAATTATGGAACTAGCAGACAAGAATTTTTACTGTATAAGAATTTGTAATGCATCTGGTAGATTATGGGAATGCTATGATTTCCTGTCTTAGATCTTTAAACAAGTCAATGCTAGAAAAACTGGTGCTGTTAGGCCATTTTCCAGTCTTTTAAAAAAATATAAGAGAACAGGCTATAATTTGAAAAAATGCAAATTAACAGGAATATCCAACAGTTACAATATTTATATACTTGCAATTTTACTAAAATTGACTTTTCTTCTTTATCAATTTATATTTCCTGCCTACAAATTATATGTACTGCCCACAAGAAAATAATTTTGTTACTAATCTAAAAACACGTTTGTTTATATAAATATTTCATGTAAGGGGGATACAATAGTAGATATAAAATTTGAAAGTTACAGATCACTAAACAAATGTGCACTTACATTAGTATTTCTTTTTATTCTGAGCTCCACGCAGTCAGTTAATTTTGCATGAAAAATAATTCTTCTTTCAAATAATCGATTGTGGCTACTTTTCATTTTTAAAATTTATTTTTAAAAATTCAGACTTCGGTAATAAAAAAGTTATCAATCTAATGTTTCATGTTCTTTAAATTTACTGCACCATTATTTTGGAATACAATTAAGTCACTATTAAATAATTATGAATTTTAAAATTTCATTTGAAATAGCTTTTTTCAAATTAAATACCAATCTAACTAAAATATTTTCCATTGATCTATACATTAAGATCACAATAATATTTGTGTATTTGCACATTCCAAAATTTTTTATAACTTATTTCAATACTGAATATACAAACACGTGTCATGCACACACCCATTTTTTCTTTTTTGATCTTTTTTGATAACATTATTTGATTCATTTTTTGATAACATTATAAACTCTTTTTTTGTAATTCTGTCCATTAGAAATTATAGGCCACATTTTGCTCTTCTGTGAATGTTCTCTTATTGTTATTTAATATAATATATTTTAAATAAAAATTTATTTTTGGTATTGCTGCATTTATTGTAATGGAAATATTGTACTTGTCACTGGAAAATTCATAGAATTTTTTAAAATGTGATCTAGATATTATTTATTAAACATGCGCTAAGAGAATATATTATAAGAAAATCCTTCAACATGACAATAAACTACTCAAACTACTGTCCCAATCATACATTTATGTTGTTTAGTCTAAGATCTTCTTTATTAAAAGTATTGCAGTAAGACCCATGGTGATATCAGTATTTTGAGCATAGTTCTCATAATATAACTTGTTCTAACATATTTTGCACTGGACAGAAGAGCTATCAAAGTTATGGTGCATCCTTATTTATTTCGTCATGATTTTCTTCCCATTGTTTCGGTTAAGGTATTCACATAAACAACAAAATGTCCGCTAAATTTTAATGTAAAAGTCTTTTGAAATATTTTTCTACATTATAAAATAAATTAGCAACAAGACTAAAGTGATATTGTTTTCCCATCAAACTGTTTATTGTCCTTTCAGTCCACAAAACTGTAGTGCCTTTTCCCAGGAGAAAACCTTCAGCAAAGTAGGGACACTTCAGAGCACAGAATAGAAGAATTATAAAACTGTCATAGATGTCAGAATATATTGCAATCAGCAGCAGAGTAGCATTGCCTGGAAAACAGCCATTTCATCTAAGGAGTTCTTTATGGTCTGGTAAATTGCATTACATTTAAACAAAATAGAAATGACATTTCTACACAAAATAGTTTAATCACTCAGTACATGGTTAATTTTTCTGACATAACCTATTTCTTCATTTTAGGAAATGTGTGTGTGTGTTTTTTTATTTACTTGAATTCAAGAGAAAGTATGGAAATAAACTTTATTTTGCCAAAGGAGGTACAAACATTGCAAGAAAAGAAAAGGGAACAAAGCTCTTTTGTTTTGAAAAATCAATACAGACTTTTTCAAAGAGACTACAGAAAATAATTTTCGAATATTAAATGTAAATTCAGATAATCATGAGTGTGTTGACAGAAGAAGAGAGAAATAGGAAAAGAGAGAGAAGATAGAGAGTAGCAAATATTAAAATAGCAACATTAATATTGTTAATCAAAATTTGTCTTGCTCATTTAAAAATCTTGTATTCTGAATTGGGACCATTTTGAATAGAGACCAAATATATTGAATATGGTGTTCTTGTTAGCATGGTTCTCCTTTCTTCATTCACATTGTTATATTCTTCTTTGTTCTATTTTTTAACTTATGCTCACATTTCAAGGCATTGGACTCATTTGGTCGTGTCATTAAGAAATGGTGGATCCAGGATTTTATTATTTGATTATTGAGTGTTTTTCACATTCCAAAACAAATTAGTATTCCAGCTTTGCGGCTTACTGCTAGACACTGAATGCAGAGAGAACACATTATGCATTAGACCAGTTAAGAGGTTTTAAATCAGATTTGTGACTTGAAAGTTTGAATAAGAAAACTAATAGAACACAAAATGAAGCACAGGGAAAATTAGATTAATTATCTACATCATTCAGTGTGAACAGCTGCTCATGTACTGTGTTGTTGAGTGGTATTTTGGTATTAAAACAAGCCTTAATTTTTCCCATATTAAGTTGCAATAATTGATGTGAAAACATATATACACATTTACAGATCACAATATCTTGGAGTATTTTAAAAATAGAAGTATATTTGAATAAGTTATTCATATTTTTTCTCTGTCTCCTTCTCCTCCCTCACTCTCACTAATTAGGAATATTTGCCTTTGTGATAACCCAAATATTTATCTTGCGTATTTTTCTCCATTAACACAACTTAGATAACTTGCTAATTCAAGACACTATATACTGAATGCAAAGACACATGTTTTTCCTAGTCATTTTTATTTCCCAACCCACCTAAGAATATTATGTTCAATTCACCCAAAGAAAGTTTCAAAGAATAATAGCACCTGCAGAATCGCACATTTCAATGCAACAACAAAGATCAAAATCTCTTGATCTATTTTAGAGGCAACTACCTCTTCCTTTAGGCAATCTAGACAAATTGAACCAATCTTTTTTGTAAATCTGGTTCAGTTCAGATACCTTAAGTTCCTGTGTCACCTACATGCCTGTGTGTGTGTCTGTGTGTATGTGTATCCTTTGCTCTTGTTTCAGTCTTCTCTAAAGGCAGTGACATTGATATTTAATTGAAATAATTCCTGCTGGTACATAAAACATGCCTGAATAAACATCCACCTGTTCCTCATAAATGGCATCAGGTGCTCATTCTATGTGACAAGCTGTATTTTAATTTTAAATATTTATTTTTTAATACTCAACCTCAGTAGGGTATGATTGCCATAATGCCCCGTAGTTGGTAAAATAATGTGAGAACTAGGAAAGAAGGCTTACAATTTTTCCTCAATAATGAATGAAGCACAACAATTATTATTAAAGTAATTAAACATAAACACAAGATAGTTTCTAGTTAACATTTTTTTCAGAATTTTATAATTACATAAAGTCCGAATTAGAAGCAACCTGCTGCTAAACCCTCTAGAGAAAAACTAAGGATACTATAAATGATCTCAGTCTTTCTAAATATTTTTGTTTTTATATAATTTAAATATTTTGAATAAGTGTATTTTATTTCAGTTTAAATTTCAACTGATCAAGAATAAAATAATGAAGGCCTGTTTACCAAAGAAGGTGAGGTAGAAATATATGACTGGTTTAGATACTTGCAGGCAGAAGTATTGCTTTCATGGATAAAATAACACAAATATTAGATCATTAAATTAAACTAACACAAAGCAAATATTTTAGTCAGTATCTTTCCTTTTAAGTAATTATCCCTTTGAAACCAAAAACCACCAAACAAAAAATAATAATTGTAAGTAATGACTAAAGACAATATGCATGAGAAGAAGGTGTGGGAATACCTTTCCATCCCTCCAGGTCTTTTCCTGCCTAATTAGGATGCACTATGCCAAGATTAATAAAATATTTAAAATCTAAGTTTTATATGCATCTCCATTACTTAAATACAGTCAGTCTCGAAACAGCTCCACTTTATACTCAGATATTTACACAATTTATGGTATATTTCCACAAAGTATGCCTCGAAATTTTATGATTCCAAGTTTGTTTGCAATAGTTCTGTATAAAGTATATTCTGGTGAGAACTTTTAGATATACAAAAAAAAAACTCCCCAAGTGGCAATTAGATATACAAAAAATATCTCCCCAAGTGGCATGTTGTTATTCTAAATAAAATAATATTATCTATTTCAAAAAATGATTCTTCTCATTTATTGCTTAAAAGGTTCAAATCAGTCTGTCTAGAGCTCAAAAAGCTATGGGCTATGAATACATTAGAAAGAAAACCATATTACTATTAGTTGAAATAATGAATATTTTACGACCAGGAAGAAATGTTCAGTGACTTGCAAAAATCAGACTTGGAAGCAGTCTCCGGTGGAGGCAAGTCAGATCCTAAATCCAATGAATAACACGATTAACATGATAAGCATGGATCTATCGCTTATGAGATATGAACCACAAAAGATATATAAATATAATTACAAGTACTCTACCTTCAGGGATCATTCTATAATTCATTACAAATATGATTTCATCCCATGTTCATCCTATCATGAGTGCACACAGAAGATGGTGGATCAGAAAAGCAAACAACATAATTGAGTTCTCTGCACTGAGAACTTGGTTGCTCAGAAAATGAGTTAAACAATTGAATAACTATGGGTATACAGATAAAATGGAACTTGAGCACCATTGATCAAAGGGTTTGAGAAGGACATTTATGTAAATCAAATTCTATTGTTTTTCCTGTAAGTAACATGAGGTTCAGAAGACTCCTTCAGAAATAATCCTAACACTAAAATCCAAAATGTGGTAGAGAACTTAAAGCAGCAGTCAGGATTTCACTGAGGGTGACTCTTCATTTATCTTTGTTTGCTGCCAGTCCTGTCTCTGTGCCATATGTGTTCCTTAGAAAACTAGGGATAGAGTTTTCATTCTTTTTCTAAGTTTCCATTAGATTTCCTGGAGGAAGAAAAATACATTTACTTTAATGAAGAAAATTCTAGACTAGGTAACTAAATTTTATTTTCTTCTTTCAAGACACAGTAGGAAAATATGTGTTTTATTTTATTTATTATTGACACCAATGTTGTTGAAGGAATGATACCAATATCTTTATAATTGTTTTTATTAAAAATTAAGTAACAAAAAGGATAAGATTATTGTGCTTTACTTGCCCAGGTGGCCACAGCAAACATATAACATTAGCATTGAATAACACGTACATATGGCATCAAAATACAAGATACAAGTATGCCTCAGAGATATTTCAGGTTCAGTTCTGGACTACCACAATAAAGTTAACATAATAAAGTGAGTCACATTAATTTTTTTGGTATCTCGGTGTACATAAAAGTTATGTTTATACTTACCGTAGTCTATTAAGTATGCAATAACATTTTGTATAATGGAAAATAGATACTTTAAATAAAAACATACTTTGTTGGTTAAAAAAAAACAAAACACGCTAATAAAGTGAGCATATGCTGTTTGAAAAATGGCACTGATAGAGTTGCTCAATGCAGGGTTTCCATGAGACTTTAATTTGTAAAAGTGGACACTCTTCCAAGCACAATAAAATGAAGCACAATAAAACAAGGTATGCCTGTACTTAGACTAACTCATTGCCTCAGAAAATAATGTATTAAATGTAATTTGGAGAGAAGCACTTCCAGAATGGCAGAGGACGGTTTTTCATGAACGCTCTCTCCAGTGAAACAACTACTAACTTCTGAAAATTAATAATACATTTCTGAAATTGTCCTATAAGCAAACAACAAATGAAGAATATTTGTTCAATAATGAAACTTTGATGATAAAATATTCATTTGTTCTTACTAAATCTCGTAAAAACAATTAGAGTGTGTGAGTGTTGAGCCACTTCCTTCCTTCTCTGGCAGTGTGATGGAAGCTATACTTTGGGTAGGTATAAGTCTGAAGACAGGGCTTTCTGTCTCCAGCAGCTGCCAATATAATAGTTTATTTCTGGTGAAAGAAGAAAACAAGAATTTCTTATCTCCTTCCCCAGATTTGTGCTGCAGCTTTATTCCAGGCAAGCAGAGCAGGATACAGCAGAGCAGTCTGCTTTCATCTACCCAGACCCTACTCCTAGTGTGAAAGACTATACCAGCTGTGGTAGGTTGAGAATCCCAGAGATGAATCCCTATCGCAACTTGCTCATATGGCAGTTTTTCTATGTTTGGAAGAGCAAGTCAAGTAACTGGGTTATCATCCATGTCAGTACCCTGCTTTCAGAGTATCAGCATCACTGAGACAAAGGGGCCACTGTCCATGCACCCAGTTCTGGGGCAGTACCACATTGGTTCTTCCCAAGTGGAGCATTAGGCCATAATTGCAAATAAATCTGCATTTTTTCATATAGTAATTAACTTCATTTGGAGCAGATCTTGGGAAACTCCAAGCCTAAGGACATAGTCAGAAAATGGAGATGTTGGTGGTAAGTAATTAAGAGGAGACTGACAGGTCCCTAAGAGCACCAAGAGAAATTATAGACTAGCCAGCTGTTTATCAGAGAAAATGAAAGGAAATGCAGTTAAAAAGAACCTTCCTAGCATTGGAGTAAGGCCCAAAGACTACCTCTGCAAAGGAGATTGACTTAATTGAACAGTTGTATAACATTTTATGCACCAGGGCATTGTCAAAGACAACACAGCAATCAACTAATAATCATTAGAGAAAAATAACTGGCTGTAATACTACAAAAGTCTAACCAGGCAAAAAGTCATCCACAACGTATGGGGTATCAGGAAGGTGGTGCAACGTCTGAGGCGCAACATCATTGGCTTGATATTGCAAAGGATGGACACTGCACTGAAAGAATCTATTAAAATCATAAAGAAACAAAGAAGACATAACAAATAGTTTCTAATGAAAAATCAAGAGACATTGAAAAAGAACACAGGAAAGTGTGACTCATACACAGAAATATAAATCAAGCAACACACTGTCTTTGAAGTGGTCAAAATGTTGTACTTAACAGAACAAAAGAGTTTGAAGTGCTATTCCTAATCCATTAAATAACTAAAGGCTGAAAACTTCCAAATTTCCTGAAAACTTTGATGTGTACAGTCAAGCTGCTCAAGTAACTCCAAGGGGGATATCATAAAGTGATCCACAAGGCACACTTTATAGTGAAAATATGAAAGACAAAGAGAAACAGAAAATCTTGAAAGCAGCAAATGACAAATGCCTTGTCACATACAACGAACTTTAAAGTAACAGCTGATTTCTCACAGAAACAATGGAGTCCAAAAGGCAGTGGTATGACAAATGCAAAAAGATGACAGACAAAATTCCTGTCAGAATAGAATCTTACATCTGATAACAGCAACTAAGAGTTTTCACTGCTACTGGGTATGTCATATTAAAAATAATTATTTGAGTCCAAAGCAAGTGACACCGGATGATAATCTGAATCAACATAGAAATGCAAGTGATTCTAGATGATAATCCACATAGAATCCACATAGAAGGTCAAAGAGTTACATAAAAGATAGTTGTGTAGATAATTGTAGAAGACATTCTGATTGCATATTTCTTATTTTTCTTCTTAACTTATTTAAAAAGCAATTGTATATAACAATGTGCATATATTTGTATGCTAAGGCAATAACATATACAATATGTGTTTGACAACTTACATCCTAATGAAGACAAGTTAGACCAAGTTGTATTGGTGGAAGAAAACTACACAAGTTAGTAAGAGGGAATACAAAGAAAAATATATAAACATTATATCTGTAAATGCCCACATTTAAAAGGTATCTAAAATATACAAAATAACATTCCAACTTAAGAGACTGGAAAATACAATGACAAACTAAACCTCAAGTCACCAGATATAATGAAATAATAAAGATGATAACAGGAGCAAGATGAATATTAAATGGAGATTAGGAAAAACTGCTAGAGAATAGCTTTTAAAAATCAATAATTGGCTTCTTGAAAAAAATCAGCAAAATAGATAAACATAATCCAGAGAGAGAGAGAGAAATAAGACTCAAATTACTAAAATAATAAATAAAAGACATCCTTTATATTTAGGTGAGTTAATCACTACTGACTTTACCTAAAAGAAAAGAAGTATATGTGAATACTATGAGTAATTATAAAACAGAAAATTAGATGTTAATTGAAATGTATAAAAATCCATAGAAAGATGTACATTACTAAAGCTTACTCAAGAAGAAATAGGCAATAATAACACAAATACAACAATAAAATTGAATTAATAGTTTTAATACTTTCCGTATAAAAAGTCCAAACCAGGTAGTGTCACTGCTGAATGCTACTAAACATTCAAAAAGTATTAATAACAAGTCTTCATAAACTCATTCAAAAACTAGAAAAAAATGAGCTATTTTATAATTAATTCTGTGAGGGCAGCATTAGCCTGATAATAAAATCAAAGACATTCCAAGAAGTTAAAACTGCAGACCATGATCTCTTGTAAATATATACACAAACAGCCCTTAACAAAATACTAGCAAATCTAATCCAGCAGCATATCAAAAGAATTACATATCATGACCAAGTATGATTTATCCCAGCAATTCGTTTGATTTTACATACAGAAATCAATGTATCATATTGATATAATAAAGGTATTTATCAATCACATTATCTCACAGAAACATAATAAGCATTTGAGACTTAGTATCCATTTTTAGACAAAACACTCAACTAATTTGGAATGTTCAACATCATAAAGGGCATCCATAAACAAAATCATCCATAACCTCATACTTAATGTGAAAGGCTAAAGGCTTTCCTCTAAGATAAGAAACAAGAAAAGGATGTCCTCTTTTACCACTTGTATTTAACATTGCACTAGAGGTTTTAGCCACAACAATTAGGCAAGTGAAAGAAATAGCAGGTATTTAGATTAGAAAGGATAAACTAAAACTAGCTTTATTTCAGATGATAAGTTTTCTTATAAAAAAATTCTAAGAAATCCAACAAAAATTTGGAACTAATATTCTCAACAAGGTTGAGTCTCCGTACTCCTTAGTTCGGCTAGGTCTGAGTTCTTGTTCCACAACCAAGAACAATAAGACACGCAGACACCGGAGAGTGAGTAAGGCAGCGTAGGATTTATTAAGCAACAGAAAAGCTCTCAGCAGTGAGAGGGGACCCAAAGAGAGTTGCCAGAAGTGGGGCTGAATTCTGGGTCTTTTATGTGGCAAAGACAAGTAAGTCCTCTGTGGGTTCTATACTAAGAGGACAGGTAAAGTTCCCCCATAAGAGTGCTGCATTTGCACATGCCTGGGATTGGCTATAGCTACCCCATCTTGGTTATTACCCATGATTATGAGTACCTAAATGAAACCCACAGGGAACTAAAACCACAAAACTAATGTCATGTTAATGATATTATAATGAGGAATTATCTGGGTTAAGTTAAAGACATTTCAGTTCATTTATTGTCCCTGCACCTAGGTTGGGACAGTCCCTTCCGAGCAAACATCCTAGCTAGAGAAAGTTCTTAGCTACATTTCTTTTCACTAACTACAAGGGTGGTGCAGGTGCGGTTCCACAGATGTATTTCCTCTCCTGAGACCCTCCCTCTCTAGCTGCCTAGCTGGCTTCTAACTGCCTCCTCTCTCAGTAGAATATACAATATAGAAAAATCAATTGTATTTCCATACAAAAGCAGTAAACAATCAAAAAATAAAATGTAAAACATAATTTTATTTATAAGATAATCAAAAAGAATACAATACTCAGTGATAAATTTATCTATAAGAGTGTAAAACATGCATTCTGAAAGCTACAAAACATCACTGAGAAAAATTAAAGAAGGCCTAAATAAATGGAAAGATATCCCTTATTCATGGATTAGAAGACAAGCTTAGGAGAAATCGTTGTGATTGTATGAAAACCTGAAAAATAATTGAAATAAGTATGAAGAAAGAAAGAATGGGAAGAGATAGAAAGAGCCATTAGATAGATAGATTATCTCAATTGAGTTAAAACATTAAGTAGAACATTAACATAACTTCAAAGATAGAAGACTGAGAGAAGACTACATGTACAATTTAACAGCAAAAAGCCTCAAATTGAGCTATGTGTCTTAATTAACATTCTCTTGTAAACATAATGAATAAATTAGCTCTTTTTATTATAATGGAAAATTAATGAAAATTTTGCTCATCGTAACAAGGATTTGCTCTAGTGAAGAGACAGTGCTCAGTGTGGAACCTATTATTTTTCTTTTAATTTCTTCCTTGTAGTTAACTTTTTAAATCATATCTTTCAAGATAAAAAGACAAAAAATTAGTTTTAAAATTAATACTTCAAAATTTTCTATTCAAATGATGATTATTATTATGAAAAAATATGGTGGTAAATGTTCAGGTTCTATGATTCTAACAACAAATATACTTTAACTGTATTGTCTATGATTAAAGAAACTGAATAATAATATCTTATTTTCTTTGAATCACCGTAAGAGAGTATTATAGACTGGTGGATTCAAAGCAGTTCTGGAGTCTGGGAAGTCCAAGATCAAGGTCCTGGTAGATTTGGTGTATGGTTGAGGGCCCACTTCCTCATTGACAGCCTTCTCTTCGCTCTAACCTCACATGACAGAAGGTGCCAGGGGTCCCTCTCAAGCCTCTTTTATAAAAGTACTAATCTAATTCATGAAAGTTCTGCCGCATAACCTAACCAAAGGCTCCAGCTCCTAAAACCATTACCTTGGGGATGAAGATGAGGATTTCAATTTATGCACTTGAGGAGACTTAAACATTCAGACCACAGTAGTCAGATAAATATTTTAAAAACTCAAACATAGGTAGGTTAAAACCATTAGGTAGAACAAAACAGTTATTATATTAGTGGTTCTTTAGAATTCTCTTTTTTAGTTGTACTAGCTCACTTGACAGTGTCTTTTCTTTTTATATATTAGTATTGCAACAGTGTCTGAGAAATTAAAATAGTGTAATTGTTATTTTAGTCATTCATTATCCTTGCATTTTAACATTGCTAACAAAGTGACTTTGTCTTAATTGGTCAATTAATAACCCCTTTGTATTATTAAGTAATATGTACCTACTGCAAAGGTTACAGAAAACACATATAAATAGAATTTTTAAAAGTACAAATAAATCACCCTACCTAGACTTAGTCAGTAATCATATTTTGCTTTATTTTCTTTCAGCATAATTTCTGTAGAGTCTTGCCTCATGTATTTTCCAGAACACCTGGATATATGTGTATGTCTGTGTCTGTACATTAGAAGGAAACTTTATTGCATAATTATTAATCAGTTTGATCTAAATTTAATTAGAATGTTATTGAGTCATATTTCAGCTTTTTCATACTCTTATATATTTTTCTAATAGTAAAAATCATAGCTTAAGTACACATTCCATCCCAACTCTCTTTTGTGCCAGCTTCCTAGAGTGACAGTGTGTTTGTAATTTTACACCTAACATCTACTTTAACTTTTGACAAATGTGTTTATAAAAATATTTGCATATTAAAGGCAATTATTAGACAAAGAAGATGTTAAAGGCAGTCAAACTGCAACAAAGAAGGAAAACAGATTACCACAAGGCAATCACATGAAAGAAAGTGCAGTATATTGGCTCATTCGCTAAAATAAAAGATGGCTGAACCTGAACAGTACAGATTGAAAAACTCTATTACAGAAAGGACATCACTAAACTTAATTGTTCTGAATTTATGTTTCTATTAAATCAGAAATCACTTAATAAGTATAATAGGACTTCAGCTAATAAATGAGAATGATAGTCTTCTTGATGGGATTCTGTAATTTTGTATAGTAGCAAACCTCTAAGGAAAACATTTTTTGAGTAATTAGAATTTTTCTAGGTTAAATGCTCTCAAGAGTGACATAAGAAAGGATTCTGTTTATTAACTGGCAAGAGAGGGTGACATCTGATTGATATGTATCAGAATGGTGATCTAAACACACAGAAAAGCATACAAGTCTTCTCAAGTGATTTTTAAACAATATGATCTTACTGTATATCCCTAATGGAATATAAGGGTGAAGAAAAAAACTACAAAGAAATTCTAAAGTTTTCTCAGCAGTCTTTTATTATTGATATTTTAATTATAGTTTAATAAACACTTCATAAGTGATGTTGCATGACATGATAAGTAAATCTATTCATGTTATTAATGATCACATAAATTGGTATATGTTAAAAGGACTACAGATAACAAATTAAATAATTTCTACATACTCAATTTAATTTTAAATTGCTTTATTTATCTGTCTAATTGTCTGTGAATTTTAAAAGGTGTATTTTTTTCCAAACCTTTTTCATGGACGAGGTTTAGATGCAAAAATACCCCAATAGAAATAAATACGTGTAGTTTACAGATTTTGTTTCATAGTATAATTTTCCCCTAATAAGATCTAACATTGCTAGGATAAATGGTTTATGCCAGTTCTGGGCCATAAGAGTTCCAGAAAAGCCTTTAGCACCTTGGCCTAGAGAACAAGGAAGGCTCAGATGAAAGAAGGTTTAAAAAGGATCCAGAGGCAAGATTCTTGGTACTCAAAACACATATTTAAGCATTAGATAAGTCTAATGTATTGTAAAATATTTAAAAATATAAACCAATGAGTCTATAGTAATATCCAAAAATGGGCTAATAAAGACTCATTTTAAACCATTTGACGCATCTATGACACCACATGTTTACTCAGAAGATTCATTGTTGGAGGAAATAAGCATGCATTCCGCATTTAAGAAAGATCATATTTGATGTAGGATATCACTTGCTTAAAAAAGATCGTCAGCTAATCATATAAAAGAAATGATTAGACTAGAAAGTTATGACTATAAAATTTCACACAAAATAGCCACTGGAATTAATATGGAAAAATCCAGAGAAAAACATAGTTCACATCCCTTCAATGTATGTTAGAGCAGAGATTACTTTCTAAGTACAAAAAAAAAGTCCATTTACATTAGAGACAACTTGAGCCACCATTTTAATCAAGTGATCATACATTAGCATCATTAACATTGAGATTCTGATACTATGTAATATTTGAGGTGTTGCAACATAAGGTGACTTGTAACATCTATGGAGTTATTACCAAAAAATTATACCTGAATTTAATGAAATAATTAGATGTATATTTCTCTTTATAAGAATATAGGGGGCCAGGTGTGATGGCTCACACCTGTAATTCCAGCACCTCTGGAGGCCAAGGCGGGCTGATCACCTGAGGTCAGGAGTTCGAGACCAGACTGGTCAACATGGTGAAACCCTGTTTCTACTAAAAATACAAAAATTAGCCAGGTGTGGTGGCGGGCGCCTGTAGTCCCAGCTACTCGGGAGGCTGAGGCAGGAGAATTGCTTGAACCTGGGAGGCAGAGATTGCAGTGAGCCGAGATCATGCCATTGCACTCCAGCCTGGGCAACAGAGCAAGACTCAGTCTCAAAAGAAAAAAATAGGGATAAAAGAAAACAAATTAATTGAACTGAAGCAATCTATATGGTAGATTTTAATTGCTGACCTGTTTTGTCATCAATTACAAAATTAAATTAATTTTTTTATTTCAAGTGAAGCTGTCTCATTTAATAAACCCCAAAACAGTGATCTCTTCATGACTTTCTTTCATCTATTTATATTTTTCTCATTATTATCTTAATTTATAATCACTCAAGATTATATGAGTTCAGAAATGGGAGGCCATAGTCTGGTATTCATCTAAAAAGAAGTAAAAGAAACAAAGAATAGAAGAAAGCAAGGAAGGAAGACAAAAAAACAAGGTGAAATCAATAAGTTTATACATCAATAAAGGTTTAGGAGAAATATGATAATTAAGATTAAGATGTAAAGAGAGAGAATGTAATTATGGTGCACGTTTTCTGTTTTCTCCTTGTACAAAACAGGCCATTGATTCATATTCATATTCATATGTAGAAGTATTTTAATGACCATGATCATTATATAGAGTCATAAAATTGGTAAGTACTTATTTTTCAACTTAATGACAATTTAAAATACTGAGAAAAAGGAGAAAATGGTAGGATTTTTCCTTATGACCGATAAAATCTTGTCTAAAAATCTGTTAAACTGATTTTTCTTCAAGACCTAAGAAAACAAACTAAAATATCCTTGTATTAGTTTGTTGTCACACTGTATTAAAGATAATATCCAAACTGCATAATTTATAAAGGAAAGAGGTTTAATTCACTCACAGTTCCGCATGCCTGGGGAAGCCTCAGGAAACTTGCAATCATGGTGGCAAGTGGGAGGTGAAGGGGAAGCAAGGCATGTCTTATATGGCAGCAGGCAAGACAGAAGAGCACAGTGGGGAACTGCCAAGCACATTTTAAACACATCAGATCTTGTGAGTACTTGCTCACTATCATGAGAACAGCATGGGGGAAACCACCCCCATGATCCAATCACCACCCATCAGATCTGTCAATTGACACATGGGGATTACAATTTGAGATGAGATTTGGGTGGGGACACAGAGCCAAACCATATCAATCATTTTCTTATAAAATGTAATTGAATATTGCAAGTCAAATTTCTGTCTTTATAGGTAATTAATTTGTTATTATAGCACTAGGCTTTAAAATTCATAGATATACATACACATTAACCTCCTGTTGATCTTGCCAATGATCATATTTCCTGACAGGAGGAGTAATTCTTTCCACTATAGGAAACACCCAAGCCAGGCAAGCCAAAGAGCAAAACCTAAAGTGAAAAATCACCATGACATTTTTCAATAGTAGGGTCTATTTGTGCCTGAACACAGTTCTATTTTGGGGATTTCCAGGTGATCGTAGCCAATTAAGTTATTTTTTTTTTTTTTTTTTCCTGCATGGAGTTGAATTTTGGTCACTAGTACTAGCAGAATCCTGACTACAAAAATCAAGCCGTACAGATTTTAGTAAAAATTTCTGGGAGAGTTCCAAAATATGGAAAGGCTAATATCAATTGGTCTGGGAGACTAACTAATTTAAAAAAAAAAAGAAGAAGAAGCATAAGAGGAAGATGAAATAGCCTGGTTATCAAAGAGTATTTTGGAGTATATGTAGGGAAGATAATGATTCAATGTAATATTTTAACTTCAATTTTGCAATATTGAGTGTGACATAACCCTATCTTCTGTAACCCTCATTGCAGTCCACAGTGGCAAAATTGATTCTGGGGAAGAAATAGTTCACCTTGAAAGAATAATTATTAATAAAAATTGTGATATATGACCTATTTTGGGAAACATGTTAGGACTGGTTGCAATACTGTTAAAAAAATTACTAAACAGAAATGGAGTCAGGGTGGTTAGAAAATGTTTCATGATTACCATTCTTATATTAAAACAAAAAAGGAAGCAGGAACAAACATATATTTAAATACCTCTGAAGGAAACTAATTGTAAAGCAGAGATATTCAGTGTTTGAAAAAGCCCATTATGATTAAACTCACAAAATGAGAACATTTGCTGTGAAGGTTAATGTACTATCTATTACTTATTCAAATGCATTTAGCCATTGTCACAGATTTTGGAATTGAGCTAGATATATCATACACAGGAGAATACGTTACTTTGAAATACCCCTACACTTCAGAAAAGATAAGGGTGAAATCCAAGGTAAGACTCCTTTTATGCTATTTGTTGTTCTGTACTAGGAGCAGGAGGAGTTTTGCATATTCATATCATTGTGTGCATGAATATTAAAAGAGACTTTTACATTGATATCTTATTTCCTCCAGCAAAGTCAAAAAGGAAAATTTGAAAATAGTTAGTATTTAGCTTCTATGTTGATCATTACCAGAGAAGGTTATTATTATCTGACATTGAACCAAGACATGCCTTTTTAACATTCTGTACCATTGTCATAGCCAGTTGAAAAGCATAAAAGAACAAAACCGTAAGGATAAATAATAAAAGAAAATAAATGCAGAAAAGGATAAAAGAACTGTTTCTTATGTTAGATTTTACTTCTAAAACATTGTCTCCTAACCTTTATTAAAGCAAATAATTAACATGAACCATATGCAGGGAGAACTCAGTAGTAGCACGTGAAGTACAGTTTTATAAATCTAGTATGAAGAATATTGTACACTTAATATTTAAAGAGCTTAGCTTTTCAGTCTCAGAATATATCACTGTAGCAGAATATATTTCTTAAAAATCAGGCAACCTGGGTCTCCTTAATGTTGTTTTTTTTAATTTAAAAATTATTTTAATCATACTGAGAGAATTGCAGCTTACCTGTCTTTTACAATACCAGAAAAACAATTAGTTTCAGTAAAGCACTTTGAACAACTTTCTATTTGGAAAAATTTGTTGCACAGTCACTAAAAATGCTGATATATTGCAGCTTAGAAGGTGAAATTTATCTTAGATAGTACTGATAAAGCAGCAGAAAATGACATTACCTTAAACTTGCTTCACTGGTTCCCATCAAAAGAGTCTTAAGGGGATTTAAGGTAACTCTCAATCTTACCATCCTTTCTAGGAGAAAATCTGTCAGAACTCTGTCGTGACTTAGATACACGTTCCCCTTCCTGAGGAAAGTTCCCTGACTGCTCAGTAATGCAAGTCCCAAGTGGAGTCATAAATCTTATTTGGACAGTAAAGTTGTAGTCTGAACCAAGAAGATTTGGAATGTGTGTTCCTTTGAGCTGGAGTATTCTATAGTTATGCACTTTATTTTATTTTGTATTATGGGAACTGTTGACACAAATGTGTTTACATATATACATATTTTATCCAAAAGAAAAAAATCTGAAAAAAGTAGGACTCCCAATATTTATAAAGAAGTGATGGGAAATTATTAGTAGTAATTACCCAACACCATTTGAAACTCAAATTTTTAAGACAAAATGTTGATAACAAGAGACACTAAGGAAAAAATGGTTCTGTTAGAACAGGCCAGACACTTGAGGCTCATCTGAAGGGCATTGGATCTTGATCAACGGTTGTTAGAATAAGTTTCAGAAAATTTTAGTTGCCTTTAAATGACACAGGATTCTTGGACAAAAAAAAAAAAAAAAATCTTTTAGGAAGAGTTGGCCTTTGTAACTCCATTTTATTCTGTCTTGCATGAAGTATAGTGTGCATGGCACACTCAGCAGATCCCACAGAATTCCAAACCTAACCCTATTTATAATATTTCCGCACATTGAATGAGTTCAGGAATGTGTTTGTAGTGAAGAGAGATACTGATGGTTAACAGATTTCTAGGGTATGTCGACCTAATGGAAAAGAGTGAGGCAAAATGAATACAGGTAGAGAGCTTATTTGGGCCAAGTTTGAGGACTGCAACCAGGAGCATAGATACAAGTTGCCCTGAATATAAAAACTCCAGTTAGCAGCAGTTAACAAATAGGTCTTTAAAGGGAAAGTTCCTAGGTTGTTTACCAAGAATTCACATCAAAATAACACAAGATGTTGATTGACTATATATTATTCTTTGTATCACAAATTCAGAAGCATGAAGATAATGGTGAGTGAGGCAACTAGTCAAAAACAAAATGCCTTTAAACAGTTGCCCCCAGGCATGAGTGGTAGAAGGAGGGGTGAACAAATCCTCATACTCATGTCTCTCTGGGCCTGATGAATTTTCCATACTTCACATAGCTCAGACTGCTCTGAGCTATTTTTTCTTTTCTTAGTTGAATGACATAATTATCTAGCATAATTATCGTTAATGTAAAAAGAAAGATTATTTGGTCCTGCTGAATCCCTATGTGTTTCCACAGCCCAAGTTGGTGAAGGTGTAGCCATTGCATAGTGGGTTTGCCATCAGAAATTGGCTGACATGGATATTAGCACTGCATAGTGTTCAGTTACATAGGTAAAAGTTAATTGCCCTGCTGAGTTTCTAGTCTCCAGGGATTCACCAATTTTTCTGTCCAAAAATTAAAGAAACACCAAACAAATATGTACATATATAGCATATCACAATGAGCTCAGAGACACAATACAGAATGCAATTATCCACAACTGAGAAGTCATGTAATCTTTTAGTATTGCTGAGATTTTTATCTATTGTAGCTGTTTTCTTCAAGGTTCTATGACTTTTATCTAGTTTTCCTTTTTGTTATATATTGCAGTATTCTCTTAAGGTTAATACCTTTAACAAAATGAATTTTTAAATATTTTATTGTTATAATTTATTTCCAAGCAGTATCCTTAGAAAATACTGATTAAAAAGGTTTTGAAAGTGAGTTACAGTGTCATTCATGTCATATTTACCCAATCAAGAAGTCAGTAACTATATTTGAAAACCTGCAAGAACACAAATATCTGGAAACAATTATTCTCTGAGTGCTTTGGGTTTAACTAAAAAACAAAATAAAACAAAAATAAGCCCCCCCACACACACACTTTTAACATATTATCTTGCAATGAGATTTTTGTTGTCATAGAAGAAAAGGTATTGATATGGTTTGGCTCTGTGTCCTCACCCAACTCTCATGTGAAATTGTAACCCCTAAAGTTGTAGGAGAGGCCTGGTGGGAGGTGATTGGATCATGGGTGCAGACTTGTGCTTGTGATAGTAAGTTAGTTATCAAGAGATCTGGTTGTTTAACAGTGTGTAACACTTCCCTCCTCACTATCTCTCTCTCTCCTGCAAGCCATGTGCTTGCTTCCTATTCACCTTTTGTCATGATTGTAAGTTTCCTGAGGCCTCCCCAGAAGCAGAACCCTATAGAGACTGCAGAAGTATAAACTGATTCATCTTTTTCTTACAAATTACCCAGTCTCAGGTAGTTTTTTATAGCAGTTTGAGAATGAACTAACACAGAAAATTGGTACCAGAGAAATGGGGCATTGCTGTAAAGATACCTGAAAGTGTGGAAGTGACTTTGGAACTGGGTAACAGGCAGAGGTTGGAACAGTTTGAAGGGCTCAGAAGAAGACAGGAAGATGAGGGAAAGTTTGGAACTTCCTAGAGACTTGTTAAATTTTTCTGACTAAAATGCTGATAGTGATATGGACAGCAAAGTCCAGGCTGAAAAGATCTCAGATGGAGATGAGGAGCTTATTGGGAACTGGAGTAAAGGTCTCTCTTGCTATGCTTTAGCAAAGACATTCATGGCATTTTTGCCCCTGCCCTAGAGATCTGTGTGACTTTGAGCTTGAGAGAGATGATTTAGAATATCTGGTGAAAGAAATTCCTAAGCAGCAGAGCATTCAAGAGGTAGCCTGCCTGGTACTAATAGTATATGCTTACATTCGTGAGCATAAAAATTTGGAAAATTTGCAGCCTGGCCATGTGGTAGAAAAGAAAACCCATTTTGTGGGGAGGAATTCAAGCCAGCTGCAGAAATTTGCATAAGTAAGGAAGAGTCAAATCTTACTAGCCAAGACCATGGGGAAAATATCTCCAAGGCATTTTAGAGATCTTTGCAGCAGGCCTTCCTATTACAGGCCTGGAGGCCCAGGAGGGAAAAATGGTTTCATGAGCCAGGCCCAGTGTCCTGCTATTCTGTGCAGCCTCAGGACACAGCACCATGCATCCCAGACACTCCAGCTTCAGCTATAGCTACAAGGGCCCCAGATAAATCCCAGGCTGTTGCTTCAGAGGGTGCAAGACCCATGCCTAGGTGGCTTCCATGTAGAGTTAATCCTGAGAAGTGCAGAGGGCAAGAGTTAAGGCTGAGGAGCCTCTGCTGAGATTTCAGAGGATGTATGGAAACACCTGGATGTCCAGGTATTCACCTGCTGCAGGGATGGATCCCTCATGAAGAACCCCTATTAGAGCAGTGCGGAGGGGAAATGTGGGGTTGGAGTCCTCTCACAGATTCCCCACTGGGGTACTGCCTAGTGGAGCTGTGAAAAGAGGACTACCATCCTCTAGACCCTGGAATTGTAAGTCCACTGACAGCTTGTACCATGTACCTGGTAAAGCCACAGGTACTCAAAGCCAGCACATGAAAGCAGCCATGGGTGTTATACCTAGCAAAGCCACAGAGGCAGAGATGCCCAAGTGGGAGACTTTGGGAGCCTACCCATTGTGTCTAAGAGGCCTGGATGTGAGACATGGAGTCAAAAATGCTTATTTTGGAGCTTTAAGATTTAATAACTACCTTGCTGGGTTTCAGACATGCATGTGGCCTATATAGCTTTTTTGTTTTGACTGATTGCTCCCTCTTGGAATGGGTCTATTTACACAATGCCTTTACCCCTATTGCATCTTGGAAGTAACTAACTTATTTTTTGTTTTACAGGCTCATAGGCAGAAGGGACTTGTCCTGTCTCAGATGAGACTTTGACTTGGACTTTTGAATTAATGTTAGAATAAGTTAAGACTTTGGGGTATTATTGTTAGGAAGACATAATTGTGTTTTGAAATGTGAGAAGGACGTGAGATTTGGGAGGGGCCAGGCGTGAAATGATATGGTTTGGCTCTCTGTCCCCACCCAAAGCTCATGTCGAATTGTAAACCTCAGTGTGGGAGGAGCAGTCTGTTGGCAGGTGATTGGATTATAGGGACAGACTTCCCCCTTACTGTTCTTGTGATAGTGAGTCAGTTTTAAAGAGATCTGCTTGTTTAAAAGTGTGTAGCACTTCCCTCTTCATGATTTCTCTTTCCTGTCACCTATGTGAACATGTACTTTCTTCCCCTTTGCCTTCTGCCATGATTGTAAGTTTCCTGCGTCCTCCACAGAAACAGCAGCCTGTATAGCCCAGGGAACTGTGAGCTTATTAAACCTCTTTTCTTCATAAATTACCCAGTCTCAGGTAGTTCTTTATAGCAGTGCAAGAACAAATGAATACAGGTATTTTCAACATAAATGTTAAAATATATCAGTATTGTATAGTTTAATAAGTGAATATATTATTTTTCAGCAGATAAGAGATACTTCTAAAACATTAAAGTGTCTTATAATAGATTCAATCATTTTGTCAAGTGGTGCTAGATTAAATTATTAAGAAATGAACCCTCAAATATGCAATTTACTTATTTGGATGCAGATAAGATTCAAAAGCAAAAGACATGTAACTTAATTTAAAATGCCAGTACAATAGATTGTCATCCATGAGTTTTCATAAAAGGATAATGAGGAGGCAACTCATTTTTATCAAAAGAAAGTAATTATATATTTGAGCCCTTTTCAAATCTTGGACAAAAATTTACTTATCAACATCTTGTACATAAAAGAGTGTTTAAATTTAATCTTATAACTTGATCCTTGTTTTTCTAAATTCTTAAGTGAAGGTACCCAGCCTTCATTCTCTTCCTTTGCCTTCCTATGAGGACACTGTTATCACATACTCCCAATTTTGCTTTTATAAATTCATCTTACTATGGAAAACAGTGCCTCCTTTTTCAACAGAATTGGAATCTCAGTGGAGATTTCCCTTACTGGATTCTTGTGTTTTCATCGTTTGTTTACTAGGTACATCAGGGAAGGGATGTTCATGTCTGTGACTCTGCAATATGCTATTCATTAATGTTCTCCTACATGTTGGGAAGTCAGTACTTGTAAGTAAGTACAATTTTTTTCTAGTAAACTATATCCATGGGTAACACATATCTCCTACAGTGTACATTTAACACCATGAGAGTGGTTTATCCTATCCTTGGACTGAGAACAATAGCATGCTATTCCTATGGTTATCTCTATCAAGGGTTCTGTCAACAGAAAAACAAACATAGGTCAACTGCAGTTTAAAGCTTAGTGCTGTTTCATTAAGTAAAATACTACAAAGGAGAGAAAGGCTTAAGGCAGTAAAAAAGGTTAGATTTGTCTTTTACTCTTTCTACAACCAACGTCATTAACTCAGCCATTTGTAGGCTACCAGATCAATCACAGTGACAATAATTCTGGGATTTTCTTCTGGCCTACAAATCTGTTGTGTTGTACCATGAGAAACAGAAACACATGTGTTGTGCTTAGGAAGTATAGTTATTACTGATTAGGAATACTTATTTTTATATGATTTCACCCACTCATTTAATTTTGTCTACATACATAATTTCCTTTGTGACAATAGGATAGTATAGTGGTTTGAGGCTCCCTAAAACAGAATTTTAGATGGAGATTTATGTGTAGGTAATTTATAGACAGAGCGCTCTCTGGTGAAACTTGTGAAGACAAAGCAAGAGAAAAAGCCAAGGAAATGCGTAGTTTTACCTAAAGTTAAAATCAGCCTGATTTCACAGGGAATTCAAGAGTATTAGTTACATCACAGAGTTGTCCTTCATTGAGATAAGATATTTTGCCACCTATTATCAATCGCTCATTGTCTGTGGATAGCTGAAGATAATAGGAGACATAAAACCGTCTTGGCATTTCTCTCTTCCCAGGGCAATTCTCCAGAGAAAGATGCAGTGGGGGATGTTAGCAGCCAACCCTTTGGGAACCTGGGGCATGTGTAAACAGGTCTGCTAAAATAATTGGAGCACATTACCCATTTTTCCACTACACATGGAGTCCAGCATTTTATTTCATGTTTCTTTAATCTAGTGGAGTCTTTATTTCTGGGACTGGCAGCAATCTGTGTAATGAAGGTCCAGAATTCAGGCACAAACACCATTACTGACACTGCTAAGCTGGCATCCACAGCGGGGATCAAACAAGAATACAATATAAGATTTTGGTCTTTGTGAAAACAACATGTGCTCATGTATATCAGTGCCCCAGCAGGAGATTTATTCTAGGGACCCAGAGCAGATGGTACAGTTGCCAATTGACCTTTATGGAACATTGTTCACTGCTTGACTTTACTAAAATAAAGAGAAAGAAAAAAAAAAAAAGACAGCTTTCCCAGGCTCAAGAATATATTTAATCTACCTACATATTTGTTCTGTATTCATATGTGAACACCGAAATAACTTATATTTTACCTAAAATGAGACTTTATGACAATTAAATGTGGAGTAGACAATATCAGCGTTGCCAGATAAAATATAGGATTTCCCAGCTAAATTTAAATTTTAGATAAACCACAAATAATTTTTTAGTACAAGCTTTTCCATGCAATAAGTGGGACATACTTGTATTAAAAATGTATTCACTTTTATCTGAAATTCAGAATTACCTAGATGCCAGTAGTTTTATTTGTTAAAATCTAGCAATCCTAGGCAATAGACCAGAGTACTTAAAACATTAAACTTACAATGCAATGATGCTTTACAATTTCAAACAAAGAAATATTTTAAAAAATCATTTGTCCTGCATTTCTATTATCAATATACAAATTAAAGATAAAGGTATATTTACAAAGAAATAAGAAACAAAGCATAAAAATATATTCAAGTGCTTGAACTGTTGCTCCCCTAAACTTCCTAGGAACATCAAATGTTAAACATAAACTCACTCTTACACACACATATATACATGTGAACATACACACAATTTTTCATTCTCATTAAGTTTTAAAAGGCTACTGTTTGGTGAAGTTACAGCATCAATTTATAAATGATATATAAAAAGAAAAATCTCAGTTCCCCTGCAGTGCCTGTTGAAAACACATCGCATTACCTTCACTGCTGAGCAGAGAGGTACTGAACTGCTAGCTGTAATATTGCTTGGAATTGGAGACATCCATCACATGAGGAACCCCACCAGTTGGAAGGAAAGGAGAGTTTCTTTATGTGTGATCTCCCTGTAGGAATGGAAGCAAGGAGTCAGTTTTTCTTGTCCACTCTTTCTTCTCCTTTTCATTTTTGTATTATTGTTCTGGAATTTATTCCACAGCAAGTTATTCTCTCATCTACTCACACACACTATTAACAAGCTAAAGTGTTTGCATGAGTTTCTACTGTGCATCACCAGTTTCTTTATTTTTAATAAAAAGTTTCTGAGGAAAAAGTAAGAAAACTAAGATAAAAATTATCTTTAACAATTTTAAATTAACAATACTAAAACTTCAAGCCAGTCAAATGCAGTCTGATCTCATTTTAAGAGAGAATTCTTTTGTTTTAAACAGATGTGTCTGGAAGACCTCTACTCAATCATCCAGTTTGAGTTGTATTTCTCCAATAATTTGAATTAATCCATTATTTAAGAATTTTGAGACTAAGAGTAATAAAGTAGATATTATAAAGTTCAGTAAGCCACTCATAACCCTGGGATATCCTTACAGTTTTTGCTTGTTTGTTGCTTCCTTGTTAGTTTTTTAGCTTTTGCTTTCTAGATTTCAAAGTTATACAAACAAGTTGAAGAAAAAGTAACAAACGTAATTCAAATGGTGGAAATAATAAGTTTTTTTTTTGTTTTTTTTTTTGTTTTGTTTTTTTTTGTTTTTTTTTTTTTTTTTGAGACAGAGTCTCGCTCTGTCACCCAGGCTGGAGTGCAGTGGCGCGATCTCGGCTCACTGCAAGCTCCGCCTCCAGGGTTCATGCCATTCTCTTGCCTCAGCCTCCCAAGTAGCTGGGACTACAGGCGCCCACCACCACGCCCCAAAGTGCTGGGATTACAGGCGTGAGCCACCGCACCCGGCCAGAAATACAATGTTATAGTAATAAAAATTATCTAAAATAGAAAATTAAAAAATGTATATATTGTGCATCCTGTCTCCACAATGGGACAGTAAAACCAAAGCTCTAGTAGATAGTGGCATCATGGCATCACTGAAGCACAGTGAGAGTAGGGAGCCCTTAACAACTGTTGGAGTCATGGAGACATTTGTAATTGCCCCCACCCTAACCTGTCCCAGATGCATCACTTGGGAAAAGGCAGTCGTTAAATTAATGTTACAGACACAGATAATTCACAAAAGGCCAGATGGGTAGATTTAGGACTGTGAAAGCAGGGTATAGATGAGTCTTGATTTTAACATCAGTGACTCTCACCTCAAGGTATATCTGTTTTCCAGTGTCTTTTCTTTCTTTTCTTTCTCTTTCTTTCTTTCTCTCTCTCTCTTTCTTTCTCTTTCTCTCTCTCTTTCTTTCTCTTTCTCTCTCTTTCTTTCTTTCTTTCTCTCTTTCTCTCTCTTTCTTTTTTCCTTCCTTCTTTCTTTCTTTCTCTTTCTTTCTTTCTTTCTTTCTGTCTGTCTGTCTTTCTTTCTCTTTCTTTCTTTCTTTCTCTTTCTTTCTTTCTTTCTTTCTTTCTTTCTTTCTTTCTTTCTTTCTTTCTTTCCTTCCCTCCCTCCCTCCCTCCTTACTCTCTCTTTCTTTCTTTCTTTCTTTCTTTCTTTCTTTCTTTCTTTCTTTCTTTCTTTCTTTCTTTTCTTTCTTTCTTTCTTTCTCTGTCCTCTTTCTCTCTCTTTCTCACCTAAATAGGCATGTTCAGGCTAGGGACTGGGATACCTTACCCAAATAACATTGAGTAAAAGTAGCTGATGTTCTCAGTGGAATACCATGAGGAGCACAAATGTTATAAAATTTAAAAAGCATACAATACAAACATGAAAAAACAGGGAAAAACAGACTAAGTGGCATAGACAGAACAATAATTTCAGTAAGCATAATAAATACAATAAAGTGAAAAGACAGTGTATGATATTGGAAATGTAAGGTGGAATGAGTAGTTGTAAAGAAAATATGGTATAAATGAACTCAAACAAATTTACAAGAAAAAAACAACCCCATCAACAAGTGGGCAAAGGTTATGAACAGACACTTCTCAAAAGAAGACATTTATGCAGCCAAAAGACACATGAAAAAATGCTCATCATCACTGGCCATCAGAGAAATGCAAATCAAAACCACAAGGGGATACCATCTTACACCAGTTAGAATGGTGATCACTAAAAAGTCAGGAAACAACAGGTGTTGGAGAGGATGTGGAGAAATAGGAACACTTTTACACTGTTGCTGGGACTGTAAACTCGTTCAACCATTGTGGAAGTCAGTGTGGCAATTCCTCAGGGATCTAGAACTAGAAATACCATTTCACTCAGCCATCCCATTACTGGGTATACACCCAAAGGATTGTAAATCATGCTGCTATAAAGACACATGCACACGTATGTTTATTGCGGCACTATTCACAATAGCAAAGACTTAGAACCAACCCAAATGTCCAACAATGATAGACTAGATTAAGAAAACGTGGCACATATACACCATGGAATACTATGCAGCATAAAAAAAGATGAGTTCATATCCTTTGCAGGGACATGGATGAAGCTGGAAACCATCATTCTCAGCAAACTATCACAAGGACAAAAAAGCAAACACTGCATGTTCTCACTCATAGGCGGGAATTGAACAATGAAAACACATGGACACAGGAAGGGGAACATCACACACCAGGGCCTGTTGTCAGGTGGGAGGAGCGGGGAGGGATAGCATTAGGAGATATACCCAATGTTAAATGACGAGTTACTGGGTGCAGCACACCAACATGGCACGTGTATACAAAGGTAACAAACCTGCACGTTGTGCACATGTACCCTAAAACTTAAAGTATAATAACAAAAAAAAAGAAAATAGAGTATATACTACTGACAACTAAGTTAACTAGGTAAAAGAGCAACCAAGTCACCAATATGTGTTCAGTAGCAAAAGGTATTTTTATAGAGATGAAGTCACTAAGCTGGAAGTAATTCAAACCAGGCATTATCAGAACGGTAAAGAAAGATGGTAAAATAAGGAAAAAACTTAGCAGATTTGGAATGTAGATGTCAAAATGCTTAAAGTACATATAACATGAGAAAAAAAATGAGAGAATAAAATTGAATTGCAGAATAACTTGAAGGTATCAGAACGGTCTAAATATAAGTTAAAATATGAGATCTCCAAATAAAAGTAAACATAAAGTATCCAAATGGTACCAGAGAAAGAATAAGTAAATTTAAACACATCATAGATAAATTACATTGCATCATAATTAAAAAAATGATATTCTATAGATTTTATAGATAATGTATATTTACAGAGCAACAAAAAGTATACTGGCATCAAATTTCTGAATAGCAATATTTAAAGACTAAGAAGATGGCTTAATATTCCCAGTGTATTGAATAAAAAGACACAGACCAAGATTTTTTACCCAATAAAATTGCCGCTCAAATGTGCTGGAAAAATAAAAAAAAATCTTAAGCATTCAAGTCTTCAGAATATGTACCACCTGAAGATCGTCTTTGAAAATACCCATACAAATATACCTGGGCCAAATACTTGATTCTTTTTTCTCAGCACCATGCTTGCTCTTTTATAGTCTCCAGTATATTGCTAGGGTTAGAAGTTAGCAAACTACATCTTCTAGACTTCCTTGCAGGTGTCTGGCTTATGGTTCACTCACACAGCTTGGTTATAAACTCATTAACAATCTTGAGTGTTTCAAAAGTTTCCCCAGCAGAGGCATCTAAGGAACTCAGTAATGTAATTTTCCTAGAGTAGCCACTGCTTCCTGCATTTACTTAGACACTTGCTCCATTTTTCTCTATCTGCACTTCCATTACATTTGTACTTAATTTCCAAATTTAAATTCATCTGTTTAAGTCACCATAATCAGTATCTGCTTTTCTGATTGGACACTGACTACAACAGTACTTCAGCAGATGTATGGAAAACAAAAAGGAATACTAAGTTCTCGTCTAAAAAAAGCAATAAAAATAATCTAAATCTTTAAATATTGAGAATAAATATTGTACAAAAATATAAAAATATTAGAGAAAGTACGGGGGCAGAACAGAAATCAATAAAAGCATCTCATTCTTATTATTGAAGGTGGCGTAAATGTAAGATAGAGATATTTAAGAAAAAGGAGGGAATAAATGCAAGTATAGGTAATATGATAGAAATAGCCACCAGAATAATAAAATATAATGTATAAAATGTAAATAAGCATAAAAATTTTGATCTATAAAGTAGAGAATGGGGAAAGAAGAAAACACTTTTTAAAGGTTGGTGAATGGAAGATACAATATTAGATAGGCAAAATGAGTTGATATAACAATTATTTTCATCCATTTAATTGAGTATACTCAAGTTTTGAAAACTCTTGTTGAACTATTTAAAATAAATCTAGATCTTACAAAAAGGAGTGTAGGGAAATAAGATAAGCAACTATAGAAAAAACAGTTTAGCCAGACAGAAAAAAGAAAGAAAAAGTCAATTATCCTCCCCGCAAAAAAACATTTATATACAAGAATTTCTTTAAAAGTTTAAAATAATGGGGTGGAAAAATATTTATTTGGAACGTATGAACCAAAGAAAGGAAATGTTATAGGTCAAACACACAAAGTATGCATGATACAGAGTGGTCGAATAATATAATCTAAAAGTTGACTGTATTTGTGACCAATATCGAGAGAGAGAACTTTAATAAATTATCTTTTGCATTTAAATGCAATGCTTCTGGATATGTAATTATTTAAATATGAGTACCTCTGCTGAGACAATTTTAGAGTATGATTAAAAATTTAAAAGAACAGGATACAGAAATAGTTATTCTCATTTTGTGGAATGAATTAACATGGAAAAATGCCACATTCTCTCAAAGTAATTTAGAAATCCAATTCAATTTTGATTAAACATCTAATTAATTTTTAATTTAAAAATTTTATAAACAGATTTCAAAAAAAGGTTCACAATAGCTATGAAAATTGGGAATTAAAAAAATGAACAGGGAATATTTACAAATGTTAAGATGTAAAAAAAACATGTTAATAAAATCACACACAAAAATACGTAAACAAAAAAAAGCACAGGAAAATAGGTGATACTGAGAAAGGACTTGAAAGGTGGACAGTACAGTACAATTAATGGTTCAGCAAGAGATATTTTCTGTATATAAGAACACAATGTGTGATCAGAGAAGCATTACAAATCAGTGAGGACATTATTTTAAAACTGACATAAAATTTTTAAATTTTATGCCCAATACTTGGACTGTTATAAATGCATTTTTAAATAATATACAAACATATCCTCCAAGTTGATAGAAGGCCTAACTAGGAAAGACAAATTTAAAACATGATAGAAAAAAATAGAAAATTATCTTTGTCACCTTATGGGGATTAGTTCTTTCAAAAAGAGATCTAAAAGAAGCAACAATGAGGTAAAATTCTATGAATCTGAATTTGTTAAAAGTAATTTTATCTGCTTAGTGTAACATTACAGAAGGAGTTTTCTTCAACTGCCTGGCTCAAGCAATGCTCCCACCTCAGCCTCCTGAGTAGCTGGCAATACAGACACCCAAAATCACACCCAGCTAGTTTTTAATTTGTTGTTGTTGTTTTTGAGACAGGGTCTCACTATGTTGCCCAAGCTTGTCTCAAACTCCTGGACTCAAGCAATCCTCCTGCCTTGGCCTCCCAAGGTGCTGGGATTACAGGCATGGCCCATCATGTCTGGCCTATAGATGGAGTTAGCAAGTGTGTCCCATTCTAGAAAAGATATATGTAAAATCTAAAGGCAACTGGGCAATATAGGTACTTCTATATATTAACAAGAGTAGTTCAGAAATCCAATACCCAGAAAAAGATCTTTGATTTTATTTTTAGGTTTTTTAATTAATAAATGTATCTATATAAATCTGTACACACACACATATATAGATAGATACACACAAATGTTAACTTAGCTGCTCAACTTCATTAGCCTTCACAGAAGTGTAACTTTTAAAGTGTAACTTTAAACAGCCATAAGATCTAGTAAATATGCTTTAGAATGCCTAGATGTAAAAGTAAGATAATATCAATGTCTATGGGGACATGGACACCATCATGCCATACTTAAGCTCATCCAATCTGAAGACCAATCTGACCATACTTAGTGAACTTAAAAATCCTTTTTTCCCTATGAGAAACCAGGTGTTATTATAGTCTTATCTGTGGTAGCAGTGAGGTAGGGGCAACCCAGATATCCATCATCAAGGACATGGATAGGAGCAATATGTTGGGTGCTTCTGGTGTGTGTAAAATACACACAAGTCCTGAAGTAAGCTACTGGCAGCATGAATAGATTTTGAAAACTGTGTAGAGTAAAATAAGTAAAAAATTTAATGCAAATTTTATCATTAATGTTAGAAATAATTGAATAATTAAATGCAATTTCTAACATTAATATGTATTAAAACACAGATATATATATATATATTCCACAGTATTAATATTTTCAAGGATATTTAACAATGCCTGAGAAACATATTAGAGTGGCCAACTATGGGAAATTTCCCTAATGGGAGAGGTGATGGGGAGGAAGCAAAAAGTAAAAAAATAAAATAAAAATAAATACGATGTCTTTGACAGACAGATTTTGAAAAGTATTTTTGAAATAAATTGCTTGATGAACTTAACACTGTATTAGTAATTAGCACATGATAGTTTCATTAAAATGTGCAGAAGATCTTTATATTAAGATTTAAAATGATTAATAATGAATGTGTTTTTACTCAACAGCATTACTTATTGTTGAACATAAAATCTAAATCAACCAATAAAAATTGAAGAAAGTAAATTAAATTCCACTTACTAGTCTTCTGTATCTATTTAGGAAGAAACTCAGTCTCATATGTTTTAATTAATATGCACAGTACTTTGAGTGTAAGGATTTCAAATAAGCACAGAAAAATCCTAATAAAAGCATTTGCTTAAAAAGAAGCAATTCAATTTTTAACCTATCAATGTTAACTTTAGATTAAAGTATATCATGTGGTTTTATAAATAGGTTTTCTAATGGAAGGCTTATGTAATTAGATGTAAAACTCCTATTTATCAATCTAATGATCTGTTTGAACAGATACATTATTTAAAATCCCACTCTACATGCATAAAAAGGACCTAAAATGAGTACCGCATATTTAAAGAAAAACTTATTTTCTGTAGAGATAGATTTTTACTTTTATAATTTAATGGAAACAATATTAGAGTGGAAAACAAATTGCTTGGCAAGCGACAAATCTGACCTAACTACCTATGTGTCCTTAGGAAAATTTTCTGAGTTTCAGATTCCTCATCTTAACACTGAACATGTCTCCTAGCTTCCTAGCTTTTTCAGTGGCTGGATAAGAGTCTAAATCTTTGTATTGAAATCTTTCTAATTTTAATACAAGAATAACTTCCAAAAAAGGCTAAATGTGCTTTAGTTTTTTAATCTCTTAAAAAATAACATTTTTTTAATTTGAAAATAAAATTAAAATGTTTCCATTTAGTCAGCTATGCTTTAACATATATTAATATACATAATATGCTTTTATTCATGTATTTGTTTACTGATCATGCAAGCATGCATATATCACTACTGACAACATTTGGTCTGTTCTGATTTCATTTACTCCTCTATACACATTTATATATTTAATATATACATGTCAAACAAGGCCCTAACATTGACTGAACACCACTTATATCCTCAGCTTTATCTAAACTAGATAAGGACTGAATTTTTTTTTTTACCAAATCTTTGCCTTGATAACACCTCCATTTCTCTGTGAAATATAAATATGTCATCATATAGAGATGAAATTCTTTCTTGTTCCTGTATTCTGACATTAGTGTCCCAATCATTATGCTCCCTAAGTCTTACCTCTGACTTCACTTTTGTTATTAAATTTATATTATCAATTTATATGTCAATCTTCTCCATTTAATTGGTTAATTCATATTTTAAAAATTAACAGCGCAAATGCAATCAGTGCATACAAAAAGCCATGTGTCATAAAGTCCAAGCTAATTTAATTAATATCCCATCTTGAAGGTTGATTTTCCAATATAGCATGCAACTATACAAAGGAGCATTATCGAATAAAGTTGACTAAACTCATAAAGTAAGTATTCTTAATTATGCCACCTTTTAGAAATGATTTGTGTACCTTTTATGATTTTACAAAGTACTTAGAAAAGCACTGTGGAAGAAATATAAAATGATGTTAAAGTGCTTTAGTCACTACAATGTATTGTGAAAGTACACTCATTTGTCTTGGACATTTTCAATAAAATTGTATTTTCTTTGGTATCATAAAAATGCATCGTAAAAACATAAGTTTTCTGGCAATGCTGAGCCATCTGTTTTGTTCGGATCTCATCATTGTTTTGCTCTGTACAACAATAATTAAGTGTGTTGGCAGTAAGAGAAATAACAGTTGGATTTCTTTAGAAGATTAACAGTATGAACAGTACAGCTAAAAAAGAAATTTTCTCACAGTTTCCAAAAATATCCCACCTTTACAACTTCATAGCAGAGGAACCTGGTGAGCCGCCCACTCTCTCCTACCTACCACCAAATGGCTACAATATCTTCAGTGCAGGCAGCACTTTCCAGAGGGTTGTTTTTTTTCTTCTGGAAGAAGAATGTTTATTACTGTTACAATGCCTCTACCTTGCAACTGTCATTTTCCTCTCCTTTTCTCTAATTTCTATCTTTGCATTTAGTATCATAGTCTCCCTGTTTTTCTAATTCCTTTTAATACTGGCATCTGTTTTTAGGTATGTCAAATTTGACATATACCTTGCTTTGGAATCTCAAAGGACACATTCCTGTTCTTAGAAATAGAAATTTGCTTCATTGCTTACAAAGAGGATGAATTATTTGCTGTCAATCTTAAACATTTAGATGATTACCCTTCTTTTGATTACAGAAACAGTAATAGTATACAGGAAATTATACTTACAAGCCCTAGGGATTGGGATTCTCCAATAATATAATATTGTATAAGAATTTTAATTTAATTATAAGTTGTTGAGATCGACACATTTTTTAATTTTTTCATTCATTACATCAGTGCCATTTTCAATTTTATCTCTTTAGGTCAAAAGTTGAGATGTATATACATTTGTAAATGTATTCAGTTTTAATCCAGAGTCAGGTTATATTAAAGACATCTCGGGCCGGGAGCGATGGCTCACGCCTGTAATCCCAGCACTTTGGGAGGCCCTACTGCCTGATATGGGGCGTGAAGAGCACTTCCCTGGTAGGTGCTTGCTGTGCTATGATCCTCCTTAGCAGTGCTTCTTGGTCACCCTGGTTTCTCTGAATGCAGGTTGCATTTTTCAGACCCAAGAGAATTAATGGCCAATTGTTTTGGCAAGATCTCGCTTGCCAATGCCATCTGGTTACCCCCACTATCCTTCAGGGACGCAGTAGAAAAACATCAATAGTTTGTCTATGCACATTTTTTCTTTCTTGCTTGCTTTTCTTTTTTTCTTTTTCTACCAAGGCCTGCTGTGTCACACTTGCCTGTTGCCAGAGAGGCTCCCATTTGCTCCAAGGGATAAATTAAATGATCTGGGCTGCCTTTGTTGCTGGGTTGGTGATTATAGACAATGCGGAGCCAGAGTCTTCTCTTTTTGTTGCTTGGAGTGACAGAAGACACCCTGCTGAGTTGTTCTTCCAGCTCTAGGGTGACAAAACTGTGCAACTTCCTCACACTACTCTGAAGTTGTTCTTTGGTTGCCTGTTGCATTATTTCTAAGGTTTTAGTTGTACTTAGCCAAGAGAAGCAGAGAGAAAGTAGTATATTATATTTTAGCTGAACCAGAGTCCATATGGAACTTTTTCTATCCTAATAAGTTCCTATAGGCTTTAATATGGCATTTTGGACACTTATTTTTAATATAAATATATTTAGTTAAGTGTATTTGATTAAGATACAAAAATAAAATATAGAAATAACATATACATATGTAACCATATAAATAGTGTGGTAGACAAAGATAAAGATACAGTCTTACAGTATGTGAGCTCAGGAAAATTTTGTTCTCAAAACCACAAAGAAAATGTTCAGAGAAGCTCCTTCTTTTACATATTTGGAAATGCCCATGCACCAGAAAATCATACTCTGTCTGTTCCATTGTATTACATTAGAAGTTCCACACTGTGAGTAATGACAACCTCAAAACATGTTATCTTCTCTCATCCCACTTACCTCAACAACTGGAGCATGACATTTTTTAATAGCAAGAATATATTTTAATTTAGTTTAAATATCAGCACTGCATCTTTATTCTAGTAGCCTTCTGCTTGCATGAACCCATACAAAATAACTCATATTACCTATTAAATATATTTATATTGTGCATTTTTTCCTTATAAGATTGGTGAAACATCACATACAGTGACTGTGAATTATCTTAAGCATTTTTTTCTTTTAACGGATTTAAGGAATATAAGGATACTTCCAGTTTAAGGTAGAACACCGAAACACAGATTTAGTTGCTATATCTCTGAGATCCCTCTAAATCAGGGGTTCATAACTAGAGTACATGAACTTGAATGGATACAATCTTGTATTTTATATATCTATTTACAGTAACTTTTGAGTGAAAATTATCTTTCCTTCAAGATGTGGAAGCAACGAGCTCCAGTAATGTTAGCAATATTTATAGCTTCTATTATCATTAAAAATCATAGGCAGTTTCATGTCATAATTTAGACAAGTAGGAATGCAGATAAGTAGGAATTTTGATTATATTGATCAATACTTTGAAATTATGATAGATATTAGGTATGAACTTAACATTTTTACTTAAGGCATGAGTGGAGATATATTTGTTGTTATATCAAAAATAGTTTAAAAATATGTTTATAACTTCTTTTCAATGCAACTGCTTTCTGTTGCATTTCTATATAATTTATTTCATGAATTAAGAACATTATTTTGAAAAGCCCATAGACTTTACTACCTTGCCATAAAGAGTCATGGGGCAAATGCATGTGGAATATGTACTCCAAAATGATACTTAAAATATTTTTTCAACAGTAAGCCAGGCTTGGTGACTCACTCCTATAATCACAGCACTTTGAGAGGCTGAGGCGGGCAGATCACTTGAGGTCAGAAGTTCAAGACCAGCCTGCCAACATGGTGAAACCCCATCTCTACCAAAAATACAAATATTAGCTGGGCATGGTGGTGCATGCCTGTAGTGCCAGCTACTCGGGAGGCTGAGGCAGGATAATTGCTTGAACCTGGGAGGCAAAGGTTGCAGTGAGCCAAGATCATGCCTGGGTGCACTCCGGCCTGGGTGACAGAGCAAGACCCTGTCTCAAAAAAAAAAAAAAAAAATAATAATAATAATAAAAAAATATTTTTTCAACATAAATGTAAAATCAACAAAAGTGGAAGAAAAAAAGATCGAGAATACAATATTGGTAGCTGGAAAGCTGGTGGACAAGTGGTAACTTAGAAGAGGCAAGATAACTGAATGCTAAACCAGCACAGTGAAATACTAAGAAAGAACTCAATTTAATGAGTTTTCTCAAAGACTCAGGAACTTGCAATGTTAGCTGCCTCTGAAAGTGGGGTAGTGAATGTGAAACTAAAACAAGGCACTTGTTAAACCATCTAAGAAAAGATTGAGCAACCCTATCTTTTCTGCCACTCTGCGGAACTAGTGACTGTCCATAGCAAACCTGGCAGAAGCCTACAGCTGTATTTTCTGAAAAATGCAAAAGAAAGGGATACTGGAATAATGCAATAAAGGCCTAAATTTAAGGCAGGCAGGAGTGAGACATTATCATACAGTAAATGAGAGAAGTAGATGAAAGTTTATATCCAGCAATCTTCACACTGCTCCAACAAGCAGGGATTCTGGATTTGAATTCACAAACAAACCCATAGGATTAAATAAGCAATGCCAAAACACTTACTTAGTGTTGAAAAAGTATACAATATAGGTAGCAACACAGCATGCTCTGTAACAGCATGGTACAATCCTTATGCCTCCCTGACATGTCTTCCGAATGTCTCCATCACACTGCACTAGAACGCACAGGAGAGAAGGCAGAGTGTGCCTTCCTTTGGATTGAAGCCATCAGCCTTAAGAGTTCCTTCAGGTTTTAGAGCTTGCTACTCGTATGCTCCCTGAAAGATACATAACAAGCTCCCATTCCTAGGTGGAGCTGCATATCTTACTCATCAATTATAGACTCTTTATTAGTTACATGTTCCTTAATAAATACTATCTTTAAGCAGGCAAAACTCCTTAGATTGGTACTTAACTTTAACACAATCCTCATTTATCTTGGATTTAGAATAAAGTACTTAGTCCTTGAATTAATATTGCATTGGGGTTCAACTAAGGGCTAAATTCTCAGGAATTCCTAATGTTAGGGGAAGACTAGACCAGCTACCAAAAGTTTCATTCCATATACTAAGTATTGAAACCTCTAGCCTTCAACTAAGGGACTTTTGGAAGACAGATCTACACTTTTCATGCAAAGGCTGGAAGAGTCTTCTGGAGATATCTTAAGAACACAAGGAAAAAGACTTAAAAGTACCAGCATTCTGGATTTCAAAGCATCACAGCTATATCAACCTCTAGAGAAGACAAGCTCTATTTATATGTACAAGGCTTCCAACTAACTTTTGAGTGATCAAATATAAGAAAAAGTAGAGATTTAATAGACATTTCAGATAAAGCTTCTCATGTGAAAGCTGGAAGCCAAATCACATAGATAAAAATAAAAGCATACAAAATTTTAAAAGTTCAAAAAATATATTAATATTTGCACTGAGTAAACAAAGATAGTGCAGTGAAAAACAATAATAGGATGCAATAACAATAAAAGACTGTCTTGAAAATGTGGTGTTCTTGAAAATGAAAAATATGATAGATGTGCGTTTGGGTCCTTAATCCTATTTCACTCTAAGTGAAGTATTTTACAGTGTTACGCTATTTTACTCGGTTTGACCATTTTACTAATAGATAACTTTCTGTGATTTATAAGTATGACTGAGTAATTTTAGAACATTATTTCTTATATTGTGGTGAAGACTGCATATTTGTGATTTCCATACCTTTGTTTCTGCTCTCTAATCTAGCTCTTCAGAACAACAAAATAATAACAACAAAAGTCTTCAGGAGAGATCTTCAAATGCTCCGTTACCCTAAATGGTCTCTTCCAAAATATACATCTGTAGTTCCATCAACTAATGTTATTTTAAGAGAACTCTTAAGCTAGTTTTTGCTTTGTTTATGTATACATTTGTTTTTTTCATTTTTTTCATAATCTGATTTGTTTAGTACAGAGCACCATTGACAAAGATAGTTTTACCTTGAGGTGAACAAACTTTTTCAGTACAGGATTATATTGTAAACATTTTAGCTTTTTGCCAGTCATATGCAGTTTCTGTAATATATTCTTTGTTTGTATTCTGTATAATCTTTTAAAATGTTTTATATGGCTTAAAGGCTGTATAAAAACAGGCTGCAAACCAGATTTGGCCCTCCAGCCTTTAGCTTGCCAACCCCTGGTCTCTACCAAAGGAGGCTTTCTTGATTGAGAAAGTTAATCAAAGTAATATAATTTTTAAATTATCTGTGCATTTTGAATGGGGACATTACAATATTTGAATCATATTGACTTTAGAGATAACCAAAATTTTAATATGTTTTTCAGTTTAACTGCTGCGTATGTTTTGACCTGTCTTTAACCTACTGACCTGTCAAAATGTGGGTAGCTAAAATTCTTCATTTAATTTGCACTTTGTATTTTTTAGTTGAGACCAGGTATTGGCAAACTTTGTTATTATTATTATTACTATTATTATTTTTAAACAGACAGATGGTAAGTGGTTTATTCCTGTCGGCATAAAGATTTCTGTTACAGACATTAAATACTATCTTCACAGTCAAAACCAGCCATGGATGGTATATAAATGAATAAATGTGACTATGTTGCAATAAAACTTTATTTATTTAAAAAATGGCTTTTCACTGTTTTTATAGTTTTAAAAGACAATTCTGTTTGGTGATTTTGTCGTTAGGGAATTAAGTATTTCCCCTGGGATTGAGTAACCTGAAAAGCAAATAAAGATATTTTCTGTCAAGATGAAAATGGTAGGAGAGGCAGAAGGTACTTCCTAAAATTTGATGAAATTTAAAAAAAAATCACTCTTAAACCTGAATTCAAATAGACATGTAAACTAAATTATTGCCATGAGATTTTTCAAATTATATCTGAGATTTTGAAGCCTCTAGGGTGTTAGGAGATGAAACCAAGGAACACTAAATGGGGAGAACTTCATTCTCTTCAACTGGAAGAGCTCTGATTTCTGCCTCTCTCAAATATTTTACTGTATTTAGCACTTTATTTGGAAAAATTAAAGACTTCCTGCAAAATTATGTGTTTAAACCATTTCTCTGGCCATATTACTCTAAAATGGTTTCAGATGTGTCATCATGTCAACTACCTTGATGAAACCAATATTCTGTATAAGTATTACAGCTCCTTGATAGACCTTAAAAATATATAAATATATATTCCAACAAATAGCAATTAAGTTTTAGTAAAGTTTTTTAGCTAGCATTTTAAAATAATACATATTCTATTATACTATTTATAATATACCATAATATCTCTACTCACTTTATTCCCATTTGACTCCATATAAGTGACTACCTTAGCTAATTGTAATAATAAATCCAGGTTATTACTTAGAGTAGAATAGAATTCTGGCACCTCTTCTCTCTTGGTTTCTCTATTGTCCCTGTCTTCTAGCTGGTAGTAACATGAAGTTTAATTAGTTGAAGAAGTTAATTAACCCAGCACAAGTCCTTATCAATATTATCTCTTGATAATAATTATTTTGCCTGTAAATTATTATCTAATAAGGGAGGAGAATTTTTTAAAAATCAAATATGCTTTGTTTTATAATTACATAATTATTAAAATTAATTATATATATTGGATCAACTTTAGTACATTTTGTTAATATATTATCTAAAAACTCCAGAATTACACTTAGATAGTAACCAATATTCAATTGTGGCTGTTTAAATTTAATTATTTAAAATTAAATCAAATTAAGAGTTGATTTTTGTTGTGGTTGCACTAGCCACATTTCAAGTGTCCAATTATTTTGAGACTATTAAGATGTAGAAAATTTTTATTATTACAAAAAATTCTGTTGGAGAGTGGGGATCTAATATTTAGAGTGAAATAACCACACATTAACCACAATATGTTGTTTTAAAATTACGTTGGACTGGGCTTTGGAAAATAAAAATTTCAATCTCAATGTAATTTATTAGAGTACATCATGTTTTATTCAATTTCTCCCAGTATATCCTCACTTCATTTACAAAAATGAAAACTGATTGTTAGATGATCTTTAGTGACACTTTGAGCTATAATACATATTCTAGAGAACAAGTGAGTTTTCTAGAAAAAAATAATATAATTAAAATAAACATTAATTTTAAGTGAAATACATATGTATGTTGCTTGGATATGTTTGAATGTTTGAATACATTTTCTGTATTTAGAAACACTTTTATCTCTTATGAAGTGCAAGACAGTGAGAAAAATAAACAATAGTTCTCAAACTCCACATATATGAAAATCACCTGAATGGCTTGTTAACATACACATTGCAGGGCCTCACCCCAGAGTTTTTGATACTGGACTATTGAGCTAGATCCCCGAATATGCTTTTCTAAGAGATTCTCACAATAACACTTTGAGAACCACTGGTATAAAAATAAGTTAGGCTCTTGCAAAAGAAAGACACAAACATAAAACCAAAATCATTAATTTAAAAAATCTAAATAACACTGATCATATAATGTAAAAGTTATAGTTATATTTATACTTATGCATATAAAGGACATAATGCTAAGTCATGAAGGAAGTATAAAATATACAATAGGAATTCAGACAATGGAAGATCATTTCTAAGTAAAGAAATAAGGAAAATCATATTTCATGGTGTAGGCATTGTTTGATCAAGAATTTGATAGAGTAACAATGTTTCACCTAATAAGGATGGAGGTAATGGCAGTATTCAAAAACAAAAGTGACCAAAATTTGGGAATATGAGTACAGGGTATACAAAAAGGATTTTCTAGAAATTTGAAGACAGATGCTTGAGGCAATAACTGAAAAAATAAGAATAGCTTTTTCCCCAGTCTTCCAAGACCAGGCAAAATTTTCACACAAAGATAAAGGGTATTGAAGCAAAAATTGCTTCAAACTTAAATGGGCAAATTAGACTTTATTCAGGCTACAGCAGTAGAGAAGACAGATTGGACTTAATACTGTTGAAATGAAGTTTTGGGGGAGTGGGAGGTAAAGCACTAGGGTGAACTTGTGGGAAAGTACTAGAGAATTTAGAGAGGTTAATCAATGGGATAGGTGAAGTACACTGAGTTATTGCTCATTTTGAAAATGGTTTTCTCTGCAATTTGGCCATCTGTGTTTACTAAGTGGTGTCCACCGGGACTGGGAGATAAGGATGCTGATATGGTTTGGCTGTGTCCCTATCCAAATCTTATCTTGAAATGTAGCTCCCACAATTCCAATGTGTTGTGGAAGGGACCCGGTGGGAAGTAATTGAATCATGGAGGCAGGTCTTTCCCATGCTGTTCTCATGATAGTGAATAAGTCTCATGAGATCTGATGGTTTTATAAAGGGGAGTTTCCCTGAGCAAGCTCTCATCTCATCTGCTGCCATGTGAGACATACATTTCAACTTGACTAAGGCATCCCCAGCCACATGAAACAGTGAGTCCATTAAACCTCTTTCTTTTGTAAATTTCTCAGTCTTTATCAGCAACTTGAAAAAAGACTAATACAGATGTTTTTCCTTAGATGTTCACATTTCAAAGAAATGGTTTCCATGTACTTGAAAAAAGCATTTTTTGGATTATCAAAGTAGCAAGAGGCTGAAAGAAAACTTACATGCATTTGAAAAAGGCAGATAAAGAATTTACTCTTGCAAGTTTACTAAAGTAAATCTTCTAATGAAAAGATGGATGGACTCCATAGTTAGGAAAAGGTCAGTATAAAGAGCAGGCCAGCTAAGGGAAACATTGAGGCCATCTTGGTCAGTGAAAAACCAACATTTTGTAATCATCTAAATCTTCTCAAGAGTATGGGCTGGAGAAGACTGGATTGAAATTGTCTTTAATTTCAATCCAATTTCAAAGTCTTAGTAGTTTCTTTGTAAAAAGTCACACAAAGAGACATCATATGAAATCAAACAGAAATGAATAAACTGTACTAAAATGTGAGGCAAAGAGTCACTGGGCATCATCTTATCTAATTTTTCATTCTTCAAATGGTAAAACTAAGTTTTTAAGGTTAAGTTTTTTACTCAAAGTCACAATTATAGTAATAGCCAAGTAAGAATCAGAATATAAGTCATTTACAGTTACCAAGAAGAGGCAAAGGAGCCAACAAAGGTGAGTTTGTATTTGCAGTTACCCAATCATTATTTTTACATGACAGAGGAAAAAGTGAGAGAGAAAATGAAGAAAACAAGTAATCCCTTGCATCCAGTGATTCAAATAAGAGTAGAGAAAAAGTGAGAGAGAATTAGATCTCAGTAAACATATTTCAGAGCATTTCAGTACAAAATTCATAGCACAGTCCACTCTTTATCATCAACTCACATACTGAGTCAAAGGCTTACATTTTATTGTTTTCACTTGACCCTCAGAGCAAAACATAGCAGGATCTCCCAATTCTTCTCCTGGATATCAAATTCTGAGGCTATTAATTTTCTGATTAGATATTTTGTTTTTAATTGGCAGAACACAATATTCTTAGTGTTACTCCTCTGGGTTTTCTTTCAAATCTACATGGAAATCATAAGTCATAAAACTGCGTTTTAACCAGTGGTGTTAATTGATAAGTACTGTGAATAATCAAGTATTAGACTATAGGAATCAGTAGCAAAGACTAAAAAATAACTGAGAAAGACTGCTCTTTAACATGCTCCAGATGATTCCTCCTGCCTATCAGGGTTCTTTCTTGTTTGGACTGAAAGTTGGGCAGTTTGTTTTAATCCACGTCCCTAAAAGTAAGACACAAAAAAGGCTGGCAAAACATCATCTGATCAAAGGCAATGTTGGGCTTAGTGTCAACAGCACACTGATGGACTAGAGCTTCCAATCGTTTCTCTGCTTACTGAAAAACAAAAATGAAACTGATTGATCTTTTCTTAGTCTTTAAAGCCTTATGAAGGCTTTTAATAATAGGACATGTCCAAAAGAGATGTCTTGCACAGCAGGTGAGTGCCTTAAACACTGGGATACAGGCTTTTATGACAACAAAATTCTTTATTTTTATTTTAGTTTAAGATACAAGGATTTTCACCTTTGAATACAATATAGTATGTGTGTTTGTGTGTGTAGTACTAGCTAAAGATGATTTAAAGAATGTTATCATATCAACTGGGACACTTTAATCTGTAGCACTGAGACTTTTTAATCTGGAGCACAAATTAACATGCTTCAGCTTATCTATCATAATACATAATGCCTGAAAAAAAATTGACAATGAAACATAGGTTTTAAATTTAGGAAATTCAGGAAAATCTCTTTGCTGAGCAAAAACAATTACTTAAAAACTCAGCATATCTCAAGCTTCTTAATACAACCTAATAATTATTAATAATATTCTGAAATACATGCCAGTAAAAGATTTTAACTTTTGGAAATGTTTGAAATATTACATGTTTCTCCCAGACACATAGTTTGTATGAATTAGCCTTCCTCAGTCTCCCAACACCACTGCCTCTTCTAAGAGTGGTATGTCTATCTGTACATCTATCTGTGCAAAAATACATATATACATACACATGTACATACAGATGGAGAGTGAGAACATGTTGTGAGAGAGAATTGTCTGAAAAATATTACATTTATTGTTCTCTATTTGAGAATGGAATATGAAGGTATCAAAAGATTTGCCTCATTAGTAATGATCATATACATGGTTAACTCAATATAAAATATGAACTGTTTTCTATCAATTCTTAGTTTAATTGAAGAGTTTCAAATAAAATCTCTTTTGTTATACCTATATCTACTTGCAAAGTTCCCATAGAAATCAAAAGCAGATTATAATACTTCAGGAGCTGGTTAAATTTCTATTATTCAGGCTCATTATAAACATTGTCATCAGCATGAAGATAGGCTGTTTCCTTTTCTCTTTTTGTTACATTTTCTAGGCTTCAAAAAAATGTCATTTCCATGAAAATTACCCTACTGCAACATTCATTAAACCCTTTTTACTCGGAACCTAGCTGTTTCTCAATCCTCTCAGTTATCTGTGAGAAATCTTGGAAGGGTCAAAACGGCAGAACAATGTTATTCTGTTTTAATATAAAATATGAAAAGGCAAGATATTGTTCAAAGTTGTATTTTTGTGTTGAGAATGTTACAGAGGCACACTACTGAAATAGAATATATTTGAATGTGTTAAATAGAATAATTAATGTGACCATTGGTACAAATTAATTTGTATTACAAATTCCATACAACAATTTTATTGATCTCCTCTGCAGCTGTACTTCCAACATAGAACCTATTTATATCTCATCAGCGAACACTCTAGCAAGTAATCATTGTCACATTCGTTGTAATCTCTGCCTTTCTAATGCCAGAAAAAAATTGTGTGGATTACACACAATTACAACAATGAAAATAAAACCATAACACTTTACACAGAAAATACTCAAGTAATATTTTACCACTATATAATTTTCTTATCTAGATCAACTTTTCCCAGTCATTTTTTACCTGTAAACACTTTTTACAAAAATGTATAATTTCATAAGTTGCCTGGGTATATTTAATCATTTTTATATTAATAAAACAAAGAAAACCTTTAAAAACATAAAAAGAACATTAGCAGCATATTATTACATATGTTGTTATAAAATTTATTTGAATATTATACTTGGCTATATTCATTACACATGAAGTCCCCGTTTGTTTTAACCCATTTGCAAGTGATATACACTGTGATTAACTTTCTTTAATTACATGAGAAAATATATAATTTGTACATAAGTGGATATAACATATTCCATTCAGGACTACCATTTATATAATGAAATTGCGCCATCATAAATTAACTGTATTTAGGACCTAATATGTATAATACTTGAATGCTGTATTTTTAACAAATCCTCTGTGCCATTTTATAAGTTCTCCAATTTTTGTTTAAAAGTTGAGACAACTGAAAATTACTCAGGTGGTCATTTGTTAGCATTTCCCTACAAATGGCTAGCACATAGTACGTGAATATAGCCTTACTTCCAAAGTGACAAAATGATAAACTGAGAAACTAATCAGTGTATTTTATCTCTTTAATATATGTTAATATTTTGCTGAAAAATTACTTTTACATATTAAAATTGCATTTAGTAAGTAATTTTAAAAGTCTTATCAAATAATTGTAAGTCTTAGAACAGATAAAAATCACCTCAGGAAAATTTGAAGAAATATCAACTTTTTATGCTAATTTTTCATTTACATGTTAATATCAGTGTTCTTTTTGCTTTCTTTGTTAACCAAAGGTGCATTTATAAAAAATAAAATGCTCCTGCTGAGTCATAAACTTAGTTACTATCTCATGAGGATGTTTAGTTTCTTTTCAACTAACTGCTCATTTGTTTCTATTTTTAATTTATTTTTAATAGACAAAAATTATATATATTTCTACAACAGGCTGTTTTGAAATATATACATAGTGAAATGGCTAAATTGAGGTAATTAATAGTGTATTACCGCACATACTTACCATTTATTTATGATGAAAACACTTAAAATCTACTCTTAGTAATTTTGAAAAGTACAATACATTGTCATTAACTATAGTCACTATATTTTACAATAGAACTTATTCTTCTCATCTAACTGAAATTTTTTATCCATTGACTAACATCTCCTCATCACCCTCCCCCTGTTCTCCCTCTTATTTGTTTCTTGACACATGCTAAGATGCCCTTAAAGTTCCATTTTAAGAAGAATGTATTTCAATAATTATTCTATCAATCAATTAAAAATAGCATTTCCTTTTTTGTCTATATCCATTCCTTGATATGACTTTATAAAACCACTTCAAAAACTCATGAGGGATATCAAAATAAAGACAAATGTCAGAGCATCTTCCTATAGGATAGCAGACATGTGGACAATAGAACCACATATTGGAGAGAGGTTTTAAGATGCTAACTAGAGACATCAGACACTCTTCCTCCCCAGAAAGAAGTAAAACTGTTAATAGATAATCACACACTGAATAGAATTGAACAGAATTTATCTAGGAAAGAACACTAGAGTTTAAGAGAGAAGTCACAGGAAACACCTGAGGCACAGAAGGAGAGGAAGCTAGCAGCTAGCTCAGCCAGGACCAGCTGGGATCCTGGAACGGCTCCCTATTATAGGGAAAGGGTCAGTGTGAGCCGTTAGGGGTACACAGTCTTACCTTAGACTACTGCAATCCTAACCACAGGAGACCTCTTCCATCTATACAGCTCTGAGATTAGCATAGGTGGGGACTCTACAGCGTGGTGATCTAGAGGCCTGCCAGGGCATTGCTGCAAGCGGGAAACTTGCACCACATCACATAGCAAGACATAAGCAGCTGCAGTAGGGCACTATGGCCAGAGTCCAGCTTCCACCAGACTGCATCCTCTTCTGAGAACCAACAATTCCACATCTTCACACCCTGTGAACCCCCAGTAGAATTCCCTGGCATCCACCTGGAGGGCTTCAGTGGCACAATGGTGGCTGGACCCGATGGTGTTGTGGGGTCCCCAGCACTCTAACCCACAGGGAGTACAACTCCTCAAGGAAATGATAGCGCAGTACATCAAGGAGGCTTCTCCTGAGACAAAGGGAACCAGTGCATGTGCTTGGCAGAACCCAAGAGCTCCCTGCCTGGTATAATGATACCAATGGTACCTGGTACCATTAGGGCAGGGAACCACCCTGCCCTAACTAGCAGCATGGCCTTTGTGCTCTAGCTTATGCACAGAGGTCAAGATCCCTTCCCCAACTCTCCACACTGCTGCAGCCACTGCTGCCTCTGAAAGCCAAAGCAAGCAAACCTTAAATCTGAGAGTCTGGGTATGTAAACAGTAACCACATCCCTATTAGCAGTATGTTCTCAGTACTTGGGCTCATGTGAAAATGGATCCCTTCCCCTTTCTGCATATCACAATAGTGCTGCTGCCACGGGGAGCCAAAGTGAGTGAGCCTGACAGCTGCCTGTCTGAGGATGCAAATAGTAACCCCATTCCCACCAACAACACAGCCTCTGTGCTTGAGTTCACACCCAGAAAGGCAGGATCCATCTGACCCCTTTGAACATGATAGCAGTCACTGACTGCAGCCAGGAGACAAAGCAAACACTACCCAGAAACTGAGAAGTGCCTGTTTGGGGCTCTGAATAGCAACCCTGCCCCCTTCAAAAGCATGGCCTCTGTGCTCTAGTGCATGTCATGAGTGCAGGCTCTTCACACACACCACTGTGGACACTGCTACTGCCAGAGTTGAAAGTGTACACCCCTCAGAACCTGAGAGCTCCCTGCAGGGGACCACTGATAGCAACCCCACCCATACTCAACAGCAGGATCACCACACTCTAGCACCAGCCCAGAGGTCAGGCTCTCCACAACCAACACCACAGACTGCCTGCCCTGCCTACTACCTCCTGGAGCTCTGCACACCCTGATGCCCTGAGATCAGGCCCACCAGACCTGTCACCATTGCTTCCCCCACCCAAAGCATGAGCACCCCTCCCAGGGACCTGGGGATTACCCAACCCCTTCTACCACCTCTAGCATCTGTACCCTACTTCTGGAATCCTGAAGGTGAGCCCATATAGCCTGTCATCAATACCATCAACTACATCCATGCACATGCACAACCAAGGAACCTGGGGACCAGCTTGCTCAGCCCATCATACCAACAGCTAACATTAGTGAGTGCCACATGAGAGCCCCAAAATTATCCTGCCATCACTACTACCATAATCCAGGCCATACATTCGGCTTAAGGGCCTAAGGACTCACCCACGGATCTGGCTTACCACTCCCACTGCCAGCATACAGGAAGACTGCCTGGAGTCTCAAGAATTTGCCCACCTGCACTCACTAAAACTGTGCTTGCATATGCCACCTGGTGGCCCAAGGTCCAGAATGCTTGGCTTACCACTACCTGCCATGAGTGGGCCCTGAGGGCAGAACTACCTGGTATCTCCTGTTCCCAGCACATTTTTTTCATGCGTGTCCCTGTGAAGAGACCACCAAACAGGCTTTGTGTGAGCAATAAAGCTTTTAATCACCTGGGTGCAGGTGGGCTGAGTCCGAAAAGAGAGTCAGCAAAGGGAGATAGGGGTGGGGCCGTTTTATAGGATTTGGGTAGGTAAAGGAAAATTACAGTCAAAGGGGGGTTGTTCTCTGGCAGGCAGGAGTGGGGGTTGCAAGGTGCTCAGTGGGGGTGCTTTTTGAACCAGGATGAGCCAGGAAAAGGACTTTCACAAGGTAATGTCATCACTTAAGGCAAGGACCAGCCATTTACACTTCTTTTGTGGTGGAATGTCATCAGTTAAGGTGGGGCAGGGCATTTTCACTTCTTTTGTGATTCTTCAGTTACTTTAGGCCACCTGGGCGTATATGTGCAAGTCACAGGGGACGTGATGGCTTGGCTCGGGCTCAGAGGCCTGACATTCCTGCCTTCTTATATTAATAAGAAAAATAAAACAAAAAAGTGTTGAAGTGTTGGGGCAGCGAAAATTTTTGGGGGGTGATATGGAGAGAGAATGGACGATGTTTCTCAGGGCTGCTTCAAGCGGGATTAGGGGCGGCGTGGGAACCTAGAGTGGGAGAGATTAAGCTGAAGGGAGGTCTTGTGGTAAGGGGTGATATTGTGGGGATGTTAGAAGAAACATTTGTCATATAGAGTGATTGGTGATGGCCTAGATACGGTTTTGGATGAATTGAGAAACTAAATGGAATAACAGAAGGAGAAAAACAGGTATAAAAGGTCTGAGAATTGGGACGACTCAGGATATCTGATTAGAGAGTGCTTAAGGAGATTCGGCATAGTCCTGCCAGCAAAGATTATTTATTTACTTCAAGAGTTAAAAGTGACAGTTTGGGGATAGCACCAGGAGATATCAGCTGTGATGGCTTGGAAAAACAGTGTAAACCGGCAGTGTAAACCAGAGCAAGGCATGTATGAGTCGTTGAGAATGGTGAATAGGAGTATGACTAGACAGAAGATAGTAGGGATGACAAGTTTTTTTGGGGCACAGTCTAAGTTGGTCTGGTGTCTGGAATGAGACTGGGGCCTAATAAAAAGGAGCATCTATACAGGAGCTTAAATGGGCTGTACCCTGTAGCATTCCGAGGACAGGCCTGAATTCTGAGAAGGGAAAGTGGTAAAAGTATTGTCCAGTCCTTTTTAAGTTGGTGGCTGAGCTTGGTGAGGTGTGTTTTTAAAAGACCTTTAGTCCATTCTACTTTTCTTGAAGACGGAGGACCATAAGGGATATAAAGGTTTCACTGAATACTAAGAGCCTGAAAAACTGCTTGGCTGATTTGACTAATAAAGGCTCGTCTGTTATCAGACTGTATTGAGGTGGGAAGGCTAAACTGAGGAATTATGTCTGACAGAATGGAAGAAATGACTGCGGGGGCCTTCTCAGACCTGTAGGAAAGGCCTCTACCTATCCAGTGAAAGTATCTACCTAGACTAAGAGGTTTTTTTAGTTATCGGTCTCAGGGCATGTTGAGTAAAGCTAATTTGCCAGTCCTGGGTGGGGCAAATCCTTGAGCTTGATGTGTAGGGAAGGGAGGAGGCCTGAATAATCCCTGAGGAGTAGTAGAATAGCAGATGGAACACTGAGAAGTTATTTCCTTGAGGATAGATTCCCATGATGGAAAGGAAATGAGATGTTCTAAGAGGCAGGCTAGTGGCTTGTACTATAGTATAAACTGCCTTTGCTGGTGTGTGGCGATTAGGCCTGGTGGAACCGCCATCAATAAATCAAGCGTGATCAGGGTGAGGAACAGGAAAGAAGGAAATTTGGGGAAATGGGGTGAATGTCAGGTGGATCAGAGAGATACAGTCATGGGGGTCAGGTGTGGTATCAGGAATAATGTGGGAGGCCGGATTGAAGTCTGGGCCAGGAACAACAGTAATTGTGGGAGACTCAACAAAGAGTGTACAGCTGAAGGAGCCGGGAAGCAGAAAGTATATGCGTCAGGTATGAGGAAGAAAATAGATTTTGGAAGTTATGAGAACTGTAGAGAGTGAGTTGAGCATAGTTTGTGATTTTGAGGGCCTCTAAAAGTATTAAAGCAGCGGCAGCCACTGCATGCAGACATGAGGGCTAGGCTAAAACAGTAAGGTCAAGTTGTTTGGACAGAAAGGCTACAGGGTGTGGTCCTGGCTCTTGTGTAAGAATTCTGACTGCGCTAACCATGCCTAGGAAGGAAAGGAGTTGTTGTTTTGTAGGAGGTGCTGGGGTTTGAGAGATCAGTCAGACACGATTGGCAGGGAGAGCACGTGTGTTTTTATGAGAATTATGCCGAGATAGGTAACAGATGAGGAAGAAATTTGGGCTTGATTGAAGTAATGGGGGCTGTCTGTGAAGCTTTGCGGCAGTACAGCCTAGGTAGTTTGCTGAGCTTGATGGTGTCAAGGTCAGTCCAAATGAAAGCAAAGAGAGGCTGGGACGAGGGGTGCAGGGGAATAGTGAAAAAAGCGTCTTTAAGATCAAGCAGGGAATAGTGAGTTGTGGAGGAAGGTATTCAGGACAAAAGAGTGTACGGGTTGGGCACCACAGGGTGGATAGGCAAAACAATTTGATTGATAATGTGCAGGTCCTGAACTAACTTGTAAGGCTTGTCTGGTTTTAGGACAGGTAAAATGGGGGAATTGTAAGGAGAGTTTATAGGCTTTAAAAGACTATGCTGTAGCAGGCGAGTGATAACAGGCTTTAATCTTTTTAAAGCATGCTGCGGGATGGGATATTGGCGTTGAGTGGGGTAAGGGTGATTAGGTTTTAATGAGATGGTAAGGGGTGCATGATCAGTCCCCAAGGAGGGAGTAGAGGTATCTTATACTTGTGGGTTAAGGTGGGGGAATACAAGAGGAGGACGCAAAGGAGGCTTTGGATTGGGAAGAAGGGCGGCAATGAGATACAGCTGTAGTCCAGGAATAGTCAGGGAAGCAGATAATTTAGTTAAAGTGTCTCAGCCTAATCAGGGAACTGGGCAGGTGGGGATAACTACAAAGGAGTGCTTAAAAGAGTATTGTCTAAGTTGGCACCAGAGTTGGGGAGTTTTAAGAGGTTTAGAAGCTTGGCCATCAATACCCACAACAGTTATGGAGGCAAGGGAAACAGGCCCTTGAAAAGAGGGTAATGTGGAGTGGGTAGCCTCCGTATTGATTAAGAAGGGGACGGGCTTACCTTCCACTGTGAGAGTTACCTGAAGCTCGGCGTCAGTGACGTTCTAGGGGGCTTCCGAGGTGATCCGGCAGTGTCAGTCTTCAGCCGCTAAGCCGAGAAGATCTGGGAAGGAGTCAGTCAGAGAGGCTTGGGCCAGAGTTCCAGGGGCTCTGGGAGTGGCTGCCAGGTGAGTTGAACAGTCCGATTTTCAGTGGGGTCCCACACAGATGGGACGCGGCTTAGGAGGAATCCTGGGCTGCAGGCATTCCTTGGCCCAGTGGCCAGATTCCCGGCACATGTAGCAAGCTCCTGTGGGAGGAGGTTCTGGAGGAACGCGTGGCCGCTGCGGTTCAGGCGTTTGGAAGTTCTTGTGTGCTGGAGATGTGGCTGGGGTTTGTCTCACAGTGGAGGCAAGGAATTGCAACTATTTTCTATTATTATACACCTTGAAGGCGAGGTTAATTAAATCCTGTTGTGGGGTTTGAGGGCCGGAATTTAATTTTTGGAGTTTTATTTAATGTCGGGAGCAGATTGGGTAATAAAATGTATTTTGAGAATAAGACGGCCTTTTGACGTTTTAGGGTCTAGGGCTGTAAAGTGTCTCAGGGTTGTTGCCAAACAAGTCATGAACTGGGCTGGGTTTTTATATTTGATGAAAAAGAGCCTAAACCCTATCTGATTTGGGATAAAGAAAAAGGAGCATTAACCTTGACTATGCCTTTAGCTCCAGCCACTTTTTTAAGAGTAAATTGCTGGGCAGGATGGGGAGGGCTAGTCACGTAACGAAACTGTAAGCAGGACCCAGTGTGAGGAGGGGAGGTGATAAAAAGATTATAGCATGGAGGAGCAGAGGCTGAGGAAGAATTGGGACCTAGCTCAGCCTGGCAAGGAGCAGCCTGGGGAGGAAGGGAGAGGTCAGATGGGTCTGCAGAAAAGGAAGATTAGAAAGACTCAGCAATGCTTGGGGTTGGTACTGAGGGGACAGGTGGGAGGGAAAGAAGGAAGATTTGGGACGAGTTGCACTGGGCACAGAGACTAGGAAGTGACTAATGTGTAAAAGAATGCCTGGACGTCAGGCACCTCAGACCGTTTACCTATTTTATGACAAGAATTATTTAGATCTTGCAGGATGGAAAAATTCAAAGTGCCATTTTCTGGCTATTTGGAACTACTGTCAAGTTTGTACTGGGGTCAAGCGGCATTGCAGAAGAAAATAAGGCATTTAGGTTTTAGGTCAGATGTGAGTTGAAGAGGTTTTAAGTTTTTGAGAACACAGGCCAAGGGAGTAGAAGGAGGAATGGAGGGTGGAAAGTTGCCTATAGTGAAGGAAGCAAGCCTAGAGAAAAGAGAGAGTAGAGAAATGGAGGGAAGGGGTTTGGGGGTTCTTACCTTCCAGAAAAGTGGGAAAAGGGGTTGGGGCACAGAGATAAGAGGTTGAGGCATAGAAATAAGGGATGGGGCATGGAAATAAGGGGTCGGGGCATGGAAATAAGGGGTCGGGGCACGGAAATAAGGGGTCGCGGCATGGAAATAAGGGATTGGAGCACAGAGATATGAGGTTGGGGTACTTGCCCCCTCCTCTAGAAAAGTGGGACTTGCCACTAAGAGTGAAGGAGAAGGGGTTGAGGGGTACTTGCCCCTCCCCCAGAAAAGCGGGACTTGCCACTAAGGTTGAAGGAGAAGGGGTTGAGGGGTACTTGCCCCTCCCCCAGAAAAGCAGAGAAGGGGTAGAGACAAGGAGAGAAGGGGTTGGGGTACTTGCCCCTTTCCCAGAAAAGCGGGACTTGTCGCTAAGGGTGAAGGACCACGGCAGGCATCCCTGCGTGGTCTGACACCTTTGAAATGTGGATGAATAATCAGAGAGGTGTCCTTGCAATGATTAAACACCAAGGGAAGTCTGCCTTCCTAGTCCGTGACCGGTGCTGGAGTTTTGGGTCCACGGATAAAACGTGTCTCCTTTGTCTCTCCCAGAAAATGAAGGGAATTGAAATTAAGAGAAGGGAGAGATTGAAGAGTGGAAAGGAGAAAATGGTTGAGGGACAGTGAGAGAGGTTGGAGAAGAGAGTAAGAAGAGGCCGCTTACCTGATTTAAAATTGGTGAGATGTTCCTTGGGCTGGTCAGTCTGAGGACCTGAGGTCGTAGGTGGATCTTTCTCATGGAGCAAACAACAGGAGGACAGGGGATTGATCTCCCAAGGGAGGTCCCCCGATCTGAGTCACGGCACCAAATTTCATGCACGTCCATGTGAAGAGACCACCAAACAGGCTTTGTGTGAGCAATAAAGCTTTTAATCACCTGGGTGCAGGTGGGCTGAGTCCGAAAAGAGAGTCAGCAAAGGGAGATAGGGGTGGGGCCATTTTATAGGATTTGGGTAGGTAAAGGAAAATTACAGTCAAAGGGGGGTTGTTTTCTGGCAGGCAGGAGTGGGGGGTCGCAAGGTGCTCAGTGGGGGTGCTTTTTGAGCCAGGATGAGCCAGGAAAAGGACTTTCACAAGGTAATATCATCACTTAAGGCAAGGACCGGCCATTTACACTTCTTTTGTGGTGGAATGTCATCAGTTAAGGTGGGGCAGGGCATATTCACTTCTTTTGTGATTCTTCAGTTACTTCAGGCCATCTGGGCATATACGTGCAAGTCACAGGGGATGCGATGGCTTGGCTTGGGCTCAGAGGCCTGACAATTTTCACCATAGCTTCCACTAAAAAATGTAGCCAACCACTGCAGAGATTACTGATACCACTATGCTGTTCACAGCCAAAAATCACAGACTATACTGCTGCATGCATCCAGAATCAAAGCTAAAGCACCTTTCCCAGTCATTACCATAGACACATCTTCAGGAAGAAATTCTCCTCTACAAAAGTCAATTCAAGAAGTGACTGTTACGTCAGATGTGCAGATATTTTGCTTATCTTCATAACACGAGGTGGTTTTAGAACACGGAGCAAGGCACTCACTGTACTTAGGGTTTCTTCCCTCCCACAGAAACAAAGATATAGGAATACTATTTTCTATGAAGATTGCATTTCAAAAGAATGGCTCCACGGTCCTTGATAAAGACATTCTTGGCTATAAAACTGGCAAGAGGCTTTCAGAAAGATTTACATATATCTCAAAGGGCACAGGAAAAATTTACAATTACAAGCTTTCTAAAGTAAAAACTGTAAGCAAAGAGAGGTTAGAAGCCTAGATGCATGAAAAAAAAAAAAAAAAAAAACAACGTAAAGTTTGTTCAAGCTGAGGGGAATGGTAAGGTTGCTTTGGCCATTAAGCAAAAAGTCTAATGAGAATAACAAAAACTTTCAGCAATAATTTTGTTTGAAGAAGGAGCGGGTAACATTTTAGTCAGTACATGTTTAAAACTTATCTCATATTTATGAAATAAAGAATAGTTCATGCCAAAAAGATTTATACATAAAAAGCTCAAAATCAAAGTTGGTTGATACAATCTAATGTTGTTAAAATTGTCAAAGACATCCTAGCATACCTTCAGTAAATCATATTATCTTTCTACTTCAACATAGTAGAGGGCACGGAGATGAAACCAGCTCTGTTTATTAGGTTTTCAAAAGCCATTGATATGACACTATGGAAGAATCTATTACCTTCTTGTCTACAATAAAAATTATGATTGTGACTGAAGAACATTTTTGACACTACACATGTATTAAGATGTGGTATGAAAATAAGCACTTGTATAAGTACATTTGGATTCTTACAATAAGCCTTATTCTATCATTAATTTTTACAAGAATGGCTTAAACCTTGAGATGTGGAAGATAATACTATTACACTGCTTATATTTATTTTATTTATATGATAACACTTCTGAGTTGAGAAAGGAAGGAGGGAGGGAGGAAGGAAGAAAGGAAGGAAGGGAGGGAGGGAGGGAAGGAAAAAGCCTTGCAGAGTGTTTAAGATCTCTTGTATAAAAATATTCATTAGAAGGCCAGGTGTGGTGGTTCATGCCTGTAATCCCAGCACTTTGGGAGGCTGAGGTGGGCAGATCACGAGGTCAGGAGTTTGAGACCAGCCTGGCCCATATGGTGAAACTATGTCTCTGCTAAACATACAAAAATTAGCCAGGTGTGGTGGCACACACCTGTATTCCCAGCTACTCAGGAGGCAGAAGAATCGCTTGAACCCAGGAGGCAGAGGTTGCAGTGAGCTGAGATCATGCTACTGCACTCCAGACTGGCCGACAGAGTGAGATTCCATCTCAAAAAAAAAAAAAAAATTATTCATTAGAGAAAGACTTGTTCTACAAAAGTTTTCATTCATTACATCAGGCTTTTTTTTTTGGCAGAATAATGATTTTGATAGCTACTAAATTAACAGTTATTTAAAAAATTATTATCCTATTTATAAAACCAAGACCATGTAGAGGGCTTCTCTTTTATTTTTATCTACAAGTCAGCAGTCACTTGAGGTTAATTAAAATTGATTTATATGCAAAAAACCTCCAATAAAGACAAGTGGGTTTTTTGTTTTGTTTTGTTTTTTGTTTTGCTCTCAAGTATGAATGAGAACATGCATATTTGTCTTTCTGTGCCTGACCTATTTTGCTTAATATAAGTCCTCCAGTCTGATCCATGTTTCTGTGAATGAGAGGATTTTATTCTTTTTTATGTTTGAATTGTATTCCAGTTTGTATATATACCACCTTTTTAAAAGAAATGTTTCATCGTTTGATGGACATTTAGGTTGTTACCATATCTTAGGTATTATAAATAGTTCTACAATATATTGGGGGTGCAGGAATTGTCAGAGGTGTTTGAACCAGAGCAACTCCATCATGAATAGGAGCTGGGTAAAATGAGGCTGAGACCTCCTGGGCTGCATTCCCAGGAGGTTAGGCATTCTAAGTCACAGGAACAGCATGGAGGTTGGCACAAGGTACACGTCATAAGGACCTTGCTGATAAAACAGGTTGCAGTAAAGAAGCTGGATAAAACCCCAAAACCAAGATGGCAATGAGAGTGACCCCTGGTTGTCCTCACTGCTCATTATATGCTAATTGTAATTTATTAGCATGCTAAAAGACACTCCCACCAGGGCCATGACAGTGTAAAAATGCCATAGCAATATAAGAAAGTTATCATATATGGTCTACGAAGGGGAGAAACCCTCAATCAAGCTGACACTCAGTATTAACCATCACAAGTCCATCCTTTGTCAACTTGAACCCATACACATCTCCTGAGATCATACATAATCTTCAAATAAAGACAATAATAAGGTAGTAGTTACATCTAACATAATACAACTATCCTTTGTACAACCGGAAACACATTAATCCCCAACCCAAATACTATTACATAAAGTTAACAATATGTAAATGCTGATGTGAAGTAAATAAATCTTATGTCACATGATAAAGGAAAAAGGAAATAAAATGAAGATATTTTCTTAGTGCAAGTGTATACATGCACAAACATGTTTTTAACAAAAGAAAGAGGAAATACTCATGACAATTACTGTACTTATTTCTGCAGCTAGTCACATTGCCATAGATGGTAAGGATGACTACCTTCTACATATTCTGTATTCCCTTTGCCTTCAGCAAGCACCTCAGCAGGTCGTGGTTTTTTCCCTGGTGGAGTGATCCAAATCTTCATTACTGAAGGGTCTGGGCCATTTGTAGTCCGGCCTGGATTAGGCTGTTGCAGTTTCCCCTTGAACTTAATCACAGGGCTTGTTAATACTAAGAGATGACCTAATGGATCTCCTATATCCATACTCTTCCTTACCTCCATTGTGGAGTAATAGACTGATTTCATCTTGATAGTCTGGGTCAATCAGCCTTGTCCACACTATAACTCTCTCCTTAGCCTATTGACTAAAAATAGGAGAAGCACAAAGTGTCCAGGTGGCAATCTTAACACCAGTCTAATGGAATCATTATTGTGTCTCCTGGTGGCAGCGTTTCTCCCTCTGGAACTAAGACCTCTAGGCCAGCAGAACATAACGTCGTGGTAACAGGGGGCAAAAATTTTGTTATTGTATCACTAGGGGTGATTATGAGTGGTGCCCTTCCACCCCTTCATTCCTGGACCCGTGAATCCTGGCTATGGGAGAAACAGTACCATGTATGGGACGGTGATTCAGAGCATACATGGCCTTCTGGAGAACTTTGCCCCAGGCCTGCAAAGTATCGTCACCTAGTTGCCATTGTAATTGTGACTTCAAAAGGCCATTGCACCATTCTATCATTCCAGCTGCTTTAGGATGATGGGGAACATGGTAAGACCAGTGAATTCCATGAGCATAAGCCCACTGCCACAATTTTTTAGCTGTAAAGTGAGTGCCTTGGTTAGAGGCAATGCTGTGTGGAGTACCGCAATGGTGGATAAGGCATTCTGTGAGTCCATGAATGGCAGTATTGGCAGAAGCATTGCATTCAGGATAGGCAAACCCATATACAGAGAAAGTGTCTATTCCAGTGAGGACAAATCTCTGTCCTTTCCATGATGGAAGAGATCCAATATAATCGACCTGCTAGCTGGCTATCCACCCTGAGGAATGGTGCCACATCGAGGGCTCAGTGTTGGTCTCTGCTGCTGTCAAATTGGGCACTCAGCAGTGGCCATAGCCAGGTCAGCCTTGGTAAGTGCAAGTCCATGTTGCTGAGTTCATGCAAAACCTCCATCACTGCCACCATGGCCACTTTGTTCATGGGCCCATCGGGCGATGACAGGGGTGGCTTGGGAAAGAGGCTGAGTGGTGTCCACAGAACAGGTCATCCTATCCACTTGATTAGTAAACTCCTCTGCTGAGGTCACCCATTGATGAGCATTTACATGGAATACAAATATCTTCACAGTTTTTGACCACTCAGAAAGGTCCATCCACTTATCTTTTCCCCAAATTTCTTTGTCACCAATTTTCCAATCCTGCATTTTCCAAGTCCTTGACCATCCAGCTAAACCATTGGCTACAGCCCATGAATCAGTATATAATCGCACATCTCTCCGTTTCTCCTTCCATGAAAAGTATACAACCTGAAGTTCTTCCTATGGGGAAGATGTCCCTTCAGCGCTGTCCTTCAGGCATGTCCTAGAAAGGGGCTGCAGTGCTGCAGCTGTCCACTTTTGGGTGGTACCTACATAACGTGCAGAACCGTATGTGAACCAGGCCCAAGTCTTCTCTTCCTCTGTCATCTGTTAATAGGGAACTCTCCATAAAGCCATGAATGCTGGCTGGGGGAGAGAAGGAGGATGGCAGGAATAGAGACCATGGGCATTTGACCACTTCCTCATGTAACTTACCTGTACCTTCAGGACCTGCTCAAGGCTGATCATGTATACATCACTTCCATTTGATGATAGAATGCCGCTGTGCACAACCCACTTTATGGCTGGATAGGTCAGAAAGCACCCAGTTCATGATAGGCAGTTAGGTTACATGGTGACTTGTTGACCCATAGTCAAACGTTCAGTTTACACCAAAGCCTAGTAACATGCCAAGAGCTGTCTTTCAAAAGGAGAGTACTTATCTGCAGGAGATGGCAGGGCTTTGCTACAAAATCCTGGAGGCCTTTGCTCTAATTTACCTGTAGGCGCCTGCCAAAGGCTCCAAACAGCATCCCTATCTGCCATTGACACCTCAAGCACCATTGGATCTGCTGTATCATATGGCCCAAATGGCAAAGCAGCTTGCACAGCAGCCTAAGTCTGTTACAGAACCTTCTCCTGTTCTGGACCCCACTCAAAACTGGCAGCCTTTTGGGTCACTTGATAAATGGGCTGGAGTAACACGCCCAAATGAGGAATGTGTTGCTTCCAAAATCTAAATAAGCCCAGTAGGCATTGTGCCTCTTTCTTGGTTGTAGTAGGGGCCAAATGCAGCAACTTATCCTTTACCTTAGAATAAATATCTTGACAGATCCCGCACCACTGGACCATTGGAAATTTTACTGAGGTAGAAGTTCCCTGAATTTTAGTCTGATTTCTTTCCCATCCTGTGGCATGCATATATCACACCAATAAGTCCAATGTATTTCCTAGTTCTTGCTCACTGCATCCAGTCAGCATAATGTCATCAATGTATTGGACCATTACATTGGTCAATTACCTTGGTGTGATAATCTTGGGGAAGTGAAAAGTGATCAAGCTCTCTCTTACTAAGCTTATGACACAAAGTCAGAGAGTTGATGTACCCCTGAGGTAGGACAGTAACGGTATACTTCTGACCTTTCCAGCTGAACACAAATTACTTCTGGTGGGCCTTGTGGACAGAAATGGAGAAAAAGGCATTTGCCTAGTCAATACCAGATACCAGGAGATTTGTTGATTTGCTCAAACAATAAAACTATCTGGTACAGCAGATACAATTGGAGTCACCACTTGGTTAAGCTTACAATAATCTGCTGTTATTCTCCAAGATCCATCTGTCTTCAGCACAAGCCAAATGGGGTAGTTGAATGGGGATATGGTGGGAATCACCACCCCTTCATCTTTCAAGACCTTGGTGGTGGCACTAATCTCTGCAATCCCTCCAGGGATGTGGTATTGTTTTTGATTTACTTTTGATTTTCTATGTAGAGGCAGATGTAATGGCTTCTATTTGACCTTTCCCCCAATAATAGCCCTTACCCTACCAGTTAGGGAGCCAATGTGGGGGTTCTGCTAGCTGCTAAGTATGTCTCTGCCAATTATGCATTTTGGCCCTGGGGAAATGACCATAGAATGAGTACAGCGACCCACTGGACCCGCTGTAAGTCAGACCTGAGCTAAAATTCCATTAATTACCTGACCTCCATAAGCCCCTACTTCAACTGGAGGACCACAATGACGTTTTGTGTCCCCTGGAATCAATGTCAGCTCAGATCCAGTGTCCAGTAGTCCCTGAAACGTCTGATCATTTCCCTTTCCCCAGTGCACAGTTACTCTGATAAAAGGCTGGAGGTTTCCTTGGGGAAGGATAGGTGAAAGATTCACTGCATAAATTATCAGTAGAGTAGTGGGGTCCTTCTTCAAGGTGAGCCGGCTTCCCCTTCACTTAAGGGGTTCTGGGTTTGTAAAATGGCTCAAGTCTGGAAATTTATTGACTGGCCATGTTTTTTTTTAATAATTCAAATTAGTCTTTTGTCCATTTGACCTAGAAGTTTTCTGCTTATATAAATTAAATAGGAATGCAGTAGGCTTCCTATCAATTTCACTTCTAGAAACACTTTGATTAATTAGGTAATGCCAGAGTGCTATACGACTCAGACTATTCTGATTGCCATTTGCCTCTGCTGTCTATTACTGTAGCTACGGCCACCTTGCTTTTGATGGTTGAGTGATGCCACTTGGCCCCTGCCACCTCAGGATCCAATTATTCCCATTGTATTTAAATTTTGTAGTTGAGTGACTGTGGTTTCCACTGTTAGATCTGACATACAGAAAAGAGCAATTACAGGGTCCTTCAAAAATGCAGATGCTACCCTTATAAATCTATTTTGCAAGGCATTGATCAAGGGTATATCCTCTGGACCCTTTCAGCTGGGACTAGTAGGTCTTAAGTGACTAATTCACTCCAGCATCCCAATTTCCCTAAGCCCTTAGATCCCTTCCTCTACATTAAACCAAGGGAGATCAGGCATTTCCAACTCATTCACAGTGGGCTGTCTTTTCATCCTTATTTCAGCTAACCAAGCAAATAAACTGTCAGAATCTTTTTTAAATCCCTGAGCTGCAAGATTAAATGCAGAGTCTCTACCTAGTGCACCCAAATCAATAAATTCCTAACCCAACTTTATGTTCCTTCCACAATTATCCCACACCCTTAATATTCATTCCCATGCCTATTCTCCAGATTTCTGCTTATATAAATTAGAAAACTCAAGCAGTTATTTTTGAGTGTTGCACATCTTCTCTTGGGTCATACTCTCAACCTCACCTCTAGGAGCCCGCCAGGATTTTAATCTAGTTATAGGTCTAGAAGCAAACAGGGGTTTTGGGGGTGGCTCCTGAGGAGAATTAACATTATCTTGCCTGGCAACTGCCTCAGGTGAGGGTGTTACTGTTGCCTTAGTGCAGGGTTTATCTCTTCAGACAAAGGTAGAAAGGCTGATGGCAGCATGGGTCAGGGAGGGAATGTTCCCATTACTGGGGATGGGGAAGCTGTTTCTTCTGGTGAAAAATGTTCATCAGAGTTTTCAAACTCAGTGTCCCCGGCTTCATCAGGGTCCTCCCACACATCCCTATTCCAAATTGCAGGGTCCCATTCTTTTCCAATCAATATCCTCACTTTAACAGTAGACACCTGACATGGCTGTGGATGCACCTTTCATTGTAAGTCAGCCACTCATATGATAAGAGCTTGTGTCTGTTTTTCCACAATTTCAGCTCTTTCTCTACAAGCGATAAGACTCTCACTCAGGGCAATCTTAGCAGATCTGAGGCTCCGTGTCTGCTTTCGAAGCTGGGAGTTAGAATCTCTGAGTTTATTATTTCTTTCATCACTTTGTCCACTGAACTTAGGAGCAACTAACCAGCTTCATTATGTTCCTTGGTTCTTCACATATTGTCAAGGTATTATGTATAGATGCACTAAACTCCTTGCCTTTTATAAGCAGTGAATCAGGAGTAAACAGGGGAGTTTATTAAGTATTAACTCATACAATCACAAGGTCCCACAATAGGCTGTCTGCAAGCTGAGGTGCAAGTAGAGCCAGTCCGAGTCCCAGAACTGAAAAACTTGGAGTCCAATGTTCAAGGCAGGAAGCACCCAGTACAGGAGAAAGAGGTAGGCTGGGAGGCTAGGTCAGTTTAATCCTTTCATGTTTTTCTGCCTGCTTTATATTCTAGCCTTGCTGGCAACTGATTAGATGGTGCCCACCAAGATTTAGGGTGGGTCTGCCTTTCCCTACAAATTAACTGACTCAAATGTTAATCTCGTTTGGCAACACCCTCACGGACACACCCAGGATCGATACTTTGCATCGTTCAATCCAATCAAGTTGACACTCAGTATTAACCATCACACCACATCAGTTACAGCATTTCTTCTCTTAAAAGTGTATAAAGTTTGTTTCTGTTCCATATTATCACAAACACTGGTGTTACCAATTTTCATTTTTGTCATTAATAATCTGTATTAAGTTTGATATTAGATACCATTTAAAATTGTGCCTATGTATTTTCTCTTTTAAAATGCCAATATTTTGCTGATAATTTCTTTTGATTAGTTTGTTTTCTTTCTTATTAATTTGTAGAGTTAGTTTATATACACTGAATTTTTTTTCATTTGTTGATTTTAAGAGTGGAAAATATTTTTTCTAATTGTGTTTAATAATTTTGATAAGCAAAAATTCTCAATTTTTATAAAGTCAAAAGCAATCATTTTCTTAATAATTTTTATATTTTGTTTTAATATATACATATTTTTACTCTAAGTTTATGAAGATAGTAATCATTCCTATTCTCTAAAGCTTGATAGGTTGTCTTTTAAATCTCAGCATTTATTCTCTTTGGAATTAAATACGGTATATTGTAGAAAGAAAGATCCCAACTTTCTTGTTTATTTACTACCCAAATATCCTAGTATTGTGCATGAGAATGTCTGTTCTTTCCTTGTTAATTTGCAAACCTCATTTACATATTGTCCCTAGAAGTATGTAGTCTTGTTTCTGAGTTCTTTATTTGATTCCTTCAGTTTCTTTCTCTACTCTGGCAGTACCTAGGAGTCCTAAACACTAAAGCTTCATAGGTCCTGACATGTGGTGGAGAAAATCCTTTAAAAGTTTTCTTCAAGAGTATTGTGCCTAATCTTAGTCTTTCCAATTTCCAAATATACTTATAACCAGCTTATGTTCCATTTTAAAAAATATTATTATTATTTTAAAATTTGTTTGAACACATGGAATCATTTGGGGAAGAAACTACATCTTTATACTATGAAGTATTTCAATCTGTAAACATACTCAACACTTTTCTAATAAAAATCCATCTATGTTATAACTTTCTTCTTCATGTCTTACATGCTTTTGTTAGATTTATCACCTGGTACTTAATAATTTAAATTGCTTTTAAAAGTATATTGTTTATTTTTTTCTTTTTCTTTTTCTTTTTTTTTTTTGAGATGGAGTCTCACTCTGTCACTCAGCTGGAGCGCAGTGGCAAAATCTTGGCTCACGGCAACGTCCGTCTCCCAGGTTCAAGCAATTCTCCTGCCTCACCTCTCAAGTAGCTGGGATTACAGGTGTGAACCACTATGTCCAGCTAATTGTTATATTTTTAGTAGAGATGGGGTTTTACCATGTTGCCCAAGTTGATCTCGAACTCCTGACTTCAAATGATCTGCCTGCTTCGGCTTCCCAAATTGCTGGGAATACATTCAATATATTGTTTAAAAATAAATTTTACTTTCTACTTTTTAGAATTAGAAAGTGACAGTTGTTTGTAGATAAAAATATAACATTTTTTACGTTGTCTTTGTATCCTCCAGCTATTTGCCACACTTCTTAATTCTTGTATGTTTTCTAGCTCCCATTCTGTGTGTGTGTTATCTGTTCACTCTACTGATTGTTTCCTTTGCTGTGCATATATTTTTAGCTTGATGTGATCCCATTTGTCTATTTTTGCTTTGGTTGCAGGCCATCTGCTATTTATTGCTGTTAAATTTCTTTTTCAGAGAGGGCTTTTATTTTCCCATGTCAAATGTATGAGGTACCATTTTAAACTAAATAAACTGAAGAGTCTTTGACAGACTGGTGATAAATATATCACAAATATATTAAATATGCAGCTTAATATTGTATCCTTCATTGAATGTATCAGTGAAATATTAGACATTGTCCTGTTTTATTCCCCCTTAATTTTTTGAAATGTCTGAATTGTCAGAGATTTCTTACACAATAGCTTAGCTGATAAATGAAAAAAGTAAATATTATCCTCACTGATATCTCAATAAACAGCAGACATTGTTACTTCTTTTATTCATAATCTTTGTTTCAGAATATTTTTGTTAGTAAGTTTAATATCAATGACTCAAACTCATATTTATTCATATTTTATAATCTCTGTGGTTGATTTTAGTTCATATTAAAGGTTACAATATTGAAAAGACTAATTAAATTACCTACAAATGATTAAATGATGAAAGATAAAAACAGAGACAAATTATTTACTTTAGCACATATAGGATATACTTCCTACACATAAAAATCAAATAATTAACTGTTTATTAAAAAATCCAAGCAGAAAAAGTTCATCTGACAAATGAACAATTGATGAGTTAGAATAAATGAAACTATTTTAGCCACAGATATTTAAGAACGTTCAAAACAGCTAAAGAAATCATTTTTAATCTGTAGTATATCAATCCTCATTGTAAAATATGGAAAGCTCAGGCTAAAATTAACTTCAATGTTTATTCCAAACACATATATAAAGCATACTATTATGGATTTATATAAATAAAATAAATATACCACATTAAAAAAGTAAGAGAGAAAAAAACCCACATGAAAGGATTGATTCATTCATTTATTTTCTGAGAATTGAAGTTTCATCAATACAGCAAAGTAACAGAAATGAGGAAATTTAAAATCTGGGATGTTACAAGGAAAAGGTCTGAATAACTAAAATCTTTTGGAATCAGTAAACCAGAAAGGGTAAGCTTTTGGAAAAATAGCCTTAATATAAGCATCCCTCAAGCATTACTTTAACTTATAGTATAATGCTTTTTACTTACATTTTCTGCATTATTGTGACTTTTTGAAAAACATGAATTCAAAGAATCATAGGTCAAATTATGCATTTAAAAATAATTTAATATATGCTAAAATTATGTATGTTTGATATATAGTGTGCTTAAATTATTGATAAGCCACTGTAAGAAATTTGGTGCTCCCAAATACCAGCAAGTGGCTACCTTGCCCAAGAGATAAGCACTTTCTGTTGCCTAAAGTTTTAAACATTTCGGAAAGTACTAGCCAGACCATAAATGTATTGATGAAAAAACAATAAAAATAGTTAAATTGTAAAACTAATGAAGTGTCCTGTGCAACTTTAGGTATAACCAATTATAATAGGGCTGAGGCAACTGTAAATCAAAAACACGAGGTTTATCCAAAGCACTCAGGCTTCCAAATAGGATATAAGAGTCAACCATCTGAATCTCTCTCTGTGCACTGAACTGACCTGGGGACTGTCGCATGAACCGTGCAGTGGCTACATCTTTTTGTGCAGACTTTGGGAAAATGATAGAACACATGTCCCATAAATGCATCAGCTGGGACCCATAAGTGCATTAGCTGGGAATGAATGGTGGTCTAGGCATGGAGAAGAAACTTTCTACCCGCTTTCCCCTCTTCATTACTCACAGTTGCCACTTAGCTTGCTGATGGAAAACAAATGATAGCCATTGAAAGTGAGTTGTGTTGTGCCTTGCTATTTCAACAACATGAAACCAGGTCGTTGTTTTGACCCTGAAGCATAATGCCTCAGAATAAAATACTTATACCAGAAAAATAGTTCAAATTTCAAAATATAAGTAAATGTGTCCAATATAATTTATAATTTAACAATCCACCAATGTGATTCAAACCTTATAAAATCAATCAAGCACCATTCCAGAAATTCTGAAAATCAATTAAAATTCTAAAATTTTGAAAGATGAATTACACAATTATATTAATTAATTCTAACTAATTTTAGAAATAAAAATGTATTATATATTTTAAAAAGAAAAAGAAAAATTAACTTTTTTCTTTGGAAAGAGATGAATATGTGATAAAACAATGGTATGTAGGGATTTCAGAAAAGGATCCCAGAGTTCCCCTACCTTTTTGGAGCTATGTACATTCAAGGTCATTGACTAATGAATTTCATACAAAATATGCATCCTTCTAAGTAAACCAGCTGAGAACGATATTACTGCATTCAAGTTTTTATAATCATTCTATAATTAAAGTCCCAATGTATGTTCAAATGAGCACATCTCAACTTTGTTTTAACCTATGATCCATTTTGGTAAACATCAAACTCTTATGTTCTCCATTAATGTCATTTGAGTTTCAAAATAAATTAGGTATTGTCACCAAGAGCATGTCAAATCAATGATAATATTAGTAAAAAATATTATAATGTGAAAAATAAGATCATTCTGTGCTTAAGGTCTACTTGTTTGGCACAAGGTTCACTGTCCTAGGAAGTGGAGAAGTTTAAATACAATATAGGTCACTTTCAATGTCAAGTCTGTTTTATTATTTAGTTTCCAAGTTAAAATTTTATCATAAAATTTGTTTGACTTTTTACTTCTACACTGATTAACAAAAGATATTAGTCCTGAGATTCACTTTTGTTATTCTGTCCTTGGAAGTTGCTCCTCTTTCTTTGTCTATGAAAAAATCAAAGTACTCATAAATGGTTCCCTCTGTTGTTTCAAGACAGTATCAGTACTCTGCACTAATACACTATATCTGTTCTTATATACTAATTAGGTACAGCCATAATAAATAGATTAAAGAACAAGTTTAATTATGAGAGAAGGCTTCTCAGACATACACACAAAAAGTGTGTCTAGCAATAATATATTTTGCATGATATGCCAAATAAGCTGATGAGATTTAACCTTACAGAGGCTTTAGAATTTAAAACAAAAGAATGTTAAAAAAAAAAAAAATGAAGGAAGGAAAGCAGAAAGGAAGAATGGAAGCTCATCTTTTTATAAAAATAATTTACGTATCAAAGAATGCCCAAACCTGAGCTGCAAAGGTTAGAGAAATGAAAATCAAGTTTGTCTTTTTGGAGTCTTTTTTAAAATCATCGTTCCAATTTGTTCTTAATACTTACTTTAAATTTACCAAAACAACAATGAATTTTCCAGGAGACTTCATTAAAGGAACAAAACAAACAGTAAAATTTTACACAAAGAGGCAACTTTATGTGCTAATAAGGGTATAATATTTGAGAAAATAAAAATGCTTCAAACATAGCATTTATATAAGAAACTGCTATTGATATCACAATGGTAATTATTTTAGATCACTACATGGTGACAAAATAGTGACTGCCTTTTCCCTGTAGCTCCATACCCCAATTCAACATTTCCATATCTACCAAGGTTAAATGTGCACGAGTTCCTACATTTTTGCAGTTCACCAGAGACAGGAAACACAGATGTAAGCAGATGTAAAGGACACTGAAGCTGTGTGCATAGGCTCTGGGGAAAACCTGGCTCATATACATTCATGTGGTTTGATTTTATTTTGTTTTTAAAATGCTTGATTATATTTAGGGCTTAAACTGAAGGAAATGGGCCTGCTTTTATACCTAAGGGCGTTGATACATCTTACAATATTTTTTTGCTCAAAGGTAAGAAAATACTTCACTCAACTTTGTAGCTAGGATCATGCTATTACCCATTAGCAACAGAACATGAAGTAATATTTAGCATATCTTCAACCACAGCATGGAGATGTGCTAACATTGGGGTCCTCTCTAGATGTAAATGTATTTAAATAAAATAAAATCATAAAGTGTTAGTAAATAAATATTTTAATTATCCCAGTAACTTTATAAAATAATCCATTGTCTCTCTGTATCTGGAGAGGTCTTGGTGAGGATAATATAAGATTGGAATCAGAAACCAGGAGGGAAAGCCTCATTGAAACACACTGGTGTATGATTTCAGGTATACCGTTTAATTTTTAAATATTCATTCTCATCTATCAAATAAAGGGGTTGGTGCTTAACTTATAGGCATATTTTGAGAAGTAAGTGGAAAAGACATGTGAAACTCCTTCATACACTGATGAGTTCATATTTATTTTTTTAGGGCAAATTAATCCCCCTAGAACATTTCCAATAGTAAAATTTCAACTGAGTATCACTTCTGGTATTTTTCAGTTATATTCATTAAATAACTTTTCAAAAGTTTAAATATCTGTTCTCACCTACACTATTATTTCTCTTACATAGCTTATATAAGTTAATAGTACCACAATCTACTTTTCAAAAATTTCCATCATTAAAAAGAATATCTTCCACTATCTTACCTGCCTATTCTTCCTTTAGCTTCTGACTCTAGTCATAGGGAATTTTTTCCATCCTTCATATTCATATTATTTCCAACTTCTTTAATTTCATTCATACTCTCCTACCTGTGCATCACTCTAGTACTTTAAATTACTTTGCAAAATATTGTCTTAGCATATCCATATTCCAATTATCTCTTTACGTGTTTGTTTCTTTACATAGATGTTAGTTCTCAACAGTGTAAAGAATATGGCTCATTAAGTTTTGCATCTCCAGTGTTTAAAACATTGCTTGAAACACAGTAGTTATTCGATAAATATATGTTGAACTAAAGTACTTAAGGCTATTTTTGACACATATGTCAAAATTAAAAATTAAATGTCTGGTTTATGAAAATGAAGAAAAGTTCAATTTTGAGTTCTCCTTTAGTTTAACCTAATATTTAAATTAAAATACGTTTCAAAAAGTAGAAATATTTCTCCTGTAACAATATGTTTGGAATACACAGAAAGGACAGAAAAGAAATGAAATGAATATACCTTGGGCAAAATAATAAATGCCTTTTCAGATTTCAAAGTTACCATTTATTTTCCAAATTCTTATGATGCACCCATGTGCCTACAAAATCTAACTGCAATACTTATAACAGGTAGATGGTTATGTAAAAATTGCAACCTAGCGGAATTATTTATTAATCAGTGACAAAGGTTTTAGCAGCTCTGTGGTATGTTGTTTTTATTTTACTGAACAAGATAAATTAATAAAATAATCAGAGTAGAATTAATTTATGGTAACCACATAATATGTTAAATACTATGTTGTATTGGTTAAATGTCACTTTGTGTGAACTTTATTGTATTTGATAATTTAATTTCTTAAATTAAGTTTTCTTCAAACACTATCTTATTACTTTGTGATTTCCCCTAGGATCCAACATGAGAAAGAAAATCTATTTCTTAAATTTATAAGCATAGAATTAAAACATATTTAATGAGTTGATAAATACATCTGACATGGATCTCTTACACAATTAAACTTCAATAAAGTTTTGTAACATATTTGATACTTAGGTTTTCAATTTTCATTTGCCTAATTTAAACATACATGATAGCCTTTCTCACAACAATTTAAATTGTGTTTTGAAAATATTTTTTTCATCTAAATTTTATTTTGGAATGAAAAGACAAGAAAGAAGGCATGTCTGTTTAGATACATACTATATGTGTATATATATATCTCATAAGTTCTTATTTTCATACTAATCTTAAGTACATTTAAGACGAATGATAAAACACATATTTGTGTATTGATGGTGGTCTTATTTCTATTTCTACTAGCAAGAAAAAATATAACTGAATTGAATATCCTACAAGACTTAATGATATTAAAGAAAATATATGATAGAATATATTACAATAAAAATATATAATGAATATATAAAGGGGAAAACAAAATTTCTGTAGTGCTGTAAATCAGAACATTTAAATGTTTGGACTAAGCAGATATTGAGAAAGCAGAAGGCTATTAGGAAATATATTAGCAATAAGACATAATTAATCTCTTTTCTCTTAGAGACTCTCATTTTATCTATCTTTTTCTATATCTACATAGATATATGAGAGAAAAAAAGAGAGAGAGAGAGACAGAGAGAGAGAGGGGGGATAGATATAACCATTCACCTTGCTAGTTATCCAAAAGGTCAAAATGAATAAAAGTGGTAGACAAATTTGGAAATTATGATCAATTATGTTACTAGTTACTGTTGCTCTTAGTTCTGTGCTGTAGCTTTCTCATTCAAAATAAGTGACTGAGATTTGGCTGGACTGAAAAAATTTAGAAAGCAATATTACCTGAAATAAATTGTGTGTAAAGTTTAACACAAGAATTATTCTTAGCAAAACAAAAATCATGACAAATTTTAGTATACTGTACATTCAAAGTCACAGTACTTTGTATCATTTAATTTTCTAAAAGTAAGGCATAATTTTTAGGTATATTCCAATATCACAAATTGGCAAGAAATCCAGCATTATTACAGTCAATTCCTTAATTTAAATAAAGTCATCTTTCTCAAATACAGATTTCCTTGAAACATCAGATTGTGTAACCAATATACACATGAAATTGATAATATTTTATAAAATTTGCTTTAGCTCATTCTTATAGAAAAAGTATACTTATTTTGTTTGTAAATAGCTGTACTCCATGAAACAAAGTATAAGACATATTACATACATGTACATAATTTTCTGGAAATGTATTAAGGATAAAATGAGTTTTTTTCAAATTTTAATGATTAATGCCAAGTGTTAAATACTTGCAATGTATACTATTCTGAGATACTTATAGATCTGAATAAAAGAAATCTAATGAAGTATTAAAATTGAAGCATTGCAAATCCAAACAATACACAGTTGCATGCTATAATCTAAGTTTTAAAATTACTAAGTAGTATACACACATTGTTTCTTTGTTAAAATCAGAAATTTGAATATATGAAAATGAATTTGCAGAGAGAAGTTTGAGGAATACAACAAATGTCTTAAGGGAATTAAAAAGTGAAAATCTCAACCAGTACTTTATAATGTCCTTAAGTCTTCTATTATAGAAATGCCATTTTTAATGATTGTAACTGTTACTTCTATTACAATTATTATGTATTTATTTATTTTGAGACAGAGTCTTGCTATGTGGCCCAGGCTAGAGTGCAGTGGCACGATCTCAGCTAGGTTAACATCCTAGGTTCAATTGATTCTTGTGCCCCAGCCTCCAGAGTAGCTGGGATGACAGGTGCAAACCACCACGCCCAGCTAATTTTTGTATTTTTAGTAGAGATAGGGTTTCACCACAGTGGCCAGGCTCATCTCAAACTCTTGACCTCAAGTGATCCACCAAACTTAGCCTCCCAAAGTAGAATTACAGGGGTGAGCCACCACACTGGGCCTGCAATTATTATTTAATGTGAGATTTAAATAGCTGTTTAGAAAAATATACATGGGAAATTTGATAATTGTTTAAGTCATTTTTTTAGAATCCTTGAAGGTGTTTAAGTACTGTTTATTCAACATTTAGAAATTATAATAATATAGAAGAAATGGCTTATTGTACTGTACAACCTAATATATTTATTCTACTTAAAAGGAAGATTCTTAATACTTCTTTCTGATATCTACATATACCATGGATAAAAGTCTATAAGTATGATAGATACTTATGTATTTTTTCTACCACAGTCAATGAGAAATGTTAAATTCACATTTGACACTTGCTTCCATGGGTTTGCATCAGCAATAGGGGTAAAATCTCCTTTAATCACACTTACAACTACATTTTTATCTTTCTCACTCAAGAAGGTATATGTAAAATCAAATGAATAAGACCAACTTAATGATAGGGAAAATCCTATCTCCTAATTTGTTCTTATACAATACACTTTGCTATTTTATCTTGTTTTAAAAGTGAGCCCATATGGTATAAGCCATAATTGATTGAGACATTTTAATGGGTGATGCTCGATTGTCTTAATACAGAGTGTGTGCAACAGATCTGATACAGTAGACAGAATTGTTGCGCATTATGGCAAGGGTGACTTTTTCCCCTCCATCTCTCTCACTTAAAACGAAGGATATTTAAAAGAGAAATGTCTTCTCAAGTTTAAATGTTGAATTTGTTTCTAAGTTATTATAATTATTATCCATATTATTATATTAATATTGTGATTTCATAATAATTTATTAAGTTTTTTTGTTTGTTTTGTTTTGTTTTTTTGAGACATAGTCTCTCTCTGTCGCCCAGGCTGGAGTGCAGTGGCGCGATCTCGGCTCACTGCAAGCTCTGCCTCCCGGGTTCACGCCATTCTCCTGCCTCAGCCTTCCGAGTAGCTGAGACTACAGGCGCCTGCCACCAAGTCCAGCTAATTTTTTGTATTTTTAGTAGAGACTGGGTTTCACCGTGTTAGCCAGGATGGTCTCGATCTCCGGACCTTGTGATCCCCCAGCTTCGGCCTCCCAAAGTGCTGGGATTACAGGCGTGAGCCACTGCGCCCTGCCGTTTTATTAAGTTTTAATATTTATTAGGTATTATTTTATGCTCAAGACACCGTTCTAAAAATTTTATAAATGATTGTTATTTAATCACCATAGTAATGCTAAATGTGCTCAAAACTACTTAAACACTGGCAGAGCCAAGATTCAAACCTAGGCAGTTTCACTCAATAACTACTGTTTTCAACCACAAAACACTATCAAATAATAAGCAGTTATTATGTATTGCATGATATAGATTCTTACGAATGTATGAAGTCATTTAAGGGAGTCCATAAAAAAATTTAATACTTATTGAACTCTTATCAAATTTGTCAATTAGTGTGTTATTTGATCCTTACACTAGCTCTAAAAACCACCTTCTATAATTAGGCTAATCTTTACAGATACGAAAATAATTTTAAAATAGAGATGTTACAAAAGTTGACCAAAGTGTTAGGAACTTGCCTAAGATAAAAAAGCTAGTAAAAGGCAAACTTGCCTTTGAACCCTGGCCTATAATTCCAGAATACATGTTCATATTCATTGTTAGTGTGACATATAACCAAGAGAGCTGACATGGCACAAATGGTGCCTTTTAAGTTCATAACAATTTGAGGTAACATTGTGTTTATTATCATGAGGAAGCATAAGATTAGGTATGCATATGCATATAGGATCAGCAATACATTTCTTATTTTGAATTAATGTTAATGAATTGATAGGTAATTCAGATTATCTGTATGTTGATAATTGTACTTATTTATGTAATGCAAAGCACTAAAGTCAGAGTAGAACTGCACGCTTTGTTGGAACCAGTATATGAATGTTACTGGGCAATTCACAGCAGGACTAGCAGCTGGTTGTTTTGCCTCCACTTTTTTAAGATCTGTTCATTTCTTTCAAAGATGTGCTGTTGCTCCTAATCAAACATTTCCTCAAACATCACTCACAATATGGGTTTCTCTAAATAAACATGAGTCTCTCATTGCTTAGTATTATATAAAATATATATTTTAAAAATAACTAATTTACACAGGTTCTAACTATGTACATCTCTCATGTCATTTTAATCAGTTTTATGGTTTGCTATCATAGATGATGTTATTAACTATTATCTTAAGAGTATAATCATAATTTTCCTCAAATAATTTCAGGGAAATTACTCCCAATCTATATCCTATTTACAATGTGTGTATGTCATATAATTTTAAAAAGTATACATGTATTTTTTGCAAAGAACTAAAAGTAAGAATTAAAACATGAACATTGCCTCTGTATGAGAGCTATGCCATTTGACATCTCTTTCTTCATTTTTCTTTCCAATCGGAAAAAAAGTGTTTAAACTTCAAGGAAAAGGAATCTTCTACTTGCTTGATGGTATCTTTCTATTTAAAGATACTTAGTTATTTTCACCCAGAGCTTTCACGGCATTTTCACACTATCTCATCAGCTAGTCAATAAAGAATTATGCGCAGAGCTATAATTCTTTTTTTTTAACTTTTACATGTTTTTTTCTAAATTGAGCCATGATTCACACTTTTGTAATATAGGCCTTGATTTATAAACTCAAACCCAGATGTTTGATATTTCTCCATATAGTTTTGTTAAGCATTGCATCTATTTTACACTTCAGATCAGGAGTATAGACTCCATGGAAACTTAGATAAGTCCTATCTTCAATGATCTTTTTAACATTTCTCACATGGAATGAGAAAATTATTCTATTTCATATGTTGCTTAACCAAAATATGAAAAGCTTTAATATTTTGATAAAGTACTTTTCATAATGGCTATGCTAATTGTAATCTGTGGAAGCTTGGTGAAGTAACATACATATTTTTCAAGAATTACTCTTCCCTGGCCGGGCGCGGTGGCTCACGCCTGTAATCCCAGCACTTCGGCCGACCGAGGCGGACAGATCAAGAGGTCAGGAGATGGAGACCATCCTGGCTAACACGGTGAAACCCCATCTCCACTAAAAAAATACAAAAAATTTAGCCAGGCGTGGTGGCGGTCGCCTGTAGTCCCAGCTACTCAGGAGGCTGAGGCAGGAGAATGGCGTGAACCCGGGAGGCAGAGCTTGCAGTGAGCCGAGATCGCGCCACCGCACTCCAGCCTGGGCGACAGAGCGAGACTCCATCTCAAAAAAAAAAAAATAAAATAAAGTCCAAAGAATTACTCTTCCCTTAATGAACTGAAAAATTTAGCTAGTTAGATCTCTAATATTTTTAATTTTATAATTTTGAATAAATGTACGCACTATATTCACATCTCAAAAAGCTACAAAAAGAAAATCAACCAAACAAAAACCATAAAGGAAAAAAAGTAAAATAGAAGACACTAGTGAAAAAGCAACAAAATGCAATAGAGAAAATGACAATGCTAATATGTTTATCAAATTGATAAATTATAAAATCTGATCAAAAAAAGAATCCAAATAATCACCACCAAAATGAATGGGAAAAAATAAATTTATTTATCAGTTTTTTTTGCCAATAATTTGTCTGTATAGAGTAATTCCTCAGAAATGCTAAATCTTATGGAAAAGGAATGGGAAATCTGACACGATGTATTTTATAAAAATGAATTCATTATTTAATAAACAATTAGAAAATTCCAGGTCCAAAGGGTTTCTAATAGATATCTTCTATATTTTTAAAAAGAAATAACATCAATCTTACAATTTTTTTTTTCAGATTTTAGCAAGTAACTAATTTTATGTAACCAACATAACGTTTACATCAGAAGTTGACAAGCATAATACAGAACTCAAAAAAAATCCTTATGAATATCTCTCATGAACATGAATGCAAAACTTCTTAATTACATTTTAATAAATCAAGCAAAGAACTTAGAGCTACCATTCAAACCAGCAATCCCATTACTGGGCCTATACCTAAAGGAAAATAAATTATCTAACCAAAAAGACACATGCATTCGTTACGTTAATTGCTGTGCTATTTACAATAGCAAAGACATAAAATCAACACAGGTGCCTATCATTCTTAGATTGGATAAAAGAAATGTAGTACATATACACCATGGAATACTATGCAGTCATAAAAAGTAAAATCATGTATTTTGCAGCAACATGGTTGGAGCTGGAAGCCATAATCCTAAGCAAACTAATGCAGGAACAGAAAACCAAATACCACATGTTCTCACTTATAAGTAGGAGTTAATGATAGAGGTAAGAGACAGACAAATTCCTAGGCAGACAGGGGCGGGTACCCAGTGAAACCTGGCATTCAAACCAAAGGACAATTTAGAGCCTGAAAACCGAGCTGCTGGTTCCTGATAGAGTCCACAACCAGAGTGAGAACTTCTATTCCTGTTTGCCCACTCTTTCCCAATTGGCTCTTTCTGAATAACATTTTTTAACCAATAGAATGTTACCTTTCCCAAGGTTAGCTACAGCCCACGCCTCCTCATTCCAAACCTACAAAAACCCCAGACTCAGCCTCACAGGCGGCTACCCACTTTGGGGTCTGCTCTCACACAGAGAGCTACCCACTTTGGGTCCCCTCTTATTGTTGAGAGCTTTTCTGTTGCTTAATAAAATTCTTCTCTCCCTTGCTCACTCTCCAGTGTCCACATAGCTCCTTTCTTCTTGGTTGTGGACAAGTACTCGGAACCGCTGAACGGCAGGAGCGAAAAAGGGCTGTAACATACTCCTGTCTGGCTTCTCAAGCTGTGGACAGCATGAATGAAAAGCGCTGTGACACACTCCCATTTGCCGGACTATGGGAGTGAAGAGGGTCCAGACCTCGGGACTTCCCGAGCCAGAGTTATAACACGCCCCTATTAGCCAAGCCATGGGCGGTGGGAATGAGAGCAAGGGAGCTGTGGCATTCCCTGGTGGCTCAGACCTCAGGACTCCCCGAGGAAAAGCTGTTAACACCCCTTGGGGCTCCGCAGTTGCTGGCATCTCTGTTTTCGGGTGCCACTGTTTCCCCTCCTCTAGACGCCAGTGCACAATGCAAAAACCTCCTGAGGTATGCCTGGCTCAGCCACGGCCAGCTGTGGAATCCCCGTGCACGCGCGGGATCCAGGCTGGTAGCGCAGCTGAGTGCAGCCTGCCAGACCGAGCAGACGGAGCAAGCCCAGGGGTTACCAGCCAGGCCCTGGGCAGAGGTAATGGCAGCTGCAGGAATTTCTGGCTGGTGAAGCGGTACCAAAAGAATCTTGTGTCATTAACATTGAGCATATATAGACATAAATATGGAAACACTAGACACTGTGGACTACTAAAGGGTGAAGTGTGGTGGGGGGCGTTAAACTATCTATCAGGTAGTTTACTACCTGAGTGAAAGATCCACACTCCAAACCTCAGCATCATACAGTATTACTATGTAACAAATCTGCACATGTACTTCCTATATCTAGAATAAAATTTGAAATTAAAAAGTATATAAAATAATACATGATGATAAAAAGGCTTATTCCATAAATAAATGGTGATTTATTATTTTAAAATTTGTTGTATAATTTACAACATTAAAAGAGGAAAGAAGAAACATCGTATGATCAACAAGACAGAAAAACTTGATGAACATGTCACCACCTTTTATTGGTTGAGGAAGACATAGCGATACAAGGAACTTACATTACCTGATAAAATGTGCAAAGAACATTGAGGTATTGACAACACTGTTCCTGAGACCAAGGATGGTCACTATTAATACTTCCATTGTATGATAACAGAGATCCTAGAGATTGCAATAAAGCAACGTAATAAAAGGTAAAATGAAAAATAATAATAATAATTAAGGCAATTTTGTTTTTATTTTTCTAGAAATACTTGTCACTTGAAATTCCACATATCCATTTACCCCATACATTTCTTCAAAGCTATTCACCATTTTTCAGGCATATCATAATGGCTATTTCAAAGATATTAATAAAATATTTTAACTTTATTTAGTTTGTTAAGCATATCCACAAGTAGCATAAAAATTTATTGAACTTCTTTGAGCTATGCTTTTTTCTTTATTAGTTAAGTGTTCTTGACAAAGCTGGAATTATCAGTAGTTGATGAGTAAGGACTTTCGGTGACAGGGTTTTATCTTTTAATGTATACTTTTGATATCAGACAAAATATACTTGAACACTCTCAAAATATGTTTATGAACTTTTTTCATTTAACAATACTATAGACAGACTTAAAAATGCTTTAAGTGGATGTATTTATCAGTCTTGTTTAGATTTGTTTTGCAGAGAAGGTTCAGGGTAAGACAAACTTGTTTTATATACCAGCTTTTTCAAGTATTTCATTAAAAGCATTCTGGTATGTTTTTGTGATGGGAAGACATAAGGTACTTCTTCAACATTATTGTCTTCATATTTCTATATCACCAAAATGACTCAAGGCTGAAAAAGCAGTCAAGTCTGAATAATAATGTGTTTGCTGAATATTGAAAATACTTTAGTATTGAAGATGAATAAGATATTTGAATGTGTAATCTATGAGAAACAGGTAATACTTTTAATTCAGTGATATTCATTTCATTATGACCTGGGATTTTTAAAAATCATGTCTGGCTATATTCCAGTCAATGCTGAGTAAATTATCTTTATGAAGATTCAATACTGGGAAAAGATGACTAAATAATTTCGAAGATTCCTTTCAATACTAAGATTCCTTATTCTGGGCTGAGTAAACCCTTCTGTGATTGTTTCAGCTTTCTTAGGAACAGCAATATCTCCTGCTCCATTAATTGAATCCCTGAAAGGATTGTCTAAAGCAACTGAAAAAGTAATATACCAGTCATACCCTGGTCCAAGGATTTCCACTGTTCAAATGATCCAAGAGGCTTGGCAATAAACTAATGTGATTCTTTGTGTGCCAGTTGATTGACTATTGCTATGGTCAGAAAGATCTAAACATGATGATTTGGAAATTTTTATCGTGATATTTGGATATAGACTTACTACAGATGGAATATGACTTCAAATGATATGAGCTAGCATCATAAAACACAATGTTTAAAATAGAGACTAGCATTTGGCAAAAATGGAAGCTGACCTTTGGAGATCATTAAGGTTTATGTGCTTAGATCTCTCCAGTCTGTTGGAAGCCTGTATTATTTTACTATGTTCCCAAAAAAGAAAGTATTTGACTATTTTATATAGTGCTGGTAAAGTTAATAGTACCTTAATTTGAATAAATCCCCCTTGGTGAGGGGTAATTGTAATAATTATTAATTTATATTAAAAGCAAATAAAGACAACACAGTCATGCTCGAGCAAGAATCAGTTTTTCCTCCAGCAGTTATGTGACCATGTCTGGAAATATTTTTGGTCTTCAACAAAATATGTTACTAGAAACTATTGAGTAGAGGCTAACAATTCACAGGAGTATCCCTCACAACAAAGAATAATCCTGCCCCAAAAGTCAATGATTGAGAGGCTGAAAGACCCTGAACTGATGTATGAAAGAAAAATATAGTTTGCTACTTTGTTTAGTTTACTATCTTAATTTTTTTAAAGAGAACTTTTAATTAATATTGAAAGAATGTAAAGTAAGCACTGAAAAGAGGAGTTGAACACAGCTCAATTATACACAATTTTAAACTTTAGGGCACACTATTTTTATACACATGAATAGATAACATAGAAGGAAAAGTTAGCAGAAATGAGCTTTGCCTAGAGTGAGGAGGATGGCAAGATAGAATTTATCAGAGAAGCCAGAAAGTTCCACAAATATAAATGGGTTAGGAAATTGCTGATGTCTATTTGCCATTACATTAAAATTCAGTTGATAATCTTCCTCTTCTTCCACTACATGTAATAGTAAATCCACATACTTGTCGGCAAATCCACATTTGTCCCTGGAATATCTCAGTTCTCAAAGGCTCTCTTTAAGTTTTGGGGTTTTGTTTTTGATTTTGATTTTGATTTTTGTTTGTTTTTATTTTAGTTATCAGCATTTAGTCTCGTAAGTACAAATTAATGTATTAGAAAGCAAATCTGTTTTCCTCTATATCTCTGCAGATTTTCTGATGCAGTGTCAAGGAAGAAGAGCCACTTTTCTATTCTCACGTATGTCTTTCCTAAATAAGTTAGGAATCAGTTGTTTTAAAAACTGACTATCACTTGAGCATATAAAAATCCATATATTGGGCCGGGTGCAGTGGCTCATGCCTATAATCCCAGGACTTTGGGAGGCCAAGTTGGGCAGATCACCTGAGATCAGGAGTTCAAGGCCAAGACTGGCTAACATTGTGAAACCCCATCCCTACCAAAAAGGCAAAGTTAGCTGAGCGTGATGGTGGTCACCTGTAATCCCAGCTACTCAAGAGATTGAGGCAGGAGAATTGCTTGAACCCAGGAGGCGGAAGTTGTAGTGAGCCAAAATCACACCATTGCACTCCAGCCTGGGCAACAAGAGCAAAACTCTGTCTCAACAAAACAAAACAAAACAAAACAAAATCCATAGATTATCCATTGAATTTTTTTACCAGAAAAAAATTTGAAACAGATATAACATGATTCCCCAATGGTTTCTCAATAATTTTATTTTTAGATGCCATCAAAAATCAAATAAAATTATTAAAAACTGCAAATGTTCAAATAAACTTTTTAATTTCCAAAGGAAATTACCATAATAGCTTTTTAAACAAAATTAGTAGTCTACCTGTCCTGCCAAGCAAAATACCATAGGCTGGGTAACATATAACATCAGAAACATTTTTAAAATTAAATCATTCTCAGGAGGAATTAAAAAGGTAAGTCATGCAATAGTTACTAAGTTAGACTCAGAGTAACCACTATAGAAAAATTTAGACAGGGAGAAGTCAATGGCTTTAGGTGTAATATGGAATAAGGAATGCTGCAGAACCTGGAGTAAACCTATAAGAAATAAGGAAAAGAAGTATGGCTGCATAGTTTAATGTTTCAATTACAACTATGTTTAGTGACATAATTTCTGAAGAAAAAATATCAATCATGATCACAGAAATCAGAAAAAGTGATTGGAATATATGAGTTCAAAACCCCTGGTGCAAAAACCCAGAGGCAGGAATATTTAAGAATTATCCTTCACCATCAAATGTACCAGTGATGTTGTCAGAATCTGATGTGTCATGCATACACTCAAATCGTCACTGAATCAAAGGATAGTTTGTTGACTAATCCAATATTAATAAAGGACTCAAAAACTATTGCAATAGTTTTGAATAATGCCTTCCTTGTCTGTTTAACTTCATGTGGTGCAATTTCTATTTGACGTCATGAGGCTAAGCCTAGAAGGGTATTTTCTTAGTCTGTTTGGGCTGCTATGGCAAAATACCTTAGATTGGGTAATTTATTAACAACAAAAATTTATTGTTCACAGTTCTGGAGGATGGGAAGTTCAAGATCAAAATGCCAGCAGATTTGGTGTCTCGTAAGAGCTCATTCTCAATTTCATAGATTTTATCATGATGATGCATCCTCAGATGGCAGAAAAAGGCAAAGGAACTCCCTAGAGCCTCATTTCTAAGGGCACAAATCCCATTTATGAAGGTGGAACCCTCATAACTTAATCACTCCTCAAATATTCCACCCTTTAATACCATCATAGTGTGTATTAGATTCCAAAAAGTAAATTTGGGGATGGGAGACACAGACATTCAGACCATGACCATTGCAACTATGAATTAAAAGCTTAGGTAGATTTCCTTAAGTCTAGCTGAAACTCCTTTTTTACACAATGGATATAACTGCAGAAACTGGAATAAGCATTTTTTATGGTTCTTAAAATTGGTCACAGTATTTTTTATAATTTTTCTGTCTCCACACAGATTTTATTGGTTAAATTGTGGAGACTGCCTCAAAATTACTCTACATATTATGTTACAATGGAAAACGTTAACTATTACATATGGGGTTTCTTGATAATGGAGAATCTGGCTTAATTTTTTTTTTATCCAGTGTCGCATCTGAAAAAGAATGGTGAAACTAGTTTGCATTTCATACATCTTTTGCGAGGCAGGAAAATTCTGACCACAGCTAATTCATGGGTGACGAAAATCATTGGAATAGAAAACAGGTGCAGGACCACACTAAATACACTTATGGAGATTATTTCATGCGATTATAATCATGATGGGTAATGTTTAGCTATATCTATGCAATTTCAGTAAATGGAGTTGATCACCATATGGCAGAGTCTGACTTACTGACTATAAAAGAACATTTACACACACATATACACACACACACTTAGACATATTTCTGTGATTATGGTGTCTTTGTTTAATACATGAGTGACCCTCTAAAAGATCTACATTTGTAGCTATGTAAATATAACTCAACACACATGAAATTTTGAAATTGCAAACTAGTTTACGCAATTACTTCCTTAAGAAAAAAAGATACTCTTATCTTTACACATTACAATAAGATTTACCACTATTTAGTGCATCTAAATAGAGGAATACTTTATGACATTAATTGTTTTATGGACCATTTATAACTTGTCCAAAGGGAGTAAGATTAGTAGTCATCAGCAATTGAAGATCACAGTGAACAAGGATAAAGTTTATCCAAGATATATAGGGTGTTTCAATTGAAGAAATTTTACTTACAGATATTTTACCTATAAGAATTTCATACACAAATATATTCGTGTGTGTGTTTGTGTATATTTAACAACACAAATTAAGTATTTTTTTTTCCTTGAAGAGTTAGGGCCTTAATATTGAGATTATTTGATTTTTTTTAAATGACTAAAATGATTTGTGCACATTATCGTTTATTTAATGCCCTGGAATAGTCATCTGTCACATGGCATTATAACATCTGAAAACTTGTATCTATTTTTCAAAGACAGTGGGGTCTTTTTTGGTAGGAGTATAAACATTTTCTATATTATTCATGTGACACTGGAAAAGCAGATTAAATTATTTCTATTTTTTTCTTAAGATTATATATTCTATCTACCCATTACAAAAAAGCTAATATATTTCCATACTCTCAAATTAAAATTCACGCAAATTAGATATAAACTTATTTAAAAGTTTTGAAAAAAATTAAAATTTTTTAAAAGTTTTTTTTTTTGCATAAGTAATTTGAAGACTCCAATAATTTATCCAATCATGAATTACCTTCTTGGTTTAAACTGTATTGTTATACTGTTTTTATTGACATATTTCAATAAAATATTGTTTTAGATTAACTTTCCTATTGTTAAAAAGGCAAACATATTTTGCACTTGGTATGCATCCTAGTGACTAATTCCAAGGATTAAATGAAGATCTTATTTAATGTGACAGAGGTGAAGTTTAAATGAAGAAAAACACATCAAACCCGTGGAACACCAACTCTGTTCAGGCGCTGTCTTCTACCTCAGTTATAGAGATAGGTCAGTTCTCCCACACACCTTCCCCTAATATAATAGGCTCAGCATTTGGAGCTTAAGACAAGTAAGGCAAGATCAGTCGAGATCAGTTTCTTTCTCAAACAGATTAATACCCTCAACGTCTTCCACAGCCTGTCTTGTCTTTGAACGTCCTATCTCAAAAGCCAGAGAACCAGGTTTTGGAAAAGCCTGAAATAGATGTGTTTATATCATTTAACCTTAAACTGAAAATACAAAACAAACTCAGTGGAATAGTTGATAGAACCTATTTGCTTATAAGATTCAGGGTCATAGAGGCTTCTCCTTGATTCCAAAGCTCTGGAAACTGCTGTTCTATGACACTGAGTAGTGGCCAAAAAATGATCTAATCCAGAAACTATATCCAGGCAATGGGACTGACCTGCTTAGTCCTTTCTGACACATTTTAACAGAGATTACCTCTTGGCCAAAGAAAAAGCAAAGCACATATTTTCTTAATCACTTATTACAACATAGTAGCCAACAAGAATAAACGAACATTCAACTTCTCAATGAACTTGGAGTTTAACATCTCCCACTTTGGAGCCAAAGAATGCAAACATGAGAAAATGGCAAGGAATTTCTGTGGGAAAAAAATATTAATTATATTGACTTCATCCTCTGAGGCACATGGAAAGCTCCAGAAGGCATCACTTGAGAGAAATTAAGTTTGAAGTCCTGTAGCCACCACTGTCAATTACTGAACCAGAAAGGATGAGCCACCATAACAGATATTGCCCCGTTCTCCCCAGGTGAAGGAAAGGCTTGAAACGGAATGAACTTAGGTATGTTAGTGTGGCACCATATGTCTCAACCATCAGAAGTCAGGGAGTGTTATGAGGTTAGCAGAGCAGTGTCCCAAATACCTTTTCATCTCTGCCAACACTGCAGTTAGTGAAGCAGGTGAGAGTTATTTCTAGCAGTCTTCTAAACTATTAGCTTTCAAGCCAAGCTACACAGCTCTAAATTCCACTCACAACTTTAAAGTGATTCTGAGAAACACAGAGTCAAGATATATTTATAGCAAAAGTAAAAATTTTAATATTTAAGCTTGCTACTATTAGCCTGATATTTTCTCAGTCACTGCTCTGGTTAGGAATTATTATTCTTATTTTACAAATGTGGAAATGGGCTCAGAATGTTTAAAGGTACACCTCAGGCCATATAACTGGTCAATAATATACTATGACATCAAGTAGGGATCTATTTGCCTCCAACGGCTGTACAACACTTCCATTCACTCTGTTACGTACAAAGTCATATTGCATAAAGAGACATGGCAGCTGAAAACAAGAAATACAGCATAGAGGGTGGATATAGGATCTGGAAGCTTCCCTTAGTTTTAGTACAGACAGTTTTTGTGATTTAATTTATTCCTAATCTCAGAACATTTAGAAGACAAGAAAGGCAAAAACACAAAAAGCTTCCATTTCTCCAGCTGCAACTCAATACAATTTGTTCCTCTTTTTCAAATCCTCAGCCTTCATTCCAATGTCTTACCACAAACATCCTGGTTTTTATTTAGAAAATTTGAAAAAACTAAACAGGCTTACTCCCAGACCTGCATTTAGACATAGCCATGATCTTTGTGTCATGGTGATTTTCACTTAAGGAAAGCATGTTTGTAGGAAGCCACTCGCACTTAAGAAAAATATATTTATTATGTTTAATTGTAAATAATTATGTGAAGGTACAAAGTTAACATTAGCGAGATTGGCTTAAATAACCCTCAGCATTACGAAATAGTAAACTTGAACTCACACTCACATTTATCAACCTGAAGCCAGTCAGCTTTCCTTTACAGGATAACTAAATGCCAAACAATTCTCTGAGAATGGAAATGAGAATGCCTGGGTATAGCACTAAAGTGGTTTTGAGACTGATATGTAAAAACGTCGATGAGGTTAATTCCTAAGGACCAATATTTTCTAAATGTTATCTGCCAAAGTCATGAAAAAAAGAGTGGTATGAAGTAACAATATACAATTTTAGAAAATTTTTTGGGAAATGTAAAAAGAAGATTCTAAATTATATTCAAAATCATGTCAAGTCATCTCTGTTTTAAATATTTCTCCAAATTTGATAGTTGTTTTATAGCAGTTTACCAATATATTTGAAATCATAGTTTGGCCAATGATCCCAAAGACACAATTAAAAATAGGAAATATTTAAATATATGCTAATCCCCAACTCACAGAAAAAATAATTATAAACTATAAATGTATCTACTAACTCATGATTGAGATTTCATTTACATTAGGTTTGTATTTTCTCTCTTTAACAGCTTTATTAATTTCATTTAAAAATTTTCTTAAAACTAAGATAAATGAAATAAAATCTAAATGCCCCAAACACAATAATATTAAGATATGTGCCTCTATTTATTTAGTGAATTATATAGACAGATTGTGTAGAAAGCACCCCTTAGGGATGTGAGTTGACTGGGTCATTTTCAACTTGATTGAAATACCACATAAAAGTAACATGAGTAGAGCAGGCAATAAAATAAATAGAGATCTCTACTCAGCTCTCATTTTTAGCTTAGTCATTTGCAGCACATCGTAGTTCTTTAGAGTATTACCTTACTTAAGGCCAGACCTCAGGTTATACATAAAAAATGGCTTAAAGAAAAGATATTACATATAAATTAAAGTTTGCTCATTTCCCAGATTACATAATGGCTAATTACAAAAAAGCAATGTCAACCATTAATACACAGATCCTCTAATAAGCTTGGTTCCTTCAACATCATTTGTTATAATGACACGAAAAAAATGAATTTCTGGCATGGGGCCACCGCCTGTGTGGAGCTTGCAAACACTCCCTATAGCTGTATGGGTTTCCTCCAGGTACTCGGGTTTCCTCCAGGCACTCAGGTTTCCTCCCACACCCCAAAGATGTGCACATTGGTGTGTCCATAGGGTCTCAGTCTGAGTGATTGTGGGTGTGAGTATGAGTGTGCCCTGCCATGGATAGCATCTTGCCAGGGCAGGTGCCTACCTTGCACCCTGAGCTGCCAGGATAGGCTCTGGCTTCCCATCACCCTGAACTGGAATCTGCAGGTTGGAAAATGAATAAATGGGTAAATACAAATTATGGTCAAATAAAAATTTGTAAAGTATAGATAATCATATAAACGCATGACAATAAATGGTGTGGTAGGAACGTGCCCACTAATTGCACCATATTTATTACTGTTTGATTTTGAACAGCATGGCGGTAGGAGTTGCTCCTTACAGTTTTGGTTTGAAAAGTTTGATTCCTTGATTTAACCCACCACCAGTACAACAACCATCACTCTTTCATTCACCAAAAATTGGGTAAAGTATTATCTCACTCGCTTTTATTAACATTTTTAAAATGTGTTTATAGTTGACATTAATTCAATATTTAATATTAGATGTTTTTGTGACTAGAAATATGCCTGATGAACTTAATGCTTGTTTATATCAATTAGCCTATGGTCAAAATTGTTTTATTGTGGGTGATTTTGCATAAAGTCACAGTTTTCAAGAACCTATGAAGATATTTGATGATAACTTAGCGTATTTCTATGTAAACAAATATTTGAACACCTCAACAATTTATAAAACAGAAAATAAAAATATAATTTAAAAATTCAGTATTTGTCTCTTCCAGAAAAAAATAGCTTAGTGGGGTATTTATGATTTCTGGTCATTCCAAATTTCTTTCTTTAAAGAGAAATTTTTTAATTCTATATTTGATCCTAGTTAGTAAGTATCGATGTGTAGACAGAGAAAGAGAAAGAGAGAGAGATCTGTATAGTTTCAGGAAATTTCAAGATATTAATAGATTATCATTCAAATTTCCTTTCAGTTGTGGGTAACATAACTGCTGCTTTATGTTACTTATTCAACAACCATTTTTTGTTTTGTTTTGTTTCAACAACCATTTTTGAGTTAGTACTATGTGACAGTAAAATATGAAGATCTGGCAATATTAAAATAAAAATGATAATACTTTATGTGCAACTAAACATGAAAATATAAGTAAAATAAAATACAAGCACTGCAATAGTCAAATTTTGAATACATTGAAGCCAATTCTAAATTAGTCATATTATTAGATAGATACCTTTAGATATATTACCTTTTACTAGAAAATTCAGAATTCTAAAAGTAAACCTGCTATATTTTTATTGTTAAAAATAAATCTTCAGAATTTTCTTCAAATGTGAAACACAATAAATGATAAAAATTCACAACAATCAAATTCTGAATATAGTAAACATATTAATATGGCTTTCACAAATGTTCTTGTTATATGAGTTCTTACTGTGGAAAAATGACAAGTTAAAAAAAAAAAAAAGCTTGTCCTCTGACTTTGTGCATTGAGCAATAGAGTCTAGCATGTTTCTGAGGCCCAGAGCACAAGATCTGTGTGAGACTGGGGGATGTGGTGTCATCTGTGATATGGAAAAGTGAGCAGGGCAAGGTAGAGGAAATAAAGTACACACAGGATATAACTTTGACTTTCAGAATAAAACACTTTGTGTAATTTATTTTACTTGATTTCTCCTTCCCTTTTTCCCATTCCAATTATCTCTCTTATTCAACTCCTATTACAATTCTCAGCCTCTGGCAAAGTGGCTCACAAGAATGATTCCTTGGAGGCGGACACTCATGCTCATCCCCGGATTGCCCAATAGCCCCTCCAAATTTTGTGGCTTGAATTCCCAAAGCACATCGCCCTTACAATAGCAGCTGGTGACCCCAAAATGATAAGTAGAAGCAAAATGTCCCAATTGCTTATGGTAACTTTAGTTGCCCAAGGTCAGAACAACCCAGTTATCTGTTTAGAAATCCCTGATGAGGAATTGTACCAATTTTCCCATTCTTGTGAATGAGTCTGAAACTCCAAATGCCTTGTGAAACTGGAACTGTGAATTTGAAAATGCGATTCATCTTCCTGGCAGCAGTGTCTTTAACCTTAAATACTAAACTGAGCATTCTTAAAACTCTAAGGTAAACAATAATGTATTTGAGTAAAATAACTAAAAAGAAAATGAACTGAAGGCCCTCTGGGGTTTGGCCCAGTTCTGTATAGATAATAAACCCAAATAGAAGTTACTAGTAGGAGTGGATAAATAAGGAACAACATATTGAGGTGGATATAAACATCATACTAATCAAATAAATGGATTGAACTTCTCTTATCGTTCCTGTAGGATGGCAGCCTCTCACTTAGAAAACTCCTAATCATTATAAATGTCATCCTTACCCAGCAAAAATTAGTGACTACCCATCTAGTAAGTTGCTCTGCTGCTAAGGTGTTTAATCAATGATGTTTGAAATAATTTCTTGCTCTTAGATATAGAATTTTGATATTTGGAGATTGATATTGAAGGGTCAGCTGATGCAGAATACTACTCTTCTCTGTCCGTCTCAACCTCCCCCTAGCCAAGTAGCTGAGACGAGCTCCTATCAATTATTATAATAGCCACCAATGATTGCATGCTTACCATGAGGCATGCATTTTGCATGCATTCATTTAATTCTCCAAAATTCAGAAATTTTCTATTATTTTGCTATTATTTTCTGGCTATGCAGATAAATACAGTGAGGCTTAAAAATATTGCATAATTATCCTGAAGTAATCAATGGAAACTAGGTATTTAAAACCCAGAGGTTCCTGACTTGAAGGTTCAATGTCTGTCCAGTATAAAAGTATGATTCTCTGTTCTATAATCAACTCAACCTTGTGGTCAAGGTATGCATTATAATAAAGAAGAAATTCAGGCAGAATTCAGGCCAGGGTAGAAATTTATGGGTCATTAGAAGGGGAAATGGCCAAATTTCTGAATTATTTCAAAATTTCAATCCCTATGTATAAAGCATCCACTAAGATACTAAGATATTAGAGCTGCATTAGAGTGTATACATACTAATGGAATTTATGGAGAAAAATGAAAAGAGAAGGAATCAGAAACACCTAATTTGTAGATTGTTATACATACATATATATATATATACATATATATATATATATATACACATACACACACACACAAATATAAACATACATACATATGTAATTTGGTATATATATATATAATTATATACTCTTCATGTAGTGCTTTGATATTGTTCTACTTGACTGTATAATTTGGTAATAAGAAACATGGTACACAATTACTGAATTCATGACTTATATTGCAACACAGCACTCAGGCTAATCAATTTAAATAAATAAGTAAATCAATGACGGGCTTGCATATTTTAACACACAAAATATATAGGAAATCTCTAGTTTCTATTATTTTATTTTATTCAGTAAGATTTCCAAAGGTCATTATTATTAGTAATTGCTAAAAAGAAAACATTTTGTTTTAAATTATCATATGTTGCTTTTTGAGAAAATAGAGGATATGCCTAACAATGTGAAATATTGCTATCCAAAAGCATACACATTTTTGTTAGCAAATTGCTGTACCTTGCTTTTGTTTTTCTTGAAACACCAGTGCTGCACTGGAAAATAGTTTTCAGTATTTTTGAATAATGAATGACAATATCTTTATATTTTAAAGGCCTTATAGTTTATTTTTAATGTAAAGGGGCATTAATATAACAGTGTGTAGCATACTATGTAATATAAATTCATAAGAACCTTATGTCAGCTGGAAACATTTGTGGTGAACCATTTTGAATTTATCTAATTTTTACTGCTCTTTCTATACCTTATTTTTTGAAAAGTTTCTACTCTGATTTATACACCACTGTATGTTTATAGGTCAACATGCTATCCTAACCTTAAATTAAGGCTATATTTGTGGGGAAAAAGATGCAAATTTGAATTAAAAATTGCCTAATAAAGCACCTAAGTAAAGCATTACCTTTGTAGGAAATGTGAACCCTTTTCTGAAAATCGACAACAGAGAAACACTTCAAATCTTTTAGCATATTTCAATATACTTTACATATTTCAGTATACTTTGTTAGAAAACTATTCCTTGTAAAAAATCTCATTATTATTTTGAGATTTTGAAATATCATTCAGAAATTTTGATTTAACAACATATAAAGGTTCACAAAAGGAAGTAACTGGAGACCTGGACATTCAGTAGTCTTAGTTTAGATACATGTTCTTGGTAATCCAACATGCTACATTGAATTAGTTTGAATTTATTGCTGTGTAAGAAACCCCTAAATTACTGACTTAAAACAAAAATATGAACTTATTATCTCTTATGCTGCTTGTGGATCAAAAATTCAAGTTGTCAGGGCAGAAATATTCTCAATTTATGAGGCCTTAGGAGGAGGATTCAGAATTTGGTGACTAAGTGCTAACTGTAGGCTCATTCACTCACACATTTGGTGGTTGTCCCTGTCTCTAGGCTGGCACCTTAGGTAGAGAGTTGGTGGGAATAATTACACATGGATTCTCATTGTGGCCTGGTGATCCTTACATGTCAGCTAGGCTCCAGGGGCAAGAATCTCAAGTCAGAGAGCAAGAGAGCCAGGTAGAAGCAACATTTCCTTTTCTGTTCAAGCTTTGGAAGTCAAGCCATATCACTTCTGCCTCATTCTATCCCTTTGACAGTTGCACAGTTCTGCTCAGGCTTAGTGGGAAGGGACAAAGAGCTCCTAACTCTTGACAAGTGCTGTCAACATCCCACTCTAAGATTATGGAGGGTGACATACATTGTGTAATTATAGTTTGCTTTTGGGGGCTAAAAAAATTCAAATAATCTCAATTAATTATCTCTTATAAACCCCCAATGTTCTTCCCATTGTAATATCAGCTTATAGTCTAGGATCTCATCATATAAAGTTGAGATGCAGATGAATTTCCTCTGCTGCAGTTCCTGGAGTACAACTCTTCAAGTATAGTTCTGTGCATTTTGAAGTTTCATGAAATTAAGAGAAAAGTAAATATGTCCTCCATATCCAATATATAATAGTTGTGCAGAAATGGCATAATTTCCAAACACCACAATTCAGTGAGGGAAAAAACTGAAGGAACACACGAAGTCACTGGTCTACACAAATTATGGAATTCAGCTGAGCACATGATGCCTGCTGATTACTTGAGTAGAAATCAGTCTTATTTCCTGGGAATGATTGTCCACAGCTGTTTGATACATACTCTCACTTCCTGGATACCTTTTGCATACTCCATCTCCATAAGAAATGTCCAATGTTTTTAGCCTCAGTATTTTTCTCTGTCTGGTTCTGCTTGCTATTTGGAATCCAAAAGCCTCTTTATATTTTATACTATCTCCATCTTTAATTCTGATCTTGTCATGTTTCTGTAAAATTATCTTTAAAATGTTGTGTGTCTGTGAACCTATAAATTACATAAAAAATAAAAAAAAAAAAACCTCCATGAGTTTTCTATGGAACTTACAGGGGTTTGCTCCATTAAGAAAAAAAAAAACACATATACAGATTTGGGTGGAATATACTTTTCTGTACTTTGGGCTTTCTATAAGGCTGTTGTAGAATGGCACCATTAAGATGCTCAGAGGAATACATTTTTGTTTGAGACACAAACTTGAAACTTTCTGGGATCTTAACAAAGGTGCTTATAGCCAAGTCCTCAGCTTGATCTTTAGATTATACTTTCTAACAATGCCTTTGATGTGAGATTAGCTCAGAAGCCATTTTATAATTTTAGCATCATTTACCATCTAGAGATGCTAAGGCAAAAAATCATTTTTGGACAAAGAAAACTGTAGCTCATTTATGTTTATTCATTCATTCTTTAGCTTATCTCTCTGCTTTTGCATTTTACTAAATGCATTTAGAAGAAGCAAGCCAACAAAATCAACACTCAGCCAGGAAATCCCCTTAGCTATATCATCCACTTTCTTAGATTGATTTTCTTTTTTTTTTGTTATTACAGATAATAGTTTTGTTAAATTTTTTTACCACTACATAATGATATTGATAACATCCTCAAGAGTCATCAAATTTTTGCTAACATATTTGCAAGGTCATTTCAATTTCTACCTTCCACTTGGTCTCAAAATCACTGACTCAAATTTCACTATTTGTGCATATGTGGGTGTTTGTGTATGTGTAGGTGTGTGGAAGAACCATACTCTTACCTATGTAGCAATAGACAGTTAATCTCTGGTAGATCAATATATAATTAATTAACCCTAAGTTTAGTTACTTAAACAGTAATGATGTAACAATTTCTATGAAGCAGGAATACAGACAGAAAATAGTAAACATTGCTTTCTTCTGCGACGCAATGCCTAAGACATGCATATCTTGTTGAATTGTGCTTTGCTTTTATTGCACTTAGCAAATACTACACTTCCTATAAATTGAAGGCTTGATATAACCTTGCCTCCAGCAAGTTCATCAGTGGCATTTTTCCAACAGCATGTGTTCACGTCTTGCTTTGATTCATATTTTGATAATTTTCTCAATATATCAAACATTTTCACTATTATTATATTTGTTATGGTTATCCATGATCAGTGACATTTGATGTTACTATTGTAGCTGTTTTGAGGTTCCGCAAAACACATCCTTATAAGATGGCAAACTTAATTGATAAGTGTTGTATATGTTCTAACTGTTTCATCGACCAGTCATTCTCTGTCTCCCTCACTCTCCTTATGCATCCTGATTCCCTGAGACAAAACAATATTGAAATTAGGCCAATTAATAACCCTACAGTGGCCTCTAAGTGTTCAAGGGAAAAGAAGAGTCACACATCTCTCACTTTAAATCAAAAGCTAAAAATAATTAAGCTTAGTGAGGAGAACATGTCAAAAGTAGAGAGAAGCCAAAAACTAGGCCTCTTGCGGCAGTTAGCCATGTTGTGAATGCAAAGAAAAATTCCTTGAAAAAATTTTAGAAGTGGTACTGTAGTGAACAGAAACATGGCAAAAAGGCAAAACAGCCTATTGCTGATATAGAGGAAGTTTTAGTGGCTTGCTTAGAAGATCAAACCAACCACAACATTCCCTTTAGCCAAAGTCTTATTCAGAGCAAGGCACTAACTCTCTTCAATTTTTATGAAAGCTGAGAGGTGAGGAAACTGCAGAAGAAAAGTTTGAAGCTAGCAGAGATTGTTGGTTCATGAGGTTAAGAAAAGAAGCCATCTCTATAACACAAAAATGCAAGGTGAAGCCACAGGTGCTGATGGAGAAGATGCAGCAAGTTATCCACAGTTCTAGATAAGTTAAGCAAAGTTAATTGATTGAGATGGCTACACTACACAACAGATTTTCAATGTAATTGAAACAGCCTTCTACTGGAAGAAGATGCCATCTAAGACTTTCATAGCTAGAGAAGAGAAGTCAGTGACTGGTTTCAAAGCTTCAAAGAACTGGCTGACTCATTCAGACTTAATGCAGCTGGTGAGTTTAAGTTAAAGCCAATTATCTTTTACCATTGTGAAAATCCTAGGCTCCTTAAGAATAACGCAAAATCTACTCTGCCTGTGCTGTATAAATGAAACAATAAGGGATGACAGCACACCTGTTAGCAGCATGGTTTATTGAATTTTTAAAATAATTTCAACTTTTTTTTTAGATTCAGGGAGTACACATGCAGATTTGTTACATGGGTATTTTGAGTAATACTGTGGTTTGGGATACAAATGATCCCATCACCCAGATAGTGAGCATAGTACCCAACAGTTAGTTTTTCAATCTGTGTCCTCCTCCCTCTCTCTCCCCCTTAATAGTCCCCAGAGTCTACTGTTGCCTTCTTTATGTCCATGAGTACCCAGTGTTTAGCTACCACTTATTAGTGACAACACACAGTATTTGGTTTTCTGTTCCTGCACTAATTTGCTCAAGATAATGGCTTCCAGCTGCATCCAGCCCATCGTTGAGACCTACTGCTCATTGACACCTTTTAAAGACACCTTTTAAAATATTACTGCTCATTGACAATACACGTCATCATCTAAAATCTCTGATGGAGACATACTATTGGGGGAACCAGCCCCCAGTATTTCAGCATAGGTTCTTTCTATTTTCCCTAAGTGTTGGCTGGTCTGAGGAATAAAGAGAAAGAGTACAAAGAGAGAAATTTTACAGCTGGGCCTCCGGGGGTGTCATCACATATTGGTAGGACAGTGATGGCGACCTCGAGCTGCAAAACCAGCAAGTTTTTATTAGGGATTTTAAAAGGGGAGGGGGTGTACGAACAGGGAGTAGGTCACAAGGATCACATGCTTCAAAGGGCCATAGAGATCACAAGGTGAAGGCAAAATTAGAATTACTGATGAGGGTCTATGTCCCACTGTGCATGCATTGTCTTAATAAACATCTTAACAGGAAACAGGGTTCAAGAGCAGACAACTGGTCTGACAAGAATTTACCAGGCTGGAATTTCCCAATCCTAGTAAGCCTGAGGGTACTGCAGGAGACCAGGGCATATTTCAGTCCTTATCTCAACCACATAAGACAGACACTCCCAGAGCAGCCGTCTATAGGCCTACCCCCAGGAATGCATAACTTCTCCAGCTTTGTTCCTTGCTAGGAAAATAATTCAGTGATATTTCTCCAACTCACACATCTGTCTATAGGCTTTCTGCAAGAACTAAAATATGGCTGTATTCTGCCCGACCCCACTGGCAGTCAGACCTTATGGTCATCTTCCTTTTTTCCCTGAAAATTGCTGTTATTCTGTTCTTTTCAGGGTGCACTGATTTCATATTGTTCAAACACACGTTTTACAATCCATTTGTACAATAGTGGTCCTGAGGTGACGTACATTCTCAGCTTATGAAGATAAAAGGATTAAGAGATTAAAGACAGGCATAAGAAATTGTAAAAGTACTGATTGGGGAAGTGATAAATGTCCATGAAATCTTCACAATTTATGCTCAGAGATCACAGGAAGACAGCATAAGAAATTATAAAAGTATTAATTTTGGGAACTGATAAATGTCCATGAAATCTTCACAATTTATGTTCTTCTGCCTCGCCTCCAGTCGGTCCCTCCATTCGGGGTCCCTGATTTCCCGCAACACATACAAGAAGCTTAATGTCGTTTTCATGCCTGCTGAAACAGCATGCATTCTGAAGCCCATGGATCAAGAAGTAATTTTGACTTTCAAGCCTTATTATTTAAGAAATATATTTCATAAGTTTATAGCTTCCATAATTAGGGATTTACCTGATAGGTCTGGGCAAAGTAAATCAAAAACTTTCTGGAAAGGATTCTCCATTGTAGATGACATTTGTGATTCATGGGAAGGCGTCAAAAGATCAACATTTACAGGAGTTTAGAATAAGTTGATTCTAGCCTTCATGGATGACTTTGAGGTGTTCAAGACTTCAGTGGATGAAGTAATGGCAGACATGGCAGAAATAGCAAGAGAACTAGGATTAGAAGTGGAGCCTGAAGATGCGACTGAATTGGTCTAATCTCATAATAAAACTTGAATGGATGAGGACTTTCTCTTAAATAACAAGTAAATAAAGTGGTTTCTTAAAATGAAATCTACTCCTGATGAAAATGTTGTGAATATTGTTGAAATGACAACAAAGGATTTAGATTATTACATAAAAACTTAGTTGATAAAGCAGCCAGCAGGGTTTGAAAGAATTGACTCCATTTTTGAAATAAGTTCTAATATGGGCAAATGCTACCAAACAGCAGCAAATGCTATGGAGAAATCTTTCACAAAAAGAAGAGTCAGTAAATGTGACAAATTCCATTGTTGTCTTAAAGATATTGCTACAGCCATTCCAATACACAGCAGCCAACACTCTGATCAGTCAGCAGCCATCAACATCAAGGCAAGACCTTCCACCAATAAAAAGTTTATACCTCTCTAAAGGCTCAGATGGTCATAAGTATGTTTTAGCAAGAAAGTATTTTTAAATCAAGGTATGTACATTTTTTAGACGTAATTCAGTTGCACACATTGTAGACTACAGTGTAGTGTAAACAATATTTTTATATGCAGTGGGGAACCAAAAATTTTGTGTGACTTGCTTTACTGCGATATTCATTACTTTGAAGTGATCTGGAACTGAACTCTCAATATCTACAAAGTATGCTTGTACCTCATTTGGGAGTCTTGAAGGCTCAGGATGGGAATTGTTTGAAGACTTGTTCACTTAGAAATTTGGTGGCTGATGAGACACACAAGGAATCAACATGTATCTTGTGATTCTTACAACATGTTGATTGGGTTCATGCCAAGTATTCTTAGAGAAACAGAAAAAGGCAGAAGCTGCATTGCCATTTGTAATGTGTTATTATCTTTTAGCATTATAAATTATGCAAAATTACTTCTGCCGCATTTTACTGGGTAAAGCAGTTACTATGCTCTGTTTAGTTTCAAGTAGAATGAAGGGCATTCCCTCACCTTTTGACAGAAATGTGTCACTATCATAAAGTAAGAAGAACCTATACGATTGGATGTATATTTGTGTGGTCATCTTTGGAAAATACAGTCTACAGTATTGAGTAACATGACTTGGTTAAAAAAATACCAAGAAACAGAGGAATTCCAAAAGTATGATAAGGAACTTCTAAGAATGGAAAGTTATGCAATAAATAAAATAAAGTACCTTCAATCATATCAACAATATTTTAGAATGTATCGAATTGTGAATTAGCTTTCTATAACAATTATATAAATGGTGCTATTTATGGTGAAAGATAAATGCATAAGATAATATGTACATTCTTAAATTAGTCACAATAAAATTGTACTTTACCAAGTGATTCCTAGCTACTATATAGAGATTGGCAAATAAAATATTTGCCCATTTCAACAAAGGTATAATTTCACAGGTAGATAAGTACTATATATGCTTAATAGTAATTGATCACAAATTGGGCCTGGCAGTGATGAGTAATAAAACTGTCAAAAATAAATTCTAAATGAGATGGTTTGATTAAAAAATTTTTTGTAAGGTATCAATACAAATTATCATAATTTACCTGATTCTTTGACAGCAAAACTCTCCATTCTGTGTAACTGGGGTCACAGAGTCACAGTCTTTAGCTAAAGGTTTGAGACAGTAAAGGTAAAGTAAGAGTGAAAATAATGCATATCCAAGGTTTTAAAGGTATGCAGGAGCTTCACTCTTCATTGCTTTTTTTCTATAATCTCTGGTGTATTTCCTGGTGCTTAGAGAAAAGACAATGAAATTATGGACAAAAGAAAGTTCCAGAAGACAGGAATGTAAGCCACTTGTCCCCAGATTTTTTGGCAAAAGACCAAAAATTTTGGATGATATAGTATCTGAAATTTTATATTCTTATAGAAAATGTAGGATGCAATATAATTTCCCATGAAGTCTGTATACTTGTATACATGCATACCTAAAAATGAAATCCCCCCCCCCAAAAAAAACAGTAACAAAGAATGAAGACAGCAGATATACACTCTAGGTGAACTGCAGATAAAGAGTGCTTTCCCAGTGAGAAAGCCACATTTTTCTTACTAGAAGTTTTAACAGTACTTATAATTTATTGCATCCTTGGCAGTTAAGATAGGTGAATGGCAGGCAGAACAAAAATCAAGTAGTCATTATAATTACCATCAGTCTCATTCATCAGCAGCATATCAATGCTTTGTGCAAATGTTGAATGAAAACAATCCACTATTAAGTGTGGATTGATAGATAATTTAACTACCTCACAGCTTTCCCAGCGAATGACCTGGCAGAAGACTTTGGAACTCAGCACAATTTCCATCATTAGTGTCATCAGTAGCATTCCATTACATTTGCTGCTTATGTGTCAAATATGTCCCAATGAAAGCTGTAAAAATTGTCTCCCACCGGTGCTCAATAAGTCATTAGTCAGTCACATCATGAATGATGGACCAATGGGGATAAAGTAGACAAGATAAGTAGCATTCTGTGTTCTTCCAGAATAGTGAGTAGAACTCTACAGTAATTACCTGGGCTTATTTTTTTCCTGAAATATTTTTAAATTTTCCACAAGTGCAGTGGGATAGAATTATTTTCATGTTGCATTCCTAGACAGTATTAGTAAAACTGGCAGTTTTTAACTATTTGTTTTTCTATCTGCTGACTTGTCAAAAGGCTCCAAACATCTTTTTCTCATTTTCCAATGGTCCATGTGGGAGTGTAAATGAGAACTATGAGTTAGTGGAGTTTGCTTGAGACCTGCTGTGTACTATGGTATCAGTGGTTATTTTGAAGTCCAGCATTAATAAACATTCAACTCTATTTCCTATTAATGATAGTTCTTTAACCTTCACAACAGGCCTCAGGAATGAAAGAGAAAAATTCAGTATTTCTGACTTTGAAATTGAACAGAGGACATTAAAATTTGAAGCTAAACTGTGTGTGGGCAAATTTATATTTAAGTGGAGGTAAAATATAACTTTTAAAAAGATTTTCCTGCTGTTATTTTTTTCCTTTTCTTATTATTATTCTATGTTCCTACACATACTGAAAGTACAATACATGCAGATGTGGGCCATTTGAGATTAATATCAGCAAAGAGGCAAAAGCTCTCAACAGTTCATCATCCTTACTCTACCCTCATGAATATACAAGGAAGACAAAGTCAGGAATGTTGCTTGAGATATTATAAAACTGACTGAAAATCAGTGGGTTCTGATTAATCTTCTGGATTTTAGTATTTTTGTCAAAATAAGTTAATTTCATATCTTTACACTTTTGGAGGAATATTTGGGGTTAAATTAAGTGTAAAGGAATATTAATCAATATTGCCATGTGTGCTATGTTATCTGGATAAAATGATGTATAAGAATGAGACTGATATTTGCTGATGACTATATGGATAAGTCATCAGTTCAACTGAATCGATAAATTCATCATGTGTGTGGAATACTTCCAAGCAAACAGAGTATGAAATGCCTTAACACCAACTGAATACAAATGAGAATTCCTGTGTAGCATTTATGATGTTACAAACAAAAACTACATTGAGGAACTCTTCCCTTTCAAAGTTGTATAAAGCAAAACAACTCCCTTAATGAAGTATTAAAGTTAACTGATCTAAGCCTAAGAAAATTAAAGTCATTACAATAGTAATATTACCTGTTTTTCTTAGCTCCACTTCGTTGGTGTATATTATGTGTGATTGTTTTCCCTTGATGAGTGAGAGCTTGACTCTGGGAACTATTCCATGGCTTTCACAGAATGATGGGTAATAGCTCAGTGTTAACTAGCTCACTGACTATAAATTTAAAAGTCTAGTATATCATCTCTTTTCAGTTTGAAGCATTCATCAATGTGGTTCCTAAAATCTTGTTGAAGATAAACATTTTGCCATATTATGTAAATAAACTTAGATTTTCTAAAATTTGTGTCCAAGCACTGGATTTCAAAGCTACATAGAAAGATTTTGTTGGAATATGTGGTAGGCAGAATAATAAGCCCTTCTGAAAGATGTCCACATACCAATTTCCCAAACGTGTGAATATGTTACTTTACATAGCAAAAGGGATTTGGCAGATCTAATTAAGAATTTTGACACAGAAAGATTATTCTAGATTGTCCAGGTGGGAAGAATATAACCAAAATGGTTTTTTAAAGTGGCACACAGGAGAGTCAGGGTCAGAGAAGGAAATGTAAGGATGGAAGCAGAGGTCAAGAGTTATGTCCATGAGCACATGCACTCAGTGTCTAGAACCTGGAAAAGGCAGTCTTGCCAACACCTTGATTTTAACCTTGTAAGAACCGCTTCAGGGTTTTCAACTCCAGAACTGTAAGAGGATAAACTGGTTTTATTCTAAGCCATGCCATTTGCTGCAACTTGTTATAGCAGCAACGAGAAACAAATACAGGATACAAAAAAGATGGATAAAGAGAAAGAGATGATTATTTAACTTTTAGTATTTCATTTTATCTTAAAAAATAAGATTTTAAAGTTAAACTTAATTTAACTAAAAAAGGGTACATGTGCAGGTTTGTTATATAGTTAAATTGCATGTCATGAGGGTTTGGTGTACAGACTATTTCATCACTCAAGTGGCAAGCGTGGTACCCTACAGGTAGTTTTTTGATCCTCATCATCCCTCTCTCCCTCCATCCACAAGTAGGCCCTGGTGTCTGTTGTTCCCTTCTTTGTGTCCATATGTTCTCAGTGTTTGGCTCCCACTTATCAGTAAGAACATATGGTATTTGGTTTTCTGTTGCTGTGTTAGTTTGTTTAGGATAATGGCCTCCAGCTCCATCCATGTTATTGTAAACAACGTGAGCTCATTCCTTTTTATGGCTGCATAGTATTCCACGGTGTATATGTACCACATTTTCTTTATCCAGACTACCCTTGACAGGCATTTAGGTTGATTATATGCCTTTGCAGTTGTGAATAGTGCTGCAATAGATATACATGTGCATGTGTCTTCATGGTAGAACGATTTGTATTCCTTTGGGTATATACCTAATAATGGGATTGCTGGGATGAGTGGTAATTCTGCTTTGAGTTCTTTGAGAAATCGCCAAACTGCTTTCCACAATGGCTGGATTAATTTACATTTCCGCCAGCAGTGTATAAGCATTCCCTTTTCCATGCAAACTCATCAGCATCTGCTATTTTTTAACCTTTTAAAGATAGCCAGTTTTTTTTGTTTTTGTTTTTTGTTTTTGAGATGGAGTCTTAGTCTGTCTCCCAGGCTGGAGTGCAGTGGCACAATCTCGGCTCACTGCAACCTTTGCCTCCTGGGCTCAAGCAATTCTCCTGCTCAGCCTCCTGAGTAGCTAGGATTACAGGCGTGTGCCACCATGCCTGGCTAATTTTTTTTTTTTTTTTTAATGGAGACTGGATTTCACCGCGTTTGCCAGGATGGTCTCAATCTCCTCACCTCGTGATCTGCCTGTGTCAGCCTCCCAAAGTGCTGGGATTACAGGCATGATCCACTGTGGCCAGCCAAGATAGCCATTCTGGCTGGTGTGAGATGGCATCTTATCATGGTTTTGGTTTGCATTTATCTAATGCTTGGTGATGTTGAGCATTTTTCCATGTTTGTTGGCCTCATGTTTGTCTTCTTTAGAAAAGTATCTGTTTATGTCCTTTACTCAATTTTTAGTGAGGTTGTTTGTCTTTTCCTTGTTGATTTAAGTTCCTTATGGAGTCAGGATATTAGACTTTTATCAGAAACATGGTTTGCAAATATATTCTCCTGTCTTATAGGTTGTCTGTTTTTTCCAAACTTTTCCGACCCATAGCCCGCAGGCCTCATGAGGCCCAGGATGGCTTTGAATGCAGTCCAATACAAATTCATAAACATTCTAAAACATTACGAGATTTATAAACAATTTTTTAAAGCTCATCAGCTATCATTAGTGTTAGTGTATTTTATGTGAAACAAGACAATTCTTATTGTAATGTGGCCCAGGGAAGCAAAAAGATTGGACACCCCTAGATCATTCTGTTGATAGCTTCTTTTTCGGTGCAGAAGCTCTTTAGTTTAATTAGGTCCCATTTGTCAATTTTTGCTTTGTTGCAATTTATTTTGGCATCTTCATCATGAAATCTTTGCCAGGTCCTATGTCCAGAATGGTATTTCCTAGGTTATGGTCCAGGGTTTTTCCAGGGATAGATTTAGGGTTTACATATAAGTTTTTAATCCATCTTAAGTTAATTTTTTTTTGTATACAGTGTAATAAAGCAGTCCAGTTTCAGTCTTCTGCATATGAACAGCGAGTTATTCCAGCACCATTTTTTGAATAGACAACTTTTTCCCTATTGCTTGTTTTTATCAACTTTGTTGAAGATCTGATGGTTGCAGGTGTGTAGCATCATTTCTGGGCTCTCCATTGTGTTCTATTGATCTATGTGTCTCTTTTTGTACCAGTGTCATGCAGTTTTGGTTACTGTAGTCCTGAAGTACAGTTTGAAGTCAGGTAAAGTTATGCCTCCACTTTTGTTCTTTTTGCTTAGGATTGTCTTGGCTATTTGGACTCTTTTTGTAGTTGTTTTTCCATATGAATTTTAAAATAATTTTTTTCTAATTCTGTGAAGAATGTCATTGGTAGTTTCATAGGAATAGCATTGAATCTGTAAGTTGCTTTGGGCAGAATGGCCGTTTTCCCAATGTTGATTCTTCCTATCCATGAGCATGGAATGTTTTCCCATTTGTGTCATCTCTCATTTCTTTGAACAATATTTTGTATTTCTCATTGTAGAGATCTTTCACCTGCCTGGTTTGTTGTATTCCTAGGTATTTTATAATTTTCATGGCTATTGTGAATTTGATTGCATTCTTGATTTGGCTCACAGCTTAGATGTTGTTGGCGAATAGGGATGCTACTGATTTTTGTAAATTGATTTTGTATTCTAAAACTTTACTGAAGTAGTTTATCAGATCAAGGAGTTTTGAGTATAACTAATGGGGTTTTCTAGGTAATTACCTAATTTTTGATCTGCCTTCTCCTCTAAGTGATTATTCTAATGCTGTAAAAAAAATTGTAAAAATCAAATTTTCTTAAATTATTGACAGAGAAGTTAAAAACAATACCAAGAAATTTTCAATGTTCAGTCTGTTTATATTGTCAAATTTTTCAAAACAGACATATATTAAATAATTATATATTGTACATATTAGTGGTCTACATTATATTGTATTCACTGCAAAATGCTCAACCAAATTTAAAAAATACTGGAAACCTCTGGTATAGAGTAAAAAGAAAGCTTGTTTGCAAACAGAGCCTAAATGATTATTCTAATGCTGTAAAAAAAATTACAAAAATCAAGATTTTCATTATTAAAGTGATAGAAAATGAAGAAAGGCCTCTCTATAATATTGCTTTGCTATTGGGCATATTCAGTATTTATTGTTTCCTGCACCATCAAAATATTTCAAAGTGATATTCAAAAGTATAGCATTTACTATTTCTGCCCACATTTTTTTCCCTTGCAACAGTCTCACTGGCTTCTGTCCATGGTACTCTACTACCATGTATCTACTTCTCTAGAGCTCTGAATTAAAATATTCTTTCTCTCCTTAAAATTATTTTCTACTCTGGATTCTATGACTCTGGATGTTCCTGATTCTGCAATGACCTGTCACCAGGTTTACCTCATTTCCATAGCTGATGTAACTTCTTTTGGTCAAATTTAAGTTTGGGCATTTTGAAGGTTCTGTTTGCAAACAAGATCTCTTTTTACTTTACACCAGAGGTTTCTAATTTTTTTTTTTAAATTTGGTTAAGCATTCTTCAGTGTCTGTGTATGAATATAATATAATGTAGACCACTAATATGTACAATATGTAATTATTTAATATATGTCTGTTTTGAAAAATTTAACAACATAAACACAGATTGAACATTGAAACTTCCTTGGTACTGTTTTTAACTTCTCGATTACTTACTCTCTTCACAGGAAAACACAAAACAATTTTCCATGGATTTAAGTACATATTTTTTGTGTTTCTGTTTCCATTCATTTTTTCTGTATTAATGGACTCACACATACAATTCTGCCATTTGCTTAGGTGTCCCAGCAAAAGCTCAAATTCAATATACCAAAAATGTAATAATTTATCTTTCCTACCTGTTTTTGAATCCCTTACTCATTAAAGTCACCATGTGCTCTAATTTATCAAATTTTGAAATCTCAGAATTATTTTTTATTTTTCTCATGCATGTCAGCAAGTTAAGTTAGTTCTTCAAAATGATTCACTTTTTTGCTTTCTCCTATTTGATTTTTTTTTTTTTAACTTAAGGTCTTTTTTAACTCTTGTCTAACTTACGTACTTTTCAAATTTTTACCTCCAATTTTTTTGTTTGTTTGTTTGTTTGTTTGATACGGAGTCTTGCTCTGTCGCCCAGGCTGGAGTGCAGTAGTGCAATCTTGGCTCACTGCAAGCTCCGCCTCCTGGGTTCATGCATTCTCCTGCCTCAGCCTCCCGAGTAGCTGGGACTACAGGCACCTGACACCACGCCTGGCTAATTTTTTGATTTTTAGTAGAGACGGGTTTTCACCGTGTTAGCCAGGATGGTCTCGATTTCCTGACCTCGTGATCCACCTGCCTCGGACTCCCAAAGTGCTGGGATTACAGGCATGAGCCACCACGCCCGGCTTTTACCTCTAATTTCTCTACCTCCTTCCAATTGATCAGATTCTAAAGGCCAAAGCTTCCTCCCAAGACACACCTTTGATCATTCTTTCCTATTCAGAACCACAGGTGGCTCTTATTTGCACACAATATATTGTGAGTTCTTAAATAGTGCATTCAAAGCCCTTTATAATCTCACCTTAACTGAAGTTCCCAGTGACTGCAATGGCCCTCTTTCTTAGAAATATTGTAATGCACAACATAGTATTCTTTATTCAAACATTGTTCTTTCTGTACCTGGTGTGGACTACAAACTGGTTTAGACAATAGCCTTACAGAGACTGCTTAACCAACTCACAGAATTGTGCAAGCCAATTATTGGTAACAAATCTGTACCCACATACATACAAACATACATACACACAACACAGAAATACACAAACACTCTCCCACAGATTTTACTTTTCTAATTGTACCTTGACTGATATACTTTGAAAGCTGAAGCCTTTTATCCAATGTGCTAAATAGTTTTACTTATAATTTTCTACTGATTTTGAACAAAATGCAACCAAAATTTAGATACATTTTCACAAAAGAGTTTAGATCATCACAATACATATAGATATAATTACAAAATATTTTTCAAAGACAAGCTTATTTCTAAAAACTAATTAATAATAAACAAATAGTGCTGAAATAAACATACATGTGCATGTGTCTTTCTGGTAGAATGATTTATAATCCTTTGGGTATATGCCCAGTAACGGGTCAAATGGTATTTCTGGTTCTAGATCCTTGAGGAATCGCCACACTGTCTTCCACAATGGTTGAACAAATTTACACTCCCACCAACAGTGTAAAATTGTTCCTATTTCTCCACAGCCTCCCCAGCAGCTGTTGTTTCCTGACTTTTTAATAATTGCCATTCTAACTGGCATGAGATGGTATTTCACTGTGGTTTTGATTGGGATTTCTCTAATGACCAGTGATGATGAGCTTTTTTTCATATGTTTGTTGGCCGCATAAATGTTTTCTTTTGAGAAATGTCTGTTGGTATCCTTTGCCCACTTTTTGATGGGGTTGTTTTTTCCTTGTAAATTTGTTTAAGTTCCTTGTAGATTCTGGATATTAGACTTTTGTGAGATGGATAGATTGCAGAAATGTTCTCCCCTTCTGTAGGTTGCCTGTTCACTCTGATGATAGTTTCTTTTGCTGTGCAGAAGCTCTTTAGTTTGATTAGATCCCATTTGTCAATATTGGTTTTTGTTGCAATTGCTTTTGTTGTTTTAGTCATAAAGTCTTTGCCCATGCCTATGTCCTGAATGTTATTGCCTAGGTTTTCTTCTAGGGTCTTAATGGTTTTGGGTTTTACATTTAAGTCTATAATACATCATGAGTTAATTTTTGTATAAGGTGTAAGGAAGGGGTCCAGTTTCTGTTTTCTGCATGTGGCTAGCCAGTTTTCCCAGCACCATTTATTAAATAAGGAATCCTTTCCCCATTGCTTGTTTTTGTCAGGTTTGTCAAGGATCAGATGGCTGTAAATGTATGGTGTTATTTTTGAGGACTCTGTTCTGCTCCATTGGTCTATACATCTGTTTTGGTACCAGTACGATGATGTTTTCGTTACTGTAGCTTTGTAGTACAGTTTGAAGTCAGTAGTGTGATGCTTCCAGCTTTGTTCTTCTTGCTTAGAACTGTCTTGGCTATACGGGCTCTTTCTTTGGTTCCTTATGAAATTTAAAGTAGTTTTTTCTAATTCTGTGAAGGAAGTCAATGGTAGCTTGGTGGGAATAGCATTGAATCTACAAATTATTTTGGGCAGTATGGCCATTTTTACAATATTGATTCTTTCTATCCATAAGCATGGAATGTCTTTCCATTTGTTTGTGTCTGCTCTGATTTCCGTGAGCAGTGGTTTGTAGTTCTCCTTGAAGAAGTACTTCACGTCCCTTGTAGGTTGTATTCCTAGGCATTTTATTTTCTTTGTAGCAATTGTGAATGAGAATTAACTCTTGATTTGGCTCTCTGCTTGTCTATTGTTGGTGTATAGAAATGCTTGTGATTTTTGCACATTGATTTTGTATCCTGAGACTTTCCTGAAGTTGCTTATCAGCTTAAGGAGGTTTTGGGCTGAGACAATGGGGCTTTCTAAATATAAAATCATGTTATCTGCAAACAGAGAAAATTTTACTTCTTCTCTTCCTATCTGAATACTCTTTATTTCTTTCTTTTGCCTGATTGCCCTGGCCAGAACTTCCAATACTATTTTGAATAGGAGTGGTGAGTGAGGGCATCCTTGTCTTTTGCTGGTTTTCAAAGGGCATATTTCCAGCTTTTGTCCATTTAGTATGATATTGGCTATGGGTTTTTCATAAATAGCTCTTATTATTTTGAGATATGTTCCCTCAATACCTAGTTTATTGAGAGTTTTTAGCATGAAGACTTGGAACCAACCCACATGCCCTTCAATGATAGACTGGATAAAGAAAACATGGCACATATACATCATGGAATACTATGCAGTCATAAAAAAGAATGAGTTCATGTCCTTTGGAGGGATATGGATGAAGCTGGAAGACATCATTCTCAGCAAATTAACACAGGAACAGAAAACCAAACACCACATGTACTCACTCATATTTGGGAGTTGAACAGTGAGAACAGATGGACACAGGGAGAGGAACATCACACACTGGGGCCTCTCGGGGGCTGGGAGGCAAGGCGAAGGAGAGCATTAGGACAAACAGCTAATGCATGAGGGGCTTAAAAGCTAAATGATGGGTTGATGGGTGGAGCAAACCACCATGGCACATGTATACCTATGTAACAAACCTGCATTCTGCACATGTATCCCAAACTCAAAGTAAAATTTTAAAAAAGGAAAAAAAATAAATTAATTAAATAATTTTTAAGGGCAATTGCATACTAGCCTACTTAAGTATTGCTTTGTTTTTAACATTAGACTTATTGCAAACAATTTTGTAGTTCAGTTTCTCCCCTACAGAAAGCATGTGTGCTCCTCCACAGACAGAACATGGATATCAGCAACTGTCTCTATTCTGCTGAATTGTAAGAAGGTGAGCAACCATGAACAATTAAGAAAATTGCCCCAGAAGAAAATAAAAGGGAGATTCCCAGAATCTGAACTAGCTTTTCAAGACCAAGAAAAGGCACATAATCTTAAGACTTGCCCACCAAGAGGGAACCAGAGGAGCAGAGTGAGGATATCCAGCAATTGCATGAAAGATCCCCACAGTCTCTAGTTGGGTTAATTAGGGTAAGCCATTCTCTCCCAAATATAAAACCACCAAGGGAACAAAATAAAGCTCCAATGGATGACCTCTCAAAAATGAAGATATATAAATGAAAAGATAAGTTTAAAATAATTGTCTTAAAGAAACTCAGTGAACTAAAAGAGAACTCAGATAAATAGCTAAACAAAATTAAGAAAACAGTACATGGAAAAACACAAAAAGATTGACAAAGATATAGAAACCATAGAAAACAACAAAACAGAAATATTAAAGCTGAAGAATACAATGGCTGAAATAAAAAATTCCATAAAGAGATTCAACAGCAGATTCAGTTAAGCAGAAGAAAGAACCACCAAACATGAAAATGAATCATTTTTAATTATGTAGTTAGGGGGAAAAAAACAAGAAACAAAAGGAATAAAAAGAAAAAGGAGAGCCTGTAAGACAAATGAGATACCACACTGACATGGTGGCTCACGCCTATAATCCCAAGGCTTTGGGAGGCCAACATGAAAGGATTGTTTGAGGCCAGGCGTTTAAGACCAGGCTGGGCAATATAGTGATACCCCATCTCTACAAAAAATTTAAAAAGGTAAAAAAAATTAACTACGCAAGGTGATGCTTGCTGTAGTCCCAGCTACTTGGGAGGCTGAGGTAGAAGAATTGCTTGAGCCTAGGCATTAAAGCCTGCAGTGAGCTGTAATCACACTATTCACTGAGCAACAGAGACCCTGTCTCAAAAAAAAAATTATGGGACACCATCAAGTGAATTAATTTATGTGTTATGAGAGTCAAGAAGGAGCAAAGAGACAGAAAGGGACTTAATGCTATTTAAAGAAATAATGTAAGAAAAATTCCCAAATCTGAGGAGGAAAATGAACATCTAGAGTTACAAAGTCCAAAGAACTACCAATAAATTGAACACGAAGTCTTTATCAAAACATATGATAACTAAGTAACCAAACGTCAATGACAAAGAGAGAATTTTGAAATCACAAGAGAACATCCGTAGGACTATTGGAAGATTTCCCAGTAGAAACCTTGAATGACAGAAGACAGTGGGATGATATATTAAGAGTGCTGAAAGAAGAAAGTAACCAACCAAAAATATTTTTTCTGGCAAAGCTGTCCTTCAGAAATAAAGCAGAGAAAAATACTTTCCCAGATAAGCAAAACATGAGAGTTCATTACAACTGAACTTTCTTATAAAAAATTATAAGCGAGTTCTTCAAGTTGAAATAAATGGATGCTAATTAGCACAATGAGCATATAAACTATTAAAAAAATCACTGGCAAATGTAAGTATATGGTTAAATTTAGAATAATCTAATACCGTAATTGTAGTGCATAAATCACTTTTTACTATAGTATGAATAACTATAGCTGCAATAAATTGTTAAGAAAAAACTATAGCTGCAATAAATTGTTAAATAAGCTGCGATGTAAATAACAAAAATGCCGATTGGAAAAGAAGTAAAGGTATAGATCTTACAGAAAAATAAGAAGTGCAGTTATAAACTAAGATTACAATAATACTGGTTCTTAATTTGCCAATGAATTTACATTTAACAGAGATCTTTATATGATCATATGGCTTTCAGTTACCGTCTAGTGTCCTTTTATTTGAACCTGAAGAATTCCCTTTAACTTTTCTTGTAGGGTAGGTGTAGTGGTGATGAAGTGGCCTTGTTTTTGTTTATCTGGGAATACCCTAATTTCTTCCACATAATTTTAAACTCACAACGCACAGCTAAAATATTACAGATAATATATACAAAAAAGAATTAGAGAAGAATAAGTAAGCAGATATTAAATTGACCTAGAAAAAAATAGATTATCAAAAGCTCAATAAAATTAGATATATTAGGAAAATCTTACAATAAAAAGCAAATATTTCATAAAAAAGCAACATTAAGAATAAAAGAGATCCCATAGCCCTGTGTCCTTCAGCAGCCAATCTTGCAGGGGAAGGCACATGCATATTGCCTGATGCCTGGTCTGTTTCTCTCTCACACTATTTTTTTTTAATGCCTTGAGGCTCACATACTGGGAGTAGTGAGCAACCTTTGCAAGTTCTAAGAAAACAGAAACACTTAAACAAATGATATGATCAGGATCTCATATTTCACCTGAATATTCAAGGTAAGATGCTTCAAGACATCAGCTGTGTGAAATAGAAATTTCCATGATAAACTTTCCATCCACTTAATAGCCTTCTCCCAGAACTATTTATTAATCTTTAGTTACTTACCAACAGCTACCAAAAAAATCACTTGATGAATGATTACAGTTTCTACATTAGCTGTAATATCTGTAAAGGAGAGCAGATTAAGCCAACTATGGTATCAGAATACCATTATACCATCCCCCTCATTGAAAACAGTGCATTGACTAATGCCTAAAGACAAATGTCAGACTAATCATATGTGTCAATTCATGGTCTTTTTCTATTCCCTTCTGTCACAGCTAATGAAACTTGCATATATTCCCATATATTTTTCGTTTATCAATGGATTCATCATGATTTTCTAAAAACTCCTGGTGAAGATACCTAGTTCCCTACCCAAAACAAATTCCCATTTTCTTCCTTAGTAGCAGAACTCTAATTGTATTTAGGTAGCAGTGTAAACAACTTTCAAAAAGTGTTTCTAGCCTGCCTTACAGATTGATTTGGCCATATTAAAATTAAAAAAAACTTGCCAACATACTTTAAAAACAGGCGTTGTATAGGAATCTTGGAAACGCTCCTTAGAAAGGGGGTGGAGAGTTCATATATATATATATTTTTTTTATTTTTTATTTTTTTTTTATTTTTTTACCCTTCCCATGATTATTTTTTGCTTTCCTGATTAGAATAAAGAAATATCAAGGCAATTTTGAGAACAGAAACCCAGGCTAGGGAGACTGACGCATAAACAGAGTAGGACATTTGTCCATGGTAAACAAGGAGCTGTTTTACCAAATCTGAAATGCCTACGCTGGATTTTTTTATGTTTCATGAGGAAAAAGTAAGTTAATATATTTTACGTTCCTATTTTTTGAGATTGTTGTTACTAGACATCAAATGCAATTCTTTTAAGATACATAAACTTTTTATTAGAAAATCAACTTTAATTTTAGAATACGTATTTTTAAAAATTCAGAAACTATTTTCTCCCTTTCTAAAATGGATTTTCTCTGATTGTTCACCTGCAAACACATTTTTAAATTATTTCAGGCCCTGCCAGAATATTTTATGAAATATAAAGATGATTTATCTCCTCTAAGCCACATTTATGATCACGTTCTCCGCCTAGCTATTTTCAACTTACAGGATTTACTACTGTAAATTGATGATTTTTGTGTGAGAGAATTTAGAGTATGTAAATTGTTATCTAGTTTGTATAGCTAAACATAACATATAATAATTTACAACATCCATACATGCACAAGATATTCAAACTAAAAATTATCATCATTATTATTATTATTTTGAGACGGAGTCTTGCTCTGTCACCAGGCTGGAGTGCAGTGGCACGATCTCGGCTCACTGTAACCTCCGCCTCCCAGGTTCAAGCAATTCTCCTGCCTCAGCCTCCTGAGTAGCTGGGACCACAGGGACTGGCCACTATGCCCAGCTGATTTTCTGTATTTTTGTAGAGACGGGGTTTTACCATGTTGGCCAGTCCGGTCTTGAGCTCCTGGGCTCAAGTGATCCACTCGTCTCAGCCTCCCAAAGTGCTGAGATTACCAGTGTGACCCACCATGCCCAGCCTAAATTATTTTCTTAATACTTTAATGTCAAAAAAGTTACCTACAGAAGCACCCTTAGAGTGTCACCAATATTATATTTATAATAAATATGTATTTTATATATAATAAACGTATATTTCATACACACACACACACACAGCCCATCATAATCACTGTCCCTGTAAAGAATAAAAATTTTGGTAAAAATCATGAAATAATAATATCTAATCATAGCTTATTCACCTCCAATCATTACTAAATTTGAACCAAACAAATTTAATTAGCTACCTACACACCTCAATTTAAAAATGACACTTAAGGGAAAATGTGGAAGAAAAATAGCATTTGAGTATATCTCCTTCCAGTGTTTATTATCTTGTATAATAAAGTACTGAGGGAAATTCATAGGTGAATTAATTTACCCATGATTTTCCAGGATCTAGCTGACAAACATTTCCACTTGAAATTTATCTAATGATCTCACCAATCCAAATCGAACTTGCCATCTTCTCCAAACTAGCTCATCTCCCATTTCCAGTCTCTGTATATTACTGTTTTCAAATGTCCAGTCTGTAACATAATATAATATCACCTTTCTTTGTTACCTAAATCAGGTTTATCCATCATGTGTAACTGTTTTTTCATATCTATCACTTATATTCATTTTCTTTACTACCACACCAGTTTCTGGTCCCAGTCACTGTTCTATAAGAATTTAACATTACTGGCTTTTTGTCATATTACCTGACCTAGAATTTAAAATGTCTCTCTACTTCATAAAGAACAAATTCTTCTAGCTTAAAGGGGCTCCATAATCTTTACCATGAAATTTGTCATTGTTTTGGGAGCCTTAGCTAAACTGGGGTTCCAGTCCCAGAGCAGCTAGCAACCCTGCCTCAACAGGAAATGAAGGGGAGGCTAGACCAGGGTGTTTACTGTACAACTTTCACAGAATACTTCTTTTACCTGGCTAACAGCCTAATACTAGTTGTCAGATTCACACCAAAGCAAGCCCCTCACAGGAAACTTGTTTATAATGGCAGACACTGTTGCAGGTCTTGTCAGACCTGTGTCCAGTTTATGCCTGCCTGTCCATTGCTCTCATGCTGGGAGCTCAAACTTGTGTTCCCCCTCACCGACCCATGTCCTAGGTAAAACCTAGCCTGGGGCAGCCCCTAGTTCTTCTGGTGGAAGTCACAATTTCGATACACCACCATAATAGGGAAAAAGCAAATTGATTTTTGCTTGTAGATACTGAGCAAGAGAGGTGAAATTATTTGAGAGGAAAGGCCTTCATCCTGGGACACATGCAGGAATAACGAGTCAGGAAGAGAGAGAAAGCACATGGCGACTAGCAATATGTACAAGGGAATAGCATGTGGATAACTTCAAGTTCATGGGCAAATGACTAAATGGTCCCTTTAAAGGAAGGAGCTGAAAAGCTGGGAGCCCAGCCTGCTAGACAGGAGAGTTGCTTCTAAGTTCTAACCTCCGGTCACTGGCTTGAGCCATCTGGGTGTGATGTAGAACTGGAAACTATGTCAAGGATGACTGAACCCTGCTTCTGGCATGAGAAAATTAAACTTGTATTCAAAATAGTTGCTGAGACAACATAAAATTATAAGAATTCACTACAGTCATCACCTGCAAGCATACACTATCTGTTGTAATCAGGTAGTGACGTCTCTGAAACTTTCACGTGACTTATTTTAATCCCAAAAAGTGTATGTTACTGTAAATTGTGGTTTATAGCCTTATATGCCCCTTCTTGGGTCTGCCTTTCTCTGATGTTCAAAGATCTGATGCTCTCAGATCTTTGTGTTTTCTTAAATTTTTCTTATTCCCTAGGCATATTTTTAAAATACTCATCTTTCTGTTTTCAGCCCTTCCTCACTGCTTCTAATCAGTTATCTAATTTGGTAGATTATGAGAGATAAGTGGTTTTATAGCACTTAATGGAATTTATTCTGTGTGTTTTGTGGGTGAGCTTCTCATTTAGAGACTCAATTCCTATTTTGTTGTTTTGCTACGCTGTTTGGTTGCCTGTTTGGAAGCTATCAGATGTATGAACACTTATTTAGAAATGGCATAATCAATAAGATGAAAAATTATATTATTTATCAATAGGAATAATAATAATATTAAATTTATGAAGATTACCACCACATTAAGTGGTGGTAATATTCCCAAGGACCCTTAATAATATCTAATGTAATCTTCACAGTAATGTTTGAAAATTAGTATTATAACACTTTACATAATACTTCTGTAAACATAGATTTACAAATAGAAAATTAAAATTGAGGGGTTATTGCTTGCCCTAGGTAACCTACTCTGGAAATGGCAGTGCAGAAATGTATACTCAAATGTATTCAACCTGAAAGCCCACTTTATTTCTATAATGAAACCTCAAATTTTTATCAGCAGTGAGGGAAAATGAGAGACATTGTTTGAAAGTCAGGTTGAAGAAGTGTTTTCTCATATCACTATGGTAGCACAGTAACTTAAAATCCTGGAAAAGAGGACCATGAGACACTCTATTTTTAACATAACAAATAGAGCGAAAGGAAGTATTAGTCTTCTCTGCACCAGGAATTTAAAGGAGCTGAAGTTTTTCAATTTCTTCCTCTCACTTCTGGAAGCAATAGCAGAGCATAATAAGCAGGTGCTGTGGATATGACGACAACTAATTTGAAGAGTAGAAATGTCTCATTTGTTTCAAACGTAATAATCCACAAAATTTTTTAAGTTTTGGTGGACTATTTATAAATATGATGAAAATAGGATTTGTGCATAATTTAATTTGTTTTGTGGCTAACAGACACAGGTTTCTTGCACTTACAGTGAATAACAAATTAACAGGATAACCCTTAAGCAATTAACCCAGTAAAAATACAAGGATTAATCAATCCTTTCCATTACTGATAGCCTTGTTTGTTAAAAAAAAGTACTGAGTGATCCCACTTATATGCGGAACCTAAAAAAGCCTAACTCATAGGTCTACCAGGGTTTGGGGGTGGGAGAGAGAGGAAAATATTGGTCAAAGGGTACAAACATTCAGTTATAAGAGGGATGAGTTCTGGAGACCTAATGTACGGCATGGTGACTATAGTTATATTAACATAATGTATAGGAAGTATAGTTGATTTGTGGAAATGGTTGCTTTTTTTTAACTTTTATTTTTCATTTATTGACTGTGTCTCACCTAAGTGGAGCAAAACAAAAAAAGACTTCAGTGGGACAAACTCTTCTTAAATTTCTCCTTTACAATCTTATTCCCTTACCTATTTTTTTTTTTTTTTTTTGGAGCAGTTTCACTCTTGTTGCCTAGGCTGGAGTGCAATGGCGCGATCTTGGCTCGCTGCAACCTCCATCTCCCAGGTAATCCCAGCCTCCTGAGTAGCTGGGATTACAGGCAACTGCCATCACGCCCAGCTAATTTTTTTGTATTTTTAGTAGAGACGGGGTTTCACCATGTTGGCCAGGTTGGTCTTGAATTCCTGACCTCAAGTGATCCACCCGCCTCGGCCCCCCAAAATGCTAGGATTACAGGTGTGAGCCGCTGCGCCAGGCTCCCTTACCTAATTTTTACCCTTTAATTTGCACTGAAGAAACCTTCAGTTTTCTTACTGCCCCCCTCACCCCGTCTCCCCCACGTGCACATGCGCACGCGCGCATGCACACACACACACACACACACACACACACATACACAGTAACTGTGAGATGATCAGTGTGTTAAGTAACTTGATTGTGATTCCTTTCACAATGTATATGTATATCAAAACATCACATTATATGCCTTAAATACATACCATTTTTATTTGTCAATTATCCCTTAGTAAAACTAGAGAAGAAAATCCATTACGTAAAAAAACAAACAACAAAAAAGAATATAAAGGAAACTGTGCTAATTCTATTACTGTCCTAAGTGATTTTTAAATAACATATAGGAAAAAATTGCAAATATAAATAATTTAAAATTTATGTTATGTTTCTTGTTGTATTGCCATTCTGCTAGGAATTTTAGATTTTTGCTAATATTAATGGAATTTCATGTAATAAAATATGAGTGGATTAGTCTTTGGATTTGGAATATATATCTCAGTTATGCCTGTGGGCACTATAAGTCATTTACCTGTGTGGACAAAGTCAGAATTTGAGGAAGCAAGTATAAGACATTCACATGTTGAGATATAGGAAATATAGTTAATTTGTGGAAGCAGTTGCTTATTTCTTTAAACTCTTCGTTTTCATTTATTGATTGTGTCTCGTATAAGTGGAGCCAATAAAAATTAAAAAAAAGACATCAGTGGGATGTACTCTTCTTAAATTTCTTCTTTACAATCTCATTTCCTTATCTAATTGTCACCCTTCAGAAAAACGAAATGCACATATACCATGGAAATTACTAATTGCTAATCTAGGGCTTGAATTCAGAAGTTAGGTCTTGCCAGTCATAAGTATTCAGTGTTATTGATGACTCTTTCATGAAGAAAGAATTTCTACAGGAATACAAATAGAGGCCACTACCCTTTGTGGAGTAAAATAGAATTCAAATTTCAAAAGTAAATCACAACAGGACCAACAGACAAAACACCAAGCTTGTAGAAATATGTTCACATTGCTGACATTTACTACTTTTAATTTACTTTTGATATATTTATTAAATTTTCCTTATAATCATATAAACCTAATTGACTTAGTCCTGCAACTAAATTACTTTGAACCTCCTGCAGTAAAACATTATTTTAGGATGTTCAGGCTACTTTATAAAATGGTAGTATACAGTAAGTGGTAACTACAAGTTGGAAAGACCCTGAGAAATCATCCAGTATTACCTTTCATTTTGAATATGACAATTCCCTTAAAAAGTTAAATAAATAATCTGCCAGTGTCACAAAACTGTTTATTGCCCTAAACCAGTACCTTCTAATTCTTTCTATTTTGTTCTTTCCGTAACATTATTCAGCTTAGAAAAGCTACTTGTTATTCTGCCATGAGTAAGAGACTTCAATTTTAGTGTTACTTAACTATAGTAACACTTTATTTATGAAAGTATTTTGATTTGCAAAGTCTTAAATGGAAGCAATTATTCCATTTTCTGGCAACATGCATCTGCATATCTGAAGGCATAGTCAAGTCCTGAGGGTACTACCTCATTATGAAGTGTGCTAGAGTAAAAATTATTCAGAACAAGAGGGGAAGAGAAAGCTGTAGAGTCTAATATGTTTTTACATAATGTGTTATTTTTGTTAAATGCATTTTTTGATCAACATAGCATATCAAGTCATGTCATTTTTAGTTTGCCACAATATATTTTAGAGTGCACTAAATTAAGGCATTGATATCTAGTTAAGGATGTTATAAATATGCATCACCATCATACCTTGTTCATGTCATTAATTTTATTATACTGTGATAAGAATGTTTTTCCTTATGTAACAAAAATTAATTAAAATGAATTTTAAATTCAACTCTATTGTTACTTATGGACGACATATACCTACAGTTTGTATCAATATGACAAAACATATATTAGAAAACATTTACTTTTCTAATAAAATAATGTTTTACCTGGAAAATGTATGCATAATCAGTTATTAGAAAGCTTTTTAACTTTTTTTTCAAATTTCTTGTTAAAAAGAAAGAGTGGCAGATAGAAATAATCACAGTTAATCTCATATGGCAAGAAAAAGTCATATTTATTCTGCATGGCCATTGTTGATGCAGAATAATGAATCTCAGAGAGAAATAATCCAAAACAAAACATTTGATTTAAGGGAAACAGAATGTATGAGTAGTATCATGTTGCTCTAGCACTTTTGGAATAGCCAGGGTGTATCCAAATAATTATACCTTTTAAACAAAAGATGCATATTTACAACAAGGCATGCAATAAAGCATTCTTTTGAGCATTAGACAAGTATGAAGAGTAAAGTAAATTTTGGAATCATTAAACTAAATACTACTGTTGACAGAAATGACCTAATCTTTTAGCATGATGGCTACTGTCAGTAGGAGGTTGAGTAGTGCTAAATTTTGTATAATAACAATTTTACTTACTATTAATAGTACTCTCATAACATTTTTTGCATATGTACAAAACTTTTTGTATTTTTTCAGGGTTGACCTAAAGGCTAAATTTAGGAACACTGTGACTTAATCTGTAACAAATACACAAATCTAATTGTTAGGGCAATCTTGAAATACAACAAAGCACCATCAGAGTTATTTGGTGAAATGCATAAAAATATGTTCTGAGGTGCATTGATAATAAGCCTGTCTATAATATACAATTCTTTTCAATAATGTGTTTTCTCAATATCTCAAAAAGTTAGTTTCTAAGGTTTAAAGAATACTATTTATTTACAATTGAAAATTTACAAGAAAATTAAAGGAGTGTAAGGAAAGTTAATCTTTAAAATGATATTCATCTAAGTTATACTTACTGAATTATATGTAATCAAAACAAATTACTTTGTCTTCAAATGAATGATAACTACAAAAGCATATTAGAGTTTTGCGTTAAATTTGTGTAAGTCCAAACCAGGATGGGGTAAAAAAGGTCTTACATAAATAGAACATTATATATGAAGCAAAAACTACATTTTGAGCATCAGTTCATTGAATATGGCACAACTCCCAAATTCTTCTTATGATATCCACCTTTGTGTACATATATATTAAAAATTTAGGCCGGGCATGGTGGCTCATGCTTGTAATCCCAACACTTTGGGAGGCCAAGGCAGGCAGATCACCTGAGGTCGGGAGTTTGAGACCAGCCTGCCCAACATGGAAAAACCCCGTCTCTACTAAAAATACAAAAATCAGCCGGGCATGGAGGCACATGCCCGTAGTCCCAGCTACTTGGGAGGCTGAGGCGGGAGAATTGCTCGAAACCAGGAGGCAGAGACTGCGGTGAGCTAAGATCATACCATTGCACTCCAGCCTGGGCAACAAGAGTGAAACTGCATCTCAGAAAAATGAATAAATAAATAAATAAAAAATAAAAATTTAGCAACAATCAATTTTTATTGAGGTAGAATTTGCATGCTTAAAGACAAGAACCTGGACCAGATATTGTGGAGGTGTTTTTTTCCTCTTAAATCTAGTGTGCTTTGATTTCTTGCAATATGATTACATTATTTAAAAAGGCAACACAAGTTTAGATTTCTTCAAATGGAAATAAATTGAGGTAATACTTGTTGTGGTTGCTATTGCTTTATTGCTGTAGCTTTATTAAATAAATTTTAAAAAAGCTTAAGTTTGAAGGCTTCAAATGCAGGATCCTGAGCTATGAACTGAATGTAGAAAATCAGTAAGGTATGAAATAGCTTATTGTGTTTAGAGAAATGCAGTGTTTTCAATATGAGTAGGACATGCTATGTCAGCTTGTGTTTGAAGGTATATGTTCTGGGCTGGAGCTGGGAATTTGAGGAAATAAAAGTTAGATTGACTAGAGCCTGATTATGATGGATATTGCATGCTATACTAAGGAGTATGGGCTTTGTCCCCAAAGCCTTAAAAAAATAGTAAAAGATTCTAAGCACCAATTAATATTTGGGTTTTGCACTTTTTCCCATTGTACTTTTTATTTTTTAAGTTTTTAAAAAACTGTTCACTTTTAACACAATTTAAAGGAAAACAAAACATAAACAAAAATGAATTCTACTCTGATTATCTGTGAAGTTTGATTTTGTTAGAGAAAGAAATAAAATAATTTATAATGGAGAAGCTAAATCTAATAACCGTTGTTTAATAAAATATATTTAATACCACAGGAGATACAGTTTACTTCAGATACTGATATACTTTCACTTACTCATACAGTTCTTTCTATTAACAGTTCCCTTCTAAATAGAAACAGAGATTTTTATTAATGATTCTGTAGAAAATCACATATTCTAATAACTAAAATTAAACTATTTAAAATAATAAATAACATGTTTAGTTGAGTAATATCTTCCAGGCACAGTGCTAAGTTTTTCATATCTATTTAAATTAATTTGCCTATTAAGGAGAACTCTAGGAAGGAGTTTGCCGAGGTTTAGTCTCCCTGCATACCACCTATTATACTGGCAGACATATACTTGTCTGCTTTGACTTGCCTCTTGGACATTCAGGGACATTTTTTGGGGGAAAAATTAATTCCTTACTCCTGATACTTCCTTATATGTGTATAAAGTTTCAATATTGAAAAACTTCCTGACCCTGCTTCACCATTTCATTTTGTCACTAAGAAGATAAAGCAATGTTTTTGATTGGTAAACGAGGGAAAAAAATAACCATGTATTGGCCAGATGCAGCTTTCTTTCTATTGGAACCGAGAAATCATCAGGGAGTAAATCAGGGAATAAGTTTTACCCTCTCTTGCATCCCTAGTTCTTCACTCTGTGTTTTCTCTTTATTGCTGCAAAATTAATAGAAGATACAATTTAAACTTGGGTGTAGCAATACAATAGAAATGATTTTTTAGGAGGCAATTGCTTTAAGATCCAAGAAGTCATAAGAAAGCAAAACAAGTCTTGTATAAAAAGTAAGGATATTTGTAATCCTTCAAACCTTAGCAATCAACATAATTTAATAGACATTACAAAATGACATATTTTGCCTTTAAAATCTAGTGCTTTCAGCTGTGAAATAGAAGACATGAATTTATTAAATGAGGGTAAACTAATATAAATTAAAAGTTCAGCCTTAGCCGTGATATTAATATCTGTTCAACCTGACCTGTCTATTTTTCTCCCATTTCTGTAAAACACACTATCAAAAGTGGAGAATATGTATTCAAAGATAGCCCTCACAATCAGGGTCAGAGTTCCGTTCTGAAGACTTTAAAGCAACAAGCATACAAAAGTGTTTCAAGGGCATAACATTCCCCACAGAAGACCTCATTGGTTGCTTCTGGTCATCCTGAGCATTCTGCTGAAAACATCTGTCCTCCTAGATGTCCAATATCCTACCATCTGCTTAGTCAGCTATATTCTTAAAGGCACAATATGAAACATTGAAATCAGCAAATTAAAAACTCAGGCCTTAAATTGAAAATTCAGAATAAAACAGTAAGAAATTATGAAAAATGTCTCTAATCCAGGAGGTGCTAAAAAAAAAATACATGAATTAATCATCAAAAGCACAGAACTGATTACATACAGAAAGTTATAAAAGAAAATGTGTTCAAGGTAGAAGTTCCATACAGCACCTGGGGGCGGATTATAATGTTTTCTTTTTAAAACAGCACATTAATATAGTGGAACAATTCACATATCATTGGATTTGATGACTTAAGCTGCAGCCTTACTATTTTAATTCCATTAGAAGCCAAGTTCTGATCCAATGCTCTATTCTGTTAGAAATACAACAGAAAAATACTGTGCCAAATTCTGGTACAGTATACGTAGCCTCTCCTCATAGAGCTCATCCTGCCAACAAAATGCTCAGTCCAAATCAATAAGTAAATAACACCAGGAAAATATAGTTTGAAATGAATTGAAACAGAGTTACAGTGTAGCGGACAAAAATAAATCCTTTCACAAAACTGAGAGCTTTCTGAGTTATTTCAATCATGGAATGCACCTGCATATAACTCACTTAAAATTGTGGCATTTGTGAATTATAGATCTTTCATACATGTGAAAAACCGGCAAAAAAAAATGCACATACTTATTTCATTCTCCATTTAAGAGTTCTTTTAAAAACACATTGAAAGTGGCTGGACTTTCTGTTCTTTTCTTTTTTTTTTTTTTTAAATCATCAGTCAATTGACATCACACAGTATCTATATTTTAAGGAATAGAGGAGAGAGTCATAGTTTTCTAGGTATTTTCTGAAATTTCTTGAAAGGATAATAATGACACTTCTGGAAAGGTTAATAAGAAAATACTTTAAAATCTTATCTAGGATTTATAGACAAATAGAGAGTTGATGTATTCCTCTGATTAATTAAGGCCCAAACAGATGCATTATCCACAGGTTGTCAATTTTAGGAAGGAAGGAGCAAAAAGAAAGGAAATACAATTTTACTTAATATATAAAAATATCAAGCAGCTTACTTTAATAAAAAACTTTACTGGTAGATGTTATTATAAGTTAATTGAGAAGGCTAGAATAAATGGTAGATGCCTACAAAGAAAATAAATTAATTGAATTGCATACTAAATAAAATTGAGAATAATCTTGAACAGAACTATGCTACTGAAAATTTCATAACTAAACATTAATATAAGTGTGATGATAAAATTATAATCTAGATCACTAATCAGATTACCTAAATGATATTGCTAAATTATGCCAAGTTGTAATAGAATGATGGAAACCTTCACACTAACAAGATTTTTATAAGAAATGATTACTTCCAATATTAAAACAAAATTGATAGTAACTAGGAAAAAAAACAATTTTAAAAATAACTTTAAAAAATGATGCAGAAAAGCTAGAGAATACTATGATTTTATTCCACATGGTAAATGTGCTGCACTTTTATTATTGTAAGTGTCTAAGAATTGAAATTCTTTATAATTAAAAAGGTATGTGTATATATACACATACATAGGTGTATGTATACATATATGTGTGTATACATTCATAAATATACACATGTGTGTATACCCATCATGTATGTGATATATCATGTGCACACATGTACAGCTGTGTGTTCATGCATTTCACATATCTTTTCACATGTGTATACATATACATTTATATGCATACACATATGTGCTTATGCAGACACAAGATGGATAGATTGAATGTACACTGAATGATGTTAAAATGGTACAGGATAAGAAGTAGCAAAATTGACTTAAAACCTAATGCATTAAATCAATTATAATTGAAGGACTTGCTACCATACATTACAAGATTGAATCTTACTTAGTATGTTAACTACAGATATGATCAGTGTACAGGTAAAACAGTATACAGGTGAAACAGTGTTCTATGATTAGGAAGAATATAAAACCGTTTCTATATTGCCTCTGGTCATATTCTCCTAGCTTAGTCACAAAATTGGGACTGTTGCCTTTTAAATCTTATTCTTAAAATGGTATCTTCCTGAAAAGCAAATAGGTATTTAAAGTATAATATCCCAACCTTCTTCTATTCATTTCTCATCACCATCATCAATTATTTAAAGTTTTGTGCTATGTAAGTCACAGAAAAATTAATTAATTATAAGAGGAAAACAGAACAACAACATTTTATAAATTCTGTCTCAAACATTACCAGAATAAGATCGAAATCTCCGTGATGTTGGCAATGCACAGAACTGAAACTTAAATAAGGAAGAGTGTCTAGGAAAAAGGAGAGTTTTAATTTCTACTCAAATAAAAATGTTTTTAATAATAACCAACTCACAGGAGTTTGATTTTCATTACATCTGTTCAAGAGTTCTGTATATGTGGAAGGCTTCCCCTATTAATGGTTTAGTTCAAATCTCTAAAGGCCACAGAGTGTCTGTATTAACATGTTCCATAAAATGTGATGATGTACAAAGTGCAGACACTACATGGCCTCACCTCTTTGGGTTTGAGTATGCCTTTGTCTAAAATGGGGCCAATAATTACTAATTTTCAAAGTTGAAATTAATACAAATATGGAAGCATAGGTTTTTCTGCCTAGGTATTCCATAGTGTTATCTATGACCATTATCTCCTTCAAATTAATGGATTACCATGTGAAAAATAAATACTTTTTATATGTATTTTAATAAATTGTAGAACTCAATTATAGTACAGATAATATTTAGTCTTTACATTTTTAATATCACGTTATTAAAGTTAATATTTTTTCTAAGGACCAACTTTTGTTCATTAACCATGTTATCTCAAGTTTGTCATATAAAGAAATGCTCAGGATTTATTCTATGTTCAGCTATGAAATTTTAAACATGTTCTTTATAATTTTTGTAAGTCCTGTTGAGGGGTGGAGTTGTCGGGACTTCCTGGGCCGGTTCAGGGACCTTCACAAAAGTCCCCTGTTACTCAGGGTTTTGAGTTCTTAGCCAATTGAGTGAAGGATTCAAAATTAACCACTCCAAGGGAGGATTGAAAAAAGAACCATTCTCAGTTGACAAAAAAGAAAGAAAGGGGAGGGGGTAGCACAGGGATATAAGCCCTAGCCACCGGAGCCAGCAACAACAACCCTTCCGGCTCCCCTTCCGCTATGTGGAAGCTTTCCTTTCACTTTGTTCAATAAACTGCACTGCTACTCATTGTCCTGGTCTGTGGACTCTTTTTGAGCTGTAACACTGTGAAGGTCTGCAGCTTCATTCTTCATAGTTAGCAAGACCACGAACCTATCCCATCAGCAGGAAAAACTCCTGACTCACTGTCTCTTCTTAATTCCTAGCTTTGAATTTATGCGTATCTTCAAGGTTGTTGAAGTTCCATTTTGAAAATTAAAAATAAATAAATAATAAATAACTAGAGAATGCATAGGGACCACTGACTTAAATTTCCAACACGACCTACATAATCACATCAAATTATCAAAGACATATATAAATATTAAATTTCATAAAACAACTTTGATGAGTTAATGCTTTTATCTAGCTTTTGTCCATACTTTAGATGAACTGAATCAAGCCTACTATACTCACTGACCCAGCTAAATGTATACTTTGCAAAGGAGTAATAAGAAATGTCCTGTGTGGTGTGTGTGGCCATGTGCCAATGTGAATAAATGGTGTGTTGAGCGTAGAGTGGTAGCTAGACTTTAGAATTTGCTTGAGGGTATTAGTTTGAATAAATGTTTATTAAGGATAAACTACTTCAACTGATACTTGTTTGCATAAGTTTTCCGTAGGGGTTAGGTGCTTAAAATCTCCTTCAGGGATATTGCTTTGCATAAGCTGTTTGCATTTAGATTCCATCCCTCTAGGAGATGTTAATTGCTTGATCTGTCATTAAAGTGTGGAGATTTAGATCCTGTTAAAGTAATACCCTGGAGTGTGATTGAGTGCAGCTGCTGAAGTGAATTAGAATAAGTTTGAATCCTGGAGGTTTGCTCTAGGATGGATAAACCAATCCTGTGAATTGTCTTACTCCACCACTAGAAGATAAGTTCCATGCAAGCAAACGTTTTGCCTCCTTGCTGATTTTTCTCTACAGCCTAGGGAATATACCTGGCCCATGGAAGGCACGTAACTATCTGTTAGATAACTGAATGAGTGGAGTAATTTTTAGTAGGAACTATTTATCTCCTTAGCTGGTATCCAAATAAAACTAAATAAAAAGTTCTTAAAAACCAATATTTTATTCTCTAAATATTATTTATACTATGAAGGGCATGCCAGATCTACTTCTGTGTGCTAGTGATGAGTATGAATACAAAATATCTGAGACAGGTCTCAGTCAATTTAGAAAGTTTGTTTTGCCAAGGTTAAAGACATGCTCATGACACAGCCTCAGGAGGTCCTGACCACACGTGCCCAAGGTGGTCGGGGTACAGCTTGCTTTTATACATTTTAGGGAGACATAATACATCAATCAATACATGTAAGATTTACATTAGTTTGATCTGGAAAAGCAGAAAAACTTGAAGCAGGTTGGGGCACTTAGCTTCCAGGTTATAGGTAGATTTAAACATATTCCCATTGGAAATTGTTTGAAAGAATGATTATCAGTAGAAAGGAATGACTGAGTTAAGATAAGGGGTTGTGAAGACCAAGGTTTTATCATGCAGATGAAGCCTCCAGGTGGCAAGGTTCAGAGAAAATAGATTGTAAATATTTCTTATCAGACTTAAGGTCTTTGTTGATCTTAATGCTGGAGGGATATAATGAGGCATGTTTGACCCCCACTTCCCATTATGGCCTGAACCAGTCTTTCAGATTAAATGTTAGGAATTGCTGGCCAAGGAGGGAGTCTATTCAGATGATTGCAGTGGGGGGTACTTCAAATTTTATTTTTGATTTACATTGTATACCCATCATTTTAAAAAATTTCTTTTAATTTCCTTCACTATCCCTACTATTATGATTAAATTTTTTGATCAACTTGGTTAGGCTATAGTACCTACTTTATGGTCAAACAACCACCTAGATGTTCTGTGAAGATCTTTTTTAGATGTGCTTAACATTTATACATCCATCTGTCTATTTTAATGGGTTTAAATGTATGGGGTATAAGTGTAATTTTGTTACATGCATAGATTCTGCAATGGCAAAATCAGAACTTTTAGAGTATACATCACCCAAAAAACATACACACATTAAACCTTTCATGCGCGTCCGTGTGAAGAGACCACCAAACAGGCTTTGTGTGAGCAACATGGCTGTTTATTTCACCTGGGCGCAGGCGGGCTGAGTCCAAAAAGAGAGTCAGTGAAGGGAGATAAGGATGGGGCCGTTTTATAGGATTTGGGTAGGTAAAGGAAAATTACAGTCAAAGGGGGTTTGTTCTCTGGCGGGCAGGAGTGGGGGGTTGCAAGGTGCTCAGTGGGGGTGCTTTTTGAGCCAGGATGAGCCAGGAAAAGGACTTTCACAAGGTAATATCATCACTTAAGGCAAGGACCAGCCATTTACACTTCTTTTGTGGTGGAATGTCATCAGTTAAGGTGGGGCAGGGCATTTTCACTTCTTTTGTGATTCTTCAGTTACTTCAGGCCATCTGGGCATATACGTGCAAGTCACAGGGGATGCGATGGCTTGGCTTGGGCTCAGAGGCCTGACATTCCTGCCTTCTTATATTAATAAGAAAAATAAAACAAAATAGTGTTGAAGTGTTGGGACAGCGAAAATTTTTGGGGGGTGGTATCTAGAGAGAATGGGCGATGTTTCTCAGGGCTGCTTCAAGTGGGATTAGGGTCGGCGTGGGAACCTAGAGTGGGAGAGATTAAGCTGAAGGGAGGTCTTGTGGTAAGGGGTGATATTGTGGGGATGTTAGAAGAAACATTTGTCATATAGAATGATTGGTGATGGCCTAGATACGGTTTTGGATGAATTGAGAAACTAAATGGAATAACAGAAGGAGAAAAACAGGTATAAAAGGTCTAAGAATTGGGACGACTCAGGATATCTGATTAGAGAGTGCCTAAGGAGATTCAGCATAGTCCTGCCAGCAAAGATTATTTATTTACTTCAAGAGTTAATAGTGACAGTTTGGGGATAGCACCAGGAGATATCAGCTGTGATGGCTTGGAAAAACAGTGTAAACCGGCAGTGTAAACAAGAGCAAGGCATGTATGAGTAGTTGAGAACGGTGAATAGGAGGATGACTAGACAGAAAATAGTAGGGATGACAAGTTTTTTTTTTTTTTTTTTGGTGGGGCACAGTCTAAGTTGGTCTGGTGTCTGGAATGAGACTGGGGCCTAATAAAAAGGAGCATCTATACAGGAGCTTAAATGGGCTGTACCCTGTAGCATTCCGAGGACAGGCCTGAATTCTGAGAAGGGAAAGTGGTAAAAGTATTGTCCAGTCCTTTTTAAGTTGGTGGCTGAGCTTGGTGAGGAGTGTTTTTAAAAGACCTTTAGTCCATTCTACTTTTCTTGAAGATGGAGGACCATAAGGGATATAAAGGTTTCACTGAATACTCAGAGCCTGAAAAACTGCTTGGCTGATTTGACTAATAAAGGCTGATCTGTTATCAGACTGTATTGAGGTGGGAAGGCTAAACTGAGGAATTATGTCTGACAGAATGGAAGAAATGACTGTGGTGGCCTTCTCAAACCCTGTAGGAAAGGCCTCTACCTATCCAGTGAAAGTATCTACCTAGACTAAGAGGTATTTTAGTTATCGGTCTCAGGGCATGTTGAGTAAAGCTAATTTGCCAGTCCTGGGTGGGGCAAATCCTGGAGCTTGATGTGTAGGGAAGGGAGGGGGCCTGAATAATCCCTGAGGAGTAGTAGAATAGCAGATGGAACACTGAGAAGTTATTTCCTTGAGGATAGATTTCAACGATGGAAAGGAAATGAGAGGTTCTAAGAGGCGGGCTAGTGGCTTGTACTATAGCATAACCTGCCTTTGCTGGTGTGTGGTGATTAGGCCTGGTGGAACCCCCATCAATAAATAAGCGTGATCAGGGTGAGCAACAGGAAAGAAGGAAATTTGGGGAAATGGGGTGAATGTCAGGTGGATCAGAGAGATACAGTCATGGGGTTCAGGTGTGGTATCAGGAATAATGTGGGAGGCCGGATTGAAGTCTGAGCCAGGAACAATGGTAATTGTGGGAGACTCAACAAAGAGTGAGTACAGCTGAAGGAGCCGGGAAGCAGAAAGTATATGCGTCAGGTATGAGGAAGAAAATAGATTTTGGAAGTTATGAGAACTGTAGAGAGTGAGTTGAGCATAGTTTGTGATTTTGAGGGCCTCTAAAAGTATTAATGCAGTGGCAGCCACTGCACGCAGACATGAGGGCTAGGCTAAAACAGTAAGGTCAAGTTGTTTGGACAGAAAGGCTACAGGGTGTGGTCCTGGCTCTTGTGTAAGAATTCTGACTGCGCTAACCATGCCTAGGAAGGAAAGGAGTTGTTGTTTTGTAGAAGGTGCTGGGGTTTGAGAGATCAGTGGGACACGATTGGCAGCACGTGTGTGGCAGCACGTGTGTTTTTATGAGAATTATGCTGAGATAGGTAACAGATGAGGAAGAAATTTGGGCTTGAATGAAGTAATGGGGGCTGTCTGTGAAGCTTTGCGGCAGTACAGCCTAGGTAATTTGCTGAGCGTGATGGGTGTCAGGGTCAGTCCAAGTGAAAGCAAAGAGAGGATGGGACGAGGGGTGCAGGGGAATAGTGAAAAAAGCATCTTTAAGATCAAGCAGGGAATAGTGAGTTGTGGAGGAAGGTATTGAGGACAAAAGAGTGTATGGGTTGGGCACCACAGGGTGGATAGGCAAAACAATTTGGTTGATAAGGCGCAGATCCTGAACTAAGTTGTAAGGCTTGTCTGGTTTTAGGACAGGTAAAATGGGGAAATTGTAAGGAGAGTTTATAGGCTTTAAAAGGCCATGCTGTAGCAGGCGAGTGATAACAGGCTTTAATCTTTTTAAAGCGTGCTGTGGGATGGGATATTGGCATTGAGTGGGGTAAGTGTGATTAGGTTTTAATGAGATGGTAAGAGGTGCATGATCGGTAGCCAAGGAGGGAGTAGAGGTATATTATACTTGTGGGTTAAGGTCGGGGGATACAAGAGGAGGATGCAAAGGAGGCTTTGGATTGGGAAGAAGGGCGGCAATGAGATATAGCTGTAGCCCAGGAATAGTCAGGGCAGCAGATAATTTAGTTAAAGTGTCTCGGCCTAATAAGGGAACTGGGCAGGTGGGGATAACTAAAAAGGAGTGCTTCAAAGAGTATTGTCTAAGTTGGCACCAGAGTTGGGGAGTTTTAAGAGGTTTAGAAGCCTGGCCGTCAATACCCACAACAGTTATGGAGGCAAGGGAAACAGCCCTTGAAAAGAAGGTAATGTGGAGTGGGTAGCCTCTGTATTGATGAAGAAGGGGACGGGCTTACTTTCCACTGTGAGAGTTACCCGAAGCTCAGCATCCGTGGTGGTCTAGGGGGCTTCCGAGGCGATCCGGCAGTGTCAGTCTTCAGCCGCTAAGCCAAGAAGATCTGCGAAGGAGTCAGTCAGAGAGGCTTGGGCCAGAGTTCCAGGGGCTCTGCGAGTGGCTGCCAGGTGAGTTGAACAGTCCGATTTTCAGTGGGGTCCCACACAGATGGGACACGGCTTAGGAGGAATCCCGGGCTGTGGGCATTCCTTGGCCCAGTGGCCAGATTTCTGGCATGTGTAGCAAGCTCCTATGGGAGGAGGTTCTGGAGGAATGCCTGGCTGCTGCGGTTCAGGCGTTTGGAAGTTCTTGTGTGCTGGAGATGTGGCTGGGGTTTTTCTCACAGTGGAGGCAAGGAATTGCAACTTTTTTCTATTATTGTACACCTTGAAGGCGAGGTTAATTAAATCCTGTTGTGGGGTTTGAGGGCTGGAATTTAATTTTTGGAGTTTTATTTAATGTCGGGAGCAGATTGGGTAATAAAATGTATTTTGAGAATAAGACGGCCTTTTGACCTTTTAGGGTCTAGGGCTGTAAAGTGTCTCAGGGTTGCTGCCAAACAAGTCATGAACTGGGCTGGATTTTTATATTTGATGAAAAAGAGCCTAAACACTATCTGATTTGGGATAAAGAAAAAGGAGCATTAACCTTGACTATGCCTTTGGCTCTAGCCACCTTTTTAAGAGTAAATTGCTGGGCAGGAGGGGGAGGGCTAGTCAGGGAACGAAGCTGTAAGCAGGACCAGGTGTGAGGAGGGGAGGTGATAAAAAAATTATAGGGTGGAGGAGCAGAGGCTGAGGAAGAATTGGGACCTAGCTCGGCCTGGCAAGGAGCAGCCTGGGGAGGAAGGGAGAGGTCAGATGGGTCTGTAGAAAAGGAAGATTAGAAAGACTCAGCGATGCTTGGGGTTGGTACTGAGGGGACAGGTGGGAGGGAAAGAAGGAAGATTTGGGACGAGTTGCACTGGGCACAGAGACTAGGAAGGGACTGATGTGTAAAAGAATGCCTGGACGTCAGGCACCTCAGACCATTTACCTATTTTACGACAAGAATTATTTAGATCTTGCAGGATGGAAAAATTCAAAGTGCCATTTTCTGGCTATTTGGAACTACTGTCGAGTTTGTATTGGGGTCAAGCGGCATTGCAGAAGAAAATAAGGCATTTAGGTTTTAGGTGAGGTGTGAGTTGAAGAGGTTTTAAGTTTTTGAGAACACAGGCCAAGGGAGTAGAAGGAGGAATGGAGGGTGGAAGGTTGCCTATAGTGAAGGAAGCAAGCCTAGAGAAGAGAGAGAGTAGAGAAACGGAGGGAAGGGGTTCGGGGGTTCTTACCTTCCAGAAAAGTAGGAAAAGGGGTTGGGGTGTGGAAATAAGGGATTGGGGTGCAGAGATATAAGAGGTTGGAGCGTGGAAATAAGGGATTGGGGCACAGAGATAAGAGGTCGGGGTGCAGAAATAAGGGATTGGGGCACAGAGATAAGAGGTCGGGGTGCGGAAATAAGGGATTGGGGCACAGAGATAAGAGGTTGGGGCATGGAAATAAGGGATTGGGGGTTCTTGCCCCATAGAAAAGCAGGACTTACCACTAAGGGTGAAGGAGAAGGGGTTGAGGGGTATTTGCCCCTCTCCTAGAAAAGCAGAGAAGGGGTAGAGACAAGGAGAGAAGGGGTTGAGGGGTACTTGTCCCTTCCTCAGAAAAGCAGGACTTGCCGCTAAGGGTGAAGGACCAAGGCAGGCGTCCCTGCGTGGTCTGACACCCTTGAAACATGAGTGTATAATCAGAGAGGCGTCCCTGCAATGATTAAACACCGAGGGAAGGCTGCCTTCCCAGTCCGTGACCGGCACCGGAGTTTTGGGTCCACGGATAAAACGTGTCTCGTTTGTCTCTACCAGAAAATGAAAGGAATTGAAATTAAGAGAAGGGAGAGATTGAAGTGTGGCGCCAAGATTGAAAGGAGAAAGAGGTTGAGGGATAGTGAGGGACGTTGGAGAAAAGAGTAAAATGAGGCCGCTTACCAGATTTGAAATTGGTGAGATGTTTCTTGGGCTGGTCGGTCTGAGGACCTGAGGTAGTAGGTGGATCTTTCTCACGGAGCAAAGAACAGGAGGACAGGGGATTGATCTGGGAAGGGAGGTCCCCAGATCTGAGTCATGGCACCAAATTTCATGCGTGTCCATGTGAAGAGACCACCAAACAGGCTTTGTGTGAGCAACATGGCTGTTTATTTCACCTGGGTGCAGGTGGGCTGAGTCCAGAAAGAGAGTCAGTGAAGGGAGATAAGGATGGGGCCGTTTTATAGGATTTAGGTAGGTAAAGGAAAATTACAGTCAAGGGGGTTCTCTGGCGGGCAGGAGTGGGGGTCGCAAAGTGCTCAGTGGGGGTGCTTTTTGAGCCAGGATGAGCCAGGAAAAGGACTTTCACAAGGTAATGTCATCACTTAAGGCAAGGATCAGCCATTTACACTTCTTTTGTGGTGGAATGTCATCAGTTAAGGTGGGGCAGGGCATTTTCACTTCTTTTGTGATTCTTCAGTTACTTCAGGCCATCTGGGTATATACGTGCAAGTCACAGGGGATGCAATGGCTTGGCTTGGGCTCAGAGGCCTGACAAAACCTATTAAGTAATCTCTCATTATTCACTCTTTTTCTACCCCCTTAAATCAGTAAACCTTTGAATAAAGCAGATTAACCTTCATAATGTGGGGGAACCTCATGCAATTATCTGATGAACTCAAGACAAAAGACTGAGGTCCCTTGAAGGGGAAAGGATTCTGGCTTCTGACTATGTCTGCACTGAAAATTGCAGTATTAACTACTGCTGGAATTTCCAGCCTGCTGGCCAATTCTGCAGATTCCAGACTTGCCAGCTTCCAAAATCAAGTAAGCCAATTTCCTGAAAATAAATGTCTTTCTCTATCTCCCTCTCCCACCCTTTCTCTTGTACTTCCTCTCCACTCGTCTATCACTCTCCTATTGGTTGTTTTTTCTGAGGAATCCTGACTAATGTGCCTTAAGTAAATTTTTGGCAGTAAGCTCCCTCATGTAGTAAGGATGAGCATTTTGATATGTTTTGTCTTTGTTCTTTTATTTTTTAATAAAAATCTTTTTAGATAATAATCTTACTTTTTAAGATAATCTAACTCTGACAGGGCTTGGTGATACGGTAGGACAAATGTATTTTTGCTTATGACAACTTTTCACAACCCTTGTAGCCCAAATTAGCAGGATAGGAAATAATAACCATGAAGAAACTGGTGATATGGACAGGAGGCAGAGGAATACTAGATAGAAAAGGCAGGGTGTTTGGCAAGGGTTTTACCTTCAAGCCTGGACCCACTGCCCTAAATGAGAACTTCACATCCCCATTTTCCCACCCAAATGTCGCCTTTTGGCCTGCCATACACCTTTTCCTGTGCCCATAAAAACCCCAAGCTCCACTGGCAGAGTGGTGCAGCAGAGAAGGAGAGAAGAGGTGTCTGAATGGCCATTGGTTGAATTAAGCTTTGTGTAAAGACTTGAAGTCGGTACAAAGGAATCCTTGAGTCAAGCTGAGGGAGTTGTAGAGGTCAAGGCCCTTGTTTCGTAGACGAAGCCTCATAGATAGCCGCCTTCAGAGAGAATAGATGGTAAATATCTCTTTCCAAACCTTAAAGGTATCTGACTCTCTATTAATCTCTCCTAGATTTGGGCAAAGGCTAGGAAGAAAGGCCTGGATGCATTAGTGAAGATTTTCTACAGACAGAAATTTCCCCCACAAAAAACATTAGTTTTGCAGGGCTATTTCAAAATATGTCAAATAAATATATTTTGGGGGTAAAATACTTTGATTTCCTTCAAGGTCTGCCATCTGTTATGTGATGCTATACCAGCGTCAAGTTGGAAACTCAGCCACATTATACTGGGATAATTTTAGAAATGATTTAGTGAGATTATATGGTTTGTAGGTTATGACTTAACCCCTATCTTGCATGGTCTTAGGTCTTGTTTATAATCTGGTGTCTTATTGCACAATAAGTCTGTCCTATAAGACTTATGATCTGTTTTAACCTAAACTCCAAAAGTGAGGGGATATAATGAGACATGTCCAACCTCCCTTCTGAAATGGCCAGGGATTCAGTTTTTCAGGTTTCTTTGGGGTCTCCTTGGCCAAAAAGGGTCCATTTAATCAGTTGGGGAGTCTAGAATTTTATTTTTGTTTTACAAATGATACCCACCATGAACAGAGCAGTGTCTCCCAATGATGTCTCTGTCTTAATCCCAGTAACCTGTGACTAGGCTAATTATACAAATAGTATTAAGGTTGAAGATGAAATTGAGGTTGTTAGTTAGCTGACCTTAAAAGAGGGTGATCATCCTGAATTTTCTATGTGGTCCCAATGTCAGTCATCACAAGTGCTCTTGAAACTATTAGAATGGGGCAGAAAAGCAGATCAGAGTGATAGGATATGAGAAGGAGTCAATCTACCATTGTTGGCTTTTTAAATTCAGGAAATGGGCCACAAACCAAGGAATACAGATGCTTCCAGCAGCTGGAAAAGGCAAACAAACAACCAACTCAGATTCTCCCTAGCATCTATAGAAAGAAGTACAGCCCTGCCAACACATTACCTTTAGTCCAATGAGAACTTCATCAGACTTCTGACCTATGGAAATATAAGAATAAATTTGTGTTTTTCAGTCCATCAAGTTTGTGGTAATTTGCTACAGAAGCAAGAAAAAATTATTACAATAATGATGATAAAATAATGACTACAATAAAATTAATCTTAGCAATAATTTTTGTCTATATAATATATGCCAAAAATAATATTATTTGAGGAGGAACATTACTTTGAAGACAGTTTTATTTTCATACTATTCATTAAGCTTTACAATAAAAATGGCATTTCTCCTTTCAGGGATAAGATTAAGTTGCTATGTGTGACAATTGATAATTTTTTTATTTGCTTTTTGCTACTTCTTTTATTCAAACAATATCTTACTGGTCATAATAATGTCTACAATTTACTAAGCAGCTGAAATATTACAGATGTTGTGCAAGGCAATTATTTCCTATAATAGTTTTCCCTGATATATCAGATTAAAGATAGAGATTATATCTTGACTCACCATAACCTAATACACATTATTTCATTATATCTACTTCCATCTGTAGGCTTTATACTTCCAGTTCTCTCTAACACCCTCCACCTTAAAATTACTTTTGGAGATTTCTCTCTCTGTCTCTTCTCTCTGTCTCCATTCATCATTCCAACTATTATTTTGCTGTTATTTCATTCATTGATTCCACAAATATTTTGAGGGTTTTATTATGTACAAGTTGTATTGTATTCCAACTGTTGAATACAGAGCAGTATACAAAGAAAGTGATATCTCTACTTCCATGAGGTTAGTATTCCAGTAAGAGAAACATGTAATAAACAATAGACAAGTGATTGTGGTTACTTTGGATTGCAATAATTACTACTTTTTTTGTAACATGTAGTGAATAAGAATGAACTGTGTGTAGTTTGGGGAGATGAGCATATAAAATTTTTAAAAGGATATGCTTTTGAAGTAAAATATAGTGTTTTTTCCTTAAGACTTTGGGTCTAATTGATCTCAGTAAATATTGTGGTTTTCAGAGTTAAGGTGTTTCTCTAGTTATTCTCATAAAGAGATCCAAGAATTGCATGGTCCCCACCTGTTTCAAAGTATCAAAAATGTGATTATATCAGGACTTACTACTTGTTTTTAGTATTCAAATCTATTCATCCTTTGATCTTAAGCATATATGGGTAGTCAATGCAATCATTGTCATTCCTGTTTTAAATCATTCTGTAGAAGATGCTGCTGTTTGCCCTGAAACAGTGGTAGGCTTCAGGTTGAGCTGATCCTCCATGGGCAGCTTAACTTCAAAATGTGTTCATTTTTTTTTTTTTTTTGTCCTTTCTCTTGGATTTCAAGATATAACCTAGAGGCAAATTCCAGAAGCCTTTTTTCTTAGCCTTAAAATAGATTCCATATCGCTTTCTTTCTCACTGTTTATACCTCTTTAACATTTACCTAACTGCTGCTATCTAATTATGTGTCGTCTTAGAAGTTCCAGGAGATAATCTTGAGACAGACAGACCAAGTTTGGAAACCCATCTGCAACATTCCAAAGATTCCTTCAAGGCAGCTAGTTAACAACCTGACCACTGTTGACATGATGTCAGCCCGAGGTCCAGGTGAACTGGGACCCAAGACAGCCACCAGGGCAAGACACACAGACATTGTACTCAGCCAAATTCTTGCATGCCTTCCTTGTCAGCTTTCCCTTTCTAAATCCCTGCTTTCCCCCACCAAAATCAAAGCAGTTACTTTGGATAGGAATCCAGCTACTTCCTTTAGTTCTGGTTAATAAATTCATTTTCTACCAGACCTCTCTTTTTGTTTTTTTTTTTTTTTGAGATGGAGTTTCACTTGTTGCCCACCCTGGAGTGCAGTGGTACAATCTCAGCTAACTGCAACCTCTGCCTCCTGGGTTCAAGCGATTCTCCTGCTTCAGCCTCCTGAGTAGCTGGGAGTAGCCCACCACCATGCCTAGCTAATCTTGTGTGTTATTAGTAGAGATGGGGTTTCATCATGTTGGCCAGGCTGGTCTCGAACTCCTGACCTCAGGTGATCCACCCGTCTTGGACTCCCAAAGTGCAGTGATTACAGGCATGAGCCACCGTGCCCGGCCCTCACTACTGTTAACTGGACTCTGCAAGCGGCAAGCATTCAGACCTATGTTCCCTTACAGTTTCAGGGACTGTCCTAATTTACTGGAAATAATTCTGTCTCCATTGCAAATGACTCGTTCAGAAATGTAGACTTATAGCACACAGGCTGTGGATATAGTAGACATTGTTTCTTGAAGGAATAAGAGTGTATAGATTGCTAGCTGTTGAACAGAAGTCATTTTTTTTTTTGTTTCTTCTTGAATACATGGCTGGATTATATTTCCAAAATTCTCTTATAATTTTGCTTATGTAATTAAACATTGACAATAAAACATAAAGAGCAAAATGAATGGGTGAAATTTACCTGTCATGTTTAAAGGACAGTCCTTTAAATATATATATACAATTTGAGTCCTTGTTTTTTGTTTTGTTTTGTTTCTCTATTCTAGGGGTTAAGATTATGGGTAATAGAGGATAGTTAGAAGAATCTTGAAATCATGTGTTAGTGATAGCAAAAGTGCTTTCATTCTTTGTCTCTGAACAGACCTTGTAAAGGAAAGTGGCTTGCCAGACTGATATGTTCACTGTGGACTCAGTACATGAGAATGAAATAGGCGCCATAGTTTATATTTACTTTAAACCACTGAAATGCCATTGGGTATGTGTTATCCCATCAAACACAGTATGTGGCACTGAAGCAGTTAGCAGGATCTGTAAGGAAGTTTTCTAGGGTGTGTGGAATAATGTTTCCTAACTTTAAAAAGTAAGTCACTAAAAAGACAATCTGTTTTCTTTGCATATAGGCCTAAAAGTATCATCATTTTGCCATCAGACAGAAAATTAGTTCTATATAGTTCACAGCTGTACTTGTTTGCTAGGACTGCCATAACAAGATACCACAGACAGTGGCATAAAAAATAGAAATTTATTTTCTCACAGTTCCAGAGGCTGGAAGTCCAAAATCAAGGTGTTGGCAGGGTTAGTTCCTTCTGAAGTCTTGCTGCTTATAGATGACTGTCCTCTCCCATATATACACGTTTTTGTTGTTGTTTGTTTTTTGTTTTCTTTCTACATGCCTGCAAACAAACTTCCTCTTTTAGTAAGGAAGGTAGCCATTACTAGATTAGGGCTGAACCTGAAGGCCTCATTCTATCTTAATTGATTCTTTAAAGATCCTATCTCTAAATAGAGTCCCATTCTGACGTGTTGGATATTAGGACTTCAACAAATGAATCTGGGGGAGAGGGGAGATACAATTCAGCCCATAACATCATAAGAGTAAAAACACAAAAGAAAATGTAGAAAGATAAATCCAGAGACTCAATTAAATTACGCTACAACTCATCACATTCTTATCTAAGGAATTTTCAGTGACGTTAGCTAATAAATTCCCTCATTTTCATTAAATGTGAGTAGTGTTATATTTTACTTAAAAACAATTGCTTACTAACTTTGAGGAACATTGGAACCAATTGAGTGACTTTAAAAAATGATGCCCAGATTACACTCCATAAACCAGTATTTTATTAAAAGGTGATCTCAATACACAGCAAAGCATTAAATCATGAAGGCTAAAAAATCTTAATATATACAATTTCTTTAATTCATTTTTATTTTCTTCATATGTCATATTTTATTTTTAATAATCAAACATTGCATAGGTTATTATAGTTTACTTGATAATATTAATACATTGGATTTTTAAAAGAAAAATCTATAGAGAACATTTAGGAAAGTAAAGGAAGTATATATTTTGGCTACTGATTTTCTGAATCTTTATACTTTGAAATTTTTGTACCGAAATATTTTTCAATCATTGAATCCAATTTCAGAGTGTCCCAGACACAAATACATAACATTATATTTTTGACGTAATACTTTAATTTTCTTTCATGATACATCAATATATCAGTTATAATAACAGTGCAAAAGGATGCTGATTTTTCCCCATGTTTGTTTACCCTCTATTTCTTAGTGATTGAATCTCTCATATTCACATCGGCACATTCTGGATAGTCATCCAGAATAATAGAAACATTTTCTGGGTTCTCTTATACCCTTTGTGGCCTTATGATTATGTGTTTTCAAAGGGATTTAAATTAGAAGTGTTGTGTGCAGCATCCAAGAATTTTTAAGATGAAAAGGGGAAGCTTTTTCAACAATTTTTCCTGCCTGTTTCCTGAAATGTGTTCAATGCCATTTGTTAGAGAGGGGAAAACAGGATCAAAGAAACTTTGTGTCTGATAATAGTAAAGGTACCCTACCTTTGCTCATGTTTTTGTGAAATTGATTCCTATCACATGTAAGTGAAATTTATCTGAGGTTTCCTTAATCTTTTAGCCAAATGGGGCTTTTGTGTTGCACACCTCTATGAATACCTTTACATAGATGGAGAGAATATATTGAGGGATACGGACATTTCATTGCTAGTTTTATAGTGGATAGCTTACAGGCTCCAGTGTGAATAAATTTGCTGGGGTTGCGCCTTGCAGAGACCCTATTGCCAAATCAAATTTTAAAACAAATAAATTATTATAATCAGTTTTTACCTTGTTATGTGGTGACACATTGGACATTAAATAAGATTTCTCAGACTCTAAGAACCCATCAATCCTATAAAATTTTGGTGATTCAATTCCATGATAAAAATGACTTTGAAGCTCTCTACATTATGCTTTGTATTTCACTGTCATTACTGATCTGTAACTCTTATTAAGATATAATTTGCTCCTCCTCGACTGCCCTGGGACCTAGAGTAGCCGTTAGTGAATATCTCAGCACTGATATCCATCTCCAGTATTGATCTGCTGTTGGCAGATTCACTTTCCTAACAGAACACATTATCAGGGTTTTGTGTTATGTTCATCACAAGAAAAGCACCAATACTTGGCACACATACTGCTTTGACAGAAACTCTTTTTCCAGTATATTGAATGACATGAATATCAATGATATTTCGATGACTATGTTTCCTACTCAACTGATATAAATGTTGCTGAAGTAAAATAATTTTAAAAGGATAAAGAGAATATAAACCTTTCTCAAATTCCCATGAATATAAAATCATCCAACCTATTCACTGAGAAAATTTAGAGATTATTCAAATACATATACATTTCCTCCTCCCTATTTGCAATTTCTGTTACCAGCAATTTTAATTTCATGCAATCACTGGTTATTGTGAAATGATATTTCCATCATGTGACCCTTGCTGTTTTCTTTTTGTGTAAACATGCTTTTAACAAGGATTAGACAAGAATCCAAAATAATCAGATTTTACGAGAAAAGAATGTATCAATATTTTGCTCTTTCAGAATATAAAATAAATATTTTGATCTTCATATCTTGACAATGTTTTTTTCCCAAACCTTTTTTGGTTTTCAAATTACTGGTACCAGAAAAAAAAAAAGTACTGGCATTAATTTAGTCTCTACTTTCGGAAATATTTTTCTAATACCTTAAAATCTCTGTATATTCTTGTGAATAACACATTATGGCCTTTATTTCCTAAGGAAGTAGAAAAGCCTACAACTCTACAAAATAATGCTTTATATTAATAAAATATCTGCTATTTCCTAAACTCTAAATTTTGCACTTTCCACTATCTATGCAAATTATTTTTCAAAAAATATTATGATTATGTGGTACAAACTTTTATTATCATTACTTGGTAGATGAAGAGAATCAGAGCTTGAAGTAGATAAATACATGCTTGGGTTTGTGTTAGTCCATTTTCACACTGCTATAAAGAAGTGCCTGAGACTGGATAATTTATGAAGGAAAGAGGTTTAATTGACTGACAGTTTCACGTGGTTGGGGAGGCCTCCGGAAACTTATAATCATGGTGGAAGGCAAAGGAGAAACAAGGACCTTCTTCATACGGTTGTGCCAAAGAGAAGAATGAGGTGCAAAGGGGAAGAACCCCTTATAAAACCATCAGATCTCATGAGAACTCACTTACTATCACAAGAATAGCATGGGGGAAACCAACCCCATCATCCAGTTACCTCCACCTGGTCTCTTCCTTGACAGGTGGGATTATGGGGATTATGAGGAGTATAATTCAAGATGAGATTTGGGTGGTGACACAAAGCCTCACTGTATCAGGGTCATGCACTTTAAATTAGAATGCTGGAATTTGAATTCAGACTTACTCTAGGTCCTTCTTATAAACTATTGCTGCAAGAAACAGAAGTAAGCCTAGAAATTCAGCAAAATGGTTAGAAGAAAAAAACTTCTCTAGTTAAATAGCTTAGTGGTTTTGTTGACTATGCAAGTAATGTATATGTTATGAAATAGATTACCATAGAGAAGTAATTCATATATATCAGTGGTTAGCCTAAATATTACCCTAGGGAAAAATCTGGCCTCTTGCCTGCTTTTATAAATAAACATTTATTGGAACACAGCCACATGTATTACTTTCTAAGTATTGTCTATGGCTGCATTTTTGCCACGAGAACAGAATGTAGTAGTTGTAGCAGAGGCCATATGGACCACAAAGCCTAAAATATTTGCTATCTAGGCCTTTACAGAAAATATTTGTAAACATTTGATATAGATTGTTATTGAAGTTAAATAATATTTCAAAGAAGCTATTTTAACTTTTATAAAATTGTGAAGCCAAAAGGCATCTGTCTAAACTTCCAATAACAAAAAGTAAATATTTCTCGGTCATATTAAAGAAAAGGGTGAATAATCTTTCTTGTCTTCCTATGGAAAATAATATTACAAATGTATTGTCATGTAAAGGGATAAAAGATGATGTAATTAGAATGTAGAAAATATACAGATATGTCCGGAGGTTGTCCTTAAAATATTATGTTATGTGTCAGAATTTATATTTGTTTATGGTATTTTTTTCACCCATATCACAATTTAATCTTAATGAGGACAAGTTTCTTTTGTTCTTATTCACCACTTTACAGCAATGATGAGCACTCAGCATGTAATAGATGCTGATCTATAATTTGATGAGTGAAATACATTTATTTAAATGTGTTATACTCTGACACATCAGATGTGGAATAAATAAAAAGATCAAATTATACATAAAATATTAAACACTACCATGTACTTACTGTAAAAAATAACATTCTAAATTAGTGAAGAAATTTTAAAAAAGTAATTTCTAGTACTACATACAATTGAAGCTACATAAAGACAAAAAGATTAAAATAAAAAGGAATCTCGGGACAAAGGCTTATCTGGAATAATGGATTAAACAAAGACACATATAAAGGCAAAGAGTAACAGATACAAGAAATAAACCAGATGAAAGCCATGAAGAATAAATAATTTAATTTCAAATCCAAGAAGAAATTTATATCTATATTTTCTATACAAAATGTAAAGATTAGTTATATTCAAGAAGTTCATATAGCTATTCTAGATAATTAACCGTTTAAGTACCTTTACAACACCAAAAGTTGTTTTTCCTTTAAAATCACTAAAGTTAAGGGTCACAGTAAGAAAATCTCTATAATTCATGACTCACAAAACAAACAGATTATAAAAGCCCCTATTCAATTTAGCTTACATCAAGAATATACTCATATAGGTGGTAACTTTCATAGACAGGTAAATTAATTTAGGAATTAGAAGTGGTTTTACTATACCATAGATTCAACTTGATAGTATACATAAACTTGATTTTAGAGAAAAATTAGACAAATATTGCCAGAAAACTGCTTCAGTTTTCTACTATGCTTTGATGGTGAGAAAAATTTTTTAACCGCCCAGATTCTTTTTTATAAAAGTCACTGATAAAAGAATGATTCAAAGTGCTGTTTCAGCTGGCACCTGCCCACATGTTTATCTAAAACTTAACTAAAATGAGCCAGTTGTGCATGTAAGATATAATTAGCTCTCAGCCAGTTGTGGAAATATTAGAAATCCTAAAAGGGCATTTTAGAAGGTGATTTTCTACTTACAAAGAGAGTAAAAAGGAGGGAGAAAATTTTAAAAGAACACATATGTTACTGATTTGTTTCAAACTCAGGTCACCAAAAGACAAGGCCCTCCACAGGATTGAGTGACAACATCATAAGCTTCAAAGGAAATGCAAACATTTGTTTGAAAAACCGGTAAAATCCTAAGGTAACTATATTTTGTTATAAAATTCTCTCTATGCCTCTTTGACACCACAATTTCTGTACTGAAATGTTTTCTATTAAAGTCCTAAATTTCATCTCATAAAGGTATCATCAACATTCTGCATTTCATATATGCATTTCACCAAAAGTAGTGTAGATTTATCTTATTTATTAATAATATGACCCTCTACAATTCTAATAGTGTAATAATTGCACTATTTTTCTGCAGTTGAAATAAATATTACAGTAGCCATAGCTTTTAGAAGAGAAAAAATATTAAAGTGAAATATTGAAAATTACATAGATATTGTTTTACATGTAGAATTTTCCCAATTTTTATTTGAAAAACAATATTTGGTATCTTTCTAATATACTAATAGTCTGATTTGCAATTTGAAAACAATACTTCATGTAAATTAACTCAGGACATAGAAAAACATAAACCATATATTTTTTTAAAACATTCTGTGTACATAGCTCAAATTAAGACAAATAGCAAAGAAAGATATTGTTAGAGTAGGTAGGTAGTCAGGCATGAGCAGGGCAGGAGAGATAATCCTGTTCATCCCCTTCCCTGTTACATGCGTCCGTGTGAAGAGACCACCAAACAGGCTTTGTGTGAGCAATAACGCTTTTTAATCACCGGCGTGCAGGGGGACTGAGTCTGAAAAAGGAGTCAGCGAAGGAAGATGGGAGAGGGGCAGTCTTATATGACTTGGGTAGACAGTGAAAAATTACAGTTAAAGGTGGTTATCTATTGTTAACAGGGGAGGGTGTCACAAGGTGCTCGGTGGGGAACTCCTGAGACTCATTGTCCAGGGGAGGAATGTCACAAGGTCGATTGATTAGTTAGGGTGGGGAAGGAACAAATCACAATGGTGGAGTGTCATCAGTTAAGGCAGGAACTGGCCATTTCAATTCTTTTGTGGTTTTTCAGTTGTTCCAGGCCATCTGGATGTATACGTGCAAGTCACAGGGGTTATGATGGCTTAGCTTGGGCTCAGAGGCCTGACACCGACAAGACATGTCAGGCAATCCTCAGGTGATAGGCAGTTGTTAAACTGTCTCTTTAAAATAATAATTGGTCACAGCCAATGCCAGGGAAAGGCACTCTCCCAAGAGATAAACACCTGAAGCTGGTGATCAGTGACTTCCTGATATGACCTCAGGAGTGGAGCGAGTGGTCTCACGCATGCACACTAAGAGGCAAAATGGTGGAGTTTTACTGGTATATGACCTGCCTCTAAGAATACTCCACCGGTAAAGGAAAAACGCCTCAAGTGAGCATGCATAGAACTTCAGTAAACACACTGTGCACATGGCCCCTCCAAAGTGCTGGCAGACCACTCAGCATGCGGACAGCCTACCCCAAGGGAAGAATCGGGCAAGAAGAGACACAGACACCAGAAGAATGCCAACATATAAAAGCCCAAGTCAAAGGTCTAACTGCACACTCAAGTCACCCACTTGGTCCTCTTCCAAGTGTACTTTACCTCCTTTTGTTCCTGCTCTAAAACTTTTTAATAAACTTTCACTCCTGCTCTAAAAATGGGCTCAGCTTCTTACTCTGCCTTTTGTTCCCTTGGTTGAATCATTTCTTCTGAAGAGGTAAGAATTGAAGTTGCTGCAGACCCTTATGAATCATTGCTGCTAACAATACGTGCATTTACCATCTAGGGAAGCTACAAAGGAATTATTTGAAAGTGCTAGTCAAAGTGAACTAATTTTCATTACATTTAAAATATATTATAAATGATATATAACTAAATAATATACAACTGAAATGAGTGAGGTGAAAGTCTCAGTCATTGAGGTTTATTAAGCTAGCTTTCGGCATGTTTGGGGAAAAAACAAGCAACAGACCTATCTATGGCTGTTTTTCTGAAGAGGTGTTCAGAAGGTTTAATATTTATATATTTCCTTAAAGAGGGAAGGCATGTAGGAAAAGGCATAGGTAGGCAATAAGGTGAATGCTTACATTTCTGTTGGATTTTAGTTAGTGTCCAGTAAATCTACTTCTGCCTAAGATAAGGTGAATGTTTGAAGAGAAAAAGGACAGTAAAGGGTCAATTATGCAGACATCTCTGGGTAGGTAGAGGAATGAGTCTTGTCATTGTTTTGCATCAGGGAAGATAAGCTTTTAATGGACTTTAACAGTGTGGAATCAAACACTTTAGATTTAGGATCTGGGCTTAGATTGCAGACCTAAAGGTGCAGTTGGCATATTCTTGTTAATGGGGAGGCTGCAACAAATTTTACTTATGAATGATCTGTGAGGGCAGTCATTCACAGATGCCTGAGGCCTTCTACATTTCCATGGGGATCTAGCTGATACATGACGTTAGTAATAACGAAGAGGGTGTTGCATCACAGCTTCCAGGCTTAACCTTCTCTTTAGCATAAGAAGTTTAGGAATCCTGAGATTTTTTTATTTTTCTTTATAATTTATACCAAAGTTCATTGATTTTGGAAAAAAGAAAATATAGAGCATATTTGAACTATTTATAATTGTTTAGATTTTGTAGTTTACAGAATATCTTGGTGCCTATTACAGTGTTTTATTAAAGCCAAAAAATTATAGAAAAATATTAACATAAAAGCAAACCATCACATAATGAACACTTATTTCAGAGACATGTCATTATAATTTAAATAAAATTATTCTAATTTCTTAGCCCTCTGAAAAAACTCATCACATCAATTGTAATCACTAGTATTTGATTTTGGAAAAAGCTTATTTTTGCAATTCTTGACCTTATTTTCACCAAGACAGGTCTGCATGTGTTTTTATATGTTTGTATATATGTGTATATTATATTAGTTTGGCTTGAAATATTTAGTCTAGTCTGTAGATTCATATCTTTATAGGGAAGCCTTTTGTGGGGGCCAAGGCCCTTGATCCCCTAAAGGTTTGCTGAAAAATCACTGACATGAAGCAGGCCGAGTAATAGGGAAACAGTATACAAATTTATTTAAACTGTATACAGGGGTGCACTTAGAAATGAAAACCCAACCCCTTAATGAGGTAGAGAAACTTACATCTCATCTTGAGGTTACAGAAAGAATGTAGGCTCAGAACATGGCCCAAGCAAGGTTTTATAGGCAAGACTGGAGGTTGAAAGAAAGAGGCTTGGTAAGCAAAGGTGGTCTTGTTATGTAGATGAATCCTCCCAGGTAGCAGACCTCAGAGAGAATAGCAGGTTAATATTTCTTTTAGGACCTTTAAAGGTGCCAGGCCCTCAGTTAATCTTTCCCAAATCCAGGCAAGGGAAAGGTTGACGACATTAATGAAGGTTCTCTCCAGATCTAAAGATGCAAATTTTCTCCCAAAAAGACAGGTTTGCAGGGTCTCTTCAGTTCCCTGGTGCTGTGGCAGCCATTTCAAAATATGTTAAAAAAAAAACTGGCGGGGAGGGGGGGTAAAATATTTTGATTTTCTTTACTTTCATATAATATATTTCAAATATTACTACTACTAATTGTTTAGCAATTAACAAGCAATATACAAATCCTAGGCAATATTCTAAGAGCTTTACTCCTCCTAAAATGTGTCAGTTATCAAGATTTGGTCATATTATATGATTTTGTTTAAGTTATGTTGATTGTCTTAGATAAAGGAAAAGCTCAGATACTATAGTTTTTGATGAGTAATACAAAAATACCAGACTTTCCCATTTCAGAGAATTTCCGTGGGGCCTTTGGGGACATTTCTGTGTGGTTAAAAATGAGTTGTTGCTCTTTGAGACTCTGTTACAAAGAAGGAGGAATGTAGAAGAAGGGATAAATTCAATCTTTGGAGTTACACTGCCAGAAGTTAGTCTAGATAATGACACTGATTATGTTGGGTTTACATTATTTGACAGTTTTAAACCTCACATTCCTCATCCATTGAATAAAACTAATGTTTATATTGATGAAATAAAATTTATAAAGCTTAACATGTTTATGACATCAGTAAGAAATACATGAAATAGTATGTATTATTATTTAGAAGATCAAGTCTGCCATCATTTTAGCCCCCAAATTCACTTAAACCTACATTTCTTTTAAAAGCGAAAAAAGTCATGCAATTAACTAGCTTCTAATTAGTCTTTATTTTTATGCATGAATTAACTTCAAAGAAGGTTGGTGTATGTCAAGCAAAAAATGAGAAGGTTCCTAAATTTGGAAAGAAGAGCTTTATATCGCATAAAGGGTTGCAGGGTGGCCATTCTGACTGGCTGGGAAGCATAGCTTCTGGCTAGAAGCCAAACACAGAGACATCAATGCAGGGGAAAAGGAAACAGGAATCTATGCTAAACAAGTTGGCCAAAAATACATATTCAATAAGCTATAGGAGGAGTCATGAATATTTATAAAAAATAAAAATAAAACACATGCACATGCCACTTGTCCCTCTCCATGGGACCTGTGTTCAAAAAATGGTGGTGTCAGCATGATCCGAGGGTAGAGTCTTTGGCCCTGTGACATCAAAAGGTGAAGCAGGGGACAAGAAAATCCAGGTTGTGCATCTTCCGTAGATTGGCCAGATGCACTCTGTGGTTGGTGATATCTTAACAGGAAGGAATGCTGGTCAGTTGTTTTATTTAAATTGCAAAAGAGAGGGGCAGCAGCAGGCAGTTGGTTGATATTGGGGTGGAGTGCTTCTTTCCAAAAACCTAGTTTCTGTTTGACCCTTAGGAAAGAAAGTCTAACCGTGGTTACTGAGGGAAGGTATATAATGAGGCATGTTGATCGCCCACTGCTCATGGCCAGGAACTCAGTTTTCAAGGTTCCTTTGGGGTCCTTTTGGCCAAGAGGGGCTCTGTTCAGTTGGTTTGGGTGCTTAGGAGTTGATTTTTATTTCTCTGTTGATGCTTTCAAATTATTAATGTAGCTCCATATTTATGAGTTGATATATTCAAGAGATCATTCAGCACCGTGCTTGTTTGACTTTTTGAGAGCAGGGATAATAACTTATTCACTTCTGCATTTTTTGGAGTTGCACATTGCTGAGCACATTGTAGTTTCTCAATATACATTTGAGTACTGGGCAAATATATAGATGAAAAAATATTTAAATAAATTATTTCTAAATTTTATTTTTACTGAAACCAGAGACAAAACAGCATATTGAAGCAGAGCTCCAAGGCCAGATGTGGTGACTCATGTCTGTAATCCCAGCACTTTGGTAGGCCAGTGCAGGTGGATCACTTGAGGTCAGGAGTTCCAGAGCAGCCTGGCCAACATGGTGAAATCCCATCTCTATTAAAAATACAAAAATTAGCCTGGTGTGGTGACAGGTGCCTGTAATCTAAGCTATTCAGGAAGCTGAGGCAGGAGAATCACTTGAACCCAGAAGGCAGAGGTTGCAGTGAACAGAGATCACGCCATTGCACTCCAGCCTGGGCAACAAGAGTGAGATTCTGTCTGGAAAAAAAAAGAAGCAGAGCGCAGAGCTCTGGAGTTAGATGGCTAGAAGTGAAATTCAAGTTCTTCTACTTACGAATTCTGTGACCAGTTGAGTAACCACTACCATACTCATCAGCATTTTCTGCTGCAATTAGTGACCTCCAGATCTCAGTGGTTCACAAACACAAATCTTGGTTCTACAGAGTTTGCCTATGGCTATGCTTCTGCTCTGTTCAGCTGAATTCAATTCTACTTTACTCAGCCACCTATATTGAGTGCAGATCTTCACATGCAATTTTTTTCCAGAACTCAGGCTGAGTGTGAGAGTTCAAGAGGATCAAGGAAAAACACATGACACTGCCTAAAGCTTTTGCTCGGAACTGACACGCTATTACTCTACCTCACATATTGTTGGTTAAAAAACTTAAATGGCCCAGGCCAAAGTTCATCCATATAGAAAAATACTTCATCTTCCTATTGGCAGGCACAGAAAAGTCTCAGGGCAATGGGTATGAGCACATATTCATATTACAGGGAAAGGCAAAATGGTCCAATCTCTAACACTGCTTTGGCACACCTTTTCTCCCTAATTATTTTAATAAAAGTAAAGAATTAATAGAATTAATGTTTGAATTAAGGTAGCTATTATAAAAGTACACAGTACAATGACTGACAGAAATTAAATACCACATTAATAATTCCCATTAATATTTTAGCTTATTGTTCAATGGTCTCATTGATATTATGTTCCTTCCTATTTCGCTCACACAATTACTGAACAGTTTCTAATTTGAAGCTTGGGATGCATAGTCTTTAAAATGACCTCCATGATCCCTACCTTGTGATATGCATTCCTTTTGTTATATCCCCTTTTCATTCATAGATGTGCAATCAATATATTGAAAAGAGTTATGACCTGGAATAAATTGACATTGTTTTTACCTACCTAATAAAAGGAGGTGATTTCTAAGTTCCTGAAAATACAATAATATGAAATATGCATTCATTAAATTTTGCTAACCCCATTTATAACTCTTTTCCATTAAAATTCTGTCAGGAGGAAATAATATTTAATATAACATGTGCCTATGTAACATGTCATATTAAATAATATTTAATATGCTATGTTCCATAGCCACATCTATTTCACATATTTATGAATACAAAAGAAATTTAAATCCCAAGAGATTTTAATATGGACACAGATAATAAGAATGTGTTCACAAGCAAGTGTTCCTCTCTATTAACACTAAGAAATTGTCGCTATTCCACAATTATGTTTTTTTTTTTTGCACATTTTTTGTGATTTATGGAATCTTGGTATTTAACAAGATCTTAGAATTCATCTTGTTTAAACTTGCATATGAATGATGATCTAACTTTTGGTTGCATATTGAAACATCCAGAGTTCAGTACAATTAGGAATGGTTGGTTCCTATACTGGGCACCCACCTAAAATTTCTCTAGGCTAAAGATCACAGTTTACTAAAAAAAATTAAATCTTTACTTACAATGTGTACTACATTGTGGGCACATTTCTGAGTTTGTCCTTCTCCCTTTGGAATCAATTCTTTTATACACTAGGATATAATGTTGCTGCCGTTCTGACAAATAAATTTTCTATCACATAATTCTTGGTTTTGGCTTTTGAGGACATTTTAGTTTCATATTCTTCACCAAAGCTTTGAAAGAGCAAAAACAGCATCTCTAACAATTTTACTTTCCCTGGAGAACTACTTCCTTAAAACTCACTTTTCTGTTTTACACTAATGGTAGCATTTGTTCCCATTAATGATGAAATGACAATTCTTTTATAAGTGCCTTTCTGAAGAGCAGAAGGATAAACCCCTTGGATTTCCTATGGCTTCCTCCAAACATTCTGCATGCATTTGGCTCTTGCTGCTTTTGGTAAAAACATTGATATCTAAGATGAAGAACAACATATATTCAGATTACCCAGTTTCCAATAGAGTGAAGACAGTAAAAAAAACAAAAACCAAAAAACAAACAACAACAAAGCTATGTTCATAAGAAGGAGTGACTAACAATTCACAAAATAAAGTATCCAAAAGATGTTGAATCATTTTTATTTGTCAACCCAATTTGACACCTGGGTCCTCATTCTGCAGGAACTTAGATGTTAGTTTCTTCTCTAAGTTTCTATTTTTTCAGCCTGTTAACTGAAAAATCACACAATTAGAATCTTAGAAAAGATTTTTAATAAAATGTCTTATAAAATGTTATAGCCTGAAAGGTGGGCATCCGGCAGACTTGGAAGCCCAGCCTCCAGCTAAGACCAGAGACAGACAGTTTGGGAGAAGAAGGGGTAAGAGGGAAATTTAAGTTGAATGGGTTAGCTAAACATATATATTCAATAGGTTACACGAAGAGCTGTAATATTCATGAAGACAGTTCTGATACATGCCTATTAAACATGCATGTAACATACAACCCATGTTTACATTGGGGTGGAGATTTAACATTTAATTGTATTACAATTAGGTCCTATATGTCAAAAGGTCTTATTTTCAGGACACAAAGGCACTCAAGTGCACAGCCTCTGTAAACTGGCCAGAAACAGACCATGCTCATGAATGTATATCAGGAGAAAGTTACTGAAATCAATCTCTTGTCCATTCAAAACTCTGGTTAAGGCTTGTGGAACAGAGTGGCACAGTTAGTCTGTGTCTGATGGTTGGTAAGCTGCAATCACATCAACATTGCTTATCTCAATGCCAGTGCTTGTTTAGAAAAAACCTTGGGGTATTTAGAACACAGTTGATTTTTAAGTGTAGGGGTGATTGGCATGGCCTTAGGTCTTGTTTATAATTTGATACCTTATTGACACAGAGAGCCCATTTTGTCAGGCTTAGGGTCTTTTTTAACTTTAATGCTGGTCGGTTGTGTCTAAACTGTACAAGAGGGGGTATAACAAGGCATGTCCAGACTTCCATTCCATCATTGTTGGGAGCTCAGTTTTTAGGTTTCTCTGGGGTCCCTTTATCCAAGAGGGGGTCCATTCAGTTGGTTTTAAAGCTTAGAATTTTATTTTAGTTTACAAGTTCCATCTCCACTTTCCAGTGCTGTGGCATGCTCCAGGAGAACTATTTCATATCAAGAGTATAGGGAACTATATGCACCTCTGTTCTTATATGCCAAAGAATTATCATTTTGTTGCTTTCCAGATGGTGCTTCATGTGTGGTAAAAAAAATGGGAAATTTTTATGTGCTTGCTTATGTGCTTATGTTCCTACATGCATTGACTCATGCCACTGTACCTTTCTATTTTACTAGGGGATACAGTTAACACATAGTTTTCTGCCTCTGGAACCACACTCTTCACTCTCTTCCACCAAGCCTAAAGGAATCTTTTCTTTTTTTTTGGGGGGGGCAGATGAAGAAGGCCTTCTATTTTCTCCTTTCATCCAGAGCACCATTCTCAGTCCTAACACTTTCTTTTTCTTACTTCATACATATGTAGTGGTATACTCTTCAGCCATAAAAACAACGAAATCCTGTCATTTGTAGCAAAATAGAAGCTGGAGGACATTCTATTAAGTGAAATAAGCCAGGCACAGAAAGACAAATATTGCATCTTCTCACTTGTATGTGGGAGCTAAAAAGTTGATCTCATGATTCTGAAGAGTAGAATGGTGGTTACCAGAGGCTGGCAAATGTAGGGGAATTGGGGGAATAAAGAGAGGTTCGTTAATAGGTACAAAACTACAGTTAGATATAAGGTATAAGTTCCAGTGTTTGATAGGACAGGAGGGTGACTATAGTTAAAGATAACATATTATATATTTCAAAATAGCTAGAAGAGAAGATTTAAAAATGTTCCTAACACAAAGAAATGATAAATATTTGAGGTGATGGATATCCTTACTGCCCAGGTTTGATCATTACACATTGTATGCATATATCAAAATGTCAAATGTACCTCATAAATATGTATAATTATTATGTATCAATAAAAAAACACTGCTTACAGAGTTTTAAAAAGTCTATCTTAAGTCCTCAACTTTTGATAATGAAAGTCAGAAAGTCTCACACACTGCTTTTACTTTCCACGCTTATACCTTCCACTAACCCAATAGAGTGCCAAATAATTGCTTGCTTAAAATGTAGGGGTGAAAGGAACAGGTTAGAAATAATGAAAAGTTCAGTACAAAAATTGACAACAATGTAAACTTTAAAATAACATCCAGAATACTTGCTTTAAAAGTAATCAAATATTTCTTTTTTGTGAACTTAATTAATTTCAGATATCTCAATCTTTGATGTATACTTCCTATACTCCTCACTCAGTGTTCCCTGAATACCCCCTGCCTTGAATGTTTGACCTCATTAAGATATTTCATTCATTGACCCTCTCTTGTACATATTTTATTTTCACTTAGTTTATATCTCATGGTTTATTTATGTAATCACTCATTTGAAAATATTCTCAACACTTGACTCTTCTTCCATTGGATTTCACATGCTTTGTCAATCTTTGTTGAAATACATTATTCTTTGCTGGCCACTTAAACTCTCTCTTCCATCACTACTCCTAGATGATTATGTAGCCCCATCTTTTCTCCGTTTGATTATAAAACTAATACAATCTCACTCATTTTGTTTTCCATTCTTTTCTGTTAATATTAATCAAGTGACTTTACTCTTTAAAGACAAATTTCTTCACTCATTCTTTTATTTTTCTATTGTTTCTCTGCATCCTTTTTCTTTTTCTTTTCCTTTTTTTTTTTTTTTTTTTTGAGATAGAGTTTCACTCTTGTTGCCCTGGCTGGAGTGCAATGGTGCAATCTCGGTTCACTGCAACCTCTACCTCCCGGGTTCAAACAATTCTCCTGCCTCAGCCTCCCAAATAACTGGGATTACAGGCATGCACCACCATGCCTGGCTAATTTTTGTATTTTTAGTAGAGAACGGGGTTTTGCCGTGTTGACCAGGCTGGTCTCAAACTCCCGACCTCAGGTGATCCTCCTGCCTTGGCCTCCCAAAGTGCTAGGATTACAGGTGTGAGCCACCACACCTGGCCTTCTCTACATTCTTTTCTAAATTGTATTTCTACTAGAGCATACATCTCAGCATGCAAACTTGATACCCTTACTTATAAGTAAATAAGTTCATAAAAAACAATAAATCCTCCTTTGTCCCCTGTTTCCTTTCACCTGTAAGCCTAGATCATTTTCTATTCACAGCAAGAGTCCTTGGAAGTACTGTCTACCCTCAGTTTTTTATGCCTCCATCTTCATTCTTAGCCCTTTCCAAGGTTTGAGACCTTTGTCATGAGTGTTTTCCCAAACCTACGCTTCTTCAAGCCACAAGTAGTCCTCCTATTTCCAAATGTAAACATTAAAGCATTCAAATTTAATTAACTATTTCCTAGGCTTTCTAACCTCTTATTTATTTTCTTTCTTAGATCTTAATATTATTTATTATGCCATATGTTTTACATATTTTTGTTGTTGTTGTTTCTTATTTGTCTCCTTTCTCTGGAATTTAATCTCCACAATTGCAGGAATGTTTGACCTTTTTCTTCATTACTGTTTCTCTGGTGCCTGAGGAATCCCTAACATAGAGTAGAGTTTAAGTTTTTTTTTCTCTATAGAGTAATTGAATAAAGGGACATTACTCTCTGTTTTTATATTACTAGTTTCTTAGATTTATTGAATATTAGCTGAAACATTGTCCTCCCTCTTGGCTTCTAAGGCAATACACAATTCAATTTTTCTTCCTAACACCTTTTTTTTTTTACTTTTCAGTGTTACTTGCTGAGTTCTTGCCCTTTTATCCTATTCTAAGGTTTAAGACTGTCACCCGGGTAAAAATGTTTTTCTATATATTCTATCCCTTATAAATTTTATTTGTATTATGATTTTAAAAGTTAACTTAATGTGGATGATTTTAAGTTGGTAATCTCAGTCCAGACCTTTCCTCAGTTCTCAGATAGGTATCTATGTGTCCGCTTGACAAATTTACTTGGGTGTTTTCTGGTTGTCTCTAATTTAGCATGACCATGATAGAAATTTTGATTTTCTTCTTTCTAATGAGTTGCTCATCCAAGATCCTTCATTAGAGTGAATGATCTCACCATTCACCTGGTGGCAAAAATCAGAACTCTTCGAATCTTCTATGATTACTCACATTCTCTCTGATTGACCTGCTCCACTATCAGAGGTACATAGCATGAGAGTCAACTGTGAGCTTAAAGGTCAAGCCTCCACTTCTTCCATAAATATATTTCAAATGTGTTCACTTCTCACCATCTTATAATTTCACTAATGCAAGCTACATCGTCTTAAATCCTGAACCACTTTAATCATTTTATCACTGTTCTTATTTCCTATTCTGTATTTTCTTCACTCAGCAGCTAAAGAGTACTTTAAATACGTAAAACAAATAATGTAATCTCCACGTGGTCTCCATGTTTAAATAGTTTCTCATAGAAGTTGAAAAAAATCTTCTAAATTCTTTAGGAAGATTTGCAAGATCCTCTTTGACCTGGTCTTGTGCATTCTTATATCGTGCTCCCTTACTGCATTTGGCTCAAGTACACTGTTTATCCAGCAATTCCTACAAGAAAGCTTCTTTTTGGCCTCGGTGAACTTGAAATTATTTTTCCATATATCTGTAAACTTTTGCTCTCTACTCTTTACATGGCTGACTCTTCATTCTACACATCCAGTATAAATATTTCCTCTGGGAGAATCAGCCTCTCATAAACTTGTGCAGAAATAGGCTCCTTATTATTCTTTCTAGGCAATGACATGCTTATTTCTTAGCACATCAAAGCTGTACTTCTTTTTCTTTTCTTTTCTTTTTTTTCTTTTTCTTTTTTTTTTTTTTTTTTTGAGATAGAGTCTCGCCGTGATGCCCAGACTGGAGTGCAATGGTGCGATCTTGGCTCACTGCAACCTCTGCCTAGTGAGTTCAAGCAATTCTTCTGCCCCAGACTCCCAAGTAGCTGGGACTATAGGAGTGCAGCATCAGGCCAGTCTGATTTTTGTATTTTTAGTAGAGACAGGGTTTCACCATGTTGGCCAGGCTGGTCTCAAACTCCTGACCTCAAGTGATCTGCCTTCCAAAGTGCTGGGATTACAGGTGTGAGCCTCTGCGCCCAGCCCAAAAGTGTACATTTTTAATTGCTTTTCTTATTGCTTGCAGCTAATTATAATGCCAAGTCCATTTTGGACAGACCATGCCTTTCCCATTCACAGTGGAATCTCTAGCACCTAACCGTGTATTTGGCATAAGATTTCTGACCATGTCAGAGATCACTAAATAGTTGTTAAATAAAATAACAAAAAAGAATTCTTAAAAATATGCCTTTTAATAATTGTCTTATAATAAAGATAATTAAGATGCCATTTAAGAAATAGCCTCTGCCTGGGTAATTTTTATTCATGAAATATTTAACAATCCTAGAGAGTAGCCCTGTTTAGTCATATTTTTTCTGTAATGAAACTAAGATGCACAGAGATTCATTTAATGGTATTCAAGAAGAAAATGGTCCGGGCATGTATTAACTCAAAGGCTTATATTGTAATATATGATTATACGCCCAAATTTCAAACCTCCATCTCTATAGAAGTCAATATTATTGAAAGGATTTTGCCCTTCATTCCATCTTATATCTTTATTCTTTCTTTTTTACATTCATAGTAGAAACAAGTACTTCTTATGCCTTAACATTCGTTGATATGTGAGGATTGTTATACATATTTTAAAATGCTAAATTAGTACTTTGAATAACACTTCATGACAAAATCTCAGGACAGCTTATATGAAAGTATTGCTATAACTTGATTTTTCAGCATGTTGTATAAAATTGAAATGGTAGTTAATCAAATGTTCTGGTTAAATTAAAGTTTATTCGTGTCGCTGTAAATGGTTCTGTTGCCCACAGTCCTAAAGTGTTTAATATAAAAGCAGCTACTTGGGAAAATGTAAATCACTGTTATTTTACATTACTAAGGCATCTGTAACATACTTTTCTCCCACTTTTATATATATTAACACATAGCAAAAGGTACTTCAGTTTAAACATCCAATAGCTCTCTAGAAATAATTTGCTTTTTATCTTCTGATAAACATTATAATCAGAGTAACATTTTATAGTGAAGATCTGAATTATGGTACATGACAAAAATTTCTACAAAATCAGGAATATCATAAAATGAACGGGATCTCAAGATTTTTGGTTCACTCCTACACCATGTATCTGTAAACTTTTATTTACAGAAAAATCCACCTCTGAAGAATCCACCTCTGAAATAAACCTGGCAAGTAACTATGCAATTTCTCCTTGAAATATTTCAGTCCATCAGTATTTTATAACTAAAAAATTATAGAATCATAATTTTAATTTATTTAACATTACATTTTGCTAAATTATGTACCAAATAATGATAATACACTTTGTATCAATTAATTTTTACTATATTTATATTTTGCATATTAAGTTTGTTTCCCATATTGTCTTTATGTTCTTAGGCGGAACTTGGAGTTCATGCTTTGTATAAACTTTTTCAAAATATGGTTAAATAAATCAAAATACTGTAGTAAAGTGCATATAAAAAAGTTTTCTTAGACAAAAAATGACATTGTGATTAACTATGTTATTGGTGATTACAGATTTCTGATTAATATTATGTGTTTTCTTATTTTATTAGTATAAATCTAAGGAATAAATTAGTAGATAACAGTGGTATCTACTACATGATGTAATTCCAAACACACATATATTTTCTTCCTCTCTTAACATTCCATAAGTGAAGGAACATAAGAATTGAAGGAATTGGGAGGTAGTCATATCAATGGATAAGAGATTTCAAAAAATGTTGATAACTAGCAACTAATGAAGCAGGAAAAGACACAGCTTAAATTATTGGTCAGAGGGACTGGGGCGGAATTAGTAGTATATTATCCCTGTAGGATACCATATCAGCTCAGATCTTAGAACACACAAGTATATAGAAGAAGTGTGTGAAATAGGAAAGAAGAAAAAAAGATTCACTGACACCTCCCATACATATTCCCATATGTACTATACTTTGTCCAATTATTTGTCATCTCCAAAAGGGTAGCTTGATAAAAGAGGATTAGATTCTAAAAATTAAAATGAAAAACAAGATTAGAAAAACTTACGCAGCTATTATTCTAGAACAAAGATGCCTGTACTTAGCCATCTAGGCATATCAATGTTTAATTGCTGATGCTCTGACTTTTATTCGTGAAGGGCAAAAATTCCCAGTTGAAAAATCCAGTCATGTGACTTAGATTTCTAATCAATTTTCTAAAAAACCTCACTCCTAAATATGAATGTTATGCAATGAATATATATATTATGCAATGTTTACCATATATTTGAATAACGCCAACAATAAGAACATGAAAATCCAGATAAACAAAGAAAAAAATACATAATATGACCCTAAAGAAGACAAATAATGCAAGAAACACAGCCAAATTAAAAATGAACAAGAAAAACTCCAACAGGATGCTGCATTAATGTTGTAAGAACTGAAAGCTACATAAAATAAATATTTAAGAAACAGAAATAGGTTTTTGAAAAACATAAAAATCAATAGAATGTTTGAAGGAAAACTAAAAATATCCCCAAATCAAGGAAATATATAAATTATTATATTATTTACATTATTTAATAAGAGAAAAAAGCATAGGGAACTAACACATAACAAAATACATAGTAAACTATAATTTACAAAATAATTATCAAAATTTTCAAAACTGGATGGAAAGTTTCAGCACATATATGAAGAAAAAAACCTATATCAAGATACATTATTTTGAAATTAAAGAAAACAATGTTTCCTTAGAGAAATAATATGTTATTACCTCTATAATAATAACAAGCACATTATTATTTTTTTTTCCAAGAAAGGAATTAAAATCAAGCTAACACCATTTTTGTAATAAGCTTTCCTGTATGCCAGATATCTGACTGGAGCAATGTCTTTCTTAACAAGTTACTTTGAATAAGTTTTGATAAATAAGAAAATACACCTGACGGGCCGGGATTACGCCTGTAATCCCAGCACTTTGGGAGGCCGAGGCGGGCGGATCACCAGGTCAGGAGATGGAGACCATCCTGGCTAACATGGTGAAACCTTGTCTCTACTAAAAATACAAAAAAATTAGCTGGGCGACGTGGCGGTCGCCTGTAGTCCCAGCTACTCGGGAGGCCGAGGCAGGAGAATGGCCTGAACTTGGGAGGTGGAGATTGCAGTGAGCCTGCGCTTGCAGTGAGCCAAGATCATGCCACTGCACTCCAGCCCGGACTACAGAGCGAGACTCCGTCTCAAAAAAAAAAAAAAAAAAAAGAAAAAGAAAAAAAAGAAAATACACCTGAAAGGCAGAAGACAAAGAAACTAGAAAATGTCAATACAACCCAGAGAGTAATGTGAGATTCTCTTCAGTAGCCGAAAAATCAGTTGATAAGGATGGGAGTAACAGGGTGGAGTTGTTGGCATACAGATTTTAGAAGACAAAAAACAATTCCAGAGATTTGTTTAAGTCCTTGGGCAAACTTTGGGGAAAATAGGTGAAAATCATAATGATATAACAAAATAAATTAATCATAGTGCATTAATTGGCTTTCAAGTAAAAATTTGTACATGATAGTCAGTAAATGGCATCTTTTCATTTTCAACTTTTGGAATCACACAGTATATATCTGAGACTGCAAACTAGTTGCCTAAGTTGGAGATTCAGTTGAAAGATAAGGATTTTAGATCTTAATGCATTTAATATTTTAATGATTGTGGTATTTCATATAAATATTATTTTTTCCAAACTCTCTCCCCAAATCAGAACATAGGAAGTCATATCTTATGTCACAAATGGACTAGTGTAAGATAATTGATGTCTCTTTTAGATGAAACTTGCTTTCTTTGGTTCTCCAGTGTTCCCCAGACTATAGCAAAAGTAAAATGAAAATTGCCGTTTATATTGTTTAGCTTTATGTTTTCAATGAAATAGACTAAAAATTGATTATTTTCTTAATCATGTGTCTCAACTTGCACACAAATTACCACAAATTTGATGGCTTAAAACAATAAAAACTTATTCTCTTATATTTGTGGAAGCCAGATGTCCAAAATTAAGGTGACAGCAGTGCCACGCTCCTTTTGGTGACTCTAGGGGAGAATTCTCCCTTGCTCTTACAGTTTCTGGTGGCTCTAGCAATTCCTTGTCTTGGAGCTGCATCATTCCAATCTCTGTCTTTGTCTTCAAAAGGCTTATTCCCTGTCTGTGAGTCTCAAATTTCTCTTTGCATTTCTCTTCTAAATACATTTGCCGTGAGATTTAGGTACCATAGAAAATCTAGGATATTCTGCTGGGTGCAGTGGCTCATGCCTGTAATCCCAGCACTTTGGGAGGCTGAGGAAGGCAGATCACCTGAGGTCAGGACTTCGACCAGCCTGGACAACATGGCGAAACCCCGTGTCTACTAAAAATACAAAAATTAGCTGGGCGTGGTGACACGCTCCTGTAATCCCAGCTACTTGGGAGGCTGAGGCAGGAGAATTGTTTGAACCCAGGAGGCGGAGGTTGCAGAGAGCCGAGATTGCACCACTGCACTCCAGCCTGGGCAACAGAGGTGAGACTCCCTCTCCAAAAAAAAAAAAAAAAAAGAAGAAGAAAATATTTGATATTCTCATTTTGAGAACTTTAACTTAACTAGATCTGCAAAGACTTTTCTTCTAAAAAAAAATCACATTCAAAAGGTTCAGAAGTGAGGACATAGACATATCTTTTATTAACGTGCTTTAAGAAAAATGGGAGATAGAATACTTTGAGAAAAAGAGATAATTTTTATATAATTAATTTTAAAAGCATATATAAATTGAATGAGTATAGCTTGAGTCCCCAGGGAAAAAAATATAACTCATGTAAAGAAGTAAAAACAAAATACAAAATTTAAAGCCTTGACAGAGAACACTTTCAATAATAAAAATAAAGTTTGAGCTACTAAAGGAAATGTAATTGTATGTTAAGTGAAAACTTCTTAATAAATGCTGACTGTAAAAAAGTGTTTATTGAATGAATATAGCAAATATTGGTTGTACTAAATAGAAACATACATTTGTTAATAAAAATTCAAGTACAAATTTTCTTTTCTGTTCTTTTGTTTTGTTTTTAGAGATTGGGTCTTACTCTGTCACCCAGGCTGGAGTGCAGTGGCACAATCATGACTCCCTGCAGCCTCAACTTCCCCAGGCTCAGGTGATCCTCCTGCCTCAGCCTCCTGAGTAGCTGGGACTACAGGCAGGAATCACCACACTCAGCTAATTTGTAGAAATGGGGGGTTTTGCCATGTTGCTCCAGCTGGTCTCAAATTCCTGGGCCCATGCGATCTACTGCCTCAGCTGCCCAAAGTGCTAGGATTACAGGTGTAAGCTACTGCACCTGGCCTTCAACTACAAATTTTCTAAACTTTGTTTTTTGACATTATGAATATAAACTTTCACCTGAAATTCTGTGAAATAGATTTTTTTTTTTTTTTTTGAGACTAAGTCTCACTCTGTTGCCCAGGCTGGAGTGCAATGGCGTGATCTCGGCTCACTGCAACCTCTACCTCCTGGGTTCAAGCGATTCTCATGCCTCAGCCTCCTGAGTATCTGGGACCACAGGCACATGCCACCATGCCTGGCTAATTTTTGTTTTTAGTAGAGACGGGGTTTTACCATGTTGACCAGGCTGGTCTTGAACTGTTGACCTTAGGTGATCTGCCCGCCTTGGCCTCCCAAAGTGCTGGGATTACAGGTGTGAGCCACCACGCCTGGCCTAGATTTTTTAAAAGAAGCATTTCATATTGCAGTTGATAACTACATAGATACAAAAAGAAAGCTACATGGCTACAATATTTAACTATTAACAATATTTATGTGGTCAAAAGTCTACTGGACACAATGCCAAAAACACTCAATATTCTGATGTTACCTATTGTATGTATTTGGAAAGTGTTTAAATCTTCATGTACATCGATCAAAATAGATGCTAATGTAGATCAAGGTTAAAAAACAGCTTACAGGCGAAATCTGGCTTGCCACCTAATTTGTGTATAGAGTTTTATCTACACAGTCACACATCTTTATTTATGTATTGTCTGTGGCTGCTTTCCCATTAAAACGGCAGCACTGAGTAACTTACATGGAACCTACAGCCCACAAAGCCTAAAATATTTAGCATGTGGCCCTCTACAGACAACATGTTTCACCCCTTGTTATGAATCAGCACTTTACAATGAAACCTTCTGAGTTAATGGAAATACGGTATATCTGTGTTGTACAAGATGGTTGCTACTAACCACATGGGGCTATTGAGGATTTCAAATATGGCTAATATTACATAGGAACACAATTTTTATTTAACTTAATTTCCGCTTTAACAACCACATGTAGCTAGTGGTTATCCTACCACACAGTGCAGCTATATATAGATAGTATTCCAGCTGTGATAACTAGTGTATAATCTTAGTTAAGAAATTGAAATACAGTGTGGCAGCATGTTTTCAAGAATGCAAGCTATAAATACATTATTGCACCATTCACAATAATTGCTCCATTTCAGGAAGTTAAAAAGTGAATGGAAAGCCCTTGAATGCAACAATTAACACAATATTACAGACTTTTAAGGTGTCACAAAAATAATGCTTTTCTAGGTATGTTGTATGCACAACATGGTTGATTGCTCTACCACAAAGAGAATTTGGTATGATAATGCTGAAGACAATTTTTGAACTGTTAAGAGAAATGAAGTTGTCCCTCTCAACTCAGTGAAAATGTATGTTTTAGTTTTCTGAAAACAGTAGAATTAAAATTTAGTGAAGTTTTTTTGACATAAACCCTAACTAAATAGTGAGTATTTCTTAGTAATTGCCCCTTATTACATATAACAAGGTATAGAATTTATTTTGCTCGTCCTGACAGAAATGATTTCTTTGGGAAACTCATTTGGCAAGGAATAATCTGACCCAATTTTCTACACAGATATAAGTTTTCAGAAATGAAAGTAATATTCTGAACTACATTGCTATAAATTGTGAAATTAAATATTAGATTTTAGAAAATGTTCTCTGATTTCTTGTTTTATGAAAATGAACTTTGTTCAGTTCACCTCACTCAATGAATATTGATGGTGTGAATGAAGAGCTTCAAGTAGATGTTACTGAACTACAATAAATATATGATACTAAAAATTAAATCTGATAATGCTGGCATATTGGAATTCTACAAATACCTTGGGACATGTTACCATAAATATAAAAACCATTGTGAAAAAATTATATCTATCTTTGGAAGCACTTACAATGGTGAACAGCTGTATTCTACTATAAAACTGAACATAATTAAATATTTTTCCATGTTAAATGATTCAAAGCTGACTTATTGCATGCTACAAAACCGAAAGCAGAAGAATGACATTGATGTTTCCTGGTGAACAACAAAAGGAGTCGAATATCTGAAACTAAATAAAAGAAAGAATGGAGTTGGAAATATATACACATATATTATCTTCAAATATGTTTTATTATCAATTTAAAATGTAAAGTGCAGCACTTGACACCATATATATTATACTTTTATTCTTTGTTTATATAACATAAACACTTATATATTTTACAAGGATATATTTTTGTGTGATATGTATATTAAATTATTATATTACTTAACCAAATAATTTAATTTTACTTCTGGTACTTAATTTTATTTATTTATTTATTTATTTATTTATTTATTTATATAAGATGGAGTCTTGCTCTTTCCCCTGGGGTGGAGTGCAGTGACATGGTCATGGTTCATTGCAGGCTTGACCTCCCAGGCTCAAGCAGTCCTTCCACCTTGATATGGTTTGGCTGTGTCCCCACCTGAATTTCATCTTGAATTCCCACATGTTGTGCAAGGTACCCCATGGGAGGTAATTGAATCATGAAGGCAGGTCTTTCCCCTGCTGTTCTCATGATAGCAAATAAGTCTTACAAGATGTGATGGCTTTGAAAAGGAGAGTTTCCCTGCACAAGCTCTCTTCTCTTGTCAACCGCCATGTGAGATGTGCCTTTCATCTTGCCCCATGATTGTGAGGCCTCCCTAGCCAAGTGGAGCTGTAAGTCCATTAAACCTCTTTCTTTTGTAAATTGCCCCATCTTGAGTATGTGTTTATCAGCAATGAAAATGAACTAATACACACCTCAGCCTGTCAAGTACCTAGAACCAAAGATGCATATCACCATGCCTGACTAGTTTTTAAACATATTTTTGAGAGACAGGGTCTCACTATGTTGCCCAGGCTGGTTTCAGTTGGCCTTAAGTGGTCCTCCCACCTCAGCCTTTCAAAGTGCTGGAATTACAGGAATGAGCCACCCCACCAAGCATTTTTTCTTATTTCTACCATTGTCCACTTATTTGTGTTTACTACATTGCCTTTGTAGGCATTTGAGTTTTTGATTCCCACAATAGACAAAGCAAAGGTGACTTCATTATATTTAGAGAACAAATGTCAAATTTCAAACATGAATATATAGCTGGGAGATTTAAAGGATGTTGAGAAGTGTAGGAATGCAAATATCCTCATCTTACAAACAATGATGGGCAGGAGGTAATAGCTAGGGTTGCTAGAATTATAAATACTAGTGCTGTAATATTGACATTTATAATGGTAATTGATAGAGGAACTCAAAAGAGTATTATTATTAAATTAGAGGGGATGAATTTACTTGTGGGATATTAAATATCATAAACACTTATCAGTCAAAACAGAATGTAAATTGATTGATTTTAAAAAGTAGGAGAAATATATTATTTAGAAATGTGGTAAAAAATATGGAAACTTTTTTTTAGAAATTAAATCAATTCCCCCTGGGAGGTTGACTTGGGCTTATGAGGAGCAGGTCAGGAATTACTGATATTCATTATAGTCTTTTTTAGCACAATTTGATTATTTAATAGAGTACAGCATTGCTTTCATAACAGCTATTTTGGTATATATTTAAAACTTTGAATAATAAAACACACCAAAATAACAAGACTTATCTTGGAATCTAATAAATTTGTTAATACCTCCTCTCCCTGAGAAGAATCAAGAATGAGGGATGAAGAAATGGATGCTGGGAAGAAGGCACAGCAAGATGGTGGAATAGAAGGCTCCAATGATTGTCCCTCCTGAAAATACACCAATTTAACAACTATCTACACAGAAAAAATATCTTCATAAGAACCAAAAATCAGGTGAACCTTCATAGTACCTGGTTTTACTCTGTATAGCTAAAAGAGGCACTGAAAAGATAGAAAAAAAAGTCTTAAATCTCCATTGCCATGCCTTCCCTACCCCTGGAAAAAATGACATGGTGTGGAGAGCAGAGTGTCTCTGGGTGCTGAGGAAGAAAGAAAACAGCGATTGTGAAACACTGAACTCAGTGCTATTCAGTTATAGCAGAGAGGAGCCAGGTGCAGTGGCTCACGCCTGTAATCCCAGCACTTTGGGAAGCCAAGGTGGGAGGTTATAGCAGAGAGTAAAGCTCAGTTGAAACCTACCCACGGAAGGAGCATTTAAACCAGGTTTAGCCAGGGGGAATCACCAGTCCTGGTGGCCACAAACTTCTCCACTGTGGGCTAAAGTGCTCTTTGCTTCTATTGAAAGGCAGTCTACACCATAAGAACTACAATTTGTAGGCAAGTCCTAGGGCTGAACTCAGCCCAGATACAGTGGAATGGAGGGGCACATGACCTACTGAGACATCAGTTGGCATGGCTAAGGAAGTGCTGGTATTACCCCTCCCCTGATCCCAAGCTGCACAGCTTGTGGCTCCAAAAGAGACCACTCTGTTATGCTTGAGAAGAGGAGAGGGAAGAGTGGAGAGAACTTTGCCTTGCATCTTGGATACCAGCTCAGCCACAGTAGGACAGAGCACTAGTCAGAGTCATGAGGCCCCTGAATGGCCCTAGCTCCAAGATGACATTTTTAGACATGCTGTGGACCACAAGGGAACCTGCTGCCTTGAACAGAAGGACCCAATCCTGGCAGCATTTATCACCTGCTAACTAAAGAGCCCTTGGGTCCTGAATATCTAGCAGTGATACCCAGGTACTATATCAAAGGCCTTGGGTAAGCCTTTGAGAATTGCTGTCTTCAGGTGAGACTCAGCTTATTACCAGCTATGGTGGCTATGAGACAAAACTCCTTCTGTTGAGAAAAGCAGAGGGGAAACCAAAGGGGACTTCGTCTTTCACCTTAGGTACCAGCATGGACACAGGGACATAGAGCACCAAGTGGGCTTTTGGGTTTTTCAATTCCAGAACTTGACTCTTAGATAGCACTTCTGGACCTACTCTGGGAAGGAAGGGAGCCCACTACCCTGAAGGGTAAGTCCCAGGCCAGGCAACATGTACCATAAGCTGACTTCACAGACCTTGACCCTTAAGGGAACATTAGTGGTAGTCTGGCAGTACTCTCCAAGGCCTGTGCTAGTGGTAGCTACAGGGTGAGTGTCTTCTGCTTTAGGAAATGGGAGGGAAAAGTGTTAAGGACTGTGTCTTGTGGTTTGAAGGCCAGCTCTGCTGTAGTAAAATAGAACACCAAATAGACTTCTAAAGTTTTTGGCTCCTTGCCCTGACTCCCAGGCAGCACTTCTGGACCGACCCAGGGCCTAGGGGTCTCACCACCATGAAGGGAAGGACACAGGCCCAACTGGCTTTGCCATTTGCTAATTGTAGAGCCCCGGACCTTGAGCATACATAGGCAGTAGCCAGGGAGTGGTTACAGCAGGCCTTGGGTGAGACTCACTGCTGTGCTGGCTTCAGATTTGACCCAGCAGAGTCATAGTGGTGATGGCCACATGGGTGATTGTGTCACTCCACCTCTCAGCATTAGGTGGCTTAGAATAGAGAGAGACTTTATTTGTTTGGGAGAAAGTAAGGGAATAGAACAAGAGAATCTTCCTGGCAAACTAGATAATTCTCCTGGAATTTATCCAAGACCATCAAAGCGGTAACTCTATGAGTCTGCAAGAATCACAGCATTACTGGGCTTAGGGTGGCCCCTAAAGAAGATACAGATTAGATTACAACCCCCAAGTCCTTTCAAATACCTGGAAAGCTTCCAAAGAAGGACAAGTACAAGTAAGCCTAGACAATGAAGACTGCAATAAATACCTAACTCTTCAATGCCCATGCACCAAAGAACACCTACTATCAGCAACACTATTGAGGAAAGCATGACCTCACCAAATGAAGTAAATAAACCATAAGGTTCCAATCATGGAGAAACAGAGGTATGTAACCTTTCAGACACAGAATTCAAAATAGCCATATTGAGGAAACTCAAAGAAATTCAAGATAACATAGAGAAGGAATTCAGAATTTTATCAGTTAAATTTAAGAAATAGATTGAATAATTAAAAAGTATCAAACAGAAATGCTGGAGCTGAAAAATGCAACTGGCATACAGATAATGCATCAGAGTCTTTTAATAGCAGAATTGAACAAGCAGAAAAAAAAAAAAGCTAGTGAGCTTGCAGATAGTCTATTTGAAAACACACAGTCAGAGGAGAAAAAAGAAGAAACAATGAAGCACAGCTACAGGCTCCAGAAAATAGCTTGAAAAGGGAAAAATATAAGTGTTATTGGCCCAAAGAGGAGGTAGAGAAAGAGATAGGGGTAGAAAGTTTATTCAGTGGGATAATAACAGATAATTTCCAACACCTAGAGAAAAATATTGATATCCAAATACAAGAAAGTTACAGAACACCACACATGTTTAATCCAAAGAGTACTACGTCAAGGCATTTGATAATCAGAGTCCCAAAGACCAAGGATAAAGGAAGGGTCCTAAAAGCAGCAAGAGAAAAGAAACAAACAACATATAATAGAGCTCCAATCTGTCTGGCAGCAAACTTTAGAGTGGAAACTTTACAGGCCAGCAAAGAGTGCATGATGTATTTAAAGTGCTCAAGGGAAAACAAAACAAAACAAAACAAAAAACGAAAAACAAAAATACAAAAATCGTTTATGCTAGAATAGTATAAAATAGCAAAAAAAAAAAAAGCCCTTTTACTCTAGAATGTACTTACGTCACCTTGCATGCCTGCATCAAAACATTTCATGTACCCAATATATATATACATATATACCAACAAAAATTAATTTTTTAAATAAAAGAACTGAATTCTGACTTATTTTCCCATCTTTATTTCTAATAATTGTGCATATATTTTGAAACGTATATAAAACACCCACTGAAACATTGCTTATTTATCATTCATTACTCTTATCTCATGAAACTAACATTTTAATTGAGTACAGAATTGAAAATTAATGACATTAGTTTGATAAGCATTTTAGGTGAAATACAACATAGTCTGAATTTGCAATAATGACTCACCCAACTAAGGCCAGATCAGGGAATATTTACTTGAGAAAGCCATATTTCATACTAAGTGTCTTAGAAGAGAATTCTTGAACCAGGAGTCATGTCTATAACAGCACACTACATTTGGAAAACCTTGGGTAATTCTAGATATATTTCTATGTAATCAATCCTCCGGAAAGGTATTTAGTAACCAAAATAGAATTCATCTGCTTCTTGGTGGCCTTTAAATGTTATCATTTATACATCTGTGTGATCGTGTTTAGTGAGAGTTTCTATTCTGGTAATTTTCAGAAAATGAAACGAAATTTGTACTCTTTGCAAATCTATTTTTTAACACAAAATTACAGATTAGTTAGAAAAAGTACAAAGAATATTTTTTCTTGAACAATTTAACAGTAAGGTGTAGACCTGATGCTGTATCTACCCTTAGTTAAATATATGTTTACTACAAACAAAAGTATTCTTGTATGAAACCACAATATAACTTTCAAGATCAGAAAGCTAGTGTTAATGCATTGCCACCATCTAATCCTCAGATTGCACTGAAGTTTTGCAGATTGTTACATTCATGCTTTTTGTAGGAAAATAATCTTGTTCAGAATCACAAACAATAATTAGTTTTCCTGTCTGTATAATCTTCCTCAGACTGGAACAGTCCTCAGTTTTTCTTGGTCTTAATGACCTTGACACTTTTGAAGATGAGAGATCAGATATCTTTTAGATTGCCCCTCAATTTGAGATATCAAACATTTCCTCATGATTTGATTTAGACTATGCATCTTTGGCCACAATATCATAGAACTAACACTATTCTTTTTCATGATGCCTGATTAGGTAAGACATGATATTAAATTGTCTAATTATGATGAAATTCATTTTGATCATTTGATTAAGCATATTTGCCAGGCTTCTCTATCATGTGGTTGGCATTTTCCCCATTGAAGTTAATATGTGTTCAGTGGGAGGTTACATTCATTCTACATACATGTTTCATTCTTTGTTATACTTTCAATTTACTTATTCATTTACCGATATATTTAGGGGACCCACAGTTTTCTGTTGTATTCAATACATTAGGATCTGTTAATATCATTTTTTATTATGATATTCAAATTATTCTTGATTTGATCAATGGGAAAAGCTCTTTCAAGTCGACTTCAATGTTCTTCTGACATGCTCCCATAATTTTTTGACCACTTTACCTTTTTTTTTTTTTTTGAGATGTGGTCTTGCCCTGTCGCCCAGGCTGGAGTGCAGTGGTGCCATCTCGGCTCACCACAATCTCCACCTCCCAGGTTCAAGCGATTCTCCTCCCTCAACTTCCCGAGTAGCTGGGATTACAGGTGTGTGCCACTGCGCCAGGCTAATTTTTGTTTTTTTTTTTCAGTAGAGATGGGATTTTGCCATGTTGGCTAGACTGGTCTTGAACTCCTGACCTCAGGTGATCCGCCCACCTGGGCCTCTCAAAATGCTAGGATTACAGGCCTGAGCCACCAGGACCGGCCTGACCACTTTACTTTTAAGAAGCTTTATTTCTGTGAGCTAACACTGGAACCAACCATTTTCTCAAGAAGCTTTGGTTTCTTTTAGCAGAAAATTACATTCAAAAATTAAGAACTGCATTCTAATTATGCTCATAATGAGTGAAATGTCACTAACAACAGGCCCTCTCAATGAATAAACCTAACGAGTGTACATAAAAATATACATATACACAAATATACACAAACATTTAAGCTTATGTGTCTATCACTTATTTATCTATTTAACTACATTTTGAAAAATCATGTCTTCACCCTGATATATTCAGTTCAATACCACAGAACCCATCCTAGTTTCTTTTAAAGTTATCTGATTTTCTATTTCAGGTAACGTTAACATGCATAGGAATATTTTGTGGAATGAATATCATGCATGATTAATATATTATAGACATCACTGTTCATGTGTCACACTGTAGTGACATTATTTTAGTATTATATTTCTTATAGTAGGCAAATTCTACAATAAATTGTCATGCCAAGCTAGTCTTTTCCCATTGAAAAGAGTGCTGAGACAGTGTATTGTAATATCATAAACATACTTACATAAGTATTTTGAAAGGTAGTATTTAATCAGGGCACATATCTTTTTTAAGCATTATAACATTATGCATAGTTTAGGCAAACCAGAGAGGCTTCAATTGTCCTCATGTATATGCAAAAATATATGATACTTCTAATGTTCATGTGTGTGTGTTTCTGTGTGTGTGCAATTAAAATTAAAGTAAGTAAGAGTGTTACCAAGATTCCCATTTTTGGAAGAAAAAGGTTTTGTGAGACTGTAACAGCTTGTAGAATTTTATTGATCAGAAAATGAACATAGCATGTTGGGTAAAAGCATAGATTTTTGATCAAGGTATGCTGATTACAAATTATACTTTTCCTACTACAGTTTGTATGCTTTGGGAAGAGTTACTAGAGCAATTTGTGTTTCCATTTACTATTTACAAGATGATAATTAAAGAGTATCTACCTCACTAGGTTATGATGACGATTCAATGTGTTTAGTATGTGTAAAAGAACCTGGCATAGAGCATGCATTGTGTAAGTGTTAGCTATTGTTATTGCAATATAAAGATATTCTTTCTCATAGATATTAACAATGTGTGTTCTCAGAGAACCTAAAATATAGTCCTTTATTAAATTTTCACCTTTCACTGAAAATCTTTGTTTATGCCTGACAATATTTGGAAATCAAATTGGTCATTCTCAGTTCACTTACCTATATTTGCTAGGACATGTGAATATTATTTAATTTTATTTTTCTGCTTTATGTCACCTTTACTCTTTTTAATGAGTCTCCCCCCAGCCAGTTTGAATAAGGAAATTGTTAAGTGGCAAATATTTTAGTGAATTTAGTAAAAGAAACATATAACTGTGGATATCTGGGTAGAACAGCTTGTATTTGCCAGTAAACCAGCCAGAAGACACATTTAACAATTTTTTCAATCTTTTTGCATTTTACAAGTAAAGAATACCCACTGTTCCATGTTTTTCCAAAAGCAATGTTGTCCACTTTAATTCACCCTTTCCCATAGCTCTCTAAACACCTGAGAAATAACTATTTTCTCCTTTTCCTTCCCCGCTTGAGCTACCCATCAATAACTGTTTTTTGCTGTGTCCTGTTTTGGAGGACAGATGTCCTTAATGTGAGTAGACTAGAGTTGATTCCTGGCATCAAAGGCTATTCCACTATCTATCACCTTCAAAGAAAATTCAAAGTAACCTCTCATCCCTTTTCCTTGTGGACTATCATTACAGAAACTTGCATTTTTAATGCTATGGCCCTGCTGACCACGACATCTGAAACCGCAAGAATGGCAGTGTATGCAAAACTATCCTACTGTGCTTTTTGTTCACTACCTTGAGAAATTGAGATCTAATGCAGAAACCCCAAAGAGTTTTGATACTTCATGTTGAATGGGAGCTTTGTAGTTTTGGCACCAGAAAAGAAAATCCTAGGGAGAATTGTTAGTTTACAAAGTTGAATAACACTAAAATGGTTTTAAAAAGAGTAAAAAATAATATGTTGTGTAAATACTATAAGTCAGTAATCATGGAGTTGCCCCTAGATGTGAGTAGATAGTAAAATCTTTGATGCATTCCATCTGATTAATCTCATAAATATAGATGTGTTGGGCCCAATCTATATTATTCAGGTTTTTCTTTATTTAATGATATTATAAATCAGTTAATTGATAGTAGTACATTTTAAGAACCGGTGCAAAGGTCTAATCAGAAGAAATCCTTATGAGAATTAAAGTCACATATCCTCTTATAAAGACCTTTCAAAGATCCTGAGAAAGAAGATTGAATGTCATAAATAAGTAAGTGTAAACTAATTATATTAACCAACAAATAAGAGTGTATTTATTTCACTTACGTTTGAAAACTTAAGAACTAATTTTGGAATTTGGATGACTTTTCAGAATCAGCTACTTAACAAATGTAGACAATAGTATATAAAGCCATCTTAAAAATATATAATGAATGCTTTCCTATGACAGAGGATGATAGAATCACTTAAAGGATAAATAAAAAGGGCATATAATTTTCTGCATATGGGAAAATTTTCAAACCATACCAATCCTTGAAATAACCATTTCAACAAACACAACCAATACTTGAGTTAAGATGAACTTTAATGGTAATGAGAGGCAGCATAATGAAAAACAAAAGGAAAACTAAACAATAAAACCTAATTGAATATGAATAGTGCTATATTTTATAGTCAATCAATAAATTTTATTGTGAAATTACTATATTTAGACACTGTGCTAGGCATTATGATGCAACAGTTAATTTAAAAAACCCCTGCATCTAAAGAAAGTACACTAGAGTATGACACTGGGCAAGTGATGTAAATTTTGAAAGTCAGCCTCCTAGTATATGAAATAGAAATAATAAGAGTACTCCATCTGGTGTCTTAAAATAAAATGATTATTACTTTTTGCCCCTAGTCAATGATCAATGAATGTTACCTGTCATCCTATCATTGTCATTGTGATCATCTTCATGACCACCACTGCCACTACCATCATCATCCCCAGAGGAACCCTATCTCAAAAAGGAAATAGCTTTATGAACAACCTCATCTGTAATCTGGAACAATATTTACTTGGCACAGTGGTACAGAAGTTCAATTAAATGACATTTGCAAAGTAGTCTAGAATCATATGTAGTACAATATAATTTATCAAAAATGATGGATACAACTATTATATTTGCCCTCTATTATCATAGTACAAATTATAATAATTACAATTTGGACAAAATGATCAAAGGGATTCACATCTTTTTAGAAAATGGTTTTAAAGGAGAAATGTTATTAATTTTTTTTTTTTACCACAGTGCATGTAAGATTATTTCCAAAAGATTTTCTGGATGACTAATTTAAGACCTTCACCAAATACATTTGTTAAGGTTATCATATGGTAGACAATGCCAATGCAGTTGTTTAAAAAACATGTAGAGGACTTTTGAGATCACATTTTTAGGTCTCACATTTGATGATACGGTTTCTTCTTCTTCTTCTTCTTCTTCTTCTTCTTCTTCTTCTTCTTCTTCTTCTTCTTCTTCTTCTTCTTCTTCTTCTCCTTCTCCTTCTCCTTCTCCTTCTCCTTCTTCCTCTTCTTCTCCTTCCCCTCCTCCTCCTCCTCCTCCTCCTTCTTCTTCTTCTTCTTCTCTTCTTCTTCTCCTTCTCCTTTTCCTTCTTCTTCCTCTTCTTCTTCCTCTCCTCCTCCTCCTCCTCCTTCTTCTTCTTCTTCATTTATTATTATTATTATTTTTGAGTCAGGGTCTCACTCTACTGCCCAGGCTAGAGTTCAGTGACACCATCACAACTCAGTGCAGCTTCCACATTCTGGGTTCAGGTTATCCACACACCTCAGCCTTCTGAGTAATGAGTAGCTGGGACTACAGGCACATGCTACCATGGAAAATCACTTTTGTATTTCTTGTAGAGATGGGATTTCACCACACTGACCCGGCTGGTCTCAAACTCCAGGGCTCAAGCAATCCACTTGCTTACACCTCTTAAAGAGCTGGGATTATAAGCGTAAGCCACCACGGTCAGCCTGTCCTTCAAAAAATAATTGTGTACTTTTAGAATTGAAATCCATCTGTCCAAGTGTACATTAGTGCACTCACTCAAGATGTTTGGATTTTATATGCCCTATACTAGTCTAGTACTAGAAATCAAAGGTAATTAAAACATACTCTCCCCCTAAAAATAGAAATAACACAATGAGAAAGCAGGTATGTGCATATAGTTATATTGCTTCAATAATATGACACTCATTGTTATTTTAAAATTGTACATTCTGCCACTATATCTGTATCTCCTTTTGCACATCATCCATTGCAAGAACCCGATAAGTCACTCAACACAGCTGCCTGCATTTCTGGTCTAGATTGAGGCCTGTTTACTCTTCCATATCTGCTTTCAATCTTTTTAGAATGCCTTCCTTTTTCAATCTCTTTAGTCTCATATGACTTAATATCTTAATTTCTTCTCTTTGCTTAGTGTAATTTATTATTTATTTATTTGTTTATTTTTGAGATGGAGTCTCACTCTGTCATCCAGGCTGGAGTACGGTGGAACGATCTTGGCTCACTGCAACCTCCACCTTCCAGGTTCCAGCAATTCTCCTGCCTCAGCCTCTCAAGTAACTGGGATTATAGGCATGCACCAGCATATCCAGCTAATTTTGTATTTTTAGTAGAGACAGGGATTTGCCACATTGTCCACGCTGGTCTCAAACTCCTGTCCTCAAGTAATTTACTTCCCTCAGCCTCCCATAGTGCTGGGATTACAGGCATGAGCCACCGTGCCCAGGCTTATTTTGGATTCCATTACCTGGGTATATTTTTGCACATTTTTATGTCACTCTATGAGAAAGTTGCCTTTTATCATGCCCTAGGCCTGCAACTTTAGGCACATTGTGCCATATATTCCAAGTATGTAAGGAAAAAGTGAGTAAACAGCAAAAATACGTGAATATAAATTGAATTACAAGGGACAGTTGATTCACATCTTATATAGGGTTAGGTTCAAAAGACAGCACATAAAGCAAGAGTTGTGCTTAATTAGAAGCCAAATTGGAGATAGACATACTATATCTGAATGAGTCCAGTGCCTTTCCCAGCATGAGGTCAGATTTAAAAGCAGATGAAAGAATTGGCTATTGGTAATATTAATAGTGATAAATGTAATACCAGTATTTCTGTACCACACATTATCTTAAGTATTGTACATATTTAATCAATATAATTTTCTAATATCCTTGAGATATTTATTTCTTTCCAATCCCCCATGTTAAAATTGAGGCAAGTTGGGCAATAGTGTTTCCATGGAAGATTGATGATGTGTATAGCAACCCACTAACCAGATGTATAGAGGCTTTGAATAAACAGGAAAGGAGCTGCTGCTTAAAACATTTATTAAAATGTGGTCATATACATCTAAGTCTCCCCTAACTGAGAGGCAGTTAACTCAAGTAACTGTGGTAGTTAAGTGCAAGTTGTCTGTAATAAGCTTTCCCAGTTACCAATTCTAATTCTGTCATATTCTCTGTGGGATGTTGGACAAATCTTGACCTTTCTTATGTGGGTTTTCCCTTCTGAAAGTGTTGTTTTGAGAACTAATTAAATCTATTCACACAGGCAGTTAAAATCATGCTTGGTAGTTAAGCATTCAATAAATGAGATCTATTGTAAATTAATATTTACTATTAAATACTGTATCCTTCTGGAAGTACTTCAGGGAAAGTTTCTCATCTCAATTTACTGTTGAAAATTTCTTAGATCAGAATGATGCTGTGTTAAACCACTGGGAATTTAGAAATTATTAAGTCTTTGTGTTTTAAGAGAAAAAAATTTTTGCCAAATATAAAGGCATTGTAATGTGGCTTAATTGTAGGTAATTTTATTTGTGGAATATGGCTGGTATTAACTTTCTGGACTCTGCAGAGAGACGATAGTTGACTTCTTCCTTCTTATACTGGAAATAGATGATCCATGTTGAAAAAAATATATATATGTATAATAAAATAAGATTCAAAATGAGACATAAGCATCCTCATAAGGAGAAGTAAGCCTCACACCTCACCTCTATTATTACATCTTTAAAAATTACTTTTATTTCTATCTATATGCCTTATGTAATTAATTCTTAGCTTTCTCAACTTTAAATAATGTTTCAATTTTTTTTAAACAACCTAAGATTTTTCCTTTTATTTCTCACTCTGAAGTACACATCTTCTGCCTGTCTCTCTTCACCTATCATTTTAAAAAGATGTAAGATGTTCAATAATCATAAGCAAGCAAACAAATAAATAACAAATAAATACTATTGGTTGTCTTTAAGTTAGGAGTCAAAAACTCACTTGTGTCCAGGCAATTAGACAGCCCTTTGGGTCCTACATGGAGCTCCTGCCCTCTCTTAAAACTTCCAATCTTGAGTATGGAGGCACCTGGGCTAATGCTTGCCGGATTGGTTTCATTTTTCTTTCCACCCACAGAAGTTCCATTAAGCAGATGTCCACAGTGTTTCAACCTTCCAGGAAATTGCAGACTTCTCTTATTGGCTTATGTTTCTTCTCCATTTTTGCTCTTATGGGTGGATCATTGTATTTTTACTTTAATTATCAATTGCTTGGTATAATTAAATTTGGTTTGCAGGGGGAAATCAAGAAATGTGTGTGTTCATTTTTAATTCTTGGAGTTTGTATTTCTAGAATAGTGATGCAATAGAATGACATACTTATTAGGATAACACTAAATAAGTGTTCAGAAGTTAATTATTATTTAAAAGAGTTTCTTTTCAAATTTTCTATCTTACATAAATAATGTGAATGAAATTTTATAGAATTTTACTTGATAAAAGTCTATTTTTTTTTGCCAGGGAATATGGGAATGTTTTAACATAGCAATGAATTTTATTACTACTGAGATGTTATTTACACCTTAGTATATTTAACTCACTCAAAAATGGCTTATATTTTCTTCTATTATATATATAAAATTATATATGCATAAATATATCTGTATCTCTACATATCATCTCTGTATATATATATATATGTATATATATATATCTATATATCTATATCTATCTATATATATATCTATATATCTATATCTATCTATCTATATATATATATATATATATATCTTCTCAGTAGCTATCATGATTCCGTAACAGAAAGTAAATATTATAACTTAGAAAAAACTGAAATTTCTCATGTCAAGTGTACGTTTCTTTATACTTTATAGAAAACATCTTTTTCTCTAATGCTTTGTACTGGAAATGTCATCTTATGACAAAGTAAATACAAACAACCAAATATATCCTTTTTTATACGCCTATACTCTGCAAAGGTGGTTTCAATCAGAGAATATATGAAACATGAGGAGGTGGATCTGGATATACATCAGGTAGAAGATAGCCAGAATAAGTTGGTAGAGTTTTATCTGGTTGATACTATGCAAATAGAATTACTAATGATTTTTTAACTGCATTAAAGATATAAACTTCATTTAAAAGATATTTTTGAATATAAGTTTTTTTGAAAATGAGCTTCTTAAGTATATGCATGGGGTTAAAAAAAACAAAAGCAGACAGGGCACATAACAAAAACACGTCTTTGACATTTCTATTGCAGGAAATAAAGGAGAAGTGCTTCAGTCAGCCAACTTTTAAAAGGTGAAACCCAGGTCATCAGTGAAAGTAAAACAGCAATGCCTCAAATAAGAAAATATACCCCTTAATAAACTGTTTCTGAAAAGGAACTTGGCTTATTTAGTGTTACAGAATAGAAATATTAAACACAAACATTCCTATCTGTGTATGTTTCCAAAAATATCACACAACAGTGGTATTTTCTGTGTTTGTCCTGAAGTTCCTATTGTTTTGGTCAGTTTACTTTATGTCCTTATGCAGCCTAGAGTTGGTTGTTAAATTCCAGGGAGCATGCTGTGTTTGATAGATCTTAGAATTCTGAACTTCACTCTTAATATGGCTGAAACCATTCTCTGACTGATCTGTCTCCTTGTATATCTCATTATGTCCCCATGCTAATTTGGAGCTGGATATAGATGAGTGTAAAAGAGATGAGTAGTTATTGATGTGATAGTTGTTTGCTGCAATGCAGTGGACTTTTTTTTAGCAGTCATCTTTTTTTTTCTGTTTGTTTTTCACACAGCAACACGTTTCAAAACTTTTCAAATCAAATGGTCCTTATTGCAAATGAAAATCTTAGATAGTAAATAATTGGTTTAAGTCAACAGCTTCTATGGCTTTTCAAGACAGTTACATCTATGGGGTATCATAAAACAGTATATTAAAAGTTTGCTTATATCCAAATAATAGTCGAAAAGAAAGCTGCAGCATTAACTATGTCTACTAATGTCTTTGTACTAGTACATAACATGATTCATTTGCTATTGGCATTTTGTAAAAACTCAGCACAAATTTCTGGAACAAAATGTAAACAGAAATTAACTACTATTAGGAGGCCCTATACCATTTTGACTACTTTTCATCATTTATTTTCTCTCATTTATGATTTAACAACACATGTTATTTAAACTGAAATTCATGGAGTATGTATGTAGTAATTTAACATGTAAAATTTAAACTATCTAAAACAAACTAGACATTTCAGTTTCTCCTGACCATAAGTCCTATTATTTTAGCAACCAAGAAATTCCGAGGTTTTCTATGTGGTGAATAGAGTAGCATTAAAAAAATGACTCATGGTGCATACTAAAATTATTATGGGGCGTTAATTTATATTTCAGCTATTTATAATAATTTGTATTCACGCAGCACAATTGTTAACACATTCTGGGCAATGTGCCAGGTTCAGGGTCTCAGATATAAAGGACATGGGCTCTGTCCCCAGTATGTGCAATATGTTGTGTGGATTTTGAATTTATCTTCTTTGAAGAATATGTTCCAAGTATTTCATTTGGCCAACTTCCTCTGAGAAAAGTGGGACATTTATTTAATCAAGAGAATGATATAGCTCTTCAAAAGATCCCTCTGAATCACACTAAGGCAGCAAGAGAGCTGAGCTTCACTTTTCAGAATGGATAATGAGGTTGATTTTCTTTAAAATGGGCAGTTAAATTTATTTGGAGAAATAATTTTTTTAGTTTAAGAAATTCACAGTATAGAATTTAAACTTTAATCACATTATGGCAAATATTTTAAAAACATTTATTATTACAGCATAATCCATGAGAACAAACCAGACTAAGATTGAGACAAACAGCAAACAGGGTTTGTTAATGACACCTGTATTTGAGATTGACAATTTTTTCTTAATCTATAAAATGTGACAATATCAATTTATAGTTGTACAGGTAAATAGAGGATTTTGGTGTAAGTTAGGCCTGCTTGGTGTTTCTATTACCTAATTGTAACCTTGAGAAACTAATTTATCTGCTTTAAAATAAATTTTGTCTGTCAATAAAAATAAAAATAGACATCTCAAAATGCTGACTAAAGACAACCTTCAGAATGAGAGAAAATATTTGCAAATTATGCATTTGACAAAGGACAAATATTCATAATCTCCAAGAAACACAAATAATTCAAAAAGAAAAAACACACAAAAAAATCATCCCATTAAAAAGTAGGCAAAGTATTTGAACAGATAATTTCTCAAAAGAAGACATACAAAATGCCAACAAGCACATGAAAAGTGCTCAATATGCCTGATCATCAGAGAGTGCATATTAAGGCAACAATGAGTTACCATCTCATGCCAGTCAGAATGGCTATTATTAAAAAGTCAAAACACAACAGATGTTGGTGAGGATGCAGAGAAAAGGGAACACTTATACACTATTGGTGGGAATGTAAAAACCACTATGGAAAAAACGTATGGAGCTTTATCAGAGAACTAAAACTAGAATAACCATTTGACCCCAAAATCCCACTACTGAGCATCCAGCCAAAGAAAACCATATAATTATATTAAAAAGACATCTGCACTTGCATGTTTATCACAGCACTATTCCCAGCAAAGTCATGAAATCAACCTAAGTGTTCATCAACAGTATATTGAATAAAGAAAACATGGTATATATATACTATGGAATACAACTCAGCCATAAAAAATAAATGAAATAATGTCTTTTGCAGCAACATGGTTAGAAGTGTAAGCCACTTTATTTATTTATTTATTTATTTATTTGAGTTAGAGTCTCACTATGTCACCCATGCTGGAGTGCAGTGGCACAATCTTGGCTCACCGCAACCTCTACCTTCTGGGTTCAAGCCATTCTCCTCTCCTGCCTCAGCCTCCCACATAGCTGGGATTACAGGCCTGGGCCACCACACCTGGCTAATTTTTGTAATTTTAGTAGAGATAGGGTTTTGCCATGTTGGCCAGGCTGGGCTTGAATTCCTGACCTCAAGTGATCTGCCCACTTTGGCCCCCCGAAGTGCTGGGATTACAGGCATGAGTCACCGCGCCAGGCCTGGAGGCCATTACTGTAAATGAAATAACTCAGTAACAGAAAATCAAATACCACATGTTCTCATGTATGAGTGGGAACTACACAATGCATACACATAGATACACAGGGAAAAATAACAGACACTAGGGACTCCAAAACTGTGGAGGAGAGAAATGGTTGACGGTTGAAAAATTACCTACTGGGTACAATGTTTACTATTCAGGTAATGGGTACACTGGAAGCCCAAACCTCACCATTATGCAATATACCCATGTAACAAACCTATACATGTACCTCTGAATCTATAAACATAAAATATACTGTTTAAAAACCGAATTATTATATTAAAATACATGTAAAATACTTAACTCATAGCTATTACATGTGGATATAATATGGGTATGTATTATATATATGTGTATGTAGTGGACAAACACATACATACATTTTTCATATTACAAGAAGGATCTAAAGTAATTTACAACACAAATAGTCAACAAAAATAAAAATTACTAGATGGGAAATTCATTTCTGGAAATGGTGAGGAGACTTGTATATTGCAAAAGCTTCCAAAAGTATCAAATTATAATCTGGAAAAATATTTCCTAAAAAATTATTTGAGGACTTGGAGATTGAAAAAATGCAAAAAAAAAAAAAAAAAAAAAAGGAAGGCAATGAAAACATTGAAAGAGATATAAAATGAATAATATTTGTGTTCATGAGGTCCCCTCTCCCTTCTAAGAGTCCTCTCCACTCCACAAAATATGATGTCGGTAAAACTAAAACAAAAATTACAATTTATACAGCTTTAGGTGTCAGAGGACAGAGTTTAAGGCTGCCAGAGTGGCTAGAAAGTGAGGTAAAGCCTGGTTTAAAAAAAAATGTGTGACGAAGAGAAACCCCCAAATCTGAACTAAACTCCATCTAAATACTTGGATAGTTTTCAGACTGCACATGTGTAGGGGTGCCTCCAAGGGGCCCAGTGGAAAGAAAGACCTAGAAGGATGAAAACACCACAGACTGGAGATTTTAGCTGCTGCCTACTGCAAAGGAAACAAAGTTTGGAATTTGAGTACAATCAAGTAGTATTCTTGCTAAAACAAAAAATAATGTTATTTAAATGATGCAAACAGAATCCAGAGACTCTACAATGTATTGTTCCAAATGTACAATATACAATTAAAATTGCTAAACATTTGAAAAAAGAGAAAAATAAGATATATTCAATAGACAAATGATTCAAACTGATAATGAAATGATAAGGAGATTAGAATAAGAATCAAAGGACTGTGATTCTAAAACCCAATAAATACATTTTAAGATAATAAAATTGCTTACCAATCTCTCTCACGGGTAGAAACACATTTAATCAATGTAATTTATTCACCATATTAAACAAATAATGTAGAAGGATCATATAATCTTTCCACAGATGCAGAAGGCAAAAAATTAGCAAAATTAACACCCATTGAGGATATAAACTCTGAGCAACTTAAGAATAAAAAGAAATTTCTTAAAGCTCTTAATGCCCACTTCACCCCTTCTCTCAAAAAAAAAAAACAAAACGAAACTATAACTATCATCATGTTGATGCTTATTGGTGAGTTACTGAATTTTCTCTTCCTACAATCAGGAACAAGACAAGGTTACCACTCACTCTGATCATTTTTCCCCCATTATAGTGTAGGCCCTGGCCATTTCAATATGACATGTGAAATAAATAAAAGTCATAAAGATAGAAAAGAGAGAATGAGATAGTCCATAGTCACAAATAGCGTGAAGTAAAATACAATATTGGAGTAAAATACAAGAAGATCTATAAATTAACCACTACAGCTAAATAACTGCAGTCTGCAAAGCAGCAGGATGAAAAGTCTATACATAAAGCTGTATTTCTATATATTAGCAGTAAACAATTTGAAAATAAAATTTATAAAAATCAGTTTACATTAGCATTTAACAGCATACTAATATTAGAATAGAATTTAACAAAAGCTGTGCATGACTTTATTTTTTTTTTACTGAAAATTATAAAACAAAACTGAGGGAAATTGAAGAAGCCATAAATAAATCAAGAGGTAGACTGTGTTCATAAAATGAAAGTCTCAATGTGGTTACATTTTGACTTTCCATGAATTAATTTATGAATTCAATGCACCTCAATCATAATCCAGAGGCTTTTTTACTGGACTCTGACATGATGATTCTAAAATAAGATTCACATGGCCAAGAGTAGTAAAATGATTTTTTAAATGAGCAGTAAATCTGGAGAATCTACAGTACTAAATTTTGGCGTAAGAGTGTAAAAATGAAAAAAAAAAAAACCCACAAGTCCAGGAATAAACCACATTTATTTTGGTCAATTGATTGTGACAAAGGTTCCTAAGAAAATCAATGAATATATGAAAATCCTTTTCAAAAATTTCAGGATTGACTAGTTTAATAAATAAAAAGTGAGAGACGCTATTCAAATACATTTCTAAAAGTTGTGTTTCTGCTTGTTCTTAGATTGTAAAAAAAAAAAAAAAACAAATTCAAAAGTTTCATATATGCCTGCTATAATCTATTTTTATTTTAAGCATTTATCTTAGATTTTGATAATTCTTTTTTAAATAAAATACAATTTTGCTATTTCTCTTTATTAATATGCTTAACACCTAGTTTTAAGCTATTGTTTGAAGCATTTAAAACATAACAATACTATACCTTTAACAATAAACAAAAATTTCTCAAATCTCCCTAACTGTCCTGATATTTGATGGCTTGTTTGTAAAGGTTGCCACTTTTTCAATAGCAAAAATAAGTGGAGGGATAGAAAAGTCTGCCATTTTACATCACGTTTGGTAGAAGGTAATGCTGCACAACATAGATCTTTGGGTTGAAAGTTAGGAATTATGGGTCACGTCTTCAATAATTTCACAAACTCTTTTCCCAACAGAATCTTGTCCAAATAATGATGTAATTCTTCCTTTATTTGGCTAATAATTGGATGTGTCTTTATATTTTAGCACTCTGTATAATTGTCATCACAAAAAATAAATATATAATTGCAAAAGGGCTGAGACTTGATTGAAGACCTATTCTAAATGGGTAAGATTCTAACATTTGTTAGTCTTTCCACAAAACATTTAAAAAGTAATTCAAATTTAATTTGTCGGAGAATATCACTGAAATAATTTGAATGCCCTGACTATATTTTGAGAAACTTCAATCAGATTCTTAAACTACAGGGATAAATCTGTTTCCCTTTGTAAGGCGGTAACATATCATTCCCCATTTTACCTGTGAGACCAGGAAGATAATATTGGTATCATTGGTGCATTCCTTTGAAGAAGGAAAAGTCTGAAACTTGAATTGGTAAATTTCAGAGAGGGGCAGGACTTTTGCACATTAAAGTCAAATAATATGAGATATCACAAAATATGCGACTAAGGTTAATTTAAATAAAATTCTAAAATAATTAAATGTATAAAGTGTAGCTATTTGGGATTATGGAAAATATATATTTATACATATGCATTATATATATATTTAGCATAATTATATCAAAGCTAATTAACATGTTTATCACCTCACCTAGCATTTTTTATGGAGAGAATTTTGAAATTAACTTTTTCAGTTATTTTTAAATATATATTTTTGACTATAGTCACTCTGTTGTGCAACAGATCTCCAAACCTATTTCTTCCATCTATCTGAAACTTTGTACCCTTTGATGAATAACTCTCCATTTACTTTCTCTTCACCACCCTACAGACTCTGAAAAACATTGTCCTGTCCTATACTTCTTTGAGTTTAACTGTAATATTCCACACATAACTGAGGCCATTCAGCATTTGTCTTTTTGTGACTGGCTTATTTCCCTTAGCATAATGTCCTCCAGATTTACCCATGTTGTTGCAAAAGACAGAATTTCACCTTCTTAAAGGCTGAACAATGTTCCATTTTGTATATATATACCACAATTTCTCTATTCATTCACCTGTAATGGACACGTAGGTTGATTTCACATCTTGGTTATTGTGAATAGTGCTGCAATGAACATGGGAGTGCAGATATTCCTTTAACATACAGATTTTAGTTCCTTTGGATAGATAACCAGACATGAGTTTACTGGCTTATGTGGTTGTTCTGGCTTTTTTTGTTTTTTGTTTTTTTTTGGTTTATGTTTTTTTTTTTTTTTTGAGAAGCCACCATATCATCTTTCCTTAATGGCTGTACTAATTTAACATTTCCACCTGCATAAGAGTTCCCTTTACTTCACTTTCTCTCCAACACATTTTCATCTTTTTGATAAAAGCCATTCTAACTGTTGTGAGGTGATATCTCATTATGATTTTCATTTTCACTTATTTAATGATTAGTGATGCTGAGTATTTTTTCATGTCCTATTTGTCATTTGTTTATCTTCTTTAGAAAAATGTCTGTTTAGGTTCTTTGCTCATGTTTAAATCAGGATACATGGGTTCTTTCTATTGGGTCATTTGAGTTCCTTATATATTTTGGACATTAACCTCTTATCAGATGTATGGTTTGCAAATATTTTGTTCCTTACTACGAATTCACCAAAATATTGTTAAAACTGATAAATAAATTTAGTAAAGTTTAATGATGCAAAATCAACATATAAAAATAAGTAGTGTTTCTATATAGAAATAATAGGTTATCTGAAAATGAAACTAAGAAAACAATCCTCTTTACAATAGCAACAAAAAATAAAAAACATAGGTGTAAATTTAATCAAAGAGGTAAAAAAAAGCCCTTGTATACTTAAAACTATAAAATATTGATGGAAGAAACTGGAAAAGACAGACCTAAATGGAAACTTATCTCATGGCCATGGGTTGCAAGAATTAATATTGTGAAAATACCCATACTATCCAAAGCGATCTACAGATTCAGTGTGAATTCCTATCAAAATTCCAATGCCATTTTTCACAGAAATAAGAAAAAAAAAGATTCAAATTCATGTGGAACCACAAAATACTTTGAACAGCCAAAACAATCTTGAACAAAAGAGCAAAGCTGTTGGTATCACCTATTTCTCTGATTTTAAAACAGTATTATGTGATTGCAATCAAAACAGCATTTTACTGGTGTTGAAACAGACACATTGACTTAAGGAACAAATAAGCAAACTCAAAAATAAACTCACACTTCCATGGTCAACTGATTTTTGACAAGGAACCAGGAAACACATAGAGGAAAAGAATAGTCTCTTCAATAAATGCTTTTGGGAAAGCTAGAATCCCCATGCAGAAGAATGAATTAGACCCTTATCTTACACTATATGCAAAAATAAACTCAAATTAAATTAAAGACTTTAAGATATGGAACTGTAAAACTACTAGAAGAAACAGGGAAAACTCTACAACATTTATTTGAGCAACGACTTTAAAAATGATCCAGAAATCACAGGCAACAAAAACAAAAATAGACCAATGGGATGGCATCAAAATAAAAAAGCTTTTGCATAGCAAACAATTAGCTAAGTGAGGAGATAACCTACAGAATATTATGTTAAAATAAAATATGAACCAATATACTAGTTATGGTGTGAATATTTTTGTCCCCTTTAAAATTCATGTGTTAGAAACTTAATCTCCAATGCAACAACTTTGGGAAGAGAGGCCTAATTAGAGGTGTTTAAGTCATAAAAGCTCTGCCCTTGTGAATGAATTAATGCAGCTATGAAAATAATTTGTGTAAGTGGGTTTGCTTTCTTCTACTCTTCTGTCAGGTGGAGGATGCAGGATTTAAGCCACTATTTAAAGAAGCAGAGAAACCAAGCCCTATTATGCCAGCACCTTTATCTTAGACATTCCAGCCTCCAGAACTGTAAAAAATAAATTTATTTTCTTTATAATGTACCCAATATATGGTATGGCAACATAGCAGCACACAGAAAAGAAGACAATATGACTTTATGCCTGGAACTATTTTAAAACATAGTATTAGACTTCCATTTTAAGACATATGCTTTTTAAATAATCAATATCTAATCTTCAGAATGAATCTTGGAATGTATAATAGGTTATAATATTCTCAGTTAATTTCCCATTTACTATGCCTTTTTCTCCAGTAGCACTGCTTTTTCCCTAGTTAATCTCAAAACTTTTTTGAGTTTACTAATGAACATTGACTATTGGGCCATTCTTTCTCAGTTAGATTAGTGATAGCAGTGTTTGTAAATTTAATTTAAGCCCACTTAATTCTAAATTATCTTTTCTAGCATGAGTTTTGTCTGTGTCTTTGGTTTCATGTTTCAATCCTATAACCAAGCTTATAATTTTATATTCATATCAATTCATTTAATTAAAAAACAAATAATGTGGCAGATGCTAATTCCTTTCAACATGTTTATATTGATAATGATCTAAAGTAAGTGATAACCTTCAATTTAGTTTTTGCTGCTCCTGTTTCCATATCCAGTTTTTATGTTAACAGATTTATTACTTTTAAATATTTTAATATTTTAGAATTAATTATTGAATTATATTTGAGACAAGATGAACTACAAATATTTAAAATGTACAATTTGCTGTATCAGCATATGTAAGCACCCATGAAACTATTATCATAAAAAAGATAATAAACATCTCTCTCACCCTAAAAGTATCCTTATGTTATTTTTTTTCCATCTTCTGCCATTTCACAACTTTCCTCTTCCCCAAAGAAATGATTGGTCTATTTTCTATCATTATAGATTAGTTTGCATGCTGTAGGCTATTGTATACATAGAATTGTACAGCATATATTCTTTTTTGTCTGCCTTCTTTATCCAGCCTAATTATTTTAAAATTAATTCATGTTTTGGTAGTTTAAATTGTCTATTGTTTTGTATTGATATTCATTCCATTGTATGGGTATACAACAGTTTGTTTTTCCACTCACCTGTTGATAGAGATTATGGTGGTTTTCAGTTTTGTCCTCTTATGGGGTATATGTGCAAATAAAACTGCTATAAGCAATTATGTACAAGCCTTCCTCTTACCATATGTACTTTTTTCTCTTGAGTAAATACCTAAAAATGGAAAGTTTGGATAATATGTTATGGGTATGTTTACAATTCCTAAGAAATTGACAAACTATTTTCAAAGTTGATTGCACCGTTTTACATTCATACCATAATCCTTGTCAATACTTGCCACGGGCAATTTTTTTCAACATCTCATAGATGGATAAGATGAACTAATTGAGGTTTTCATTTGGATTTCCCTAGCAACTAATTATATTGACCATCTTCAATTTGCTTATTTACCATCTTTGCATCTTTTTATTAGATATGTGCTTTGCAGATATAATAATAATTTCCAGATTGGAGAAGAAGAAGTCAAATTATCCATGTATGCTGAAGGATAATAATGTTATGAGAGGTTTGTTCCTGTTATATTGTTCATTGCTTTCTAGTTTTTTTAACTTTTAAATTTTTTAAATTGAAATTATTTTTAAATTATGGCTATGCTTGCAGGAGTAAGGTAGTATCGCATTGTGGTTTTGATTTGCATTTACTTGATGATGATTAGTGACATTGCGCATTTTTTCATATGTTTATTAGACATTTGTATATCTTTTGAGAATTATCTACTCATGTCCTTAGTCCACTTTTTAATGGGATTTTTTTCTTTCTGACTTGTTTGAGTTCCTTTTAGATTCTAAATATTAGTATTTTGTCAAATGCATAGTTTGCAAATGTTTTCTATCACTCCGTTGGTTGTCTGCTTACTCTGCTGATTATTTCTTTTGCTGTGCAGAAGCTTTTTAGTTTAATTAAGTCCCATCTATTTAGCATTGCTTTTCGGTTGTTGGTTATGAATTCTTTGCCTAAGCTAATGTCTGTAAGGGCTTTTCTTATGTTATCTTCCAGAATTTTTATGGTTTCAGGTCTTAGATTTAAGTCTTTGCTCCATTGAGTTGTTTTGTGTAAGGTGGGAGACAAGGATCCAGTTTCATTCTTCCACATGTGGCTTGCCAATTATCCCAGCACAATTTGTTAAATGGAGTCTTTCCCCCCCTTTTTGTTTTGTTTGCTTTGTTCAAAGATCAGTCAGCTATAAGTATTTTGTTTTATTTCTGGCTTCTCTATTCCGTTCCATTGGTCTATGTGCCTAATTTTATACAGGTAACATGCTGTTTGGGTGATTATAACCTTATAGTATAGTTTGAAGTTGGGTAATATGATACTTCAGGATTTGTTTTTTTTGCTTAGTCCTGCTTTGGCTATGTGGGCTGTCTTTTTGGTACCACATAAATTTTAGGATTGTTTTTTCTAGTTCTGTGAAAAATGATGATGGTATTTTGATGGAAATTGCATTGAATTTGTAGATTGTTCTGGCAGTATGGTCTTTTTTACGATATTGATTCTACCCATACATGAGCATGGGATGTGTTTCCATTTGTGTCATCTATGATTTGTCTCAGCAGTGTTTTGTAATTTTCCTTAGAGGGCTTTCACCTCCTTGATTGGGTATATTCCTAAGTTTTTGTTAGTTAGTTAGTTTGTTTTTTGTTTTTGTTTTAGCAGCTATTGTAAAGGGGGTTGAGTTCTTGATTTGATTCTCAGCTTGGTCGCTGTTGGTGTATAGCAGTGCTACTAATTTTTGTACATTGATTTTTGTATTCTGAAAATTTGCTGAGTTTGTTTATCAGATCTAGGAGCTTTTTGGATGAGTCTTTAGGGTTTTCCAGGTATACGATCGTATCAGCAGTGAACAGCAACAGTTGAATTCCTCTTTACTGATTTGGATGTCCTTTGTTCCTTTCTCTTGTCTGATTATTCTGACTAGGACTTCAAGTACTATGCTGACTAGAAGTGGTGAAAGTTGCAATGCATGTCTTGTTCCAATTCTCAGGGGGAATGTTTTCAACTTTTTCCATTCCATATAATGTTGGCTGTGCGTTTGTCATAGATGGCTTATATTACCTTAACTTATGTCCCTTCTATGCCAATTTTGCTAGGGGTTTTAATTATAGAGATGCTGGATTTTGTCAAATGCTTTTTCTGTGTCTGTTGAGATGATCATGTGATTTTTGTTTTTAATTTTGTTTATGGGGTGTTTCACATTTATTGACTTGCATATGTTAAACCATTCCTGCATCCCTTATATGAAAACCACTTGATCATGATGGATTAACTTTTTGATATGATGTTGAATTTAGTTAGCTAGTAATTTGTTGAGGATTTTTGCATCTGTGTTCATCAGGGATATTGGTCTGTAGTTTTCTTTTTTTGTTATGTCCTTTCCTGGTTTTGGTATTAGGGTAATACTGGCTTCGTAGAATGACGTAGGCAAGATTTCCTCTTTCTCTATCTTTGGGAATAATGTCAATAGGAATATTACCAATTCTTCTTTGTTTAATTGGTCTGTTAGAATGGAATGAAGTTGTCTAATGAAATTCAGCTGTGAATCCATCTGGTCCTGAACCTTTTTTTGTTGGCAAAATTTTTATTACCATTTCAATCTTGCTGCTTGTTATTGGTCTGTTCAGAGTTTTTATTTCTTCCTGGTTTAATCTAGGAGGGTTGTGTATTTCCAGGAATTTATCAATTTCCTCTAGGTTATTTTTTTATGCACATAAAGGTGTTCATTATAGCCTTGAATGGTATTTGTATTTCTGTGATATGCATTGTAATGTCTCCCATTTCATTTCTAAATGAGCTCATTTGGATCTTGTCTCTTCTTGGTTAATCTTGCTAATGGTCTATCAATGTTATTTATCTTTTCAAAGAATTAGCTTTTTCTTTCATTTATCTTTTGTATTTTTTTTCAATTTTATTTAGTTTTGCTCTGATCTTGGTTATTTTTTTTTCTCATGGGTTTGGGTTTGGTTTGCTTTTGTTTTTCTAGTTCCTTGAGGTGTGACCTTAGGTTGTCTATTTCCACTTTTTCTCTTGGTGTTTTATAAATTCTTTGGTTTTTTTTCTTCTTTTTCTTTTTTTTGCTCTGACTGTTTCTCATTGCGGTTTGGTGGAATTTTGTCATGGTATAATTTGATTTCTTTTTTCCTTTTCTTTTTTGTGATTGGTTTACCAGTGAATTTTACACTTACATGTATTTTCATAATAGTAAACCTTGCCCACTTGGCCTATAAGATCAGACCTTCCTTGAGCATTTCTTGTAGGGCCATCTAATGGTCACAAATTTCATTAGCATTTGCTTATCTAGTAAAGTCTTGATTTCTCCTTCATTTATGAAAGTTAATCTTGCTTGATAAAAAATTCTTGGCTGGAATATTTTTTCTTTCGCAATTTGAATATATCATCCCATTCTCTTCTGGCCTGTAATATTTCTGCTGAGAAGTTCACTGTCAGTCTGAAGAGGTTTCTTTTTAAGTGGCCAGATACTTTCATCTTGCTGTTTTGAGAATTTGCTCTTCCACTTTGACTTTAAATAGTCTTATTTTCGTGTCTGTGGTGAAGTTCTTTTTGCATTACACTTTGCATATTGTCAAAAATTAACAGTATAAAAATATAGCCTCTCCTTAACCATGAAGAATACATACTTCTCTATTTTTTAGGTTGTTTAAAATTTATGCAAATTTTTTTTGCATTTTAGTATAAAGACTTTCACAGTTTTGTCAAATTTAGTCGAGAATTTCCTATTTTTAATTTATTGTAAATTATTTAAAATACCTTATTTGTCATAATATGTTGCTATTACATAGAAATATAATTAATTTTTTAAGTATTTATTTTGGTCCCTATAATTTTGATTTACTTACTTATTAATATCAGTCATTCTTTGTTCATTTTATTAATTTTCTGTATAGATGATCATGTTTTCTGTGAATGAGAAGTATTACTCTTGCTTTCCAATCCGGATGCTTTTTATTTCTTTTTAATATCTGATTGCATTGTACAGTACCTCTATTCAGTACAATGTTAAAGAAGAGTAAAGAAAGGAGATATATTTTTTCTTATCTTACATAAAAATATTTTAGGCTTTCAGAATAAATATGTTGCTAGCTGTAGTTACTTGTAAAAATCCTATATCAGGTTGAAAACTTTCCCTTGTTTCTTGCTTTAGTAATATTTTTGGGTTTTCTAAGAGTGTGTGTTTTTTGTTTGTTTTTTTTTACAATTACTGTGGATGTTGAATTTTGTCAAATCTTTTATTTATTGAGGTGATTATAGGGTCTTACTTATTTTTTTTTACTTTGTTTATATGGCAAATTAAATTTAAACCTGCCCTGCAGGAGATACTAAAAGAAGTTCTTTAGGGAGAAAGAAAATAACAGAAGTCAGAAACTTGTATCTACAAACAGTAGAGAAGAGTGTCAGAGAAGAAATACACCAAGGTAAAACAAACAAACAAACATATTCTTTGACTTCTCTTCCTCTTAATGAATCTAAATGGTAATTTTTGAGGTAATAATAGAAAAAATATATTGAGTGATTATAGTGTATGGATACATTAAATAACAGTGTTGTTAAATGAGATGAGAGAAAGAAATTAGAAATATACTGTTGTATTTATATAATTAACTCTTTGATCTTAATATAGATACAGATAGTTACATATAAAATACTTATAAGTATTTGTATACACATTGGGAAATATGCATGTATTTATTATTGTGGTCAGGTGAGAACACCTAGTCTCAATGACCACCCTGATAATCCAGTTAGTAGGCATACCTAATACCCGGATCTTTCTTTCTAATACAATTTTGGAATTTAAAAAAACCTAGGGATTATTGGAGAAATGGCTCCTGCTAAGATTTGGGCAGGAAATATACAAAATAAGCCTGGAGTACCAGAAAGTATGGAAATACTTTAAAAAATGATCTGCATATATGAAGAAGACATAGGAACCAATTGATAGGGCTTCAAATGGCTAAAGCTTGAACAACCTAAGCAACATAAATAAATTTGTATTAGATTATAAACAAAATAATAAATATCTGTGATTCCATATTGACATAATTAAAATGATTAAAAATAAATACAGATAAAAGAAAAATCTCCCATGCTTAAAAATTTAAAATCATTTAGACAATTCTACCCTTAAGAGCAGGGTGCATAACTCTCCACTTCTGAAGTGTGGACTGTGCATTATGATGTTTCCAGAGTGCAGTATGAAGGAGGTTGAGAGTGGAGGTGTAAGAGCAACATTATCATTGAGGAACCTGAAAAATAAACACTATCCCAACCAGATGATCAAGGTCAATGTAAACCATAAAAAATCATTTGATAATATGTGCCCTTGATATGATCTGATAAAAGTTACACATTACTTCTGTGATCTTCCTCCAAAAAACCCATCAACTTCAGTCAAAGATTGAGAAATACATTAGACAAATTTCAATATAATGGCTTCCTACAAAATATCTGATGATTATTTCTTACAATTCTCAAAGTTTTCAATAACAAAGGAAGTCTGGGAAATTATCAATGTCAGAAGGAGTTTATGGAAACACGACAAATAAATGTGATACTATATCCTGGATGGAATAGTGAAACACTATGCCATTATACCTAATGGCATTAGGTATAAACTGAGAAAATCTGAATAACACTTTAATTTTAGTTAACTACTGCTTATAATAAAATAATAATAATACATTAATATTGGTTCATTGTGACATATATAATATATTAATTTAAGATGTTAATATTAGGGGGAACTGGGTATGCATATGGGAACTCTACTATCTTTTCCTGTAATACAATATAGTCTAGGAAAACTATTGAATGCTGCCATTATATGTTATCATATTTCACTTTTGTTCTATAATGTATTCATCAGGGATTCTAAGCAATGATTTTTTTTCACCAAATTCATGCTTCCAAAGGCAAAAGAATAATGAATAAAAAATTGAGAAGATGTTTTGAATAGGTGGCAATCTAAATGCCAAGCCTCATGATGATTCAAAATAAAATACCACTAAATTTAAGAACCTTATGACACAGATATTTAAAATGCCAAAATGTAATGTTATCATAAAGTAATTTATATTGCTTTTCAAAATTGCAATTTTCAAGTGTTCATTCATTAATTCTAAACGTACCATGGAATATAATTTTGTGAATAAATAGGCTTACTATTTATGTAGTCACATAAAAATAGACTCCAGTATAAGCAACCAAGAAGATAGACTGTATATAGATGTGCGATATATTCAATATGATTAATCCTTGATATTTAAAGCTTAGAACCAAAATGGAATGGTACAAGCTTCGGGTAGATCAAAACTCAAGGAGAGAGTCAAGCTGGCAGCTAGGCCAGTTCATGACCCTTATAAAACATTTAATGATTGTTTATTGTTTTCAACTTTGTAGCATTTGAACCCACCATGGATGCGCAGTAAACAACATTATAGTAAAGCCCCCAAATAGTCATTTTGTCTCTATCTTTTAAGAAATAGAAAAGGCACTAACATAAAATATGGAAAAATTCCCCTTATAAAATATTATCAATTATACTGTTAGTGTATATTGTATTGTGGCATTTATTTTAACTCTCCTCATTTTCCATGAAAACTCTACTTTGCCAGGTGAATAACGTATATCATGCATTTAGAAAATGTGTATTTATAAGGTAAGTCTTGTAAAAAGCTTGTCTTTAATAAGTGTCAGCCAATGAAAATAAACACGTAGAAATTATAACTGGAAAATCTTAATGTCATCAGCAAATGCAATACACTATTACCAGTTCTCATATGCTCAAACTTTAGGCTATCAATTTGTTATTGTTGCTATTGCTTTTCTTCATTTTTTTCCACTTTTTCTCCTCTTCCTCTTACTCGTTCCTCTTCTTCTTTCTCCTCTTCCTCCTTCTGCTTCTTCTGCTTCACATTTATAACTCCAATTTGAATTTTGAAACTGTGGTGATCCCTCACTTACGATTTCAAATAAATTTATTAATTATGAATTAATCTATACACATAAATATAAAATTCAGTCTGCTCAACATTTAAAAATGTGTCAATGACTTTCAGCACTTATAGAGTTATATTAGAGGATTAAGTTTTTAAAATATAAACTATTCATTATAGAATAATTCTAAGATTCTTCTCAATTAAATCAGCAATTATTCACTTGTGTAACTATAAAATACAACAAGTGAAGTATAATTACCAATTTGGAAATACATGACATGTAAATTATGACATCTGAATATATAATAAACAGATTTAAATATGAACCCAAATTAAATATCACAAATGCTCTGAATGACAGGTATTGACTTTTATATAAGCGTCTGTAGACATTACTCTTCAGGGTAAGTAGCTACAGGAATTTTATACATTTATTGAGAGCTATTGATTCCCCTAAGATCAGAAAGACAATGAATACTTATTGTAGAATATTATTCATTCATCTATCCTTTCACTCAACAAATATTTATTAGGCTCCACCTGTTCCAGGTATTGCTGAAAGCTAGAAGTTACAATAAGGGCCAATAGAGAAATTTATCCCGTTTATGAAACTTATATTTAGTGAATATCTTTTGTATATCTTGAAATCTAATATCTCAGATATTAGTTACCTAATAATCTAACATCTAATCTTAATTCATATAATTATTAGATATTAGAATTAGAGATATAAAATTTTAATTGTATATATTAGACAATGCATACAAGTTTCAGTGGATATAGGCCTTTATGGTGTTTATCTTTAATACTGAAAATCTGAATGCAACTAAATTTCTATTTTGCCGATTTAGGATTCCCTCAATAATTTCTTCTCAGGTTTTGCTTAAGAGAATGCTATGACAGTTTCATCCATTCGTTCTCTCTTTAATGCATTTTTTCAGCAACATTTGTCAAATGCAGGGTGTTCTATGCATGGCACTAGAATAATAAAGCATGGTCCTATTTTCAAGAAACTTAAGTGGCAGTAAGACAAATCCAAAATGTTAAATAAATAGATACAGAACTAGTTGTCTTTCAAGTCACTATTTTCTCCTGATTTGACCTCAGATTCCAAACCTTCTACCCTTTAGAGTAAAAAGCAGGGTAATTCCAGGATGGAAAGTGAGGTTTCCGTTCAACATTTACCAATAAATAGAGTTTGTTTTTATATCCTGGATGTCTGAGATGGTATCTGGCACAAAGTCATCACTCCAAATTAATGCTTAATTAGTTAAAGAATAATTTAAATAACTACTAATTTTTTAGTAAATTGGGCAATAAGAAGTTGTTTCAGGGCACTGTTTAGTGTAAATGATAGCACATGAACCTACAAGATTGAGTTGAGATTAACAGACTTCTGTGGTCACCTTGGAAGGAATATGCGGCCCAGGACAGAATCAGTAGCATAATGACTTACATATATATGATTTTAGTGATGAGTCACACACAGATTTTTACAGGGTATATGAAGACATTAGAAAAATTAACACATTTAATTTGTATGTGTGTATGCAAGGTATACGTTATTTTAAAAAACTGGTGAAGCAGGAGCAGAAATTTCATTTAGTAACATGCATTTTTAATCTATGGGGTCATATAATTTTATTTTAGAAGCTGAGTTACAGAACTATCTTGACTCCCAATATTACGATCCTTTGTTCTTTAGCATTTTCCACTACAAGGAGAAATGGTGACTTAAAGTAATGACTTAGAGCAGGAAATCCTCTGCAATAATATCTACTCAATCTTCATCAGTAATATCCTACTTTTAACATATGATGCAAACTCCTAAAAATCTGTAAATACAAGGATAAAATACCTTACTTTTTCTATCTTGAAATAGTATTTTTATAACTTACCATTTTCTTCTATGTTATGGATTTAGCTTGTAAATATCTGTTAACAAATTGGTTCTACAAGATATATAAAAATCTCATGTGACTTTTCACATTTGCTCTTTATTCCAGTTTGTACGATAGAGAATTCTCTATTTCATCATCTTTTCTGCAAATGCAATAGGAAATTCTTTTGTGTTTTTGGCCTTTAAATTCAGTAAAAATGTTAAAAAAAAAAAAAAGAAAATTTTCCCAGAATAAGAAGTAATAATGGAGAAAGATATGAGCAGTGTAGCATACAGACTAGAATATTAGTTAATATGGCTGGCATGTTTTATGTGAAGCGTCTTTTTAGGTAATAAAGTTCTAACTTGTAAACTTGCTCAGGCATGGAAGCAGAAGACTTTTTATTTCTCTTATCCATGGAGAATTCAATTAGCCATTTTAACTGACTTCTCTTGATGAAAATAAAACATCCTAAAGTTTCTCTATCACAATTTTTTGAAAATATTTATCATATAGTGACTAATAAAGAATACTTATAAGGTAGAACTCACAAATGTGCCTCTCAGTTTGCCTTTGTTCTATTTTACTTTATACCAGATATCTATATTATATATATAGTAGCTTTTTATGTAATTATAGATGTATATATATTCTTTTTGTCTTTTTTTAAATTTTGAAATGGAGTCTCACTCTATCGCCCAGGCTGGAGTGCAGTGGTGTGATCTCAGTTCAAGCAATTCTTCCTGCCTCAGCTCCAGAGTAGCTGGGATTACAGGCGCCCACAACCACCCCTGGCTAATTTTTGTATTTTTAGTAGAGCTAGGGTTTTGCTATGTTGGCCAGGCTGGTCTCGAGCTCTTGATGTCAGGTGATCCACCCACCTTGGCTTCCCAAAGTGCTGGGATTACAGGCCTAAGCCACCATGCCCAGCCACCAAATATATTTTTAAAAGGTCATTGTTAAAGTAAGCATTTTAAACATGCTCCATAGATTAGTGGCTAAAGAAGCCAGTTCTCAGAATCATAATAGAACACCATTGCATGTTTCCTTCTTCTAAAAATTATAATTGTCAAGTTTCCTCTCCATCACAGAACAGTGGAAAGATCCACTTGGGTTTTTCCAGGCTTTTTTTTAAGTAAGAAATCCTCTCTCGGGATTTCTATCTCAATTTCTCTTCTTACAATCTGACAAGCCAGAATTGATAGTTGAATAACTCAATTAAAACTTTTTTTGCCGTTTCTCTCCCATTGCCTGAATATTATATAAATGATTCCTATTAAATGTATGAGCAAAGTGAAATGACTTTGTAGGAGCTGAACCTTTGATAGCTAGGGATTAACTTTTCTGTGTTTGCACATGAAGGTCCCCTTTCATTCTTTATAAGTGGGTTCTAATGATATAGAAACTCCATTTATCATGGTACATTAATTAGATGTGCTGTACTCCCTAAGATAAAATGCATAATAAAAATGTAAAGTCACATGAAGCAACCTTTCCTCTTAAGAATGTCAGAACCAGGTTATTCAAACTCAAAGCGCACATTTTTCTATCTTTTCTTAACTTTAATAAGCTATTGTTACCTTTTACACAAAGCAATACTTCTTTCCTGTTCATCAGGTTTATCCTACCCTTTAATTTTTCAGAGTGCTCAAATATGAGTCAGTTCATTAAGTGACATATACGTATACTAAGTTCTTGACATTTTTCACCTCTGTCCTTTTTCTGTCCATCCTGTATATAGACAAAGTGAATAAATTGACCCCATTGAAAGCTCTGCACTCCTACCATTTTTCTGATTTCACTGACCACAACCAATTAATTTTACCTTTTCCCTGGATAGTTTCTCTGAATTCAGAGTCGCTCTGTGTGTCTTCTAATACTCTCTTATTCGGACATCAGAGCTGTAAGAAGAGACATGAGGTTTTCAGACATTTCTTATGCTTCCACCTCTATCCCTTTTATTTTATTTATGTATTAGGAAAAAAGAATTCTGGGTAAGGATGCAAGATAACTAAGTTTCAAGTGTAGTTTCACCAGGAATGTAGTGATTGACCTACACTTACATTTTCTGACCTATAAAATGAGTATGTGATTAGAGAAACTCAAAATTTTTCATAAGGTTTGACAACTTATTACATAAATAAAATTATATCTTACAGAAAATTTAATTTGTATCATTGATAATATTTTATCAGTAAAATGACAGCAAATAAAATTCTATTTATCATATCTTATAGGAAATATTATTTCATGATATAATTAAATATTATGTCATACAGGAAATATCATTATTCAGATTTAATAATTGGGGAGGCTTCCATTCTATGATCCAACGTGAAAAAAAACTTGAAGTCATCTCTCCCATTTGCAAGCAAGAGAAAAGCTAAGCAAACTGACAGTCACAAACTCTTCTTTGGATCCATTAGAGAGTTGAGGTTACAGGGAAAACTGCTGTCCCAAACTGAAGAGACAGACAGCTGGCTACAGAGATCCCTGCAGCTGAAGCTACTGTCAATAAGAATATTTTAAACTGCAATTGATGAATAGCTTGAGGCTCAATGTAGACAAGCTTGAGTGTTAAAAACTCTGAAGGGACCCAGTTTTAGGGGTCACCTCACACTTTCTTGAGTTTACCTCCAGGAGCCATATCAGTTTCTCACTGTACAAATTAAAAAAAAAATCATTTCATGCTTTGGGCAGGGAAGGGGAAAAGTAACAATTTTTAAATATGCCCAGAGCGATCCCTTCTCCTTAGCAAAGCCTGCCCTCAGGGAAAAGTATTTTACCAGAACCTAACTGACTGAGGTTTTACCAAAGGATAAACCACATGGGAGGAAATACCTAACTCCAACCCCTACTATACTTTGCCATGAGGGAAATATATATATATATATACATTACTGAGGCTCACTATATGACAAACAACTAATCGTAAGACAATATATCATTTTCTCTCACCCCAAAACTTTGCACATCAGTAGGGCTGCTGTATAATGACAAGATATTGATATTACAGCTAAAACAACTCTGAGCCTCAGACTCTACTTAAAAACTCTCTAGGAATGTCCACAAATAAGAGGGGGAACAAAAACAAGAACACTATAAAAACTTTAGTCTCTGACACTACAACTACAGCAAACAATAAACACAGCCTAACTCCTGGCCAGAAACATATAAACCTCACACTAAATCCTATCTGCATTAGTTCTTCTTTCTTTTTATCCAATACAACATGTTCAGATTTCAATAAAATGCATAAATCAGGTTAAAAGGTAAAAAACAGTCTGAAGAGATAAACTGAGTCTCAGAAACAAATTGAGATATGGCAGATATTTTGGGAATTGTATCAGAAATTTGAAATAACTATGATTAATATGCAAAGGGATCTAATGCAAAAAATAGACAACATACAAGAATAAATGGGTATAGCAGAGAGATGGAAGCTCTAAGAATAAATCAGAAAAGGACTTTTTAGCTTCAGCTTCAGGCATGAATGTAGCAATATAGATTCACATCACTGATAGGAAAATGGAGTTTTTTCTTAGTTACTAAGAGGCAAGTGTAAAACAAACTAATCTAAAAGGCATTTAAAATTAGATTTTAAAAATTAAGCCTGCTTAATTAAGAAAAACATAATATGAACCTTTACTTTTCATATGAAGTTTCAGTCTATATCTTAGTTGCTAAAACAATTCAAAGAAAATGACTTTAAATTGATTATAATTTATTTGTTGTGGCTTTATAAGTCTATATGCTTTTAAACCAGCTCCTTCACAATTCTTTCTTTTTTTCTCTTTCTCTCTGTGTCTTTCATTTTGTGTGTGTGAGCTTTTCTTTCAATTGAAGGGGAAGAAAGCTAACTCTATAAGAAAAAGTCCAACTGAACAATATAAGATAATAAAAAGTGATGCATATTAGTCTTTTTTATGTAGCCAGGCACTATTCTTAGTATGCTTACCTTTATTTATTAAATCCTTATCTTGCATCAACCTCATGAAATAGATTTTATCATTGTCCACACTTTGCAGATGAGGGAACTGAAGCACAAAAGGTTTTACAACATGTTAAAAATCACAGTTAGAGATAATGCTGTGGTTCAAACCCAGATGGTTTCTTCCTGGACTCGGCACTCCTAGTCTCTTACTGGACTATTTTTTCAATGACAGGAAAAATATCCATGTTTCCTAGAAAATAAAATATAGCTCATATTTTAGATAACGTCTATACTTACAGCTACAGTTGCCCTCCAAATACCATAAGAAAAATAAAAATAAGAATACTTACGGAAAAATTGTAAACAGTCAAAATGTAAAATAATACATAAAAATCTTTTTTTTTTTTGAGACGGTCAGCCTCTGTCACCCAGGCTGGAGTGTAGTGGCACGATCTCAGCTCACTGCAACCTCTGCCTCTCTGGCTCAAGCGTAAAAGCCTTTACTAAGTAAATAGTTTTACTTGGGTGGGGGTTGAGTTTGAATTATATAAGAAACCAGGCACTAAGAATACTTACATGCCTAGAAAAATAACATATAATAAATGTGATAAATTATAGAAATTATTTAAAAACTCTTAACTGTTAAATACTAAAATACCTAAGTACCAATTTAGCAATTGTCAAATAAAATAATAAAACAGAAAGTAATTTTCATTTGTGCTACAGTTTTTGTCAAAGTTGTAAGCATAAATGTAACTACAGTGTGAATAATTTTAAGTAAAGCAAAAATCAAAGAATACCTGGGTTAACTTACACTAACTAAATAAGAAATTATTACAAATAACTTCATGTCAAGGTTCCAGCACTGTAATGATTTTAAATTAGAAAACATTTCTGGGATAGGTTGCGCATTTAACATTTTTAGGATCTGTCAATACGATCACTTTTGGTATGAAACAGCCTATTTATTTTGATTAGAGCAAAAATCCCCCAATGAAACAATGAAACAGAAGCCAACAATAACACTTGACTAACCAATTGCCCAGCAGGCTACTCCATATCCTTGAGGATTCAAATGGGAAAACAAACAAACATCTGAAAATGTCAGTGTCACTTGCAGATTCCAGACACACCTTTTAAAAATAACTTCTACAAATGCTGGAAAGCTTTAGATATGATCAAATGACCTAGGACTCTCTTTGTAGTTTTTATATTGCTAGAAATAAAACATTTTCTATAATTTCCATGATAGAAATGGAAACTTTTCTATCCCCACCATTAAATAGACTAAGTCAAACCTTCTGTGTTAAATATCTCATAAAAGTTGAAGAAATATATTTTGTTACCTGTTATTAGAAAGAAAATGGTTACATATAAATTGTTTTGCTCATGAGTGATTGAAATTCTCTGATAGGATATATAGTAAATTCAAAGAAAGAGCTTTTAATATAGGTATTATTTTCTTCCCCCAAATCTATCTATTGTGTGAATGTCTAACCAAGCAAGAATGATTCTCAAATTAAGTTGGATTTTCAGGAAAAAAAAATATTTGAAAACTGCACAATTTAAACCAAAAGTTTAATTCGACAGAGAAATATTGAGGGTGGATATCAGGTCTGCTTCAGGATAAAGTAATCATATATGCCATGATTATTTATTTGTGCTGTTTAAATATGCAAAATTTGCATATTTGCATTTAAATATTTGCATATTTAAGCAAAAATAAATATATAAAAAATAAATGTATACTCACTAGTAAGTGCCATCATTACTTTTACTAAGAAAGAAATCATGAGGAAAAGATTATAAAAAGTGCTATTTCTCTCTTGATATCCATACCATGATCCTGAAATATAATAGAAGTATAATTCCACATGTATTATAAACACAAGAAACACATTGCTGTTAGTATCTGTATATTTCATAACTATAGAATAACTTAGCTTCAGAAACAGACTCCATTTTGATCTCTTTGTGCTGTGATCACCTCAAAGCATTTGCTACTTCCCAGGAAGACAAAGGGATTTTCTTACCCTTATTCATCTCTTATTGTGTCCTTTCGGGGTTTGTCTACATTCCCAGATTTTGAGAAAGACATGGTTTCAGATCTGAAAAAGATAGAGAATCTCTAACTCCAGAATTTCTATTTTAAACACAAAGAAAAAGAGCCCTAAGGAACTAAGAAGTCTAGAGATGGTTAAAATTGTATTTTTCTCTGTATTTCCCATATACTAGATATACTAAATATAATCTGCACAGAATTATGTCCCAATACATCTAAAATCCAATTGTCTGGGACTTAGAATACTTGGAAAGAAGGTGGGAGTAAATTAGGATTGTCTGAATCTCTTTAAATATGACAAGATGACTAACCTTTGGGGGTTTGAGGCTAATAATGTAGTTAGGAAGTCATTATACTTTTTTATTATTTAAGTTGAGAAAAATGAAGGGTGGTGCTAACATCTGAATAAAACTTTTTATTTTTCCTTAACTGAGACTTGGATGGAAAGTTTCAGAAATAATAGTGAAGATTTATCTCATTCTAATTTTTGCTTTAAGTGCATTACATTATTACATTAACTTTTAACACATCTTTGAAGCAGATGAATTATTTTTCTTTTCTTTTAAAGGTGAGTAAATTTAGCAAAGAGAGATTAAAATATTTTACAATATCACATAAATTTTAGCATCTGGTTTAACCCCAGGCAGTCTTTGTTGGGAGACAGCTGGACAACGTCAAAGAAAAAAATACACCAGATAGATAAAGAAGACTTTAACACTGTTATAATAGTGGAGAGAGATGGAAGTCATCTTCCCTGAAACAAAAGGCAGGTGCTGGGTGAGGTATTGGAAATGTACTGAAAAATGCTATGGAGAGGTAAGTCAATGTGATTAGACCATCTGTATTTGCTAATTAGCACTAATCTATGTTAGGTTCCTACTCTCTCATAGAGACTGGCAATATGGCTCCTGACTTTCAGGGTGATTACATCTCAAAAGAATGGCTCACAGGTCCTGGAGAAAGTCTTTTCTGAGTTGCAATACTGGGAAGAGGCTAGGAGAAGATTATATCTCAAAGGGGAAGATAGATAATTTTTACAAGTTTTCTAAAGTAAATGCTCTAAGAAAAGAGAGGTCAAGATTATAGTAACGAATAAAACTTTCTTAAGTTTAGTAAAGCTGAGAGGAACATTTAGGATGTCTTGGTTAACAGAAAGTTGAAGAGATAAGTAATGGATGGATAGATGAGTAGGTTGATGAGTGGATGAACACATAATCTAGTGCAATTCTCAAGCAAACATAACTTTGTAAGGAAGAACTTTAGACAGACTATCCTCACTCTTATTTGTTACAAATACCTGTTAGTAAAAACACGTAATCTTGATGTACTTTTCTGAGAGGTCATTTTTATATCCTGTTTTCTTTCTTTTTTTTTTAATTTTATTTTTTATTGTACTTTAAGTTCTGGATATATGTGCAGAATGTGCAGGTTTGTTACATAGGTATACATGTGCCATGGTGGTTTGCTGCACCCATCAACCTGTCATTTAGGTATTACGCCCTACATGCATTAGGTATTTGTCCTAATGCTCTCCCTCCCCTGGCCCCCAATGAGTGAGAACATGCAGTGTTTGGTTTTCTCTTCTTGTGTTAGTTTGAGGAGAATGATGTTTTCCAGCTTCATTTATGTCCCTGCAAAGGACATGAACTCATTCTTTTTTATGAATGCATACTATTCCATGGTGTATATGTGCCACATTTTTTTTATCCAATCTATCATTGATGGGCGTTTGGGTTGGTTACAAGTCTTTGCTCATGTGAATAGTGCTGCAGTAAACATATGTGTGCATATGTCTTTATAGTAGTATCCTGTTTTCTTTCGTTCATTACCTGTAAAATAAAAAAAAACTTGACAATATCTGTGATTACTAATATTATCAAGTGCCAATCAAGTATAAACTTGATTGGATTGAAGGATGACTAGATGGCTGGTAAAGCATTGTTTCCGGGTATGTTTGTGAGGTTGTTGCCAGAGGAGAGTGACATTTGAGTCAGTGGACTGGGAGAGGAAGATCCACCCTCAACGTGGGTGGGCACTATCCAATCTGTTCCCAGCATGACTAGAACAAAGCAGGCAGAGGAAGATGGAATAATCTTGCTTGGCAAGTCTTCTTTTTTCCTTCTTTTTCCTGGGCTGGATGCTTTCTTCCACTGCTCCTGTCCTTGGACATCAGACTCCGGTTTCTTCAGCATTTGTACTCAGGGACTTGCACCACTAGCGTACTCTGGAGAGGTGGGGCTCTTGGGCCTTTGGCCACAGACTGAAACCTGCACTGTAGTCTCCCCTGGTTTTGAACCTTTCTGACTAGGACTGAGCCACTACCTGCTTCTGTCTTCCCCAGCTTGTAGATGGCCTATGGTGGGACTTTGCCTTGTAATCATGTGAGCCAATTCTCCCAGCAAACTTCCTTCCATGTGTAGATATATCCTATTAGTTCTGTCCCTCTGGAGAACCCTGAGTAACACAATGTCAAAGAGATATCCTGTACCATTTAGAGAACTTTCCAAAGGTTTCACCAGAATATCTACTGATGAATATCACACAATCTAGAGCAAGAATAGAAAATTTCAGTTTATTGTTGAACTTGTGATAGTATCGCTGATCCTTCATTTCTTTTTCATTTATATATTCATATTTATACATTCAATGAATATATTAAGTGACTACTATGTGACTGAAAATGCCCTTTCTATGCTGGGACTGTAATTTACAATAGTCTCTCACATATTTCAAAATAGCTGGAAAAGAATAATTTGAAAGTTTCTCATACAGAAAAAACAAATATTTAAGATAATGGATACCAATTACACTAATTTGATCTTTACAAACTATATAGATGTATTAAATTATCACATGTACTACCAAAATACGTAAACCTATTATGTATCAATAACAAAATAAAATAAATTTTACGTAACCCATGAAAATAAACAAATAATATTTTAGATACAGGAACTATGAATAAAAATGAAAGCAGTGTATGAATATAATCATATAGAGACTAAAAATGTGCTTTTTTTGGTTTCATTTTTGATAATTTAACTTATGTGTAGTATAGTCATCTCTGAAGCATGGGAGAATGGACAGTGAGAAATCCAGGAAACTAATAATACAATTTCCTTGAGTTGTGATTAAAGAACAAGTAGAAAGTATGTCTCAGTCAGGAAAGAAAAGCGATAGATGAGTTAAGAAAGAACAAAGGGTGAGACACTGAGGGCTTCATAGACAATGTTATGTGTAGTTTGGAGATTATCCTTAGTTTAAGAGTATACTCTGCAGTGGGTGGGGGGGGGGCTTGAGCAGGGATGTGCATCAGGTAAATAGGTTATTTTATAGAAAGTCTGTGATTATTTTGACAATCTCCAACATTTTTCAGAAGTACATAGCTCGTAGGTATGCCTCATGAATGAAGGCTCTGCTATAATACTTAAAGTACATTTTAAACTTCTACAAATTCCAAAGCTTTCTTTCTAGTTGTTTACAGCAGAGGTCCTCAACTGTAATATTCTGAAGGATCACAATGTTTCACTTCTGCCTAGGATGAAGAAAGTTGGAAAGAGTACCTCTCCCTTCTAACAAGAAAAAAAAAAAGTCAGCAAATGAAAAAGAATGAAAATCATAAAAAACATTCTCTCAGACCACAGTGCAATCAAATCAGAACACAGGATTAAGAAACTCACTAAAAACCGCACAACTGCATGGAAACTGAACAACCTGCTCCTGAATGACTACTGGGTAAATAATGAAATTAAGGCAGAAATAAATAAGTTCTTTGAAACCAATGAGAACAAAGACACAACGTACCAGAATCTCTGGGACACAGCTAGAACAGTGTTTAGAGGGAAATGTATAGCACTAAATGCCCACAGGAGAAAACAGGAAAGATCTAAAATCGACACCCTAATATCACAATTAAAAGAACCAGAGAAGCAAGAGCAAACAAATTCAAAAGCTAGCAGAAGACAAGAAATAACTAAGAACATAGCAGAACTGAAGGGGATAGAGACATGAAAAACACTTCAAAAAAAATCAGTGAATCCAGGAACTGTTTTTTTTTTTTTGAAAAGATTTAAAAAATAGACTACTAATCAGACTAATAAAGGAGAGAGGAATCAAATAGCACAATAAAAATGGTAAATGGAATATCACCACCGATCCCACAGAAATACAAACTACCATCAGAGAATACTATAAATGCCTCTACGCAAATAAACTAGAAAATCTAGAAGAAATGGATAAATTCCTGGACACATACACTCTCCCAAGACTAAACCGGGAAGAAGTCGAATCCCTGAATAGACCAATAGCAAGTTCTGAAATTGAGGCATTAATTAACAGCCTACCCACCAAAAAAAGCCCAGGACCAGATGGATTCACAGCCAAATTTTACCAGAGGTACAAAGAGGAGATGATACCATTCCTATTAAAATTATTCCAAACAATAGAAAAAGAGGGATTCCTCCATAACTCATTTTATGAGGCCAGCATCATCCTGATACCAAAACCTGGCACAGACACAACAAAAAAAGAAAATTTTAGGCCAATATCCCTGATGAACATTGATGCAAAAATCCTCAATAAAATACTGGCAAACCGAATCCAGCAGCACATCAAAAAGATTATCCACCATGATCAAGTCGGCTTCATCCCTGGGATGGAAGGCTGGTTCAACATATGCAAATCAATGAACGTAATCCATCACATAAGCAGAATCAAAGACAAAAACCACATGATTCTCTCAATAGATGCAGAAAAGACCTTCAGTAAAATTCAGTGCCCCTTCATGCTAAAAACTCTCAATAAGCTAGATATTGATGGAATGTATCTCAAAGTAATAAGAGCTATTTATGACAAACCCACAGCCAATATCATACTGAATGGGCAAAAACTGGAAGCATTCCCTCTGAAAAGTGGCACAAGACAGGGATGCCCTCTCTCACCACTCCTATTCAACATAGTGTTGGAAGTTCTGGCCAGGGCAATCAGGCAGGAGAAAGAAATAAAGGGTATTCAAATAGGAAAAGAGGAAGTCAAATTGTCCCTGTTTGCAGATAACATGATTGTATATTTAGAAAACCCCATCATCTTAGCCCAAAATCACCTTAAGCTGATAAGCAACTTCAGCAAAGTCTCAGGATACAAAATCAATGTGCAAAAATCACAAGCATTCCTATACACCAATAATAGACAAACGGAGAGCCAAATCATGAGTGAATTCCCATTCAAAAATGCTACAGAGAGAATAAAATACCTAGGAACACAACTTACAAGGGATGTGATGGGCCTCTTCAAGAAGAACTACAAACAACTGCTCAAGGAAATAAGAGAGGACACAAATAAATGGAAAAACATTACATGCTCATGGATAGGAGGAATCAGTATTGTGAAAATGGCCATACTGCCCAAAGTAATTTGTAGATTCAATGCTATCCCCATCAAACTACCATTGACTATCTTCACAGAATTAGAATAAACTACTTTAAAATTTCATATGGAACCAAAAAAGAGCCTGCATAGCCAAGACAATTGTAAGCAAAAAGAACAAAGCTGAAGGCATCATGCTACCTGATTTCAAACTATACTACAAGGCTACAGTAACAAAAACAGCATGGTACTAGCACTAAAACAGATACATAGACCAATGGAGCAGAACAGAGGCATCAGAAATAATGCTGCACATCTACAACCACCTGATCTTCTACAAACCTGACAACAACAAGCAATGGGGAAAAGATTCCCTACTTAATAAATGGTGTTGGGAAAACTGGCTAGCCATATGCACAAAACTGAAACTGGACCCCTTCCTTACACCTTATACAAAAATTAACTCAAGATGGATTAAAGACTTAAACATAAGACCTAAAACCATAAAAACCCTAGAAGAAAACCGAGGCAATACCATTCAGGACATTGGCATGGGCAAAGACTTCATGATTAAAACACCGAAAGCAATGGTAACAAAAGCCAAAATTGAAAAATGAGATCTAATTAAACTAAAGAGCTTCAGCACAGCAAAAGAAACTATCATGAAAGTGAACAGGCTACCTACAGAATGGGAGAAAAGTGTTGCAATCTATGCATCTGACAAAGGGCCAATATCCAGAATCTACAAAGAACATAAATTTACGAGAAAAAATTAAACAACCCCATCAAAAAGTGGGAAAAGTATATGAATAGACAGTTCTCAACAGAAGACATTTATGCAGCCAAAAAACATATGAAAAAAAGCCCATTTCCACTCGTCATTAGAGAAATGCAAATCAAAACCACAATGAGATACTATCTCACGCCAGTTAGAATGGCGATCATTAAAAAGTCAGGAAACAACATGCTGGAGAGGATGTGGAGAAATGGGAATGCTTTTACACTGTTGGTGGGAGTATAAATTAGTTCAACCATTGTGGAAGACAGTGTGGCGATTCCTCAAGGATCTAGAACCAGAAATATCATTTGACCCAGCAATCCCATTACTGGGTGTATACCCAAAGGATTATATATCATTGTACTGTAAAGACACATGCACGCATATGTTTACTGCAGCACTGTTCACAATAGCAAAGACTTGGAACTAACCGAAATGCCCATCAGTGATAGACTGGATAAAGAAAATGTGGCACACGTACACCATGGAATACTATGCAGCCATAAAAAAGGATGAGTTCATGTCCTTTGCAGGGACATAGAAGAAGCTGGAAACCATCATTCTCAGCAAACTAACACAGGAAGAGAAAACCAAACACTGCATGTTCTCACTCATAGATGGGAGTTGAACAATGAGAACACATGGACACAGGGAGGGGAACATCACACACTGGGGCCTGTCGGAGGGTGGGGGACTAGGGGAGCGATAGCTTTAGGAGAAATACCTAATGTAGATGACAAGTTGATGGGTGCAGCAAGCCACCATGGCACATGTACACCCATGTAACAAACCTGCACGTTCTGCACATTATCCCAGAACTTAAAGGATAATAAAAAAAATTCATTCAGAGTCATTTTTCTTTAAAAAAAGAAGGTACAAAATCATAGCTTTCCTGGAACTCATCAGTAAGATGAAGTTTTAAGGCAACCAAGTGGCCTAAATTCTGGGAACAGGGAAGTGAAGCATCTTTTTGAGATGTGGAGTATGTAAACTATTTCACCTGTGGCAGAGTGCAGGAGAAAGGAGAGACTGCTATACAAGTGTGTAAGAATAAGTTTACTAAAACTAGATAAATATTAAAGGCCATATATGAGTTAGTGTAAGAGTATTAAACCACTGGGAGCTCAAAGTTAAGGGGACTTTCCAAGAGCTTCTAAACTCCTTCCCACTGGCTTCCACTGGTTTCTCAAGAGAAACATGAAAGATCTGTTTTCATAGGCAAATTATATATTATTATCCATGATGCCTATATTTTATATAATAAACATGATAAAAATAAATATTGTAGTTAAAATTAGAAAATAATAAATAATAAATCATTATATTTTATCATTACATTGTAACAACATGCCAGAGATCCATTTGTTTTTGACCATATTTAAAAAATTGACTTTGTTAATATTTCTTCAAATTCCTACCAAGATAAATATCATTAGTAACACCCAACTATTTTATTTTTACAATCTAGATTTAATAAATATTCAATTTTAATTTATTTTATTTTTACAATCTAGTTTTAATAAATATGTTATTTTTACAATATAGTTTAAATAAATTCTGTGGGATATGCCTCAGGCAATCTGCATAAATTCGGCATAATTATAAGTGGTAAAGAGGCCTGTAGTATATTCTTTTGATGTATGTTTTAAAGCAATATGACCCAAAGAAATGTGAGCTCTCTGATATCCCTAATTCACCAACTTAAATAGTAATTTTAAAAGTTTCATGGGAAACAAATGAAAAATCTCACTAAATATGTTTTAAGTACTTTTTTTCAGAAATAAAAAATATTCTGCAAAATATTCTGTAGTATAAGCAGATAATGCGCCATTATCCCTATTGTAATCAACATATTTCTTCTGCATAGTGGTACTGTGGCCATTTATACACTTGTATTTCTTAATATGTTTGTCTTTGCTTAACTTTGTCTAAGTCCATGATTATGATTATTTTGGCAATCTCCAAAACTAGGTCACTTAATATTCCCAGATTTACTTGGCCTTTCTTAGTTTATAATTGTTGTTACATCTGGGTATGGCTGATAAATTATATCTTCACTGAACACACAAAAATCTTTCAAAAATATCTATAATAGCACACACCATACTTTAAAAAATAATTATTAGTGTATCGATATGTACCGTAAGTCATTCTAGGGCAAGGTGTATGTTGTCAATTTTTTTATTCTCAAGATCAATGATAGTAAATGGTGGACACTCATAAACTAATGTTGAATTGTTAAAAATGTTTTATTCCTATATTTATATATGAAACTTCCTTAGGTCAAAAGTACTTTTTTTTAAGTAGCTCTCTCATTTTCTCATTAGCTAGCTCTCTCTTCAATTAAAGTTGAACAAATTTTTAAATATTAAATATAATTTTAATTTCGACAAAATACACTTCCAAGTCCATGGTTTGTCAGATGCTTTCACATAATAACTTATTATTGGTTCTCTACTTCCTTAACTTGTCTGTATTTTATGGGCAACATGAACCTTCTTAAGTTTCAAAGTATATGACAAAGTAGTTTCTGACTCTATTCTCTCAATTTGTTTTCTTTCTTTTGCTCTTCCTCACAATATTTCTCTTCTATCTTTTTAGTAGTTGTAGGAGCACCTCCAAAGCTTTATTGTTATTATGTTACATTATTTTCCAAAGTTTTTAAAGAATTTAATATACAAGCTATTCTAAAGGGGAATGAAAAGAGCTAACACCTTTTGAAAAATTTCATGGTGGCAGTAACATGAATATATCATGGGATTTCAAATTTTATAGTATTAATATAAATATACACTTCAGGATGCTGAAGGACAGAGATTGAAGTACTGCGGCATTTTCTGTCTTCTCTTTATGGGACCGGAATATTAAGTGATCTAGTACATGTACATTCAGTTAAGGTGTTGTTCACAGGTACAATTCAGAAAGGTTGACATAAGACACTGGTTAAACCACATAGAAGCTGGAATAAATATAAAAGGATTGAAATCATATGAAGTGTATTCTCATCAAAATGATACAAAGTTAGACATAATAACAGAAAGGTGTTTAAGAAGTATACAGATACACAGAAATGGAAAATCAAACAGCACACATACTTCTAAATAAATAATCTGGGTAAATTAAAACCCTCATATACTGATGACAAAATTATAAAATTGTTAACCACTTTGGAAAAGCCATGTCAGTTTATGAAATTGTTGAAAATAGAGAATGCTCTACATGAGTCAATGACTTAATTTCTAATTATATATCAAGACAAATGAAAACATATTTTCATATAAAACTTGTCATGAATGCACATAGCAGCCTTATTCATGAAAGCCAAAAAGTACAAACAATTCAAATGTCTATCAACTGATAAATGAATGAACAATATTGAATTGTATATACATTCAGATGTCTAGAAGAGAAGATTTTAAATGTTCCTGCCGCAAATAATGATGAATGTTTGAGGTGATGGATTTGCTTATTATTCTGATGTGGTCATGTATCAAAAATCATCTTGTAGTCAATAAATATGTATATTTTTTAAGTGTTAATTAAGAATAAAATAAAACATTAAAAAGAGGAAATACTAATCCCACATAAAAAGAGCTTGACAATCTTGTACTAAGTGAAAAGGCCAGTCACAAAAGGACCATATATTTTGATTCCATTTACATGAAATGTCCAGTATAGGAGAATCCATAGAGAAAAAGTATGTTAGTGGGTGCCAGGGGCTCAGAGGAATACAGAAAGGTTATGAATGCAGTGGGGTCTTTCCTAAGAGCAATTAAAACATTTTAAAATTAAATAGTGGTGATATTTGCACCACTCTGTTAATATGCTAAAAACTACATAATCATAAACTTTAAAAAATGGAGACTGTCACAGTATGTGAGTTATCAATAAAGTTATAAGAAAAATAATTACAGGTAAAAAACTGTAGCTGGAAGTGTCTTTAGCAGAAGACAGAGGAAACATGGCTGTATTGGGAGTGAGCCACACTCCCGCAGCATCTGGACAAAGGTCCTTCGTTTCTGAGTGAGGCAGTAAAGACGCATGATAAAGAGCACCTACTCTCCCATCAAATAGCCCTAGTAAAAATTCCAAATTTGCTGTTTATTAGTATCATAAATTTTGCCTAGTTTCCTCATTTGTAAATGGGATGTATTGGATTGTTGTGAATATTAAATGAACTAGAACATGTAAAGTATTTAAGCATGGATGGCACATGATTAATGTTGGCTATTATTATTATTTTAGCAGACAGGACGTGAATCAATAGAAATCACCCTCCAATTTGGGACACCACCTTGCATTCAGTTATGATGTCTGTTAGTCTTCATTGTTCTGTGCCAGCTTCTCAGTCTTTTCTTATTTTTCATGAACATACGTTTTGACAAGTACTGGTCAGATATTCTGTAAAATGCTCTTAATTTGGATTTTTCTGATGCTTTTCTCCTGATTAGACTAGAGTTACCTGTATCAGAGAAGATTACCACCGAAGTGAGAAGCCCTCATAACACATGATATCAAGGGGTGCATGATATAAATATGACATTACTGATGACTTTAACTTTGATCATTTGGTTAAAGTAACGTCTGACAGGCTTCTATAGAAAATTACTATTTCCCTATGTATCCTTTATTCTCCAGAAATGAGGCACTAAGTCCAACCCATTGAAACGCTCCACCTTGTAGAGGAAAGGGAATCTACATATATTTGAAATTCTTCTATAAGAAAAACATGTTTTCTTTTTTCCTATTTATTTATAAGTGTTCATTTATTTGTATCAATATGGAATCACATATCAGTATGGATTCTATTTATTTTATATTTTATGTTTATGGTGGGCAGGATAATGGCTTGCTAAATACACCCACGACTTAATTCCCAGAACCTGTGAATGTTATTTTACACAGCAAAATGGATTTTGCAGATGAGATTACAGTTAAGGACCTTAAGATGTAACAATTATCCTAGATTATCTCTATGGAGCCATTCTTCTCATATGAGACCTTGAAAGTACGTTTTCCTGATTCTGATGAGAAGGAGATAAGACTTGGGATGAAGGGATTCTTTTTATCCTTATAATTTTGCCTTATGTTGAATATTATGCGAATCAAATATACAGTATGTAGCTGTTTGTGTCTAGCTTCTTTCCCATAGCAAATTGTATTTAAATTCATCCATATTGTTCTGTGAATCAATAAGTCAGTCCTTTTATACCTCTGAATAATATTTCATTGTATAGATGTACTGCTTATCCATTTACTGGTTGAAGGGCATCTTGTTTGCTTCCAGTTTGTGATGGTTATGAGTAAAGCTGCTGTATACATTCATATACAGAAATTTCTGTGAACATCAACCTTTTTAGTAACAAAAATTGATAGAAAATGCCACAGTTGCTGCATGAGCTATTATCTTAAACTTGGAATGTGGTGCTCTCACAGAAAGCAAAAATATGCTTGTAATATCTAGTGACCTTCTGCCTATACATTTAATTATCAAGTCAATTTAAAAACCTAGTTTCATGTGCTATCTCATTTTATTTTCACAGCCTCAAATAATATATTACTAACCTCACCTTGTATATGCTCCTCTTAGAGCAGTTTTTATACCATATCTCCTTGTATTTTATAAATATATACATTTGTGCATGTGTATATGTGTGAAAACTTCAACTATTATCAACAATTGTGCTTAGTGGTTTTCATGAAATTATGTTGCTCCCTTTAATTGTGGGTGGGACCTGTGACTTCTTTCTAATCAACTGAATATGGTAGAAGTAAAAGTGATTAGGTTACACAATTTGTCTAAAGTGAAGGGATATCACTTCCTCCTGCGATTAAGTTATGTTTTGAAAGACTGTGTCTTAACCAATTGAAGGTAGAAGACTTCACCTTCGCTGGCTTGAAGTAAGCTGCCTGTTGTAAAAGGGCTTATTAAGAAAAGCTCAAATGGCAAGAAACTGTGGGCAACTCCTGGTCATTGGGAGTGAGTCCAATCAACAGCCAGAAAGAAAATGGGACCTCAGTTCTACAACCCCAAGGAGGTAAATTCTACCAACAAGCTCACGGAGGTTGGAAGCAGATCTTTCCCTATTTGAGCTTCTGATGAAACCATGGTCCAAGTTCTACCTTGATTTCAGCCTTGTAATTGGACCCTGAAACAGAGGACCCAGCTAGATGAATCTTTGGCTCCTGGACCAGGGATACATTGAGACAATAAATATGTGTTCCTTTAAGCTGAAAAGTTTATGGAAATTTATTATACATCAAAGAAAACTGACATCGATTTGTTTATATAGTTTTTCCCGTTGTGTAACACACAAGTCTAGGGAATCCCATTCACACACTCTAGCTTTATGTAATGTACCACCTGCACAATGATATGACAGTTGTTTCTTCATACATTAAATTTACTGAGAGGTAGTGTTCAAATCTTGCTCCTCTGTGTGTCCATACAAGCCTTCTTATATGATATAAATTTTTACTGAGTTGAAATGAAACAAATTACACTGGGGAAAAAAAGAAAACAGACAACCCTTTGTAAATCTCCAGCACACTTTATATTTTTTATTAACTCTTTTATGTTAAAAGATCCTTGGAGATCATCTAGTCTATTTTTCATATTTTATAGATAAATGAAATAAAACAGCTTTATTCTGTGACTTGTCAAAGGACACATTTTTAGTTAATGCTACAGCTGGGCAATATTTTATGCCCAGTCTTCTGCTGGGCATATGCACCTAGTCTTCTGCTCTGCCCAGTATATTATTCTTCCAATTTTCCATCATGTGTATAATTATTATATTCTATTGATGAAAGTCAATGTAAAATACAAAATGTATTTGAAAAAGCTATAAATGTAATATTTAGTTTTTGAATAACATGATCTCAGAAGAAATATAGATATTTTGATGAGATTGTATTGACTTCAAAAATATTAATATATTTCATGGTTTAATGTAAAATCTTAATAGTTAATCTTTTTCTTTCAATGTATGGGAATTGTGGGACAATTGTTCATGGGTTCACATGTTTTAGCACTTATTGTGATAAAAACTACTGACTACCTTTACTATGGACTATCTTTATGAGTGTATTTGTATAGCAAACAGCTTGGAAGAAAGAGATAGTGTTTTCCTCCAGAAGGAAAATAAATAGTTAAAAAAAGAATAGGTTCCTTGGGCCAGGTGGAGTGGCCTACCTGTAATTCCAGCACTTGTGAGTCAGAGGTGGGCCAATAACATGAGTCAAGGAGTTCAAGGCCAGCTTGGGCAACATGGTAAAACCTTGTCTCTAAGAAAAATACAAAATTAGCCAGATGATGGCATGCACCTGTAGTCCTAGCTACTTGGGAGGCTGAGGTGAGAGGATTGCTTGAGTCTGGGAGGTTGAGGCTGCAGTGAGCAAAGACCATGCCACCGCATTCTAGCCTGGGTGACAGTGGAAGACACTGTCTCAAAAAAAAAAAAAAGGGGGGGGTTTCTAAAATCAGGTTTCTCTCATGTAATGCCACCTACTGAGTGTATAGGTATCACCTTATCTTCATGACTCTTTATGAACATGTGGGCTTCAGAAACTCTAGTTATAGCTCTTTTGTGAATAATAATGTTCTTTTTGTTTTCTGAGCCAGGGCTCTCCTATCTTCTGCAATTATCAATGAAATAGTGGCAAGCTAATTTATTAGGTTGCAAGTAGAGATGGTTAAAGATCCTTCACAATTGTTGATGGTAAAATACTGTATTTTCTACATAGTACATTTTCTTATTCATTCAAAGAAATGATAAAAATGAGTAAAGGAAAAAAATTATATGGTCAAGAAAAAATATTCATTTTCTCATTTGGGGTACTATCTTTCATCATCCAATACATATATATTTATATATACATATATACACATATATATTTATATATATACATATATAATACATAATAATTATATATATTATATTATATATTATATTAATACATAATATATTATATAATATAAAATATATAAAATAATATATAGTATATAAAATAAAATGCATATATAAGATATATAATATGCTATATATTATATATTATATCGTATATAATATATTTATATATATATGGACACAGTCACACACATATTTGTAATGTTATCTTCTAATTTAGTGTTGTTATTCACTCTAGCTTTAAGAATCCTTGCTTCAACAATTTTAATGTTTATATAAGGACATTTTAAGTAAATTTCTGTTTTCTCCAAGTGACCTTTCTTTAACGTCACACGAATTTAAAAAAAATGCAAGACAGAAAAAAAAGTTTGTTCTCAAAATTACTTTGTTGTTTATTTTTCAAAATTCTAACCACCGCAATTTTTGTTTACCTCATATATATATATATATATATATATTCCACAAAGTAAAGTTTCTATGGAAATCTGTGTGCTAATCTGTTTTTACTAAAGTCAAGAAGAATATGTAGTTTATACTTTAGTAAGTGTTTCATGGTAAACTTTCAGAAATGTATGCCTAGATTAAAAAATTGGCAGATAATACATTTTTTATTCTGATACTAAAATTTTAATTCAGCTTTTTGTATTATGCAATGGCTTCCAGGCAAAGCTTGTTTATTTTTTTCCCTCAGAAATTGCCTCCAGAGATATAATTCTTAAACTATACTAAATTAACGTTACTGCTGTTTTATGAAAGCCATGATTATTCTTAATATACTCATTTGTCTGTTTGTGGTTCTATTGGGATAGAAATACTGTTGGCTTTAGAAAGACCTTCTGCCATGGTTACAGAGTCCTGCTGTGAAGTTTAAAATGTGTGTAATTCTGCAACATTTGTGAAAATAATCACACTGTTTACATGCAGTGATAATGTTAATAAAACTAGGTCATCATCTTTAAACAAATGTTTAACCCTATTAGCGGAATACATATTCACTGTTGAAATAATTTGCTAATTGCCTTCCCTTGATTCAGATACTCATTGGAATTTGATCTTTTATTCATTGTATACATTGCTTTATTTAGGCTTAATAATACTTTTACATTTAAATAATATTTATTCTTATGAATTTTAAGATAATATTTAAGGCAATACATGCTGGGCATGCATCAGAATAAAAATATATTTTTAGATATTTCTGAATACGCACACATAAATCAGATTATACTCACATATTATATTTTAAATTGTGTAATTTTATTTGATATGCTTTGCACATTATTCTAAGTACTTTGATAAAATAATTGTTAGGATTGTACTGAGTTTTATTTTATTATTTAAGAATTGAACTATAATAGGATAGTTAAAAGCATAAGTTGTGGGATCTTAAAAACTTATAATAACCTTTTGACTCCAGCACCTACATTTTAGACATGTAATTTACTTCCTTACACCTGTTTTCTTTTCTGTAAAATAAAAATAGTTATAACTACCTATGTACATTGTTGTGTTGACTAGTGAAACAATGCTTATAAAGTACATATGGAAATTCTATAAAATACAAAGTACTCAGTACACACTAGCTCTTCTCATAATAGTAGCTATTATTTTAATCAATTCCTACCATTGTACATGGCACTGTTTAAAATTTCTTACAATTTTAGGTAATCTTTTGTCATAAAATGTTGAACATGAAACTATAGAAATAGAAATCATGGTTTAAAACATACTACTAAAGAGTCTTAATTAATTATGGAAGATTACCTTTGATACATGCTGCAATGATTTAGAGTTGTCTCTGACTGTATGGGAGTGATATGGTTTGGCTCTGTGTTTCCACCCAAATCTCATGTTGAATTGTACTCTGCATTGTTGAGAGAGGGGCCTGTTGGGAGTTGATTAAATCATGGGGGTGGATTTCCCCCTTGCTGTTCTCATGATAGTGAGTTATCATGAGATCTGGTTGTTTGACAGTGTGTAGCACTACCCCTTTCGTGCTCTCTCTCTCTTTCCTACTGCCATGTGGAGAAGGTGCTTGCTTCCCCTTTCCCCTTCCACTATGATTGTAAGTTTCCTGATGCTTCCACAGACATTCTTCCTTTACAGCCTGTGAGTCAATCAAACCTCTTTTCTTCATAAATTACCCAGCCTCAGGTAGTTCTTTATAGCAGTGTGAGAATGGACTACTACAGGGAGCTTCCTCCATCTGATATGATACAGAGTTTTGACATTTTAAACAATACCATTGGAAATTTGAGCAATATAGTGTCTCCTTATTTAAAAACGAATTTCTTTTATTTTGAATGAATAAGCTTTTATGTAAATACTTTCCATGCAGAATTTAGTGTTTATATGTGAACTGTCTAGCTTGTATACATAGTTACTATTTATATCATCATAAAAATATCAATTTTTTATTATGTTGCAAATAGTTTCCCCAATTTATTTCCTCGTGAATTTTTTTCTGATATTTTTTAAAATGTGGTATTATTTTGGCCATTTATTATTTTATTACAAAGTACACATATGCTACATATAGTTAATTATAAAAACAACACGTGAAAAATCAAAATAAATACCTTTATTAAGTGATAATAATTGTTTAAATGTAAATAATTTTCATTTCAGACACCCTCAGGTGTCCATTGGTTATTCTGATATACCTAGAGGAATCTAGGTGGAATGAATGCTCTTCATAATTACACAGTCTACCCACTAGTTTTATATCAATTTAAAACATTACTATGAGGAATTTAAAAAGAAATGAGTATGTTTTTTATTCTTAAATTTTTTTAAAAAGTCAGAGGCACTATTATCCTGTACTACTGATCTTGTTGATTATCTTGTATTTATAATCATGGCCCTACAGCAGCCTAGCCACCTTCATGGGACTATTTGGAATGAATGTCTATGGATGGAGATGAAACTAATGGCTTCTATGCACCTCGATGGCACTGCTTTTGAATAACCTTGCCCAGTTGCCACTCATTTGGAAATGGAGGAAGGGATCAAGTTCTGTCTGAAACTGTATACAGTTCTAAAATTACTCCTCTGATTTAAGGCTTGGTCTTTTAATATACTTGCCTTCTGTTAACTAGTGCACAGTCAGCTCTCCTCCAAGACATTTGTAGAAATAGTGTTGACACACACACACACAGTTTTAATGTGTGTATATTTTAACTTTAATAACAATCACATATTGTGACACCAACATATATGTACCTATGTGCCTAATATATATACACAAAGTTTAATGTCATAAAGTTATATGAAATTAATGTACTTTGTTTTACCTAACCAATAATTTAATGATAAACATTGTTTCAAAATTATAAAGATCCTCATATTTTATGCAAATTATAAAAATATAGGCTTTATTTTATGATATTTTTATCTATCTGAAGGTATCCTTGGGGAATTTGTTCAATATTTTAGATCACATGAAAGGAACATTTAAAATGTGATAAATAATAAAACAACTAATGCTTCTAATAGCTAACACTAAGAACGTGCTGTTTTAATCCTACAGCACTATTATAGCCAAAACCATTCCATTCATACACTCTTTCAAATAAAATAAAATAAAGGAAATGGAAAAAGAAAGAAAAACTTGTGATAAATTGATTTGCTTTATTAATATGGCCTCCAGAATAATTGCAAAAATTGCATGCTAGCCAGTGGTTGTTTGATAGTCTATGTAGTTGCTATCAAAAGTTCTTTATGAAACCATTTCATTTTTTCAGATATGATACATTATTTTTAAATTGTATTTCTTGCATAAGTAAGGATATTGAATGTATTTTATACTTTTTAGTCATTTAAATTTCTAATTTTTGAATTACTGATATTCTTTAACCATTTTTCTTTATATTGTTGATAATCTCTTTTGTACTTGTAAATGATCCATGCACAGTAATGATTTATCCTGCTGAATATCAAACCATAATAAACACTTTACTAGTATTTCCAATGCATTGCAAATCTTATTTCTAAATCTTAGGTTAATATTTTTATTTTTACTCATAAAGCTTTTTGTAAAATTCTTACTTTGGCAAAATTATTACATTTTATTTTTATCTTGTGATTCCTAGCTCTGATGTCTTATATAGGAAGACTTTTCCACATTTTTTTTTTGTTTTTTGCATGTGTATTTTTGTGTGTAAGTGAACACAGAGAGAGATAAATATTTGTAGAGAGATTAAGCTCTTTGTGGTTAGTTTTCCCAGTGTGATTAATTGAATAATTATTAAAAACAATGTAGGAAAAGGGGACAATGAGAAATTTTAAAAATTAAGTGTGTCTGTAGGATATCTTGACTTAAGACTCTATGGTATCTCTTTATTGTCCTTGCAAATGTATTTTATTTCCAGTTGAACTTCTCTGCTTTTCCAATTTCTTGGTCTTGAGTCTGTTTCAAACTGGATCTCTTGAATGGTAATTTCCATACGCATATCCTTCAGGTGCTATTTTACCCACACTCCATAATTGTCAACTAGGTAATCCTAACTACACATAAATTCATCATCTGCCTCACATGACATCTACTCATTCCCACAGAGCCCAATGTCTGCCCATAAGAGGCACCCCACTCAGCTCGGCCACAGGGTATGTAGCAGCTCTCCCTGCCACTTGTCATTCTTGCATAATCAGATAATTTTTTGCTTAATGGATGGAGGTAATATGCATGTGTGCTGGGTCTCAACTGGGATCTGAATTATGACCCAGCTTGTCCTTCAGATTCAACTGTTTTTTTTTTTTTTTTTCCAGCCTGGGGACCTCTATTATTTCCCACAAAAGAAGGTTACATGAGATTACTCCAAGCATCTGAAGTTCTAAAATAAAAATACTGTTTTTCTTAATGGATCAATGCAGGATTAAATGCCTGTGTTTTGCATAAGTGAATGATAAACAATAGTGCTTGCACTTTCCTAAAGTTTTAGAGGGCTTCTTAGAAATAGTATCTGCCAAATCTAGGAAGTCCAATCTCTAGAATTCTCATGAAGTCTATTATTTCTGGAAGTGTAGCTGGGCACCCTCACAAGCATGGTAGATTTTTGCTGTTGAAAAACAACACACAGTGTCTCATGCACTTCTGTAATTCTTATTAAGAGACACTGACAACTTTTGTTCAAGAATGCTTGTATAGCAAACACCTTTGAAAGGTAGAGATAATGTCTTTCTCTAGGGCCGGGGACATAGTTTTGTTTTCTTGATGAAGACAATAAACATAAATCTTTCTCCAGGGAAAATATTGAGTAGGCTTGCTAACATTCCCTTCATAAAATTGAGGTTTCCTAAATTTCAGGTTGCTCAACTGTGACCTAAACCTACTGTGTGTGCAGCATCTACCATTAGAAGCAAGGGAAATTGTTGCAAACACAAATGTCATGGTTTCTATTCTGCTGAGAGAAATGAAATCCTTTGTTTCTGACACAGGAGTCTTATGTCTTTTGCCAACATCTGTGAAACTGTGCTACTACTTGCTATTGTAGAATTGAATGGTAGAATCTGAGACCATTCAAATAATTAACTAATTCAGATGATTGGAAAGGTCTCAATTGAAAGACAACTAATTTCTACATCATCTTTGGGAATAAACCCCCAATTAGCATGCAAAGTAGAGTGGGCAAAAATACTGTGGAGGAGCCAGGTATATTTAAAAAGGCAAGTAAACTAGGTTACATAAGATTTAAAAAATAACAGAGAAAATAGGCAAATGTGACAATTCTGCCTGCATATTTACTTCTTAATAATCTGCTTCTATTTATTTTCTAATTTATTTAACATTCTTCCGGTCAAAGAAACTACATAATTAGGCTGAACTTGGCTTAAACACTGGCAATTTTTGAATTTACAGCTGAAGTTTTACATTGTGTGATAAGTCCTTATGTTTCCTAGCTAAAAGTGCTTAATTTTTGCTACTAGAAGAAGGAGATCCAAAGAAAGCATTTTTTAAAAACTGCTTGCTCCTACTTCTCTTTCTAGGTATCCTCCAGAAAACCGAGAGAATTTGAAGTGCTCAAAAATTGTTTAAAAGCTTTCACTAACCCACTATTTTTTCCTTCTTCAGGCTGCTACATTTGGTGAAGACTATAAATATTCCATATTACTTTTAAAATTTAGTCTCATAGGTTTCAATGATACTGTTGAAATCAGCAGTCAAGCTTGAGAAGACATCTACCCCTTGAACGTCAGATATTCCATAAAGTCAACATATTTGTATCAGTATTATTGCTAAATTGTTAATTTGTAATCAAGTCATAGCATAGTTCATGTACCACATAAAAGTCATTAGTAATGTGTAATAAATAAAAGTCTAAGCCCAGAAATTGTCTGGAAGGAAAAAAATTATTCTATTTTACATGACTCAAGCTAATTTTGCTTTTATGCCTCCTCCACCAATTTGATGGAACATTTTAAGTTCAGGCATTCTTAGGGATTCTCTCCTTCCCATGCACTTAATATTTCCCAAGGTTCCAAAGTGTTATGCAGTACTCAAGTGTTGGAATGGCTCCCAGTCATCTGTCCATATATTCCATAGATTTCTGAAGTGCCCATTTCCCAGATCAACTCAGGCTTTCATGTCTGGCGACTCCTTCCTTGATGTTACTTTGACATGCTTGGAAATAGACAATCTATTTCCAAGGCTATCATTTGGGTAGAATGCAACATTCTTTTCTTAGGCTTTCTTCAGGTTTCTGAGGAAGCCTGAAGACCATATTTTTATCTTCTGCACTCTTATTTCATGCTTCCTATTTGCTCTCCTATTTGCTAATGCTTCCCCCCCTTTTTTTTCAATGAGTAAATGAAATTTTACATTAAATCTACTTCCTTATGTTTGCACCATTATTTTTTCTCTTACAGTTCCCCAGATTCTCTTTTTACTTAGGTTTCAAATCATCTAAGTTTCTCTTTGAGCAGACACAAAATGTTGGGTTATGTTTGGTTTCCACCTATCCCTGAGGAGCTGAACAAAGGGTTTACTACCTATGCAAATGGGGGTCAGGTAAAGGCGAAATACAGAAAGAATAACTATGTAAAAGACTATCTGTTAGTATCATCCTTTTATATGTTTATTTTCTGTATTATTTATTTAATAATTACACACCCACACATACACACACACACAAGTTCAATTATCTTTTCTCTAAATGCTACTTTGGCAGTATCCCTTAGATTCAGAATTGATGTAGAGTAATTTATTACCATAGTATTTCAAATATACTGGATTCGTGGGTTGAATTCTCTCTTTGACCAAAAAGCTGGTTGTAAAAGAGTTGATTTTAAGTTAGTATTTATAAACGTTCAAGTGCTTGTTCTTGCTGTTCCATTTACATATTTTTATATTAATATCCAGTTTTGTTGTATTGAAAATATATTTTGATTATATCTTCTTTAAAAATTTTACATTTTTTGGCCTATTACTGAGTCATTTTTTAAAAAGGAGTTTGATGTTCATTAGAAGAGAAAGATCATTTTCTGGTTATGAGACAAAGAGTTTCAGACATAACCTAAATGTCTAGTTTTTTTTTGTTGTTGGTTTTTTTTTTTTTTTTTTTGGAGAGACAGGATCTTGCTCTGTCATTCCAGCTAGAGTGCAGTGGCACGATAATGATGAGGTGTCACTGGAGCCTCAACCTCCCGGGTCAAGCCTCAAGCACTCCTCCCATCTTGACCTCCCAAATTCCTGGGATTATAGGTGTGAGCCACCGCGCCCGATACCACTTCTTAACTCACATTTGTTTCACTGTATCAGTATGCTTACTTCCTTTGGGGTATTAAATTTATAAAGCCTGAGATATATGAACCAAGCATTCCCCCTATTATTTTATTCTGGTATTTTTAAATTTTATAAATTGAGCATTGCATACTCCAGCTTGAATGTTGCAGAATAATTTATACATCCTCTGAGAGAAGAGTCTTGCATTCACTTATTTCAATTACATAAACAATGTTCTAGTGAGGAAGATGGCATTCCCTTAGGCCCTTTTACTTATGTTAGACTCTACTATTCTGAGATCAAGTTGGAAATTTGTTTCTATTAAATTTGCATTACAAGATAAGTAAGACAATGGAGTGGAGAAAGGGAGGGAAAAATGAAGCTGTAGTGTGGGCAGCCTTGTAATTGGATTGTTATCTTTGTAATGTTTTACTTGGTCTGTATTTAACCTGCCACTTATCAACTGTCTGTTTCTATCTAGCCTCTGTACCTCTTCCTTATTTACACAACCCAACAGCACTCTACCACCAGAATCTTTTGGCTTTGTGTATTGTAAACTAAATAAATTTGAGATGCTTTGTTATCACTTAAAGATTCATGTCAGTATGATATCTATAGAACACACAAGTGCACATATGTGTCCAACAACAGACTGGATCTCTCATAAAACATACATCTTTACGACAGTCCTACAAAATGTGGAAAAAAATTACATTGCAGAAAACATAGTTAAACTCAATTAAAATTCTGTTTCTCTATCTGTCTTTAACAAATCACAATGGCTCACAGCAACTCTCCAGATCTCATCTCTTCCAGCTTACAACCTGTGTTGCTGTTCTCTTCACTTTTTAAAGCCTCTCATTTCATTTAGTATTCTTTTTTCTGTATTTTATTTTCCAGAAAATACTGCTTGTGGGTTTTTTTGGTAAAATGATATTTTTCCACTTCTATTTTTTTTGTGATATCACATGTCTATTAACTAATTTCGGTGTGTAATGTAGGTGGTCAGTAGATGTATTTTCTTCCCAATTCATTTACTTATTAAGTAAATCATAATAAATAATTTCTATTGCCACTGCTTTCACACATTATATACTACTTTAAAACAAATACAAGTTCCATAATTATTTTATTAACTGAACAAATACGGGTTCAGCCATTACTATATTCTAGATTTCATAGTGGAATAAGAGCTAGAGTTATAACATTATAAGTAGGTAGCATTAGTTATGTGTTCTTCTGAGGATAATAGACAATACCAGGCAGAACAAATAATAAAATAATTATGTATGAAAGCGATGGATATGAAAGAATAACATGGTTCTATGATAGGAATAAATATAAGAGTGAGGGGACTATGGCAGAAGAAACATTGACAAGTGCTAAGAATTCACAATAAGGGCACTTTCTTACTGTCTATAAGCTCCAAAATCAGCCTTGTCCTGGGCTTTCCCTTCTACATTAAGACTTGATAACCAATTATTAATTTTCATTTTAAACACTTTGATATCCTTGCTCATTAATTATGAAATAATATCTCAAGAACTACTATTAATGTATATAAGATGACTTATTTTGAAGGAAATCTGTAAAGTGTGTTGTATCCAATTTAACTACTTTGATAATTTTTAAACCTTTAGGTATGCAGTTTAAAATAGTGTCATATGCAATTATTTTGAATTGCATATTAAAAATATGATATCATTTATTTTCATCTAAATTTATCATTTAGATTTCAAAATGTCTTTTAGAAAATGTGGCTAGAATTTCACTGAGGGTAAGTTGATTATTTTTAATCTGGTGACTATACCAGAAGAGAGGTTTTTCTGCACTGTATATGTATATTGTTATTCTTTTGCATCTGAATCAAAATTTTATGAATTATTACTATTTCATAAATAGAATAAAATGTTATATGTAATGTTAATATATAATTACTCTTCATAATGTATTGAGTTTTAGAATATTTTTTTTGTCAGCATCATGGACAGTTTTAAATAATTTTATAATGAATTAAATGTATGTGTCACTCATAAATTCATATTCGTACAGTGAACTTAACAAATGTGTGTGCTCTGCTACACTGACTGGCCATTCGCCTGTCTCTTTCCCTCTATTCCGGCCTCCCTCTTTGATGAAACACAAAAGTACGTCAATTAATAAACCTACAATGGCCTTCAAATGTTAAAGAAAGGGTCAAAATCTTTCACTTTGAATCAAAAGCTAAAAATGATTAAGCTTAGTAAGGTAGGCATGTCAAAAGCTGAGACAGGTCAAAAGCTAGGCTTCTTTTATCAAACACTTAGCCAAGTTGCCAATACAAATGAAAAGTTCATGAAAGAAATTAAAAGCACTATTCCAGTAAACACATGGATGTTAAGAAAGTGAGATAGCCTTACTATAGATATGGAGGAAGCCTTAGTGGTCTGAATTAATATAAAGTCAGCCACAATATACCCTTAATCCAAAGCCTAATCCAGAGCAAGGCCCTAATTCTCTTCAATTCTTTGATGCCTACGAGAGGTGAACAAGCTGCAGAAGAAAAGTTTGAAGCTAGCAGAGGTTGGTTCATGAAGTTTAAGTAAAGAAGCCATTTTCATAACATAAAAGTGCAAAGTGAAACAACAAGTGCTGATGTAGAAGCAGCAGCAAGTTATCCAGTGTACCTAGCTAAGATGATAGATGAAGGTGACTGTATTAAACAGTACAATTTCTATGTGTAAGAAACAGCCTTATATTTAAAGAAAATGCAATCCAGGGCTTTCATACCTAGAGAGGAGAAGCAAATTCCCACCTTCAAAGCTTCAATGGACAGGCTGATTTTCTTGTTAGGGGCAAATGCAACTAATGTCCTCCAGTTGACGCCAATGCTCATTTATCATTATGAAAATTCCAGGGCTCTTAAGAATCAAATACACTCAGCCTGTGCTCTATAAATGGAACAACAAAGCCTGTATGAAAGCACATTTCTTTACAGCGTGGTTTATTGACTATTTTAAGCCCACAGTTGACACTGAAAAAGTGTCAGAAAAAGCTCAGAAAAAGAAGATTCCTGTTCTTCTTTTAGCAGTAACAAAATATTACTGCTTGTTGACAACACATATTCACCCAAGAGCTCTAATGGAGATGTACAAGAAGACTGATGTTCTTTCCCGCCTGTTAACATAACATTCATTCTGAAGGCCTGGTGAACAAGAATTCATTTTGACTTTCAAGTCGTATTATTTTTAAAAAATGATTCGTATATAGTAACTATAGTTACCATAGACAAGAATTTCTCTGGTGGATCTGTGAAGAGTAAAGTGAAAACATTCTAGAAAGATTTTACCTTTCTAGATGTCATTAAGAACATTTGTAATTCATGAGAGGAGGTCAACATACTATTAACAGGAGTTTGGAAGAAGTTGATTCCAACCCTCATGCATGACTTTGAGGAATTTAAGAACTTCATAGGAAAAAATAAATAAACAAAGACTTCAGTGGCCAATGTAACTGCAAATGTGGTGGACATAGTCAGAGAACTAGAATTGCCAATGGAGCCTGAGGATGTGACTGAATTGCTGCAATCTCATAATAAAACTTGAACAGATGAGGAGTTGTTCCTTATGGATAAGCAAAAAAGTCATTTCTTGAGATGAAATATCTGCCTGCTGACATGCCATGAAAATTATTGAAGTGACAACAACATGTATAGAGTATTTCTTAAACTTAGTTGATAAAGCAGGAGCAGAGTTTAAGAAGTTTGACTTCAATTTTGAAAGAAGTTCTACTGTGGGAAAAATGCAATCAAACACCACTGCACACTGCAAAGAAATTTTTAATGAAAGGTGAAGTCAATAAATGTGGTAAACTTTATTGTTGTCCTATTGTCATAGCCACCCCAACCTTCAACCACTACAACCCTGATAAATCAACAGCCATCAACACTGAGATAGACCCTCCACACGCACAAAAATTACAATTCACTGAAGGATCAAATGATCACTAGCATTTTTACTAATAAAGTATTATTAAATTAATATATCTTTTTTTGAAACATAATGATATTGCACATTTAATAGATTGCCTAATAGTGTAAACATAACTTTTTGTATACTGAGAAACCTAAAAATGTGTGTGACTCTCTATTCTGATATTCACTTTTTTGCAGTGGTATTGAACTAAACCTGTAATGTCTCCAGGGTATGCCTGTATGTTAGTAGATGCTGAAATGGCATTTGGGAAAAATAACTGAAATATTACTTGTATACATTCAATAAATAATGCAAAAAACACTATTTGAGCTTGAAGTGAATAAATAATGTTGGGTTTGAGTTATTTTGGTAAATTTCAAGTGATTTTTGGTTGGTGGTTTGTCAGCATGTTTTTAGTTGAGTTAATATTCCCAGAGGACTACAGCAGCTTAAGGAGGAATGAATTAAAAAGAAAACATATTATTCTAGGATATGAAATACAAAATAGATTTAAAGTTATATATCAGTGATAAAATAAGAAGAATATTAGAGCATGCAAAAACTAGAGATGAAGTGAAGTGAGTGCAAGCATTTCAACAGTAATCCTGGAAGCAAAATAAAATAAAAAATGTATACAAATCTATCAATTGTGTTATACTGTTTAAAAATCACCTTTTTAAACTGTTACAAATGAAGAATATTCAGTAGAGCTTAATATGCAACCTCATTTGTGAAAAGGATGGGGATCACAAAAGACTGACCGAACTATTTCTATTCTACACAAGATAACCTATTTAGAAAGTGATTATTCGCAATTATATAAAGAGGTTTCTTTTAAAGATTCTTTCTTCAAAACTTCTGAAGGAAATAAAAGGAAAGGGTTTCTATGACAGTAGATAAAATGCCCATTGTGTGAAACATACATATTTTCTTTGAAGACATTTTCTGCCATGATGATCAGACAAATATTTTATATGATAGCTTGGACAAGAGTTTACAGAAAGTAATTACTTTTTGAGCAATATGAAACTTTGTAGCTATTGATATAAAAGGCTATTTGAATGTTACATATAAAATTATTGCAGGTACACTTAATCTAATTGCAAGGATTACTCTGTTTTTGTTTCCATGCTATGGAACTTACAGATGTATAGGTTTCTATAAAAGTATTTATTGATTGTAGAGTGTAATATTCACTCATGAAAATGGAAACTTGAACAGAAAAATGTGAAAATAAATAAAAGAATAATATTAATAACATTGTGAAAAACCTATTTAAGCTATTATTTTGTTTTTCTTTCTTTAAAATAGGGAAGTAGGGATACATTTTTAGACCTTTTAATTATTTATCCTTAAAATAAAACACCAGCAAATGAAATCTATTGCATATTTATAGGCGATGTCGTAAGTATCATCTGAGAATTTTATGTCTACTTGCAGCTATACAAATGATTAAAATTGAAGAATTTCTAAAGACAGTGCAAAAACATTCCAGAGACATTCTATAGGTAAAATGCAGTCAAGACTTGAAATTGAAAAGGCAGATATTATACTTTATTTTTAAAATTTTAACATTTATGCTTCCATTCTCAATATTCCCTCTTTTGTTTTCTAGGCATTTTCAATCTCTTTTGAAAGCAGTAAGAAATGGTGGTCAATTGTGTTGTAGGTGCCATACTCAGTGATGTTTTCTTAGTTATTTCTTCATGTTCATTGATGATCACCCTTTCCACTATTTTCTTCTCTTTTCCTACTGTGCTTCATCTCACAGTTGCTCTCATTACCTCACTTCCAAATACCTCATTGGTACTTAACATAAGTCAACCATTTGAAGAGGAAAAAATGTGACCTTGTCTTGTCAGTAACTGCTATATCTAATATCTAGATATGAGGCATCCCACTCTCTGCTTATCATATTCTATCATTCACTTGCTTTAGGACTCACTCCATTCCTACATTCTTAGTATCTTCTCACTCTGTCTCTCCATCTCGCACATTGGATAAACACAAACATTTTTGCAAGTTAATCTCACAAAATCATGGGTAATATTGGATTGATTATTGTACCTTAGTATGTTGTTGTTGTAAGAGAGTTTATATATTTAAAGTGTATAATACAGTCCTTGATAGAATAATTATTAGTAATTATTAATAGTAATATTAGTTGAATTTTCACAAACACCTGAGCAATTGATTGCACCTGGAGAAAGCACATATTTATGTTGAGTGATCATCCCTAATTTATTATGAAAGATCTCAAACAGTCACTCAACACAGCCTACCAACCCCTACTGCCCTGCACGAGGGTGTATGCTCTCCCAGACTCTCCAATAACTATTTGTACTCCGTCTCTTTTCTCCTCAAACTTCCCATACATTTTATCACTTCTTACGTTGAATGATATTGCCTTTCATTTCCTTCAAATATAGATATTATAATAGGTATCTGCATAGATATTGATAACATGTAAAAACTTAGATAGTAATGTCCTCTTCCAAGCACCAAATGTAGCAAACCACCTGCATCTCATTCATGCTCTGCTGCACTTTCTGTGTCCCTTAACTCATGCCACATGCCAGAGGCTATCTTGTATTCATGAGCTTTGAAATGATCTATTTTCACCTTCTCTGGGACATTTAATTCTATAAATATAGTCCCTTCTTCTAAATCACCCTTTAATCCTCTGTGCTAGAGCAATGACATCAACAAATTTCAAATATTACATGGATTTCTAAAAGTGCAGATGCACAATATAATTTAAATCACTCCTTTGAATTTTTCCAACTTTTAGGAGGCATAGTCAAGATTTATGAAGTTTTTAATACAAAGATGCTGAGTCTGGATTGGGGCCAGGAAAAAGGTCAGCCTTCCTTCATGTTTGTTGGATACTCGTGAATATATTACCACCTTCTCACTATGGATCAGGGCCACACTTTCAAATTCCTTCTAATGTATTCTCAACTTACTTTTAAAAACTGTCAGAGTATTATATTATCTCTAAAGTAGATTACAAAAATACCAGTGCCAAAGAGTATTTCAAGTTGATCAACCTCTGTTCATGCTTTCCAGCCTCCCAATCCTACTTCTCTGCTCCAGGTTTTCTTGTTCAGATTTTTTTAAAGCCCAATCACTAATTAAAGACAGCAAGACTCTTTGTGATGTTTTAGCTTTAAGTAATCTAGAGAGCTGATGTTAACTAATAAACTGGCAAATAAATTGAATTAAAAAACAAAAAATAATTATAAATACTACCAAAATATCCACACTAATACAATAAGAATACAGTTCTATCAATAGTTATATTTCATTATAAAATAGAACTAATTAAAACCAATTCCTCCGAAGAGATTCTAATACTTAGTGAAAATAATTTTTTTATTCTTCTCAAGTTTTCAATTAATTACAACAGAGATTGCAAACTAAAATATGAAGAAAGCCAGTCAAAAAATTTAAATGAATAAAGAGAGCTTGGGAAGAGGTCTATTTTTAATTATGAGCATATGCCCTCTCTAGAAAAAGCGACTAATAGTTGATTATTAACTGATTATTTTTATAAGAGAAAATAGACCAGGTTTACTATTAATGTATGGAGCTTAAATTCAAATATACTTATTTTTAAAATATTGGTTAATATCCTGCAGTAAGAAAGTTGTATGTGAGGTAATGCACATATTAATTGGCTTAATTTAAGCATTTTACCATGAATATATTTCAAAACATTATGCTGTACACCATAAATTTATATGTATGTATATATATATAAAATTTACATTTGTCAATTTAAATAATAATAATTTAAAAATAAATAAAATTTAATCATCTATTTCTAAGTCAGTATTACCAGAACCAAATGAAACTCATAACTGGACCATGTATGATGTCATGCATGTTTGCAGGGTCTGCCACTACGACTCAAAGATTAAACAATTATTTACATGGGTATTAAAAAGCAAATACTAAGTCTGAAATAAATGAATAACCAACCTAACAGCCTTATCTGTTGGACATTATTAGTAAGAAGGAGATGGTTGCAGGCATACAATTATTATAAAATGTAAATATATTATTTTAATCAGTATTTATAAGACCTCAACTATGTGTGGTAATATTAATAGAGGTGAGCAAAAGAGATAATATCTTTGTGCTTATAGCATTTTTATATAGTTCAATATCTGGAATATTAACCAACATATGTAGGTTCTATGAGAAAAATTCCTATGTTAAAAAAATCTAGAAATGTGTATAGAATTTGCTACGTCAGGGTGGGTATTGGTTGTAACATTACATATGTTGTTCATAGATGGTTTCTCTGAGGTCAAACTTGATAAACACAGAAAAATCAAGTCGTGAAATAAACAAGGAAACAACATTTCAAATAGAATGAACGGCAATTGTAAATGCCTCAATAAAGGAGATGACTGATCTGAGCATAGATCAGAAAGAAGATTAGTGTGGCTAGAAAAAAGTGAGAGAAAACCCGGTAATGTGTGTTTTCACAAGCCCTTCATGTGATTATAAAGCATGTCAAAATTTGATAAACATGGTTTTAACAAGATGGCATTCTTGATGAATTAGGTAAAATTAAATGTGGGTATGTATATCTTGCAGAAGAGGGTATTCTATATAGCTAATAAACATCCAGTAAAATTTAAGAATGTTACAGTAAAAAAAATTGGGACTCACTCCCTATTTCAGAGAAAAAGAAACCTCATAATTATAATTAGACAGGAGTTCCTGGAAAGAGCTACAACCAAGATTGTATATAGGTAGATCATTTTGTTACTGATAAGCATCTCATAGGTCTTTTATTTCAGTAAATGAAAAGAGGTATATAGTATGTGGTGTATGATTAAAAAATGCCAAAGCTGAAAGTATTAAACAGATATTTAATGGATTAGATATTACTTAGATACACTATTTGTTCTATATGCATACATGAATGCACAACTACCAATTTAAAATAAATGGAAAATATTTAATTATCTTCATATATATTTGCTAATATTAGTGTATGACAATAATGTTTTTTCAGTGTGATTTTTAGGGTAAGAAAGCAAATCACTAATAAACAAAAGTATAAATAACAGAACATCCCAGTTTTCTGTGATTCCTGGCCAGAACGTATGTATTATTCTAGCATTATTGAAAATACCTTCTTTTAACTTCTGTGTCATCTCACACTTCTGATGATATTTTTAGCTCTCTAACTTCTACAATTGGTCCTTTGCTAAACTGTTTTTCTTTCAACATTTCATTGGGGTTTTTCCATGCTTAAGTCTTTCTTTTTGTATTCTTTTTAATTTTTATACACATGTTGTGACTTAATCCAACTATAAAACAACTTTTTTTGGGAACCTTATTTTTATATTCCCATTTCAGGAACACCTTCTAAAGTTTAAAATTTATCTCCAATAATACAATAGTTACCACTTATTTATATCCACTATGTTGTGAGCAATATCTGTATTAAGTATCTGCATTATCTCATATGAGCCTTAAATATTACAAACCTTACACAATAGTGGTATATTAGGCCTACAACTCATTGTGCTTTCCTATCAAGGAAACTTGGATTAATAATTGCATCTCTATACATTTAGTACCAGGTTTCTGGTATGCTCATTGATATTATTCTTCAGTCATCACAATTCAGATGTGAAATATCAATAAACACACAGAAATGTCTAAGAGTGCTCTGTTTTTCTTTAGAGAGACATTTTTTATCTAGCACAGTTGTAGATATTGTCTTTTGCTATTCTATTTACCAAATAGTTCCTTATAAGTCCTCTGTTAAAGAAGAAAACCTATTTGCTTAAGGTTAGTTATAGTAAAACTTCATGGAGAAACAAAAGATTGTAAAAAAGAAGGCATATGTTTCCCATTTCCTTTGATATTTATAACCTAGAAAATATATAATATTTGATTTAATCACAGAGTGCTAAAATATGACCCATTTGTAATAACAAAGATTTAAAACTCAAGACAAGATAGCATCAAAACACTTTACATTGGAGACTTAAATAAATATGGTCTACTTCCCTCAACTTTGGGGATGTCATGTTGCCAAAATGTTCATATGATTGTTGTCATGTGTAAGTATAAGATTAATATTAATTGATCTATTGAAATCCTGTGTTATATTCAGGATGCTTGGAGCCATGTTTCTGACTGATTTATGGCCAAAGTTGAACCATTAACTAGTGACTAATATATTCTAGGGTCTAAAACAGACAAGAGGACAGTCTATACCAACTTTCTACATTGTTTATGGAAAGTGTACGGACTAATAAGTTGGATCTCTTTTCAGTTATTTTCTCCTGATTTCTGTTATTGACCCTAATCTGGTAGCCTGGTGAAGGCTTATGTGTCCAGAGATGTATAAACTACTCTTCCTTATATGACCTGTGTCTTCCCTTCATCCCAGATATTTCTTATGTACATGGGTGGTTTGTGTTCCAAATATGAAGCATGTCCTCTGTTCCTGAGAAAGAACCTTGGCAGCTTTGCCTGGAATTTTTGGGCCTTTCTTATATTTGCTTATGCTCATTTATTCTGCTGTTATGTATCTTTTAATTTAGTAAGGTCTTATGTGAGTATATAATGTGAAGTCTCATGAGTTATTTCAATGATCCCACCTTGTGTAATGTCTGCAGCCCACCAATCTCTATTTTAATTAAGTTCCTCTAAGATTCTGAAATAAAGTCAGACAGAGAGGTGTATGTTGAGTACGTTGCATCTGTTGCTTATTATCAGGAGTAGAAATCGAAGCACTTCTGCACACCATATCTTCATATCAGTGTGGCCAAAAAGAACCATAATACTGTCAAGGACTGGATGGGAAAAAGCTTTAGTCTTATAGAGAATAGGCAACTTAAGATCAGTTTCAGATGTGGGCATGAGCCTCCCATGATCCGCGGGTCCCTCCTGGCAGCCTACAAAAGGCAATTGTCCAGCACACATTTCTCTTGTGCTGCAGCAGAAGGACCTGTCTCCTCCTGACAAGAGACACATATAGCAGTGGGGTTAGTCACATGCCATATGACACAGGCTTAAGGAGAAAAAAGCCACACACATTGAGTCTAACACAGAAAAAGTTATTTCCACACAAGGTCATAAGTTCAGCATAGGCTGTGAGAGCTCTATCACTCAGTAAAAACATGTTACAGTCGCCTGTCCTCATGTGGCTAGAGAGGGCTGAAAGACGATGCAAGTGAGAATGCATTTAACAACAGTGTGGAGATGGAGATCAGAACCAAATAGTTTGATAATTTTCATGGCAATACTTACACTATTATCAGTGTAACTACTTTCCAACATGATATCCTATGTATCCAAGTTTAGCTTTCTGAATCAGACTTTTAAAATCGTTTCAATTCCTCACGCAAAGAAAATGAAACAAAAAGTATGCTCTTTGTTAGTTAACTTGTATATTAAAAGATTGTAAAAAAATTTAAAAACAATATTCACCCTAAGTGTAAACTCAAAGGTACACTGTTGATACATTTTAGATTATATCCCGTTATTCAGAGTAAACACTGTCACCCTCATCACTGGATGGAAAGTAAGAATTCTTTAGTCTAGATGTTCCATACATACATGCATACGGAAACACACAGAAAGCTTCTAAAAATTGAACACTCATGAACTCACATGCTATACCAGATTATTATTATAAGGACAGTTTTATTCAAGGGAGATATAAATACCTTTAATTTGTATGTATTATTAGCTTTGAGATTGTTTTCTTCAAAAAACTCTTCAGGAAACATATTGCTATGTATTTTGAGTATCCAGGAATTGGCTTTAAAATATAATTTCTTTAAAAAATTATATTATATTAGTATAGGCTAGGCAAATACCCAGCATTATTATTGTTATTATTTCTGGTACGCTAATAAAAAGGACTAGGCATGGCTTTTTAAAATTTTGATATGGACTTTTCAAATTATGCAGGAACAAATGCCAAAGTCTACCCAAAGATGTTATTTACTCAACATCACTCATAACTCTTTTCACCTTTCTTTTTTGTTTCACAGAACTAGATATTGTAAATATTTATTTTTAGTTATTCTCAAAGAGCTATTTTCATTTGCTTCAACTTCTTTGATGATACTTGGATTCAGGTGCTGGTTACACGTTTTCCAAAGTTACTACCCTAGGAAGAGAACATTATTTTTTAAACCTATATAATTTTCTCCCTTCTACATTACAAATGAACAGAAAAAATTTAGTCTCTCTTAGCTTATCGAAAATAAGTAAAAATATATCTTCCATTTATTCTCTCAACTTTATCTTCTAAGTATTTGCTGACAGCTTTTCATGAAAAATACAATCTATGAAAAAGTTGATATAGTAATTATTAGTACTATACTTCTATTGATATATTTAAAATAAAATGCATTGCAATACCTAAAAAGAGACAGATGTCTTTTCATGATAATATTTTTATTGAATATACTTAAAATAATTTTATTCAGTAGTATCAATGGAAATAAATTAGGAATGTAGGCTACTAACATTAAAAGTATTGCATGAATCTGTATGAAGAGTTCTAAACTTATTGTAATTTTTTATATTTGTATTTTATATATTTCTGTTGTTGTGAGTTGTAAGTTTTAATAGAGTTTGGTAAGAACACTTGATTTTAGTAAATGCAGGTTTAATCTGCCACGTATGCTGACTAGTTCCTTAACCAAAATTATAGCTGCTGCTCTATAACATCTAGACACCACTTTTCTGCAGCATTAGGTTTACATCTCTCAAATACTTGCTTTTATTTTTGTTTTAATAAAGCAATAGTTGAATTTTTTTCTCAGTCAATAATAAGAACAGTGCTTATGAGACATTCCAAATAGGTAATATTACTGACGATTAAAAAAATCTATCATGTTGGCATCCCCTATAAAACAATAAATGAATGAATTATTTTGAATTATTTAGCCATGTGTGAAGAAAATGAGACTACATAGAATCAAGAAGTTTAGAGGAAGTCTAATAGTTTTTCCTTCCTTCCTTCCTTCCTTCCTTCCTTCCTTCCTTCCTCTCTCTCTCTCTCTCAATTCTTTCTTTTAGTGGGGTTTCCCCGTGTTAGCCAGGATGGTCTCGATCTCCTGACCTCGTGATCCACCAGCCTCAGCCTCCCAAAGTACTGGGATTACAGGCATGAGCCACCGAGCCCAGACAGAAGTCTAATAATTTTTCTAACAAAATATTCTGGAAAAAATATTAAACCGTATAGGTTTAATGTTATTATTGATGAAGTTAAATGATTAGTATAGATTAATATAATCATTTAAATATTTCTAGGAACTTCATTAAGTAAAATATGATAAAGAAAGAGGTAATAGCATAAATAATACAGCCAAACAAGAAATTGACATTAGGTAAAGGGAAGTACAAATTTGATGCTATAGAAATGTCTTTTGAGAAAATCAATCAAAATATAACCAATAAACCACAACAAAAAGGAAGTTAAAATATCTTACTTATAAATTATATACAAAGAAATATGAAACTAAACAGCTTACATGAAAAATAATTAAAAGATACATCACAAGACAACTTTTTATAAACTGTTGGAAATTCTTAATATGCAAAGAAAAGTGTGTAATATTTACTAATTAATACATATAAAGCTCAGGTAAAAAGAAGAAATATTCTAAATAATTCAGAGAATTTCAGAACAAAATTAATTCCAACATAAAAGGGAGAAACAGAACAACAACAAAGAAATAATCCAACTTCAAAACACAAAATTTCAGAATATAACAAAGACTGTGTTTAAAATAATGAGGAGAAAAGATAGAACTGTGAATTTTATACTAGCAACGATATCATTTGCACATAATTTCAATAGAAATATATTTTGAAGTATCCAAAAACTTAGTAGATACCTCTTTAAAATGTGTCAAGATGAAAATCACAGTACAGCAATATTTTATAGTAAAAGAGTACAGCCATTGAATTAACTGAATGACATAATTTTCATGATGTTGGAACTGATGATAGCAAAAAAAGTAATGGTAAGCATCAAATTAATTTATTCATAGACTAAAACATAATGTTATGAAAAAAGGTAATAAATTTTGTAAGAGTATAAGAATAATCTGTGAAGACAAAAATTTGTAATTTTAGTAGAAAAAAAGCAGGTGTAGAAAGGTGTAGGTTGTGAGGATTAGCTTGTATATTAATTTTTATCTTTCCATTACTTGGAATAAATAAATACCATTTTATTTCTGAATTACACGTATTGATTTATCTAGGATAAGAGCAAAATTATTTGGAGTTTAAAACATGAAGAATAAAAACAAAATAAAACTTGAAAAAGAAAAAAATGACTTTCTACATTATTATCATAAAAAAATGAAATTTTAAGCAAAGGACCATAAAACACCACCACTAACCACAGCATTGACAATAATAATTCATAAAATTAAAAACCACTTGGGCAGAATAAATACCAATTTTATTACTTACTATATATATGTGTGTGTGTGTGTGTGTGTGTGTGTGCGTGTTCTCATCCTGGATAATAAAACAAAAGAATAATCTATTTGATATCTGCAAGAACAATAACATAAATTAAAAAAATAAAGATTGATAAATGTACCACCACTAGACACATTTTAAAAAATTAGTTGTGATTAATATCTGAGATATTTAATTAAAATATAGAAACATCTTCTACAGAGACAAAATAGGACATTATTTGTTTATAGTATTGAATCATGAAAGCTATTTTATTGATAAATAATATTTGTACATGTATGTGTGGTACATGTGATAGTTTGTTATATGCATAGAATGTGTAAGGATTAAGTCAGAGTATTTAGGGTATGTATCACCTCAAGCATTTATTTCTATGTGTTGTGAATACATCAAGTTTTGTCTACTAGCTATTATGAAATATACAATACATTGTTGTTAACTATAGTTACCTTATTCTACTATCAAACATTAGGACTTAGAATCACAATACTTTGTCTTGAAATTTTTATAAGGAATAAACACACACACACACACACACAGAGTAAAAAACTATATGTGTATAGTGCATATTCCATTTTTTCCTTGAAATAGAAAAGAGATACAAATAAATACAGTTGCATGTAATCTCAATATATAGTAGATTTTAGATTTGTTATATACTGAAATAGATTGATATCACTTTGCAAAGAATAAATTATACAGTTATGTTTAAGTGAAACATTTTACAAAACCAAACTATGTGTTGATGCCTGAAAATATCATTAACAAATTCCAAAAAAAATCTTAATAAAATTAAATTAGAAATTAATGTATAAAAAGAAGCAAAAAATAAATATTCATATAAATCATTTAGATATTACAATAATAATTTAAATAAACCTTAAGTTAAAGATTAAATTAAAGTTATAATTCTGATGTGTTTTACAATTGAAGATAATAAAGAAGATACTTATGATAAAATATGGTCTGTGGTCAAGCTGTAACAATGGAAAATTTCAATATTGTCTTACTACAAAGAAAATTGTTGTTTCAAATAATAAGTCAAAAATAAAGACATAAAATGTTTACACAGAATGACTGAAAATAAAATATTATAACAGGTTATAATTTTATTACTAAAATTATTTTCATTTTTTAAAATTTGTTGTGTAGTTTCAAAGGGCTTTTATAATGTGCCTGTCTTTAAAAATCATTGCTTTTGATATTTCCATAGTTTCATATTTAAGGCATTAACAAAATATAATATTGAAACCATTTTGAAACTATATAATAAATTTTCAAATGTAACAGTAATTTCAGTAATGAAATTTACTTCTAAAAAAAGAATTATAGTTTTTTCAAGTGATAAACCATAGTCTCAGAAAGAAGAATCTCAAGCACAAAATAAAGTTGAAAAATATTACAAAGTAAGTCCCCATTTAGATTATGCATGACTTCTTCTCTGAATCTGTTTAATATGATCCATAATAATTTTAGAAACTATTTAAAAATCAAATATTTTTATTTTGTAGTAATAGATATTTTTCTCCTTGAGCAACTTGCTTTGCTAATCTATGAAATCACTAGATGTATACCTAAATAGATTTGTGTTGAAGATAATAATAACATTTAAATTAAAAGAGAAACGATTAGAAAATATGTCTATAGTTATTCAATTTCCCCAGAGATAAGCAGATAATTATAATTGTAAATGTATATAATAAGATGTTATAAATTAAATTTTGGGGGGATTAAACTTTGGAGTATAAGTCAATTATACATTAATGTATATTCTTATCCCATGCAAACCATTTATAATAAGAATATAGCATTTTATTGTGAAAAAATAAAGCTATAAATGAAGCTTATAAATAAGAATGTTGCTCTTCAGTTTATTCCTTTATAATTTTATTGGTCAAAAGTATTTTCTTAAAACTTTGTATAAACCACAAATAACATGGGTTTGTAATTTGTTTAATTCACATTTTATGGTGAAATTTTTATACAATAAGTAGCAACAAATTCAGAGAAATAAAACATGCTTTGAATATTAAGTACAGCATTCATTTCCAATTTAGTGTATACATATATATGTACATAAACACATGTGTAATAACATGTGTACACTATTGGATATATACACAAACACACACATATACATGAACAAGGATATGCACATGTACACACCCATATAAGCAAATCTAAAATAGACAAATTATAGCTCATATTTTTAGTTAATGTGACTTCCTTTTGTGGATTGAATTAACAATTTTACACCAATATTAATATATAATCTAATTAACATTTTCATGTGAAGTATTTTGCCAAAAAATGCTGTATTTAGAAAACAGATTATAATTATTTACAGCAAACAATAGTTCAAACCCACTTTTTGTTAGCAAAATATAATAATTATCATGGAAATGAGTTAAGAAGTAAAGCAAAATACAAATTGGCCCTAAATTACCTACTACATCTCAGTCTTTTAAAAGTAGTGATAGGAGGGGAAGGGCAATTAATATAATGGACATATCAAAAAAAGTACTAAAAAAAAGCTAAAGCATAGTAAAAACACCACAAAAATATATTGATGAAACAAACCTGCAGTTATTGGAAGAATGTTGAATAATACCTAACCTGCAACAAAAAGAAGATTTTATTGATTTTACTCCTTCCTATCATGATTCTCTGACTTTATAAAACTGAGTTTGTGGCCTTCAGTGAATGAAGTAAAGAAATCCGATGAGAGAAAGATACGCCAGTTATTTTATTTATGGTTTTTTGTTCTTTCTATCTTATTTTGGCCTAGAGCTTTATTTTCTCTGCTTACGAAGAACTATTGATTTAGGAAGACTAAAGGGGTCACCTGGGATGCAGGGAGAATCAGCAAGGACCTAACTGCTTAAAGCATTAGACTAGAATTTCAAGTGAAAAGAGAGCCAGCTGGCATCACCAGGTAGGAGTTGATCCAGGATTTCATGTGGACCTTTGCTTAAACTATCTCTGAGTTGAAATTTATAAACTCTAAGTATGACAATCATGATACAAGACAGTAAGGAATTACCAACTTTTCCTGGGTATGTCTACATAAGTGAATCATTTGAAAAAAAATATTTTCTCTTCAAGAACAAAAACTCTGATATGGTTTGGCTGTGTCCCCACCCAAATCTCATCTTGAATTGTAATCCCCTGTAATCCCCCTTGTGTTATGGGAGGGACCCAGTGGGAAGTGACTGGATCATGGGGGCAATTTCCTTCATGCTGTTCTTGTGATAGTGAGTGAGTTCTCACAAGATCTTATGGTTTTATAAATGTCTGGCATTTCCCCTGACTATACTCATTCTCTCTCCTGCCACCCTGTAAAGAAGGTGCCTGCTTCTCCTTTGCCTTCCACCATGACTGTAACTTACCTGGGGCCTCCCAGCAATATGTAACTGTAAGTCCATTAAACCTCTTTCCTTCATAAATTACCTAGCCTCAGATATTTCTTCATAGCAGTGTGAGAATGGATTAACACAATAAATTGGTACTGGGAGTGTGGCATTGCTATAAGATACCTGAGAATGTGGAAGTGACTTTGGAACCAGGTTATGGGCAAAGGTTGCAACAGTTTGGAGGACTCAGAAAAACACAGAACGATATGAGGAGTTTGGAACTTCCTAGAGACTTGTTAAATGGCTTCAACCAAAATTCTAATAGTGATATGGCCAATGAAGTCCAGGTGGAGGTGGTCTCAGATACAGATGAGGAACTTCTTGAGAGCTGGAGTAAAGGACACTCTTGCTATGCTTTAGCAAAGAGACTGGTGGCATTTTGCCCTTGCCCTAGAGACCCATGGAACTTTGAGATTGAGAGAGATTATCTGAAATTGGAACTTATGTTTAAAAGGGAAGCAGAGCATAAAAATTTGGAAAATTTGCAACCTGATAATGTGATAGAAAAGACAGACTCATTTTCTAAGAAGAAATTCAAGCTGACTGCAGAAATTTTCATCAGTAACGAGGAGCCAAATGTTAATCCAGAAACAATGGAAAAATGTCTTCATGGCATGACAGAGCTCTTCATGGCAGCCCCTCCCATCACAGATCTGGAGGTCTAGAAGGGAAAAATAGTTTTGTGGGCCGGGCCTAGGGCCTTGCTGATTTGTGCAGTCTTGGAACTTGGTGACTTGCCTCGCAGCATTGCTAAAAGGGGCCAACATACAGCTCAGGCCTTTTCTTCAGGGGGTGCAAGCCCCAATCCTTGATGGCTTATATGTGGTGTTGTTCCTGCAGGTACACAGAACTCAAGAATTGAGGTATGGGAACCTCCACCTAGATTCCAGAGGATGTATGGAAATGTCTAAATGTTCAGGCAGAAGTTTGTGCAGGGGCAGAGCCCTCATGCAGAACATCTGCTAGGACAGTTTGGAGGGAAAATGTGGGGTTGGAGCCCCCATACAGAGTCCTCACAGGGGTATTGCCTAGTGGATCTGTGAGAAGAGGGCCACTGTCCTCCAGATCCCAGAATGGTAGATCCACTGACAGCTTGCACCATGCATCCGGAAAAGCTGCAGGCACTCATAACCAGCCATGAAGGCAGCTAGGGCGAGGGGCTGTACAGAGAAAAGCTACAGGGGCAGAGCTACCTAAGGTCATGGGAGCCTGCCCTTGCATCAACCTGCCCTGGATGTATGAAATTGAGTCAAAGGGATTATTTTGGAGCTTTAACATTTAATGACTGCCTCACTGGATTTCAAACTTGCATGGGGCCTGCAGCCTCTTTGTTTTGGCCAATTTCTCCCATTTGGAATGGAAGCATCTACCCAGTGACTGTACCCCCTCTGTATCTTGGAAGCAACTAACTGGCTTTTGATTTTACAGGCTCCTAGGCAGAAGGAACTTGCCTGTCTCAGATCAAGCTTTGGCCTTGTCCTTTTGAGTTAATGCTTTAATGAGTTAAGACTTTGGGGCCTGTTGTGAAGGCATGATTGTATTTTGAAGTGTGAGAACATGAGGTGTGGAAGGGGCCAGAGGTAGAATGAAAGGGTTTGGCTGTGTCCCCACACAAATCTCATCTTGAATTGTAATCCTCATAATCCGCATGTGCTGTAGGAGGGACCTGTGGGAAGTGCTTGGATCATGGGGGTGGTTTTCTCCCATGCTGCTCTCACCATAGTGAGTTCTCATGAGATCTGATGGTTTTATAAGCATCTGACATTTCCCTTGCTTGCACTCATCTCTCTACTGCTGCCCTTTGAAGAAGGTGCCTGCTTCTCCTTTGCCTTCCACCATGATTATAAGTGTCCTGAGGCTCCCCAGCAATGCATAACTGTGAGTCAATTAAATTTATTTCCTTTATAAATTACCCAGTCTTGGGTATTTTTTCATACCAGTGTGAGAACAGACTAATACAAATGCATATATCTTAAATGTCTATTGCAATAATAATCTCTAAATGAGTTACAAGAGAACCTTAGCACTTCTGAAAGTGGCCTCTACTTATATCTGATGACCTACCAGAGAGTGTTTGTTCCACAGATAAATCTGAAGTCATCTTTTGGGAGTTCTATCTTCTTTCTCTTTGGCTTTAATGAATGGCTTAGAGAAGTCTCAGTGTTTTCATGCTCCCACAGAAGCTTGCCAAGTGTCCATGGCTATGGTTTCTCTATTCCGATATTCCCAGAGCTTCATCTCAGGCTGTCTGAGGTGTGCAAAAGTAGTTTCCACCATTTGGGCCTAAAGAAGTTCTGTCTTTGTTCAAAGTATGAGTGTCTCCTCAACATTTTGATTTGCTTTAAACATAATTACAAAGGTGATATTCAATAGGAAAAGAGCTTTTCACAATTATATACTTTCCTTCTTTTTCTACAACTCTGATAATTCTTTCATATATACATACTCAAGAGAAGTTTTGCAGCAGCAGTCAAATCATGAGGATGTGGTGTTACATTGTGTATGTGTGTGTGTAAGGGGAAGGAGATGTGGAAATTGAATTGAATTTATTACAAGACCAGGGGAAAATATATATATATATGATGAAATTATTTCCATTAGAATTTAATTCACTAATTTTGTTTCAATTTTGTTGTTTTCTTATGTCATGGCTTATTTTATAAAGTTATATATTAATATGATCTGTAGTTATATTTTTGAGTTGCTTAAGTTGCCACTGTTAGTCTTTTTTAATTAAAAACAAAACAAAAATTAACAGTTCTTATTTTGCTTTTATTTAGCAGCCTGCCCACTTGTGAATTACAGCCTTTAATTTCTTGAAGTATTGGAAAATAGCTAACCAAGCAAATGGGATTATGTGAAAATTGGCTATGAGTGAATAGCCTATAAGTAAAGGTTTAATTTAAGAACTGCTAAAATTAATTTATTCTTTCTTTCTAGATGAAATTACCAAATATGGGCCTATGTGTAGAGTGTTATGAGGTGTGATACAGTTTAAAACATTTGTCAGGTGGTATACTTTTTGAAAACTGAGATACAGAAATAAAAGGAAATAATTGAATGCTGTTTGTCAAAATACATAATTAATTGGTGTTGGCACAAGTAAATGCTTGTTTACATTTAGTCAAAATTTATACTTAACGTTTATATATAATTTGTATTATCTTCATAGCATTAAATTATTTAATTAATACCACATTTATTATGACCAGTAAACTTAAGACGCTTCCCTTCAGGTAGAAAGAGCCCAATGGTTATCCCATCAAACTGAGTAAGACAAATATACATTCATACTCAGGTACACATTCTACTGTCATATCCTACAAAATAATTTGAAGTTTTACCATTACTCTTGGATTTTTTGGGGAAAATAGGTTTCAAGTATTCTCTTTTTCCCTCTCTCCAGGATTCTCTTTTATCTCCTCTTACATACATGTCTCTCAACTACTTGTAATATATTTAGAAACCTACTTTTTAGACTATTCAAACAGACTAGGCTTTAAAAACAAAAGACATGGCAACTTGTATATACACATTCCCTCAGACAAAAAGCAGTAGGTTAAGAAATTGCCCAAATTGATTTAATAAAATAATTAATATACTCTAACAATGTTATTTTCAAATATTATTGTGTCATATTCAGATCTTAAATGACATTATCTCATATTTGAGTGGCCTCATTTTATAATTTCTTAAACATTATTTCTAATTTTTTAAAAAAATTACTGAGCATAACTGAACATCATTTTGACAAATTGCATTAGAATAAAATTAATTTTAGGATAATTGATATTTAGAATCTGTGTTGGCTACAATTTAAATTAATAAACTATATAACACACACATATATAAAACTTCAAGGGTAACCATGGCTTTTCTTGAATAGTATATTTCACATAAATCAGAATACAAAAATTTTATCTTTGAGCAATTAGTTTTGAGTTCAATGGGTTTCCTGAAAACAGACTAACTTGTCAAACTAAATAATGTTTCCTAGTACAGTGTAATTGCTTGTGTACTGGGTAACCCATTTAAATAGCAAGCTATAAAGGTTAGAGACATAAAATTTTATATTTGAAATAGGGTGATCGTTTGAAAAGAAAATTGTTAACAATATAAATATCACTTAAAAGTCACTTCTTAAAACATTGTGAGACATCTTTTCCTTGGCCAATAAATATTTCTTAACTAGGTAAAGAGGAGAATTTTTTTTGGAAACTATTGTTTCTGTTTCTTCTCCTATGGGTTTCTGTTCAAAACAATGACAGAATTAAGTCTTATTTACTGTCTCTCCCTATTCATTTCTACTATAATGTACAGAAATGATACTAGACATGACATTGTCAACTGTGAAATATCTATGGTTCCAGCACAACCATTAGCTTAGGTTCATTTTCATATATGCTTTCTTTCTTTCATATTACATTCTTTAAATGTGCAAGTGTGTGTGTGTGTGCACACGCACGTGCACGCATGTGGTGTGAGAGAGATATATACTTTTAAAGCTGCTTCAGTATATTAAAAGTAGTGTGATGGTTAATACTGATTATCAATTTGATTGGATTGAAGGATACAAAGTATTCATCCTGTGTATTTGTGTGAGGATGTTGCCAGAGGAGATTAACATTTGAGTCAGTGGGTTGGGAAACGAAGACCCACCCTTAATCTCAGTGGGCACCATCTATTCAGCTGCCAATGTGGCGAGAATATAAAGCAGACAGAAAAATGTCAAAAGACTAGATTGGCCAGGCCTCCCAGCCTATATCTTTCTCCCGTGATGGATGCTTCCTTCCCTCAAACATCGGACTCCAAGTTCTCCAGTGTTGGGACTCAGACTGGCTCTCCTTGCTCCTCTGCTTGCAGACAGCTTATTGTGGGATCTTGTGATCAGGTGATGTGAGTTAATGCTTAATAAACTCAGATAGATAGATAGATAGATAGATAGATAGATAGATAGATAGACAGATAGATCCTATTAGTTCTGTTCCTCTAGAGAACCCTAATACAAGTAGTAATACAGCTCTATTAGAAAAAAACACAGCTGTAAAATAATTTTATAAATATTTGTGGTGATTAATGCTATGAACTTGATTGAATTGAAGGATACAAAGTATTGATCCTGAGTGTGTCTGTGAAGGTGTTGCCAAAAGAGATTAACATTTGAGTCAGTGGGCTGGGGAAGGCAGGTCCACCCTTCATCTGGTGGATACAATCTAATCCGCAGCCAGCAAACATAAAGCAGGCAGAAATACATGAAACGGAGATACTGGTATAGCCTCCCAGTCTACATCTTTCTTCTGTGCTGGATGCTTCCTGCCCTCAAACATCGGACTCCAAGTTATTCAGTTTGGGGCCTCAGACTGGCTCTCCTAGCTGCTCAGCTTTCAGACAGCCTATTGTGGGACCCTGTGATCATGTAAGTTAATACTTAATAAACTCCCCTTTACATATATATATAAAAATACTATATATATAATATATATAATTATATATAAATATATAAATATATATGTAAATATATATTTATATATTACTATATATATATATATATAACTACTATATCCCACAAGTCCGTGCTGTTGGTGTTCATTATATGACAGACAACCTTCCTGGAGAAATAACAGCAAAGCAGCACAAGCTCTACTAATATATATTATATAATATATAATTATATATTATATATATATAATATATAAATATATATATAAATATATATAATATATATTATATATAATATATATAATATATATTATATATAAATATATATAAATATATAATATATATTATATATAAATATATATATAAAATATATATATATATCCTATTAGTTCTTTCTCCCTAGAGAACCCGACTAATATAATATTTAAGCTACTGTATTGAGGAATCTCAAATCAGAGAGTATAAATGAAATATTTCATTACTAAATGTATCATGCTCTGTCAAATTTTCATGTTGTATCTCTTAACGATATCTTGAGCAGATTTCACAGTTTTGTGAAGACTTTAAGGTTTTTAAAAGTCAATCAATTTAAGGATAATCTAATTTAATCTTTCCCCTTTCTTCATGTCCAGACCCCAGTTCATGTTTTATCTGAAACTCTAAATTATAGAAATAAAAAGGGATGTTTATGCTTAGTTTTGAGCCACGGTTTCCATTTTATCTCTTTAAGGCTACGTTCTTCTGAAGTATTACAGAGAAAGGGAAAAACTGGGGAAGAAGGCATGTCTTTTCACCCAGTTGGCACTAGCTTCTTTCTACTTTGCTGTTTTTGACTCTCTTTCTGGTTGACACAGATTGCCATTAATGTCCCCTCTGTGGAACAAATCCCAGGGTTACCTCTTTCAAAGGTTTCATGTGTGAGTTCTTAAGTGGCCCTGGGTATTCCTGGCTCTGGAGACCCAGTTCTACCTTGTCTTTTTCAACAAATTTTCCTTGCTTCTTACTAACTACTATATCCCACAAGTCCGTGCTGTTGGTGTTCATTATATGACAGACAACCTTCCTGGAGAAATAACGGCAAAGCAGCACAAGCTCTACTAAATTCTGGGGAGTCCATGTACCCTATGAAAAACTTGCTGTTTCTGTTGTAGTAACAGTGGGAATTGTTGCTACTTCCTTATCACTTTTCTCTCTGCTCTGAGATCTCTCTCCAACTCTCTTCTCCATTGCTTACAGGTGCACAGGGGAAGGTTAGCAAAACTTTTGTTTAGCAGAGATATCAATGACAAATGAAATGTTAGCCCCCTCACCTTTTCTTTTCAGAGTATAAATATCCTCTCACACATACATATAATGGGCTAATGGGAGAAAAAAAAACATATCAAAGCTTAAATATTGCCCTCCTCTCAACTTGACATACTGATGGTGCATCTGCGTCTACCTCTCTTCCACACTCTCCTTTATCCTTTGTTCTTTCCTGGTATTTTTATAGAGACTGGGAATTTGGGAAATTCATCATGACCACCTCTTAGTCCTAATAAAATCCCCTGACTAGCTCTTTATAAATGTGGCTTAATTTTGGTATTTCCTTCACTGTAATTCTATTTAAATGGGAAAAGCAATACTCAACACCCTACTTTCTCATAAAGATCAATATATATTCTGGCTTTTACTTTGGACTATTCTAATTTAAATTTATATTCTAACTTTCTGAGTTTCTTATTCCCAAGTAATTGTAACATATTGTACAATTTTTTTTTAGAAAGTATGTGTTTCATGTAAGAATGAATACATAATGTGTAACCTATGAATGGATTACTGCATTAAAACTTAATTATAGATGAGTTTGAATTTATATTGCATTATTTAATATAATTGTGCTTTTTCTTCCTTCTAGTTACAAGAATTATTATAGTAAATAAACTTAGTTCTCTCTTCTCTTAAACTATATTTGACATTCACTTAGAAACTTTGATATAACTTTTACTATGCCAAAAGTTATCAGTTATTTTTATAAGAAAAGTGACAATTACATAGTATTTAGTTTTCAGAAATTATATATGTATATATTTATATATAACTGCTTTTTGTATAGATATATTTTTCTTATTGCAATTAATTTTAACTTTCAGTATAATTTTAGGGTAGCAATATACAGAATCATATTTTCAATGTGCTGTTATTTATTCTTATTTTTAGGACTTTTCATTGAAAATAACTTATTTAATAATATGGAATAAAGAAAAATTTTATTTTGAAAAAGTTGATTTATTTTGGGTAAGTAATAAAAGATGGTTAAATTTAGGCATCCGAAACTCCTCTCCTCCATTAAAAACACTCAAACTAATAAGTAGACAATCACACTCTGAATAGATCATCCAAGAACACTGAAATTCAACAGAGAAGTGACAGAAAACACTTAAGGCAAGGCAAGAGAGAGAAGAGATTGACTGGGAGTCTGGAGCTCCCCAGTGCGAGGAAAGGGTAAGAGAGTGGCTCCCAGTGGTTCACATTTCCACCGAAGAGCCCTGCAATCCTAGCCACAGGAGAGCCACTTGACCCTTGTGGACCTTGAAACTAATGTAGGAGCTGCCTGGACACCACATGGAGGCATTGCTCCAGAGAGGAAGCTCATGATGGGTCCTACAAGTTTTAAGGAGCTACAGCAAGGCATCATTTTGAAAACCTATCTCCCACCAGACTGCATTCTGTTCTTGGGCTCAACAGCCGCTGTGTCTTGTCTCTACATCCCTGAAGACCCACTGACAACCCCATCCATAGCCACTGTCATTGATGGCTGCTGCCACCAGGACTAAAGTGTGAGCCACTGGCAGTGACCTTCCTGCTCCCAGCAAAGAGACTGCAATGCATTTACACAATCCCTGAGAATAGGTTCCTTGACCTGAAGCCACCACTGCTACTGGCTGCTGCTCCTGGGTCTAAAACACAAGCCACTGGCAGCATCCCTTCTGCCCTCAGCAATGGGCCACCATGTATTTATAAGTGCCCTGAAGACAGGCTCCTCCACTTGCAGCTGCTATCTGGGGACAAAGTGTGCACTCTCCAGCTGCTTGCTTATGGTTGCTCTCACTTAAAGAACCCCTCCCTGATCAGCAGCAAGGCTGCAGTGCAACAACTACTGCCAACACCTGAGCACTCTATTAGGGGCCTGGGAATCACCCAATGTTTGCCCAAAACAGCCAGCATCAACATGCACCACCAGAGTGCCTGACAATAGACCCACCTGGCTCAGCAATGCCTGTCCTCCGCCTGGTGCCCAAGAATGCTCTTCAGGGGCCCGGGGATCACCCTGCCCTGTCTACCATTGTTGGCACCTAAGCACTCCCCTTGGAAGCCTGAGGATAGGCCCACCTAACCTTTGACTACTACCACAGCTGGTACTTCCTGACATGTGTTATTTGTGAACCTGAGGACTGACCTGTTCAGCCCATTTCAGCCACTGCTAAAATCAATGCAGACTACTTGGGAGTCAGAATGTTAACCAGCCACTAATAATGTCAATACCACAAGCTAGACCAACCAAGAATAAAATAAAGAAGACCCAAATAAACAAAATCCAAAATGAAAAGGGAGATATTACAGTTGATACTACAGAAATAGAAAAGATAATCAGAGATTATTATGCATAACTATACCCCTCACTGAAAAATCCAGGAAAAAAATGGATAAATTTCTGGACAATTGTTATGAACAACTATATGCTAACAAATGGGAAAATCTAGAAAAAAATGAATAAATTCCTGGACACATAACACCCTCCAAAAATGAATCAGGAAGAAATAGAAAATCTGAGTAGTCCAATAATGAGTACTGAGATTGAATCAATGATAAAACAAAGTCTCCCAACAATGAAGAGCCCAGGACGAGAGGGCTTTATTGCCAAATTCTACTACACTTACAAAAAGCTAAAACCAGTTCTCCTCAAACTATTCCAAAAAGTCCAGGGGGAGGGAATTCTCCCAAATTCATTCTACGAGGCCAGCATTACACCGATACCAAAACCAGACAAGGAAACAAAAACAACAATGACCACAAAACTATGTCCCTGATGAACATAGGCACAAAAATCCTCAACAAAGTTCTAGCAAAGCAAATCCAACAGCACGTTAAAGAAAAGTTTACCATGATCGAATGAGAATTATCCTAGGGATACAAGGATGGTTTAACACACACACAAATCAGTAAACATGATAAATCACATATACAGCATGAAGGACAAAAACCTTTGATCATTTCAATAGACACATGAAAAGAATTTAATAAAATTCAACATCCCTTCCTGATAAAAGCTCTCAACAAATTAGGAATAGAAGAAATATACACAGAACACATTAGTAGTAGTATAGCCAACTAATCCTATACAACATTTTCCTAGAAGTTCTAGCCAGAGGAATCAAGGAAGAGAAAGAAATAAAAGACATTCAAGTTGAAAAAGAGGAATTCAAATGTCCCCTCTTTGCTAATGACACTATTATATACCTAGAAAAACTTAAAGATTGGTTCTCCAAACCCTAAGATTTAATAAATAAATTCAGTAAAGTTGTAGGATAAAAAAATCAATGTACAAAAAATCAGTAGCATTTCTATACATCAATAATGAACTAGCTGGGAAAGAAAGCTGAAAAGGAACCATACTTACAATAGCTAAAACAAAAAATACCTAGAAATACATTGAAGGAAGTAAAAGACATTTTAAAAAAGGTAAAGATCTATTAAAAAGGAGGTAAAATACTTTCAAAAGGGAAACCTACAAAACACTGATAAAAGAAATTGAAGGAGACACAAGGAAATGGAAAAACATTCCATGCTTATGAATTAGAAAAGTTAATATGGTTATAATGACCATACTACTCAAAGCAATCTACAAATTCAATAAAATATCTATCAAAATAAAAATGACATTCTTCACAGAAATAGAAAAAAAATAAAATTCATATTGTACCACAGAAGAGCATGAATAGCCAAAGTAATTCTGAGCCAAAATAACAAAGCTGGAGGCATCACATTACCTAACCTCAAAATATATTTCAAGGCTACTGTAACAAAAACAGCAATAAATTGGCACAAAAACAGACACATAAACCAGTGGAACAGAATAGAAAACCTGAAAATATATCCATGTATTTACAGCCAATATATTGTCAAGAAAAGCATCAAGAACATCCACTGGGGAAGGGACACCCTATTTAATAAATAGTGCTCGGAAAACTGGATAAACACCTGATGAAGAATGAAACTGGACCCATATCTCTCACCATAGTCACAGATCAACTGGAGGTGAATTGAAGACTTAACTGTGAGACCTGAAACTAAAACTACTAGAAGAAAACAAGGAAAACACTTCAGTACATTGATCTAGACAAAAATTTTATGGCTAAGATATCAAAAGTACAGACAACAAAAACAGAAACAGACCAATCACAGTATATTAAACTAAAAAGTTTCTACAGAGCAAAGAAACCATAAACAAAGTGAAGAGACTACCTGTTAAATGGGAGAAAATATTTGCAAGCTATTGATCTGACAGAAGGTTAGTATCCAGAATAAATGAGAAACCGAAACAATTCAACAGTAAACAAACCAATATTTCCATTAAAAAATGGGCAAAGGACAACAATAGTCATTTGAAAAATAACTATTTATACAAAATGGTCACCAGGTATATGAAGAAATGCTCAACATTACTAATCTTTACAGAAATGTAAATTAAAAATACAATGAGATATCATTTTAGCATAGTTAGAATGCTATCACTAATAAAATAAAATATACCAGATGCTGATGAGGATGGAGAGAATAGGAAACTTTTATACACTGTTGGTGGGAATGTAAATTAGTGCAACCACTATGTAAAAGTAGTATGGATGTTTCTCACAAAACTAAAAACAGAACTACCATATGATCCAGCAATGTCTCCACTTGTTTTTTAACCAAAGAAAAGAAATCGGCATGTTGAAGGTATACCTGAACCTCCATGTTTATTATAGCACTTGTCACAATAACAAAGATATGGAATCAATCTCAGTAGCCATCAGTGGACAAAAGGATGAAGAAAATATGGGTACATATACACAATGAAATATTATTCAGTCATTAAAAACTAATAAAATAATGTCATGTGCAACAACATTGATGGAACAGGAGGTCATTATGTTAAGTGAAAAAAGCCAGGGACAGAAAGACAAATTTTACATGTTCTCACTCATAAGAATGTGAAAAGTTGATCTCATGCAGGGAGAAAGGACAATGATAGACACCAGAGTCTGAAACGGATGTGTGGGTGGGGGTGAATGAAGACAAGGCAACTAATGGGTGCAAATATATAGTTAGATAAAGGAATAAGTTCTAATGTTCAATAGCAGAGTAGTGCATGAAAAAATAATGTACTATATTTTCCAAAATAACTAAAACAGAGGACTTGAAATGTTCCCAACACATATAAATGATAAATACTCCAGGTGATGGACACCCTAAATCCTCTCACTTGATTATTACAAACTCTATGAATGTAATAATATATAACATGTACCTCATAAATATATGCATTTTTGTATATCAATAACAAATAAAAATAACCCCAAAATTTAAAATACTGGATGTAAACAAAAGAGAGTATTTGGTGACTTGATGTTTATTCTAAGTGGGTAGAAAGTTGACAAACTATCAAAATGTCCTAATTATAATTTTTTTGTTAGTTAATAACTATTACCACCTTATCGCTTAAAGTTAACAATGCCTAGATCGAATATTCCTTGAAACTTTCATACTCAGAGATATAAATCAAAACCATAACCCTGAGCCAATTACCCTGTGATTCCTGTGAATTTAGTATTAATAATTTAACTCTGTGTTCTATATTCCTTCTGTATGCCAGTATTCTTACTGGAATGAAATGATGATTATTTCTGTGAGTGAGTAGAGTGATAATATGTTTAAAATCTCTTTGTTTTTTCAAAATAGAAAGTAGAACATTTCAATGAGATTAGATTAATGAATGATTTCTTGTTACTCATGACGGTGTTCGATTTTCCCACTACAAGAATTTGACGTAAGATGCCTGTGCATTTGAGTGATCTATACTCAATGCAAATGTAGACTCAGAAACAGAGTCAATCTTCTACTTCTTCAGTGATTTTTGCATGTTCATATGCTCATATGCAGTTTTGTGTTTTAGGATGCAGCTTTTAATTTTTATTCTACTCATTTTTGATATTTCAAATATCTTGAAAACCAATAATCTATTTACCTGTCTATAAGTTATTTTCCTTTGTAATTAGAAATACTAGTTCGACAATGCAGAATAAGAATGAGAATCATTTTTATATTACTACTTTCTTAATCTTGTAAATATACCTATTTCAGTTTTATCATTATAAAGTCCTTAGAAATACCTTTAGGTACAAAGACAATATTATTCCATCTTTTTTCTTTTAGACAAATAGTTTTCAGTACACTATTCAATTATTCACATTGTAAAGCAGTTATACTTTTTTAAAGAAATTCTTTACTTGTATTGGAAACCTCTTTGAAAATAATATCCAAATGATTACATTGCACAGTAGTTTTTTATATACTACACAATTAAATAATGCTGCCTATAATTTCAAAAAATCCATCATGATAGAAAGAAACCCTAAAATATAAATAAATAAGCAAGAACTAAAACGAATAACTTTGAAAAAGACAGTATAATTAAATGTTTAGTGACCAATTCTTAGGAAAACATATTTATATTTGCTGCAATAAGGAAACATGTCATATTTTAATACCGAAAATTTATGATATGCCTGGCTCTGTTCTCAATTTTTTACATACATTAATTTATATAGCTTTTACAATAATCCAGTGAAGTCCGGTGAAGTAGATTTTATGCTCTCCTTTTTACAAATGGGGAAACTAAGAAAAATGAGTTATGCAACTTGTCCAACTTCATACAGGAAGAAAAAGAGAGTTGAAAATTATACCCAGATGGTGTGTGCTCTTAACCATTACTCTGCATTGTCCTTTATGAGGTGCCTAAATACGTTTTATTCTTCATGCACTTCCCTTTATTTTTAAATTGTTGCTTGGTGTATGAAAATGTGTATTCTTAAGCTTGAAGTTACATAATTAGTTCAACTGCAGTTTTTTAACAAGTAAAGTCTATTGATCGTACAAACTGATATAAAAACTATAAGCTTGGAATATTATGATTGGGCTCTGTGTTCCCACACAACTCTCACCTTGAATTGTAATAATCCCAACACGTCAAGGGCGTGAACAGGTGGAGATAATTGACTCATAAGGGCGGTTTGCCCCATGCTGTTCTCGTGATAGTGAGTGAGTTCTCACGAGATGTGATGTTTTATAAGGGGCTTCCCCTTTCACTTGACTCTCATTTTCTCTCCTGCCACCCTGTGAAGAGGTGCCTTCTACCATGCTTGTAACTCTCCTGAGGCCTCCCCAGCCGTGTGGAACTGTAAGTCAATTAAACCGCTTTTCTTTATAAATTACCCACACTTGGGTATTTATTCACAGCAGCATGAGAACAGAGTAATACAGCATAATATATATTTAAATAAATATATGCAATTGGAAAATTTATTTATGTATCTATTATTGTTTTGAAGGTTTACCTAACACTTTACTATAATTATTAGGAAAACATTGTGCCTCATTAAATGTAAAAAAGTTTATCAAGCCAATGTCAATCTCCAGTGAGCCATTTATTGTTTGTTATTTAATTTGGGAGTTCATGGCAACACTGTATCATATTTTTATTTTTTGTTTTAATTTTCTTTTGTACTATCTTGACAATTGATGATCAAATGACAAAGAAAAGCTCTGTTAAATGTAATTTATATCTGTTATGTGTTTACCTGTTTGTTCTCTTGGAAAAAGACATAGTCCTTACTAAAATGTTTGTAGCTTGTAATTCACTATGTAATTTTTGGATTGTATCTGTGCTACATGCCAATGGTAGATGGCCCTCTGCTCTCAATCACAGTGCAATTTTACATGACCTTCTTTTAGACCCCTCAAAAATATCTTTTTCTTTCTGTACTTAAATTAAGTCAAGATTATTTACATTTTTCACTATGGATTCTGAATAAGGTGATAATAAATACAAAAACTTTTCCATTTCAGTGTCTCAATCCCCAGTTTTAGTTTTAATGGAAATTATGTGCTTGTTTTCTAGTTATAAGCAAAAATAGGGCAAATTTCAGCAGAAAATGGCATGGTGTATATCCCAAAATTCTTGGATAATAAATAAATAAATACAAAACCAAGGTAAAAAATTATGTATATTTTTAAGACACAGAGTCAAGATAAGCCAGTGAAGCATATTGATCAGTGCACAGAAGTTTGCTTTCTTTTTCCTTTCTCTTTTTCCTTCCTTCCTTCCTTTTTCGCTTTCTTATTTAAATTTTGCTTTGTGCAATGTTTCCTTAAATACTTAAAAAGGAAACCAAAGCTGAAATATGAATTGCAAATTAAGAAAGTCTTTTTGAAAATCATTAATAGCTCTAAATGTGGCTAACAGTGTATGTGATCAAGTACACAGACATTGGTGAACTTTTAGCATATGATGAAGGGATTTTAACTTTTTTCCTTGAGTCCCAGAGTGATATCTCTTTTCTTTTTATCTTCCTAGATTTTGCTCCTTGTGTGTTTTTCTGTAAACACCAATCACATGAAATTGAATATCCAGAAGATTAGCCATTTCGAAAGTCATATTTCCTGCATTACTAAAATATGCTAATATAGAAAATTCTAAGGGATGTAGTTTTTTTCTTTTTTAATCTTTTGTTCTTCTCCATTCAAAGTAAATGTCACCACTAAATATTGCAGCATTATTGCAGGTATATTTTATGCATATAGCAAACATTAAACAATGTGATTTAGTTGAACTTTTCCTAGACTTCCAAGATTGCTTCTAAAGATTGTATAAGGTGAACTCACATTCATGACAGATTTATTAAAGACAAATCATATATTAAATCCTTGGAAGTTATATTTTACATTAAAGGTAAATTAAAACCATAAATTAAATGTGTGCACAGATGAACCCAATCTTAGCAAATAGTAATCAGGTACTGTTTAATTTTCCTGTAGTGGATAGATTCATCAGGATTCACCGAGTTTGTATAGTAATTTTCCATATCCCCCATATATCTAACATTTGCTTCATTAGATTAGGTCTCCTTATAATCATCAGGCAAAGCACATTCTTACATTTAGGAGAAAGGATGACATTGCCATCCCAATACTTTAATGTGGAAAACATATATCTGCTATTCTCTATAATAACATATTTGGGAAGTCAAATAACCTTAAGAGAGTAGTTCGCTATAATCAACGAAATTCAGTCTATTCCTTAAATACTTAAATAGAGATGTATTTGTGTGTAAATGTGTACGTAAGTTTTAAATGTATAGATTTTTGTTCAACAAGTGAGGTCTCCAGATGTATAACAATGTTCTAAACACATTTTTGAAATAACTTATGTACCTAAAAGGTTTTAATATATAATTCAATGATTATAAAGCATGATCAAGCATTATTTGACATAGGTACCTTTTAATGCTTTACATATTATCTGTGTGATCTTTAAATTATTAAATCTGTTATCTCTTTATATTTGTTTAATTGATAAATTAATTCTGTAACCACTGTATTATTTCCGATTAAACATTATTGTATATATTTTTATCAGAAAGTGTGATTGAGGTTTTGCAATTTTGTTTTTTGTTTGTTTATTCTATCCTGAGTTAGAATGTTAATTATGGTATACAATTATTTCTGAGATAAGGCATAAACTTAATAACATTTTTGGCTACCAGGCAAGAAACTATGAATTCACTTACTGGCTTATAAGTAGTACAATACTATAATGTAACAGTGTAAAGCCAAACCTATATTTTCTAGAGATTGTTCTGAATTCTAATTTTGATCATAAATGGGTTTGTTTCAAATATTGTGTGAGTTTAGAATCACAACTACATGGATATAGGAATATATTATATTACACAAAGAAAGAAATGTAATGGCTAATACTTCTTGACATATTCACAAGTAAATGCTGGCAAGTTTAATGCAAACTTTCCCTCTCCATATTAAATACTGCATGTAAAACACATGGGTAAATGCTACAGGTCAATAGATTTGCACAATCCTAATTCTTTAAGAAAATTTCAATGGATTTTGTAGTACAAGTGGTTTTTGGTTACAAGGATGAATTATATAGTGATCCATTCTGAGATTTTAGTGCATCCATCACCAAAGTAGTGTACATTGTACCTAATGTGTAGTTTTGTATCCCTTGATCCTCTTCCAGCCTCCCCTGTCTGAGTCTGTAAATTCCATTGTAACATTTGGTATGCCTTTGCCTACTCATAGCTTAGCTCCCACTTGTAAGTGAGATCATACAGTCTTTGGTTTTCCACTTCTGTGTTACCTCACTTAGAATAATGGCTTCCAGCTCCATCCAAATTACTACAAATAACATTATTTTGTTTCTTTTTAATGGCAGAGTAGTATTCTATTGTGTATATATAGCATATTTCCCTTATCCACTCATTAGGCCACAGGCACTTAAATCGGTATATTTGCAATTGTGAATTCTGCTGCTATAAACATAAGTGTACTAGTGTCTTTTTCTATAATGACTTATGTTCCTTTAGGTAGATACCCTGCAGTGGGATTGCTGAATTGAATGGTAGATCTACTTTTAGTTCTTTAAGGAATCTCCATATTGTTTTCCATGGATGTCATACTAATTTATATTCCCATTGGCAGTGTATAAGTGTCCCCTTTTTATACATCTATGCCAACATTTATTGTTTTTTTGACTTTTTAATAATGGCCATTTTTGCAGGAGTAAGGTGGTATCTCATTGTGGTTGCATTTCCCTGACGATCAGTGATGTTGAGCATATTTTCATATATTTGTTGGCCATATGTATATCTTTTTATCTTTTTTATTTTTTAATTAATTATTCTTTTCTTTGCTTCTTTTTTTCTTTCTTTCTTTCTTTTTTTTTTTTTTTTTGAGACATAGCCTTACTCTGTGACCCAAGCTGGAGTGCAGTGGCAAAATCTCAGCTCACTGCAACCTTCACCTCCCGGGTTCAAGCGATTCTTGTGCCTCAGCTTCCCGTGTAGTTGGAACTACAGGCATGTGCCACCACACCTGGCTAATTGTTGTATCTTTTAGTAGAGAAAGAGTTTCACAATGTTAGCCAGGCTGGTCTTGAACTCCTGCCTCAAGTGATCTGCCTGCCTCAGCCTCCCAAAGAGCTGGGATTGCAGGTGTGAGCCACTGTTCCCAGCCATATCTTGAGAAATGTCTGTTAATGTCTTTTGCCCACTTTTTAATATAATTGATTGTTTCTTTTCTTGGAGATTTGTTTGAGTTCCTTATAGATTCTGGATGCTAGTCCTTTCTTTGATGCATCGTTTGAAAACATTTTCTGCCTTCTGTGGGGTGTCTGTTTACTTACTCTGTTGAATATTTCTTTTGCTGTGTAGAAATTTTCTTTTCTTTTCTTTTTTTTTTTTTTTTTTTTTGAGATGGAGTTTCACTTTGTCACCTAGGCTAGAGTGCAGTGGTGCGATCTTGGCTCACTGCAAGCTCCACCTCCCGGGTTCACGTCATTCTCCTGCCTCAGCCTCCCAAGTAGCTGGGACTACAGGCACCTGCCACCATGCCCGGATAATTTTTTCTTTTCTTTTCTTTTTTTTTTTTTTTGTATTTTTAGTAGAGACAGGGTTTCACCGTGTTTGCCAGGATGGTCTCGATCTCCTGACCTCGTGATCCACCCGCCTCGGCCTCCCAAAGTGCTGGGATTACAGGCGTGAGCCACCGCACCTGGCCAGTGCAGAAACTTCAGTTTATTTAGGTTCCATTTATTTATTTTTGTTTTGTTTTACTTAATTTGGGGGTCTTAGTCACGAATTCTTTGCCTAGGACAACTCTAGAAAAGTTTTTCTAGCAGTGTCTTTTAGAATTTTTATGGCTTCAGGCCTTATATTTAAGTCTTTGATTCATCTTGAGTTGATTTTTGTATATGGTGAGAGATAAGGATTCAGTTTCATTCTTCTACATGAGGCTTGCCAGTTTTCCCAGCCACCATTTATTGAATAGGGTGTCCGTTCCCCAATTTATGTTTTTGTATGCTTTGTTGAAGATCAGTTGGCTGTATGTACTTGGTTTTATTTCTGGGTTCTTTATTCTGTTCCACTGGTCTATGTGCCGACTTTTATAGCAGTACCATGCTGTTTTGGTTAACTATAGCCTTGTAGTATAATTTGAAGATAGGTAATGTAATGCCTCCAGATTTATTCTTTTTGCTTATTATTGCTTTTGCTTTTGGGGCTCTTTTTTGGTTCCATATGAATTTTAGGATTGTTTTTTCTAATTCTGTGAAAAATAGTCTTGGTATTTTGATAGGAATTACATTGAGTGTGTAGATTCCTTTGGGAAGTATGGTAATTTTCACAATATTGATTCTTTTAATCCATAAGCATGGAATGCATTTCTATTTTTTGTGTCTCCCATAATTTCTTTCAGAAGTGTTTTGTAGTTCTCCTTCTAGAGCTCTGTCACCTCCTCACGTAGGTATATTTCTAGGTAGTTTTTTTTTTGGCAGCTGTTGTAAAAGGGATTGAGTTCTTAATTTGATTCTCAGCTTAGTGATTGCTGGTGTGTAGCAGTGCTACTGATTTGTGTACATTCATTTTGTAACCTGAGACTTTAGTGAATTCATTTATCAAATCTAAGAGTCTTTTGGCAAAATCTTTAGTTTTTCTAGCTATACAATCATATTACCTGCAAACACCATTAGTTTTACTTCCTCTTTTTCTAATTTGGATGCCCTTTATTGCTTTATCTTGCCTAATTGCTCTGGCTAGTACTTCCAGAACTAAGTTGAATAGGAGTGGTAATAGTGGACATCCTTGTCTTGTTCTTGTTCTCGGGAGGAATGCTTTCAACTTTCCTCCATTTAGGATGATATTGACTGTGGGTTTGTCATAAGTGACTTTTATTATTTTGAGGCAGGTCCCTTCTATGCCTAGTTTGTTGAGAGTTTTTATCATAAAGGGGTGCTGGAGTTTGTTAAGTGTTTTTTTCTGCATCTATTGAGATGACTATATAATTTTTAATTTAATTTAATAATAAATCATTTTAATTACTTTTAATTATTGAAATAAATTATTAATAATTAATGAATTAATTTATTTGATTTATAATTTTTGTTTTATATTCTGTTTAAATGATGCATCGGGTTTATTGTCCTGTGTATATTAAACAATCCTTGCATCCCTGGGATGAAAACTATCTGGTCATGTTGAACTACATTCTCTCATTTCTTCCTTTCTCCTTCTCTTCTTCCTTCTCTCCTTCCACTTCTCATACCCTCTTCCAATCCCCTCACTTTTACTTTCTCTTCTTTCTTTTCTGTTTTTATTAATTTAAAATAATAATCTGGAGCAAATACAGGTGGTACACACTACAAGGTCTGGTTTTCTCTAATTTTATATATCCCTCAATATAGCATGATTAGAAATAAATCATCAAAATTCTAAAATTAGAACAATGCACCCTAATTAGTAACTATGAAAACTGGCAGATTAGTAAAACTATCTTAATATAATTTTAGGAGAGAAACTCAGAAGAGATAACCTTTGAAATGTACTTTAAGTTTATATTCTGAACCTTAAACCTCCAAGTGAAATATCACAATATTCTTCTTTATGGCTACTTAAATAGATAGTAAACATTCCCCAAACTGTATAGTGTTAGATTTGATTGGGAGAGACTAATGGCTCCTTGAACTGACTATTTCTCCTAAACTTAGAAAGATGAAAAAATAATTTTTGATTATCAGTCTGTTATATTATGGGCACCTTTTTTTTTTTTAAAACAAACAAACAAACAAACAAAAACTGAGTCTAGCTCTTGTTGCCCAGGCTGGAGTGCAGTGGCACAATCTCGGTTCACTGCAATCTCCACCTCCGAGGTTCAAGTGGTTCTCCTGCCTCAGACTCCTGAGTAGATGGGATTACAGGCACCCGCCACCATGCTGGGATAATTTTTGTACTTTTAGTAGAGACGAAGTTTAGCCATATCGGCCAGGCTCCTCCAGAAATCCCGACCTCGGGTGATCCAACTTGCTCGGCCTCCCAACGCACCTCTTTAGTCTTCTGCGTTATCCTTCCTTCTTTATTTCCTGTCTTCCTATCCTCCCTCCCTCTTCCTTCCTTTCTTTTCCTTCCTTCCTTCCTTCCTCTCTTTCTTTTCTTTCTTCCTTTCCTTCTTTCTTTCGTTTCTTTCCCTTTCTTTCTTTCGTTTCTTTCCCTTTTTCTTTCTTTCTTTCTTTCTTTCTTTCTTTCTTTCTTTCTTTCTTTCTTTCTTTCTTTCTTTCTCTTTCTTTCTTTCTCTCTCTCTCTCCTTCCTTCCTTCCTTCTTTCCTTCCTTCCTTTCTCCTTTCTCTTTCTTTCTCCATTTTTTCTTTTTGTTTTCTCTTTTCCTTCCCTTTTCTCTTTTCTTTCTTCCTTCCTTCCCCTTATTTTATTTTATTATTTTTATTTTATTTTACTTTATTTCACTGATCCTGCCTAAAACTTAATTCATTTTCAAAACTAAAATCTATGGCATGTGAGGACTAATAAGCATTTAGTGTTTTCTATAATAAATGTTTATACTATATGCACACACATCCTTTTACTTGAGAAAATATAATTAAGGATTATTTTTGTTCCTTTAATGTGGTTTTACTGTCTTCTGTTTTATAGAAGATCACTGAGTTAATCACATGAATTGTCTGTATGATAAAGTCAGTATTGATATCTGTTTTTTACACAGTAAATGAGCACAAAATTATAATGTATTAATAATTTTTCTGAGGTCAGGTATAAGGTTTGAGTGCCAGTTGCTAACATAGTAGGGATTAAATTTATTATAGTCTTCCTAATAAACATCCACTTCCTTTTAATATGAATACACAACTGACTTAGACTCCCAGAATTCATGAATTATATACTAGCCTGAAAATGGCTATAAGAATTATGTAACATTAAAACAATTTACTGAAATTTATACTTCACCTACTTTTACTCAAAAATGCTAGAGGCTTTGGGATTTGATTTGTATTTGCCTTAAGGTTTCCCCTCCCTCTCTGAGGGTTTCACATGTATTAATTCAACCAGTGGTGGACCAAAAATGTTTGGAAAAATAGTGAGTGGTTGTGTTTGTACTGAAAATGTACAGATTTTTTTCTTATCATTATATCCTAAAAAATAAAGTACAAAAAACAATTTATATAACATTTACATTGTGTTAGATATTATAAATAATCTAGAGATGATTTAAAGTATAGAAGATATGCATAGGTTTTATGCAAATACTGCATGATTTCATGTAAGGAAACTTATCTGGATTTTTGTATCTGCAGGGGTGCCTGAAGCCAATCTTCCTTGAATACCTAGGGATGACTGAACTTGCTTTCCCATGGGCAAATTATTTTACCTCTTTGATTTTATTCTCGGTATCTCTATGTAGTATATTAGGTTATTTTTTTCCTGGCATAATTGTTATGAGATAAATTAGAATATATAAATACCAGAATTGCAGTCATATAAATGATATTCAATGATGGCAAGATTAGGTTTGCCTCTCTGTAATGATCTATATTTATCTGCCTATCCCAAATATGGTCGTATTAACTATATTTTTAGTTACCCAAGTTATCCACTGGTAAACTATAAGCACTTGAAAAAGACATCTGCCTGTCTAACTCATCCTTGAATCCCCAGTGCTTGCATTTTAGTAGATATCTGACAACCAGTGAAAATGCAATGAACATTTACTAAATAAATAATAATTATAAATCATATATACTTTCTCTATGTTCTACAATGCTAAAGAGGCAATATCCTACTTACAAATCTAAGAGTGAATGTAATCCTATAAACGTTAAAAAGATAAAACTGCTTAATATAATATCCAATTAAAGCAATTGAAAATCAAGTATAAACAAATTTAATAATATATTGAGATGGCCATTTTAAATTTACTTTTATAACATTACAGCTACTTTTATACATTTTATAATTACCTCTGTTTTAAAACATCTAAAGAAATCGACAATTCTGATGTTAAAAATACATCACTAGGAAGTGGCAGAGCTGAGATTGAGCTGTGGCTATACAGTCCAAAATCTGTGTTCTTATTCTCCATACTAAACTGTGTCTCTGCCCACCATATTGCATTGGGTCCAGTGAAGTGACTAAATTCATATGCTCATCCAAAAATATAACCAGTTTTCTTGGCTCCTAGGTCAAAGATAAATTGTGCTCTCTCTGCTGAAGTCTTAAATACTTCAGAGATTTAGATATTTGATATTTAAATACTAACCGTTATTTCAGTAGTTAATATTTAAATATTTAGTTTGATATTAACAAGATATTGTTCTGGGGTTTAAGATTTGAAAAAAAATTTTACTTGGGCATTTTATTTATGAATAGGTATTTTATCAGATATACCATTCACTTGTTGCTTTTTTTATATCTATAGTACAAACACTATAACGTCTAAATCTTTATATCACACATTTCCGTAGAACAAAATTTAATAAAGGTTAAGTTATTTTTCCTTCTGATAGAGTTATTCTTATGATAAGATCTTGCCTATAAGATGATCTTTGGAAACATAGCTTTTGGGATTTTTATTGATTTTATAGCAGTACTATTCGTAGTAAAAAAATAGTAATGTTAAGTAGAAGAAGGAGCAGAAATAGCATGATTTAAATTACAGTATTTTTGTGAGGATCCAGATTAATATATGCTGATTACCTCTGGCATTTATTTAGTTTATTTTATTTCAATGCCTTCATTACAAACGTGATGTTAATGTACTGTATTCCTTCAGATTGCCAAATATTTATAGAACAACTTTTGAGAATTGTGACAATGCTAAGCACTAAAGATTTAAAAATGAATGGCCTGTTTTCTCCATTTTTTCCTGTTTTTGTTTTTGTTTTGTAGAATGTAGTAGTATATTCTATTGGGGTACACATTAGCATATAATTATTACCTAATTGCATTGTATAAAATATATGAATATAGATTATCAATAACACATAAATATATTTAGAGTGATTGGAGTAGCACATAGGGGAGAAGAGACTTGAATTGTGGATCAGCAGAACTAAGACTTAGTCGCTTTCCCTTTAGCTTGTTGTGAAACTTAACAAATATTTTCAGTTGATCAAATATCTTTAATCATTAAACATTTGTCCAATACTGAAAACAGCTAATATTTCTTTGGAAGCTTTACTTTATGTAAAAACCTACTCTTGCTTCTTCCATGAATATGAAGATCCGAATGAGTGAAAAATAAAGCCTCAGAGGTAGTACATAAAGAGAGCATAGCATCACAAAAATCATATTAGTGTGTTCTACCCCCTGCTAGTTAATGCGTTCAGTACAGAAATCACAATACAATTTTCAAAGATCCCAGAGGAAAAAAAGGCATAATTGTCTGAAACATGATTGAAAAATGGAAAAGGCAGCACAGGAATTCAGCTACCTACATGAGAAATATAATTTTTTTAATTTTTTTCCATTACTAATTTTTTCCCCCACATTACTAGTTTTTGTTAAGGTAGAAACTATCAATGAAAATAAAGTGTCAAAACATTTCAAGGTGAGATTTTACAATGCAAAACCAAACTGCCCTGGAAAATGTTGACGCTTTTGCTTCTGCCTTTGATCTAGATGGGGATAAAATAACATGGATCAGGGCAATAGGAGTGGGGGTGGTGAGGCATTTCCACTGAAGTAAGTGAATGAAATTGTGGAGTAAAATCGGAAAGCTTTCCCCATGATAAATTAATTCCCTTGCATTGAAAGGGTATAGACCTGCTTCTACTGAAATAACATTTTAGTATATTTATCACAAAGTTTGGCAAAGATATTAAATTAAAATATATTTTCCCTAAATAAATGCCCCTTCCCCCTCTGAATTAGATTTTTGAAGTCACTGGCAAACGATTTCTTTTTTTTTAAGATAGAGTCTAGTCTCACTCTGTCGCCCAGGATGGAGTGTAATGGCATGGTCTCAGCTCACTGCAACCTCCACCTCTTGGGTTCAAGCGATTTTCCTGCCTCAGCCTCCCAAGTAGCTGGGACTACAGGCATGTGCCATCACATCTGGCTCATTTTTGTATTTTTAGTAGAGACAGGGTTTCACTATGTTGGCCAGGCTGTTCTTGAACTCCTGACCTCAGGTGATCCGCCCACCTTGGCCTCCCAAAGTGCTCGGATTACAGGAATTTTCTCTGACATGTACTTTCAAACAATGGGGGTGGGAAATGGACAGGATGTTAGATGTGGTCATGAACACATACAGTTCATATGAGAGTAAATATTTTATCTTTTTTAAAGGTATTATCCAAAAACTTAAAATAGCTAACCTTGTGACAAGATAAATGAACCATATGAAACACATAAGACCTTGATTACCTAACAAATAAATGCCATTCATTCTAGAAAATGTAGCACTAGAATGTTCTTCTTAAAAAAGTAATTTTTGTGAGTTTATATTCTCTGCTAATATTACTGGAATTATTAGGACACATAGCTATCCAATAGGAGACATATGATGTTAAGACAGAGTTCAGGAAACACTTTTGTAGCTTATCAGTGAGTAGAATACTTACTGCCTGCTGTTTAAGAAAGCTGTTCCTGAGGACATACAAACAGTGAGAACTTGAAAAAAATGGTGTCAAAAGGAATATGCTGTTATTCCCATAGGTAGCTATATGTTTCTTCTTGGTGAATTGAGCTGCGTAAATTAGTATGTGGTCACAACCAAGACCAAAATAAATCCAAGTAATGAGAAAAAGATATCAAGCAGGGAGGATGAGAGTAAAGTAAAGAAGAACCCCTGTCTCTTTTTCCAATTGCTTTCCTATTAGGTTTCAAAAGAATCTGTGTTGGACAAAAAGGATTTTGATTTTCAGACCTACAGATACAACTTTTTATCTATACGAGAAACAGTGTGGGGTAGAAAAAAACATGGCCTGAAGATGGGAAGAAAAAGCCAATACAGTAGCACTTGGAAAGGTTCCATGAATTGGTAATAACTGTCTACTTTTAAATGACTATAAGCTTCACTAAATTAAATGTGTCTAAAGGTAAATTATAATTCTTTTATTTAGGAAATATTTAATAATATAAATGAATTTAATTCTTTTCATTTTAAACCTAAACATTAAATCCCTAATGATAATATATTGGATTATTTATTATGTGTCATTGTTATATTCTGTATTTACCCTCAGTGTGTATAAATCACACATACACACACATTTGCATTTAATTTGGATGTAGAGACAGATAGTGACACACATGTACCAAGAAGGTATGAAAAAGTTTACTATTAACACAATCAGATTTTTTTTTATTACACTTTAAGTTCTGGGATACATGTGCAGAATGTGCAGGTTTGTTATATAGGTATACACATGCCATGGTGGTTTGCTGCACCCATCAACCCATCATCTACATTAGGTATTTCTCCTAATGCAATCCCTCCCCACCTCCCACCCCCACAACAGCCCCCCATGTGTAATGTTCTTCTCCCTGTTTCCATGTGTTCTCATTGTTCACCTCCCACTTATGAGTAAGAACATGTGGTGTTTGGTTTTCTGTTCCTATGTTAGTTTGCTGAGAATGATGGTTAAATGCCCATCAATGATAGACTGGATAAAGAAAATGTGGCACATATACACCATGGAATACTATGCAGCCACAGTGAGATTTTTGAAGAAAGAGCAGGGATGACTCCTCAGAAGCTCCAAAAATGGTTTGAAAAAGTGAGAAAGGGACACTAGCTTTGGTTTCTCTGGTGGTCAAGGGCTTAGGTGAAAGTATTTTCCCTATGACAGCTGGGCTCCTGTGTTCTAAACTTCCCATGAGTGTCAAAGGACCACCCAGGCTCACTTAGCAGCTTGCTCAGATATGGTCTAAAATGGGAAGAGGGAGAGGTGAGAGGCTTAAAAGCTATCAGAAATCAAACATAACATGCAATCAGACTCTTTATTCCATTTTAATTTTAAAATACTATCTAAGCATTGTAGAGTTATTTGGGCTTTATTTTAATTGACAAGTAAAAATTGTATATATGGTGTACAACGTGAGTCTTTGATATATGTATGTGTTGCAGAATGGCTACATTAAGCTGTTTAATATATGCATTATTTCACATACTGTCTTTTGTGATAAGAACACTTAAAATCTATTCTCTTAGAAATATTTAAATATAAAATATTTTGTTACTGGTTGTAGCCACTATAATGTACAATAGAGCTCTTGGAATTATTCCTCTTTTCTAACTGAAATTGTGTGCCCTTTAACATCTCCCAACCCCCTAACCCCCACCCTCTAAAATATTATCCTATTCTGTTTCCATGAGGTTGACTTTTTTACATTCCATATGTAAGTGCGAACACGCAGTATTTATCTTTTCTGGGCCTGGCTTATTTCACTTAACATAATATCCTCCTGGTTCATCTATGTTGTTGCATGTATTATGGGATTTTCTCCTGTTGTAAGGCTGAACAGTGTTTCATTGTGTATATGTATATACAACTCATAAACAAAGAAACATCTATGTAGAAAATATAAAAGATTCTACATAAAATGTCCCATAACTAATACGTAAGTTTGATAAAATCATAGGATACAAGGTCAATATACAAAAGTTTCCTTTTTGTTCTTTTCTACTAAGAATTTTTTAATGACTACATGCAATAATGTGTCAAATTCTTGTTCAGGATCTATAAAATTGAATTAGTTTTCTTTTTTTAGTCAATTAATATGGTAAATTATATTGTTTGGTGTTCAAATGTAGTAACCTTACATTATTGAAATAAACAAGTATTGATCAGGATTAATTACTTTTGTTACTGATTGAATTTAAGCTACCAATATTTTATAAAACTATTTACATATTATGTTCATGAATAATATTCTGTAGTTTTATTTTCTTGCTAGATCTTTGCCTGAGTTTGGTATCGAGATAATTCTGGTTTCAAAAAATGAGTTTGGAGGGTTCATTTGCCTTTTATTATTTGGAAGAGATTGTATAGAAGAGGTGCATTTCTTTTTTCAATATTTGGCAGACTTCAATAGTAATGACATTTGGGCCTAGAGTTTTCTTCATGAGCATGTATTTGATTGTGAATTTAATATTTCAAAAGATATAGAGCTACGAAGAATACGTGTTTCTTTTTCAGTGATTGTTTTAGTTTGAGTCTTTCAAGAAATGAATGAATTTTATTCAATTTGTCAAATTGGTTACCATAAAATTGTTCTTAATATTCCCTTATTATTCCCGTAACATTCTCTTAAAATATTTTACTGTCTATAATATCTGTATAAATGTAGCCTTTTTATCCATAGTATTAATAACTTATGCCTTTTTCATATTTTATTAATATTTTCAGTCTAGCTACAATGTTATCAATTTTATTAATCTCAAAATTTTTGGTTTTAAAATTTTTTAAATATTTTTAAAATTTTAATTTTTTATGCATTTATGTTTACTCATTCCTTCAATTGGCTTAAATTGCTTTTTTCTTATGTGCCTATTTGCTAATGTTTAAGCAAGAATCATTACTTTAAGAGCTTTTTTGTCTCATATAAGCATTTACTTCTATGAATTTCTATTTAGAATGACTCTAATTGCAACCTACAAATTCTTATGCTTTGTTTACATTTTCATCCATTTCAATTCTATTTTACTTGTGATTTCTTTATTGATCAATGGGAAATTTAGAAATTTCTTGGATATTTCATATTGTTGGTTGTTAATTTCTAAATTAATTATTGTATTCAGAGCTCATTTTCTTTTGATTATAATTATTTAACATGTAATTAATTGTTTTTTATGGTCTATCTTTTTGAATGTCATATATGCCCATGAAAAGAATGCATATTCTGCTGATGCCTCTATTGAATGGGGTGTTTAAGTGGCTTATGCTGTTGCTCAGATTATCTGTATCCTTTTTATTTCCCCTCCACTTGTTCTATCAATCATTAGGGCAAGATATGGAAGTATCTAAGTACAAGTGTGAATTTGTCATTTCAGTTTCATCAGTTTTGCTTTTAGAATCCTGAAGGAGTCTTGTTACTGTATGTTTTTTAGACTATTATGTCTCTCTTAGAAATTGACCAGTTTTTCATTATTTAATGTCCCTTGTTATCCCTTTTTCTGAAGTATATTTAATCTGACATTAATGTAGACTCTCCAGGTTTCTTTTGATTAATATTTTTGTTTTTATTTTGTGCTTTTAAAAAATCCCTTTAATTTTTCTTGTTTCTTTTAAATTATACTCTAAATTCTAGGGTACATGTGCACAACGTGCAGGTTTGTTAAGGCGGTTTTCTTGGAGACAACATGTATGTGACTGTGTGTTTTTATCCAATATTAAATTATTTAGCTTTTAATTGTGGTAATTAGTTTTAATTATTATGATTATTGATATATTCACATTGAAGTCTCATAGATATTTCATTGGTTCTATCTTTCCTTTTTTGATTTTTTTTCTTCTTATTTTTAACTTTTAGGTTCAGGCTTACATGTGCCTTTTCATGTTTGTTATATAGGTAAATTGTCTGTCACGAGGGTTTGCTATGTAGATTATTTTATCACCCAGGTAATCAGCATAGTATCCTATAGGTAGTTTATCAATCCTCCCCATTCTCTCCTTCTCCACCCTCAAGCAGGCCCTAGTGCCTATTGTTCTCTTCTTCGTGCTCATATGTACTCAGTGTTTAGCTTCTACTTATTAGTAAGAGCATGCAATCACTGGTTTTCTGTTTCTGCATTAGTTTGCTGAAGATAATGGCTTCCAACTTCATCCACGTCCCTGAAAAGGAGAGGATCTAATTTCTATTTATTGCTGCATAGTATTCCATGCTGTATATGTACCATATTTTCTCTATCCACCATTGATGGGCATTTAGGTTGATTCCATGTCTTTGCTATTGTGAATAGTGCCGCAATGAACATATGCATTCGTGTGTCTTTATGGTAGAATTATTTATATTCCTTTGGGTATGTACCATATAATGGGATTACTGGTTCCAGTGGTAATTCTACTTTGAGTTCTTTGAGAGACTGCCAAACTACTTTTCACAATGGCTGAACTAATTTACATCCCCACCAGCGGTGTATAAGTTTTCACTTTTCTTCAGAACCTTGTCAGCATCTGTTGTTTTTTGAGTTTTCAGTAATAGCCATTCAGACTGGTGTGATATGATATCTCATTCTTGTTTTGATTATCATTTCTCTAATGATTAGTGATGTTGAGCATTTTTTTCAGATGCTTGTTGGCCATGTGTATGTCTTCTTTTAAGTGTCTTTTCATGTCCTTTGCCCGCATTTTAATGAAGTTGTTTTTTCCTTGTTAATTTGTTTAAGTTTCTTATAAATTCTGGTTATTAGATCTTTGTCAGATGCATAGATTGCAAATATTTTCTCCCATTCTTCAGGTTGTCTGTTTAAACTGTTGATAGTTTCTTTTGCTGTGCAGAAGTTCTTTAGTTTAATTACGTCTCACATGTCAATCTTTATTTTTGTCGAAATGACTTTTGGCGTCTTCGTCATGAAATCTTTGGCTGCTCCTAAGTCCAGAATGATATTTTCCAGTGTTGCCTTTCAGGGTTTATATAGTTTTAGTCCTTTCTTGAATCTTGAATTTTTGCTTTTGTCTTTTTAATGCCTTCTTTAGATTACTTAAGATATATATACACACATATATATACATATACATATATATCTTAAGCATATGAATATATATATAAACAAATTATATAGATATAGTTCCATTTTATTTCCATAATTGGTTAATGCTATTGCTCTTCTAATAAATGTGTTCATCGTTTCTCCAGGGTTTATATTATATATGTTTAACTTACAGCTTGTTTTTAAACAGTATTTTTTCATGTCTGATGTTAGATTTTTACAACAATATACTTCTATTATTTTTATTTTTGTGCTTTTTGCTAATGTTGTGATGCATTCTATTTTTGTTTTACATGAATAAAAACTTTATTTATGGTTTTCATTCTAAAATTTATTAGTTTTTCTGTCTCAGTAAATTATATTTTGAAGTTTTTTATTTAGTGTAAATCATTTATATTTACCTGCATTTTTACTATTTCCAATGCTGTTTCTTTCTTCTTTTTTCAACAGCCACAGTCTCACCTGTTAACATACTTTATCAGCATAAAGAATTTCCTTTAATATTTCCTGTAATATACTTTACTTGAAAGTAATTATCACAGCTTTTGTTTGTTTAAAAATCATTTTTTTTTTGTTATTTATAAATGGTATCTTAGAGAACTATAGAATTCTGGCTTGGAAAGATTTTCTTTTCTTTCTCTTTTTTCATTATTTTCCAGTGACTATTCCATTATCTGTTGGATTACATATTTTCTGAAAAGGACATAGTTGTAATTATGTTTTAGCTGTTATTTATTTTAAGATTTTTTATTTCTCTAGCTATATTCAAGATTTTCTCTTTACTTTTGATTGTCTGCAATTTTACCATGACATTGTCTAGGTACTTTAAAAAAATATTGTGTTTGCTATTCTCTAGGCATCTTGAATCGAGGTTTTCTTTGCTTCTCTCTCTTCACTCATTAACTACTCATTTGGAATATTCTTGGCCATTATCTCTTCAATTATTTCTTTTGCCTAATATGCTAAGGTAGACTACTTAAGCTTGATACACAGTATTTGACATGAAATAGGAGAAGGATAATTCTCTGCCTTCCTTGTCAGTCCTCAAACTTAGTATGGCATATAAGCCTCAGGAATAAGATCATCTCAGGATACTTGTGTCTTCCATTGTGGGAAGCAGTGCTTTATTTATATACCGGATTATGCAGAGGAGTACATTTTTAATTTTTTCTGCAACCCTAATATATATTTTGTCTTGCAGGATCTTTACTAAAGGTTTCCTCCTCTTCCTCCAGGGCAATGGTTTTGTGCCTGTTGCTTTGTTTCTACCTGTTTCCCAGAAGCATTAGATGTTTTATGGACACTGGAAGTCAGAGGGTTTGTTACCCCATCCTAGCACACTAAAATTTTTCCTTTGTAGGATGCAGGGATCACACAAGAAGTGGTATTTTGCTACCATCTCTTTGGGCAGCTGATCACCACTGTATACGTTCACAAGTTATGGTCTTATCTCCTATCTCTTTCTCTTATCTTTCTCATAAGCTCCAAGTGAATGCCCATAGAAAAAAGTTTATGAGTGACTGCCATCTTCCCTTTTCTCTGGAGCGAGGAGGGTTCCAGCAATTTTAAAATGACACCTGAACCCATATTTGACTTTTAAGAATTTGTCAAAGTACTAGCTGATTTATTTATATTCAACTGTGTGGTTTTTCCGTCTTTTCTTGTTCATTGTTCCTCTAATCATGAAAATGATTACGTATCTCATCTCTGTGGAGTGACTATCACTGTGGAATTTGGTTTAGCTGTATGCCTTGTTTCATACCTTGTAACTTGAACTTTCTGACAGGCTAAAAAATATGACTTCCTAGATAATCTGATGTTTTCTCATTGTTAATATGCATCAACATTGTCTTGCTGAGCATATTCTAAGTGAAAACACAGGGCCTAGTGTCAGGATTTTATATTTTTGGCATCTAGTACATAGCAAATGATCAGTCTACTGATTCCTATAAAATTGAATGTGGGTGGCAGGAAAATTCACACAGACCCATGCACACACATTGTAGCATAGATACAAAACACACCCTTATTTATACAAATATATTTTAAAGAATGGATCTTAAATTTGGTGAGACAAGCAGAGGAAGAGTTCTGAAGATTGTTTGTTAAATATCCATTTTATTTATAAGCAGATGATAATTTTCTTAAATATCACTTTCCCAATATATTGTCAAAATTAATGCAATTAAGTATTACAAAATGTTGCAGGTTAAAATATATTATGCTTAATCCTTCATATCTTTTATTTTTAAATACTTATATAGTATAATTTTAAGGATATAAACTTGTACCGTAACATTCCTTTTGTGCATTTCCTAAGTATTTTTTATTGTTTTAAAATAATATTCAAAAGAAAATGCTGATATGTTATGGCTCCTCTGAAAACAATAATAGGGATAACCAGTAGAAGAGACAGAAAGGGTCTATATTCTTTTATTTCATTCTCTTATCATAAGATACCAATCTCAGAGTATATATTTTACTATATTTTATTCTCATAAAGACAAATGTGCAGCATTGAGAAGAAAATAAAATTTAGATACTTAGTAAGTCAATCATTGTTGTTTCAAGTTCATACAAATTAAATAATAAACATGAGCTTTTGACAGAAAAGTAAGATATATACCAACTAAGACATTTAAACTCAAAAATCAGGTTAACTGTCTATGAAAGTATATTCAAAACCTGTGGTCTTTGACTAGCAGAAGCTTTGCAGTGACTCATGCTAAGCAGTAGTCTTTCCATTGAATATATAAATTATTAAAAAGATTATTATAATTAAGTTTAGAGAGGTTCTAGTTAATGATGGAAAAAATCAGCGTTAGTAATACATCAATCATTGAATTCAGGTCTTTATTTCTTTACTAAATCATTATACTGAAAGATTGCATTTGTTACATATTAAGATAATGTGCTTCAGTGTTTGATAGTATAATGACAAACCTAATAGAGAATAAGAAGTCAAGCAATTATCACTACAAATCCAAGTATAATTTTAATTTTCATGCCAGAAATGTAGAGCAATAAATAAATAAGATAGATAAGTAGATACGTTGACAGAAAAAAAGTATTGTTAATTGACCCTTATGTCTTAGTCACTTTTGCATAAATACTACACCAATTTCAAGTATTTTATATTGTTCTCATAAAATATTAAAACTTTATTTTTTAAAAATATTGCATATAATTATTTATTTCAAACTGATAAGAAAAACGTCTAGATAGATTTTATACCCTGTGAAAGCTTTAACTACAAGGGACTCGCTTTGCTACTCAAACCAAATAAAAGCAACTTATTAATTATGTTATAAAAAATTATTTTTTAAATATGGGTAATTTAATTTTAAAAGTCATAGCTTTGAATATGGAATCACTATATTTCTTCTAATATTCCATTTATTTTATTTTATAACATTATCTGACTAAACTGCCTGATGTTCAGTGCTTTTAAAATGCCACTATAAAGTCGCCAGATGAAACCAGTTGTCACGGCTAACCCTTTGAATATTAAGGAGAAATACTGGAAAAAAAACAAAAAATAAAAAACATCACCACTCCATCCCCGTATTTTCCAAATCCTTCTGCAGTTCATTTAAATACCTGCTATTATATTCATTATTTGGAAAATCTTGGTATAGCCAAAGGGAAAACATGTACGTGTCCATATTTTTATTTGCTAAAAGAACTTGGGGGTCAGTTTCTTCTGTGCCAGCATTATATATTGCCAGGCTCATTCAATTGGGGGTTCATTGTCTTCCATAATTCCTCTCTTTTAAAAACAAGTTGGTGTACTTATATAAATGATCTATGAAAGAGAATGCTGGCCACGAGGCCTCAAACACAGGAAGCACAATTGTTCTGAATGAGTGAGTAAGCTGGGAATATTTAATTATTACAGAACACTCATGATTAGCAAAGACACATCAGATTATCAGACATAAGGAAAAGGATTTTGGAATGAGGCTGAGGGAAAATTTGTCAAAAGCAGAGAGCTAACTAAGCAGCAAAGAAAGAAAGAGCTGCATAGTGAAAGAGTTTAGTTTTTTAAAAAGAAGGAATAGCAGAAAAACCACTATATATAAGTACAGGGAAAATAATGTGTCCCTCAGCAAAAGTATGTATTGATCTGAATTCAAATATAGAGGTACACATAAATTTTGATACCTTATTTATTTTGTTTTGTAAGTGAATAAGCTTATAAACCACACATTCTTGTTTCAGCAGTTAAAGCTCAATAAGACAGACATGGTAAAATAACCAAACTAATTTTTCTTAGTGAGTATAACTTAAACATTTCAAATATATGTTAGTGTAATTACAGCCTCCACATTTGGTAGTATAGATTTAATGTCCAGTGACCTTTTATTTCTGCGAGTGTAGAGAAATAGGGGTTTAAATTGTCAATGATATCAAATGTTACAATTCAGTTTCAACTCATTTGTAAAACTATAAGGTCATATTACATGCTATTATTATCTAACAATTTATTTCTTTGGCTCCATTAAAACAATTATATTTTGTCCTTCTGAAGAGTGGAAAAATTCATCTCTCTATGTGTAGAAGCCTCCTTTGCAGTCTTCCATATTCTTGCAGACGATACATAATTTGTTATAAGAAAAGGGAAACCCATAGATAGCAAAATAAAGTTGTCATAAATTAACTAGTTTCATCTTGCACCACTACAGAGACCACTGATATAAACATATTTTCCTCTTTTTTTTTAATGCGAAGTCTAAACTTGTGGTAAGATTAAATGAAGTGAATTGCCCAGAAAGTCAATATCAGTGTTTAGTTTATGAGATGATTGAAGATCAATTGATTTATGTCAACAATTGGAGGTAAATAGTTCCTTTGTAACTTTATTCAAAAGACAAATAATATATGGTGATTATTATAAAAACTTGAAATGTCAAGTAAGCTGAAGAATTGAGAAAAATTGAACGAAAAGTTACTGGAATAGGGTACATGACAAAAATAAGACTTTTCTCCTTTATTCTACCCTCTTAATATATAGCTTTTTGGTTTGATGTTTGTTTGTTTGTTTGGTTTTAGACAGAGTCTGGCTCTGTCACCCAGGCTGGAGTGCAGTGGTGTGATCTCGGTGCACTGCAACCTCCACCTCCCAAGTCAAGCGATTCTGTTTGTCAGCAGACTGAGTAGCTGGGATTACAGGCATGTGTAACAGAGATGGGGTTTTGCATTGTTGGCCAGGCTGGTCTCGAACTCTTGGTCTCTAGTGATCCACCAACGTCAGCCTCCCAAAATGCTGGGATTTCAGGCATGAGCCACCACTTCCAGACACATAACAGTTTTTTTTTTAATGATAAATTAATTGTAGACAAATTCAGTTTGAGGTAATGGAGGTAATTATTAAGAACTCTCTGCGTTGAGAAAGATGTTTGAAAAATATTAGTGCAGAGCTGGTGTTTAAAGATATTTAAATAATTGTATTTACTTTACTGTCATCAAAGAAAGCTAAATATCATTTATTGTTTATTCCTTTCTATCTATGCAAGAGTGCTTGATGTTCTGTGAACATACCAGAAATGATACTAATTTAAAGCCTTTGTGCTTGCTATTCTGCCAACTTTGACTGTTATTCCTCAGGATAGTTGTCTGACAAGTTCCCTCATGGTATTCCATTGTTTGCTCATATGTTTCTTACTAAATGAAGTACACAGTAATCATTATTATAAAATTCTATGTAACACTTTCAGAATGGCAGTGTGAGCAGCTCCATGGACCTTCTCCCCAGCCAAACAACAATAACTTATAAAAAATATTTTAAAAGACAAGCTTTTAAAGTCTCTGGAAATTGTCTTATGTGCTATATGCCTAAATGAGTACAGTAAGTGGAGAAACATTTATTGCAGAACATCTAATACATCTTAATAAAAACTGTAAAAGCCTATACCATTTGAACCAAGATACACTTTCTCTCTACTTCCCAGATTACTGTAATAGAAACATGTGGAACAGAAGATCATAAGGTCCCTCTCCGATTAACACCTAGTTCTATTCCAGAAAAGAGTACCTGAAATATGCAGGGATTCCTTCCTTCAACCATCCTACATATAGGACAGACCACAACCTTAGGGATGGAAAATTGAGAATATTAGGACGTCATCACCTTTCTTCCAGGTTTCTTATAGAACGGAGGTTCCATGCTAGGAAAAGCAAGCCAAGAAAGTCAGATACTATTACTCCCATCCAGTACCTCAATTGTAAAGAAAGGTGTTACTTTAAGACAAGTGGTTGCTGTTCCTTTTCCTAGGTCTGGAGACTGGAAGAGAGAGAAGATGCAGGCCATAATTACAGAAAATTCTATTGCTGTCCTTTCAGGAACTGACTTCCTTAGGAAAAGAGTTTGGTTAAGTTCAAGTCTTTTTTTTTTGGTGGTGGTGGTGGGGGGACGGACTCTCGCATTGTCACCCAGCCTGGAGTGCAGTGGCACGATCTTGGCTCACTGAAACCTCCACCTCCTGGGTTCAAGCGATTCTCCTGCCTCAGCCTCCTGAGTAGCTGGGACTATAGGCGCCCACCACCATGCCTGGCTAATTTTTGTATTTTTAGTAGAGATAGGGTTTCACCATATTGGCCAGGCTGGTCTAGAACTCCTGACCTTGTGATCCACCTGCCTCGGCCTCCCAAAATGCTGGGATTTCAGGTGTGAGCCACTGCACCTGGTTCAAGTTCAAGTCTTATAGTACTGTTGAAAATAATAGCTATGTTGGTAGTAAGCAATTACCAGGAGGCTCATAGCTCAATGGGACAAACAATTGAAACCATATGCCATCAATCTTGAAATTTAATTAAAAAACAGAGAAAACAACAACTAGAAGAGCCCCTTTGAGACTGAAACATTCAAAGATTACCCTCAACTACTATCTCTGCAAAGGAGTTTAGATTTAATTGTATCAGAATATAAAGTGACTTACGACTGTATGATTCCATTTTCAAACTGCTATAAAGAAATGGCCGAGACTGGGTAATTTATAAAGAAAAAGGTTTTAACTGACTCACAGTTCTGCATGGCTAGAGGGGCCTCAGGAAACTTACAATTATGGTGGAAGGCGAAAGGGAAGAAAGCACATTCTACACAAGAAGGCAGGAGAGAGAGAGATCAGGAGAAACTGCCATTTGTATACCCTCAGATTTCCTGAGAACTCCCTGTCTTTTATGAGAACAGCATGGGGGAAACCACCCCCATGATTCAATCACGTGTCACCAGGTCCCTCCCTTGACATGTCGGGATTACAAGTTGGGTAAAAATTCAAGATGAGATTTGGGTGGGGACACAGCCAGACCATATCACTTCCCCCAGGTCCCTCCCAAATCTCATTTTCTCACATTTCAAAATGCAATCATGCCTTCCCAACAGTTCTCCAAAGTTTTAACTCATTCCAACTTTAACCCAAAAGTCCAACCAAAGTCTCATCTGAGACAAGGCAAGTCCCTTACACTTATGAGCCTGTGACATCAAAAACAAGTTATTTACATCCAAGATACAATGAGAGTACAGGCATTGGGTAAATCTTCCTGTTCCAAATGGGATAAATTGGCCAAAACAAAGGGGCTACATGCCCCATGCAAGTCTAAAACTCAATAGGGCAGTGATTAAATCTTGAAGCTTTGAAATAATCTTCTTTGACTCCATGTCTTAAATCCAGAGCGCACTGATGCAAGGGGTGGGTTCCTAAGGCCTCGGGCAGCTCCAACTATGTGGCTTTGCAGTGTGCAGTCCTCATGGCTGCTTTTAGAGGCTGGTGTTGAGTGCTTCTGGCTTTTCCAAGGGCCCAGTGTAACCTGTTGGTGGATCTAACTTTCTGGGTTCTGGAAGAGAGAGGCCCTCTTTTCACATCTCCACTAGACAATGCCCCAGTGAGGACTCTGTGTGTGGGCCCCACCCCCTATTTCCCTCCCACACTGTCCTAGTTGAGGTTCTCCATGAGGGCTCCATCCCTGCAGCAGATATTCAGACATTTCCATACATCCTGTGAAATTTAGGAGGAGGTTCCCAAAGCTCAACTCTTGTCTTCTGTGTACCTGTAGGCCCAACACCATGTGGAAGCCACCAAGGCTTAGGGCTTCCACTCTCTCAGGCACTAGCCTAAGTTGTACTGTGGACCTTTTTAGCCACGGCTGGAGCTGGAGCAGCTGGGATGCAGGGCACCAAGCCCCAAGGCCGCACGGAGCAGCAGGGTCCTAAGCTTGGCCCACAAAACCATATTTTTCTTCTAGGCCTCTGGGCCTGTGATGGGAGAGGCTGCAATGAAGATCTCTGATATGCTGTGGATACATTTACCACATTGTCATGGTGATTAACATTCAGCTCCTTGTTGCTTATGCAAATTTCTGCAGTTGGCTTGAATTTCTCCCCAGCAAATGGGATTTTCTTTTATACCACATAGTCAGGCTGCAAATTTTCCAAACCTTTATGCTCTGCTTCCCTTTTAAACATAAATTCCAATTTCAAGCCATCTCTCTGAAGTTCAAACTTACACCGATCTCTAGGGTAGGGGCAAAATGCTGCTAGTCTCTTTGCTAAAGCATAGCAAGAGTAACTTTTGTTCCAGTTCCCAATGAGTTCCTCATCTCTGTCAGAAACCACCTCAGCCTGGACTTCATTTTTCATATCACTATCAGCATTTTGGTCAAAACCATTCAAGAAGCCTCTAGGAAGTTCCAAGCTTTCCCACATCTTCCTTTCTTCTTCTGAGCCCTCCAAACTGTTCCAGCCTCTGCCCGTTACCCAGTTCCAAAGTTGCTTTCACATTTTCAGGTTTTCTTTGTAGCAGTACCACACTGCCCTGGTACCAATTATCTGTATTAGTTTATTTTCACACTGCTATAAAGAAATGCCTGAGACTGGGTAATTTATAAAAGAAAGAGGTTTATTTCACTGCAATTTGTGCATGGCTGGTGAGGCCTCATTACAATTATGGCAGAAGCTGAAGCGGAATAGGCACCTTCTTCACAAAGTGACAGGAGAAAGAGAGAGAAAGCATGGGAAACTGTCATTTTAAAACCATCAGACCTCCTGAGAACTCCCTGACTATCACAAAAACAGGATGGAGAAAGCTGCCCCATGATCCAGTCACTTTCCACCAGTTTCCTCACTCAACACATGGAGAATACAATTCAAATTACAATTTGAGAGGAAATTTGGGCGAGGACACAGTCAAACCATATCAATGCCGTAAGGCATTGTTAAAGAAAAAAATATATATATATAGCAAGCAACCAGTAATTCATAGAGGTGAATAGCTACACTTATTAATAACAGAAGCAGACAGTTAACAGGAAGATCAGGGAAAGAGACAAAGAACCTTGGGGAAACCACTGTCATCCCCAAATAGCTGCGCATACACTCAGGACTGTAACATTGGAGAAGCAACATTGGAGACTGCAAATTATGGAAGTAATCTACATCATTAAAGCAGTCCAGTCAAGTTGCCAAACATATAAGCAAGCAAAAAATAACAGAAAAAGTCCCAAGGTCAGTGGGTCAGTATATACAGTTGTTATTACAAATTGTCTAAAATGTCATAATAATTATGAGACATTCATAAAAATAGGAGAGTGTAACCCGTAAATGGACAAAAGCATGCAACATAAATTGCCTTACAGAAGGCCAACATGTTGGATTGAGCAGACAGGACATAAAAGCCACTATTATTAAGCTAAAAAAAACTAAAAGATATTAGGTATATAATGGTATTTTTGGTTCAATAATGTATATATAAATGTAACATATTTTGACAAAAGCAGCACAAGGGAGGTTGGTGTGAGTACAAATGCATTGGAATGAGAAAATGCCACCAGATGGTAACTTCACACCACATCCACAAAAATGAAGAGAACCAGGGATAGTAAATAAGAAGGTTAATATAAGAAACTAAAAAAAAAAAAAAAACTATTTGATTTTATTTCTATTCCAATCTCCTTTAAAAATTCTAGTAAAAATAGTAATAAGGTATTATTGGGTTTTTAAAATATATAGATGTAATATATAAAAATAATAGTGCAATAAAGGAGGTGAGGGAATATAAGTATACAGGAGTAGCACTCACATATCTCACTGAAATTAGGTAAGTATGAGTCTAAAGTGGATTTTGATGATATTAGGTTTATAAGCCCATTATATTACCATTAAGGAAATGACTCAAAAACTGTAGCAAAGAAGTCATTAAACAGAATTAAAACGTAACATTAAAAATATTTATTCAGTGCAGAAACAAAAGTCTGTAGAAGATGTACAAAATAACAAAATACATTACATATTTCTAAAACAACAAATAAAATAGCAGATGCAAATAAAACTATATTAATAATTACATTAATTATGAATGAACTAAAAGGTCCAATTAAAAAATAGAACAGTCAAATTTAATAAAAATATAAAACTAATTATATGCTACATATACAAGACACACTCCAAAGATATGAAAAGGTTGAAAATAAATGGATAGAACAAAACATGTCATGCAAACTGCAACTATAAGAAAGCAAACCATTTATCAGACAAAATAGAATTAAACTAGAAAATGTTACTTGAAAAAAGGGGGAACATTGCAGAATGATGAAAATAACAATCCATGAGGAAGACATGGAAACAAACACAGAGCCCTAAAATAGAAGCAAAAACTGAAATAATTGAAGGGAGAAATAGACGATTCAGAAACAATAGTTGGAGACTTTAATACTCCACCTCCAAAAATTGATGGAACAACTACACAGAAATGAACGAAGAAATAGAAGATGTAAATAACACAATAAACAAACTAAGGCTCACAGACATTACAGGACATTCTGCAGAAAGAGCACAAAACAAAACAACAACAACAAAAGAATACACTTTCTCCTCAAGTACACATGGAATATTTTCTAGGATGCATCACATAATGGAACATAAAAAAAGCATTTGTACATTTTACATTAGTAAAATCATACAGATCTTCTCTGACAACAGAATATTGAAATTAGAATTCAGTAACATAAAGAGGTTTGGGAAATTCACAAATTTGTAAGAATTAAATACTGCACTCATAAACACCATCCCTATGGTCAAAGAATAAATCACAAGTAATATTGGAAAATTAATTGACATGAATGAAAACAGAAACACAACACACTTACAGGATGGAGCTGCAGCAGTGCTTTGAGAGAAATGTATAGCTATAAATGACTATTTTGTTTTTTGTTTGTTTGTTTGTTTTTGAGATGGAGTCTTGCTCTGTTGCCCAGGCTGGAGGGCAGTCACACTATCTTGGCTCACTGCAGCCTCTGTCTCCCAGGTTCAAGTGATACTCCACCTCTGCCTCCTAAGTACCTGGGACTACAGGCATGCACCACCACACCTGGCTGATTTTTGTATTTTTAGTAGAGATGGGGTTTCACCATGTTGGCCGGGCTGGTCTCGACTGGTGATCTGCCCGCCTTGGCCTCCTAAAGTGCTGGGATTACAGGCATGAGCCACTGCACCCAACCATAAATAACTATTTTTAAGAAAGAAAATCTCAAATTAATAACCAAACCTTCTACACTAAATGCTGGAAAATAAAGAGCAAACTAAAAAAAAAAAAAAGTTTAGAATGAAAATGAATGAAATAGAGAATATGGAATGGAAACAAAATAAATAAAACCAAAGTTGTTTCTGTTAAGGGATTCTTTTTCTAAAAAGGACACATGTTTACCTAGACTGTTCACAATACAGAAGACTCAAAAAATTCAGGAAGGGAGAAGGGACATTCCTTTTGACTAAGAAAGAGGAAAAAATTAGTTTTCAAAAGAGTACTATGAGCAAGACAATATGCCTAGATGAGATGCACAAATTCCTAGGATGCAAATTACCACAACTGACTCGGGAAAATATTGATTATAGGAATAAACGTATAACAGTTAAAGAGAATAAATTAATGTTATCCCACACAGAAAAACTCAGTCTCAGGTGGCTTCACTGGTGTATGTAACCAAATTAAAAAAAAAATGGGGACTGAGTACCAATTTTTCATAAAACCTTCAAAATATAAGAGAATGCCTCATCAATTTAACATCCAAATATCAATTAATGTAATTATCATGTAAATACATATTTATATGAAATAAACCTAAAAGTTACATGATCATCTCAATAGATACAGAGACAACATTTTTAAAAAATCCAGTATCATTTCATGATAAAACCATTGGTATGTTCATGGATTAAAATGCTTAATATTTTTATAATGGTTATAATTCCTAAATTGATCTAAAGATTCATAGATTTTTGAGCTGGTTTTTGAAGCAGTTTTTTTGGGAGGAGGAGTCTATTGAATGTGTATATGTTTAACGTTTATACGTTAACATTTACGTTCAGTTGATCTTTACAAGACTGTCAATACAATTCATTTGGAATAAAGTTTTTTCAGCAACCTCTTTCTATCACCATACACAAAAAATAACTTAGTCATAAACTTAAATATAAAAGAGCTAAAATTATAAAACTCTTAGATGAAAACACAAGGATAAACCTCAGTGACCTGGGTTTAGGCAAACCTTCTTAGATATGATACTAAAAATAAGAGCAACAAGAGATAAAGAGAAAAACTGGACTGCATTAAAGTGAATAAAAAAGGTTTTGCTTAAAAGGATATTATTAAGAAGGTGAAAAGCAAATCACAGAATGGGAAATAATATTTGCAAATTATATTTATATAAGGGACTTGTAACCAGGACATACAAGATCATTTAGAATTCTGTGATGAAAAGGCATCCTACAAAGGACATGAACTCATCATTTTTTATGGCTGCATAGTATTCCATGGTGTATATGTGCCACATTTTCTTAATCCAGTCTATCATTGTTGGACATTTGGGTTGGTTCCAAGTCTTTGCTATTGTGAATAATGCCGCAATCAACATACGTGTGCATGTGTCTTTATAGCAGCATGATTTATAGTCATATGGGTATATACCCAGTAATGGGATGGCTGGGTCAAATGGTATTTCTAGTTCTAGATCCCTGAGGAATCGCCACACTGACTTCCACAATGGTTGAACTATTTTACAGTCCCACCAACAGTGTAAAAGTGTTCCTATTTCTCCACATCCTCTCCAGCACCTGTTGTTTCCTGACTTTTTAATGATTGCCATTCTAACTGGTGTGAGATGGTATCTCATAGTGGTTTTGATTTGCATTTCTCTGATGGCCAGTGATGATGAGCATTTTTTCATGTGTTTTTTGGCTGCATAAATGTCTTCTTTTGAGAAGTGTCTGTTCATGTCCTTCGCCGACTTTTTGATGGGGTTGTTTGTTTTTTTCTTGTAAATTTGTTTGAGTTCATTGTAGATTCTGGATATTAGTCCTTTGTCAGATGAGTAGGTTGCAAAAATTTTCTCCCATTTTGTAGGTTGCCTGTTCACTCTGATGGTAGTTTCTTTTGCTGTGTAGAAGCTCTTTAGTTTAATTAGATCCCATTTGTCAATTTTGTCTTTTGTTGCCATTGCTTTTGGTGTTTTGGACATGAAGTCCTTGCCCATGCCTATGTCCTGAATGGTAATGCCTAGGTTTTCTTCTAGGGTTTTTATGGTTTTAGGTCTAACGTTTAAATCTTTAATCCATCTTGAATTGATTTTTGTATAAGGTGTAAGGAAGGGATCCAGTTTCAGCTTCCTACATATGGCTAGCCAGTTTTCCCAGCACCATTTATTAAATAGGGAATCCTTTCCCCATTGCTTGTTTTTCTCAGGTTTGTCAAAGATCAGATAGTTGTAGGTATGTGGCGTTATTTCTGAGGGCTCTGTTCTGTTCCATTGATCTATATCTCTGTTTTGGTACCAGTACCATGCTGTTTTGGTTACTGTAGCCTTGTAGTATAGTTTGAAGTCAGGTAGTGTGATTCCTCCAGCTTTGTTCTTTTGGCTTAGGATTGACTTGGCAATGTAGGGACATGGATGAAATTGGAAATCATCATTCTCAGTAAACTATCGCAAGAACAAAAAACCAAACACCGCATATTCTCACTCATAGGTGGGAATTGAACAATGAGATCACATGGACACAGGAAGGGGAATATCACACTCTGGGGACTGTGGTGGGGTGGGGGGAGGGTGGAGGGATAGCATTGGGAGATATACCTAATGCTAGATGACGAGTTAGTGGGTGCAGTGCACCAGCATGGCACATGTATACATATGTAACTAACCTGCACAATGTGCACATGTACCCTAAAACTTAAAGTATAATAATAAAAAAAAAAAGAAATGCTGATGGGAAACTTTATAATAAGTGGATCAGATAGACCACATCTATCCCACTGTTATATCTTAGCATCTCAAAAAAGAGATCATAGATGTTTTGTGTGTTCTGATGTGGTGTGGTAGGAAGTATACCATAAGCCTATGAAGTTTTCTTGCTAAAATAAAATCTGAATCTGAGCAAGCCTCTAGATTTCGATTCTAATTTTCAGGAAATGCAAGGGACAGAGGACCATACAATTAGCAAAATACAGAATGTGTGTAACTACAATACAGTTTACTAGTTTTTTCTGTAAGTAAATTGGAAGAAAAAGTGAGAGAAACCCATAGATTAAAAGATACTTCAAGACATGTGTTAGCCAAACGCAGTATATGTGGGTCTATTGATTTGAACAAACCAACTGTTTAAAAAAAGTGGTTTTTCCCTGTAAATTTGGGACATTGACTAAATAATTTGATATTAAGGAATTATAGTCATTTTCTGAGGTGTAAAAACAAAAATTTAAGTCCTTGTTTTCAGAGATATATACTACAATAATAATGAATGAAATGTCTGAGGCTTGCTTCAGAATAACCCAGTTTGTGGACGGAGGGTGTCTGAAGGTATGGAGGAAACAAGATAGGCCATGTGTTGATAATTGTTGAAAATGGGTGATGGGTATGTGGTGGTTCATTGTAATGTTCTCTCTCATTTGGTGAATGTTTTTAGATTTCCATAATAAAAAGTTTTAAAAGTTTAAAAAAAAAAAAAAAAAAAGAAAAGGCATCCTAATTTTTTAAAAGTGAAAAGTATCTGAATGCACATTTTCCACACGATGTTTGCAAATTGGTAATGAAAACCTAAAATGATGCTCCATCTCCTCAGCCATTATGAAATTGTAACTCAAAATCAAAATGAGATACTATTTCACATAAACTAGGATGTGCATAACAAAAAAGGACAGAAGGTATTAAGGCTTGGAAAGGAGGTGAAGAAATTGAAATGCTTATAGATTGCACTTGGGAATATAAAATGGCACAACCATTTTTGAAAATATTTGGCAGTCCCTCAAAAACGTAAAGCTATCGTATGTCCCAGCAATTCTGCTCCTGTGTATATATCCCAGAGGAATAAAAATGTATGTCCGCACTAAAACTTGCATGTACAACAATGTTTATAGCAGAATTATAGGCAGAGAAAAATTGGAAATAGAGCAAATGTCTGTTAACTGGCAATTTATCAAATAAAATACAATAAATCCACAATGGCATATTCATCAACAAAATGGAATGGGTTACTGGTACATGATAAAATGTGCATGAACCTTTAAAACATACCACTACATAAAAGAAGCCACAAAAGACCACATATAGCATGAATTTATTTATATGAAATGTGTGGAATTACAAATAAATACAGAAAATAGATAACTGTTACATAGAGCTGGATGTGTTTGGAGGGAAATAAGGAGTGACTGATAAAGAGTATGCAGTCTCTTCTGTGTGAGGCAATGTTGTAAAATTGATTGTGGTGATATTTTGCAACTCTGTGAATATACTAGGAAACAATCTTATACTTTAAATAAGTTAATTTTATGGTATTGTGAATTGCATCTCAATAAAGCTGTCTAAAAAATAATTTAAAAATACCACTCAACCTTGGAAACCTGTCTTATATCCATCAATTCCACTTATATTTACCTGTTTTTCAACTTAAAAAGATCTGATGTATTAAATAAAGTACTTATTTAGATTACAGACTTATTTTTCCTTAGTCATAATTTAACTCTTGTGGGGCAGGAATTTTTCATTCTGCTTTTTTCATTGATATTGTTGCAGGAATCAAGGGACAGGAGAGACCAATGGGTGGGACAGGAGGATTTATTTAGGTGCGCACCAGCCCAGCAGATTAACATCCAAAGGCTGAGCCACGAACAAAGACAGGGCTTGACTTTTATACATGCATTCGAAAGGGGTTTGGGCAGCTTGATGGTGCTAAACCTGTAGGGCTGGCAAGCAAATTTACAGAAGCAGAACAAAAGCAGTTTGTTAAACAGTGACAGGTTTTGCAACTTAGGCATATCTTGTGACCTTGCCGTGCCACCCAGAAGGGGAAAGACAGGAACTTACAAAACTTGCAAAAACAATTATGAGAATGGTAAGGGTGAAAGGGGAAGCTGAAAGAGGAGAAAAACTTGTTTTTCTTATCCTTGCTCCGAGATGGGAGGGAGAGGCTCTGGAACCCATCCCTTAAGGGCTCTGGCTCTGCAGACAGTGCTATCAAATCCCTGCCAGAGCCATGCCTGTTGCTGGGCCTTGGAGTGAGTCAGCCTAGTACAAGAAAACTTGTTTTTCTTTTTTCTTTTTTTTTGAGACGGAGTCTCACTCTGTCCCCAGGCTGGAGCGCAGTGGTGTGATCTAGACTCACTGCAAGCTCCACCTCCCAGGTTCACACCATTCTCCTGCCTGAGCCTCCTGAGTAGCTGGGACTACAGGTGTCTGCCACCACGCCCGGTTAATTTTTTTTTTTTTTTGTATTTTTAGTAGAGACTGGGTTTCACCATGTTAGCCAGGATGGTCTTGATCTCCTGACCTCGTGATCTGCCCGCCTCGGCCTCCCAAAGTACTGGGATTATAGGTGTGAGCCACTGTGCCTGGCCAACTTGTTTTTCTTTATATTTTCTGCTTCAATATTTTTTAAGAACATATAAAAAAGCTATTATACTGTAGGAAGTTATACACATATGTGTATGTGTGTTAGTGTATCTTGCACAACTCTGTATACTGTGGAGGGAGGAGAGAGAGAGAGATGGGAAGGAGAGAAGGAGGATAATATGCTAACAGTTGTGGTGTTTGGGATAGAAGAGTTGTAAGAGTTCTATTGCAGCTGTTTTGTAGAGTTGAAACCATTTCAAAATGAACAAAATAGTATAATGGCAATAAAATGATTGAATGTGTGTTTGAATGAAATACAATGCATAATGGAGTACAGAAATGGGAGTGAAAATAAACAACAGAATATGAGGAGTGCCCATGTTTATGAAAAAAAGTTGGAAAAGTAATATGAAATTACACAAACAAGAATATTTATCAAAATAGAAGACTGCAAGATATTTTCCCCAGAACATGAAAGTAATGAAAGTTATAGAATCTTACTGAGATTTCATATGAAATATTGACAGATGATAACCTTGATAATGTTAATCTGTATTCCTATTTTTTCACTTGATCCCTTCATGTGTTTTACAGGTATGGATCTAGGGAAAAAAAATAAGGAAAATTCTTTAATACTTCATCAGAATAGAGATATATCTGACAATAGCCCATGAAAACCAGTGCAATTGTGTAATATTTCTCATTCCAAAAAGAGTATGATGTGGTATACAGGGAAGCTTTAATAAAATAGATGATTTATCTCCTTTCATCATGTCATTTATTAATTAGTTTTCAGAAATGAGATATTGGAGTTTCTTCACACCTTTAAAAAGCACAGAAGCAGAGATAATGTCCTTTTCCTTTTCTACCCTTGATGAACTCCAAGTCAGTCTTTAATATTTAACCAGTATTTATTTTTCAAAGATTTTCCTGGTACAGTCTGACTGAGTTCTCCATGTTCTGCTCTGCTGCATGTCTCTGTACCTGTAATGTAGCACAGATTGAATTGAAGTGACAATATTCCCATACTTCACTGCAAGTTTCTTAAAGATAGGTAACAGGGATAAACTCAGACATTAGAATACATCTGATGCATAGTAAGCGTTGAAAGCTTGAGGAGTGAATGAGTAAATAGAAAATGAATATCTAACACACTGCTCCATTCATGGTCTTTGAATCAATACAACATGTTGACTGATCCTAAATTGATTTCAATTATGAGCAAATAAGGCCCAAAAGAGAGACAGCAGCACTGTTAACTCTCTACTTCTCACATTAAATAGCTTTCTTGTTCTGTAAGTGAGAATATACATGGTACACTGACCTTCTTGAAAAAAAAAAAAGAAAAAAAAAAAACACTACAATATGTTAGTTTGATTTGTGGTTTTGTCTCTTGCTCAAAAACTGATATTCAATGTCTGAGACAGAATAAGGAGAGTATGGGGTCAGAAAAATTGAGATGCTTGTATTTTTGCTTCCCAACTAAGGAATGCAATGTTCTAGAAAAAGATGAAAGAACAACGTAATAAATATTTATTTGGCCAAAAATATATAATGTTAATAATTAAATCTAACCCCAGTTAAGTTTTTTTTATAAATCATTATTAGTTAAATATAAAATTGAAGAATATTTAAACTTCAAGTGACTGATGGTAATATTTTTATAACTATTTCAATTAAATACTACTCTATTATACTCTAAGTTTATATAATTGTTTTATGACTCAGAAAGTTCTGTAGATGTGTGTGTAAAGCATTTTATTTATAATTATAATATTTGTAATACCTGAATTTATGAAACAACATTTCATCTGGGGAGAATCTTGAGCATGCCGTTCTCTAATGCAGTCTACATTAATATGTGATAAATGTTAAAAGTTAAGCAGTAATATATAATGTTGTTTCTCAGATACACTGTGGTTGAATTAAAAATATCATCATCTTAAACTGCATAGGACCCATCAAAATTAAGAAAACAAAAATTTTCAGAGGGGGAGGAGGATAACAATAAAAGTAGTTAGCGAATTAGACAAAATTTCTAATGCTATATGAGTGGACAATTATTCTATTAGTTTTTACTATAAAATTTTTATTTTTATTAGTAAAAGTTTTAAGTATTACTTGCTTAAAATATGATCATGTAGTAAGAAAAACAAAAAAGCAAAGAAAAAGATTCAATAATCAGAGCTAATAAGAATGCTCAGTATGAGGAGCAATTGTGAGATCAAAACATTTAAACAATTTTTAAACACTAGTTTTAAAAGTACTCCACGCTATAGCATGAAATATGTTTTTGAAATTTGAGTGATTTTTACAACATCCAAGTACATTTTCAAAGAAGATAAATATGTGGGTACATACCTCCCATTAATCAGGACATATTAAAAATAAAACAAGTTTTACAGAGTGTTATTTTCATTTCTAGATTTTACATTATTCATTAAAGCAACAGACAATTCATAAGAGAAGAAATACAATGTTTTACAGAATTAATGTTATATAATTTTGCTAAACATATTATATAACAGTGTTCCTATTTGTATTTTCACTATTGAAGCTCTAATTGAAGCTATATTGTAATAGAGTATGGGATAATTGATTTTCTGTGCAGATGAATGTCTTATATTATTATAGGATTGTAGATTGCAAGAATATACACATTTGCCAAAACTATCAAAATAAATGCTCAACGTGTGTATATTTCACTGTATGCAATGATGCCTTAATTTTTAAAAGTCAAAAAACACGGAGCACATGTCAGAAGTTGCTGCTTATTTACTCAAAAGATCATACATGAAATTCAGTGATAACAAGTTCCCAAAACTAAATTATGAAGGCAGGAGTAATAGATTTCTTATATAGAGTAAATCCCAATTCTCCTGCTTTGTACCAGAGTTCAAAAATTAAGGTTTCATTTACCAACAATGTGCCTGTATTGATTCTGTAAATTTCTCTTCGTATATAAATAATTAGGTCCCTGATGATAATGCACTTTCTATTAAATTGAACCTAATATTTTAAGAGTAACAATACATTGTAAATTATTAGAAATACACTTAATTAGAGTTACGATATACATGACTTTAAACTCAAAATGATATTTTTACAATAATAAAGTATAAATGAATTTTTAAATGTCTTCACTTTCACATCTGCTCTATTTAAAGCCACTAGTGAAAACTCCTGGATGCAAGATGAAATATGACAATATGATATTAAATTCGAATATGAGATACAATAAAACCATTTTTAGTTTTTTAAGATTGTTACATTAGGTGTCAAAACAATACCAGCAAAATTTTAAAATAAAGAGCAATGTAGATCAAACATGATAAATTGCCTTCCAAAAGAGAATGCTAAAAAAATAGAAAATAAATTCACTATGAAAATAAAATGCACATTTAAACAGAAAAGATTGTCTGCATAGCCCAACTTTATGAGATCTCTGTAATTTCACATATCATGACTTATAGATGGCATATGATATTTGACATAGGAAGAATTTGAAATGAAGAATCCAATCTAGAATGTAATATTGTAAGAAAACATAAGCAAACTGCTTGCTGAGCCAAGGTATTTTATTTCCTAATAATTAAAATAAAAATTATACTACGATTTTGTATTTTCAAAAAATTTGCATGGATACATAGTAGGTATATATGTTTATGGGTTTCATGAGTTTATTTGATACAGGAATACAATGTATAATAATCAAATCAGAGTAAATGGGGAATACAGCACCTCAAGCATTTATCCTTTGTGTTACAAACAATCTAATTATACTCCTTTAGTTATTTTTAAATGTACAATAAATTATTGTTGACCATAGATACCCTATTTTGCTATCAAACACTAGATCTTAGTCATTCTATCTAATTATAATTTTGTACCTGTTAACCATTCTCCCCACCTTCACCAACTACCCTTCCCAGCCTCTAGTAACCATCATTCTACTCTTTATCTCCATGAGTGTAATTGTTTTAATTTTTAGATTCTATACATAAGTGAGAACATGCAAAATTTGTCTTCCTGTGCCTAGCTTATTTCACTTAACATAATGACCTCCAGTTCCATCCATGTGGTTTCAAATGACAGAATCTGTTTTTTATGGATGGATAGTATTCATCACGCATGTGCACCACATGTTCTTTGTCCATATGTCTGTTGATGGATATTTACATTGCTTCCAAATCAGCTATTGTGAATAGTGCTGCAATAAACATGGGAGTGCAGATATCTCTTTGATATACTGATTCCCTTTCTTTTGGGTATGTTACCCACCAGTGAGATTGCTGGATCATGTGATAGTTCTATTTTTAGTTTTTGAGGAACCTCCAAATTGTTCTCCATAGTTGTTGTACTAGTTTACATTCCCACCAACACTGTATGATGGTTCTCATTTTCCACATCCTCACCCACATTTGTTACTGCCTATCTTTTGGATAAAAGCCATTTTAACTAGGGTGAGATGATATCTCATTGTGGTTTTGATTTGCATTTCTCTAATGATTAATGATATTCAGCACCTTTTCACATGCATCTTTGCCATTTATATGCTTCTTTGAGAAATATCTGTTCATATCTTTTGCCAATTTAAATAATTATAAATTATTATATTTTTACATACTGAGCTTTTAAAGCTTCTTATATACTCTGGCTATTAATCCCTTGTCAGATAGGTACTTTGCAAATATTTCCTTTCATTCTGTGTTTGCTTTGTTGTTGTTTCCTTTGCTGTGCAGAAGCTTTTTAACTTGATGTGATCCTATTTGTCCATATTTGCTTTTGTTGCCGGTGCTTGTGAGGTATTACTCAAGAAAACTTTGCCCAGTCCAAGGTTCTGGAGAGTTTCTCCAGTTTTATTTTAGTAGTGTCATAGTTTGAGGTCTTAAATGTAAGTATTCAATCCATTTAATTTGATTTTTGAAAAAGGCGAGACACAGTCTATTTTCATCCTTTTGCATATGGATAAACAGCTTTCCCAGCAAGATTAATTGAAGAGACTGTCCTTTCCCCAATGTACGTTCATGGCATCTTCACTGAAAATTAGTTTACTGTAGATTTATGGATTTATTTCTGGGTTCTCAATTCTGTTTCAATGGTCTATGTGTCTCTTTTTATGCCAATACCATGATGTTTTCGTTATTATAGCTCTGTAGTATAACTTGAAGTCAGGTAACGTGATGTCTACAGCTTTGTTCTTTTTGCTTAGGATCGATTTGGCTATTCTATCTTTTGTGCTTCTATGTAAATATTAAGATTTTTTTATATTACTGTGAAGAATGTAATTGGTATTTTTACAGGGATTGCATTGAATCTGCAGACTGCTTTTGGTGGAATGAACTTATTAACAACACTGATTCTTCCAATTCATGAACATGGAATATCTTTCCAATTTTTTGTCCCCTTCAATTTTTTGTTTCAATGTTTTCTAGTTTTCATTGTAGAGCTCTTTCACTTCATTGCTTAAGTTTATTCCTAGTATTTTAGTTTATTTGTAGCTATATAAATGAAAAAAATTGATTTATTTTTCAGATTGTTTGCTGTTGGCATATAGAAATGTTATTCATTTTGGTAAATTGATTTTTCATCCTGCAGCTTTACTGAATGTTTATCAGTTCTAATAGTTTTTTTACGGCATGCTTAGGTTTTCCCAAATATAAGGATAACTTGACTTCTCCTTTTCCAATTTGGAAGCCATTTATTTCTTTCTCTTGTCTGACTGCTCTAGCTAGAACTTTCATTACTACGTTGAATAACAGTGGCAAAAGTGGGCATTCTTGCCAAGTTCCAAGTCTTAGAGGAAAGGCTTTCAGTTTTCCCCTTTCAATATGACACTACCTGTGGGTCTGTTGTATATGGTTTTTATTGTGTTATGTTCCTTCTCTATTCGTTTTTTTGAGGATTTTTATCATGAACTTCTGTTAAATTTTATCAAACGATTTTTCAGCACCAATTGAAATGATCACATGGTTTTTTTAGTCCTTCATTCTGTTGACATAATGTATCACATTGATTTGCATATGTGAGCCATCCTTGCATCTGTGGAATAAATCCTACTTGGTTAAGATGAATGATCTTTTTATTGTGTTTTTGAATTCAAGTTGGTAGTGTTTTGTTAGAGATTTTTGCATCAATGTTCATCAAGGACATTGGCCTGTAGTTTTCTTGTCCTGATGTGTCTTTGTTTGGTTTCATTATCAGGGTAATAGTGGTTTCATAGAATAAGTTTGAAAGTATTCCCTCCTCCTCTATTTTCAGAATAGTTTTGAGTAGGATTGGTTTCAATTATTTAAATATCTGGTAAAATTTAGCAGTGAAGTAATTGGATTCCTGGCTTTACTTTGCTGGAAAACTTTTTATTATGACTTTAATCAATTTGGTGTTTCTGAAAGAAGAAGGATTGGTGGAGGCTTCTATTTGGCCATCTTTGTCTCTTCTTCCTGTGACTTAGTATTTTAATTAGCAAATGTAGATAAATTAGAATAAAGTAAAATTTACTTTTTGGTCAAATGTTTAAAAAGGTCAATTTAAATTAGTGGACAATTTAAATCATAAAGCTTTTGAAGGCATGTAATTTATATAAAATATAAAAACAAATAATTTCTTTTGATCAGTAAATTGTTATTTACTTAAATTCTAAGAATATTTATTTTATATTTATTTATTTAACTAATATTCATTGATAACTTATAATAGCTAAATATATTGAATGAATGATTAAGTAGATGTTTGAAATATGAAAATGCTTGCATTTTGTTGAGTAGTTGATGAGGATTAACCTCTGTGATTAGTTAAATATGTTTGTATTTTTTGATCGGTATCACCATTTACTTCTAGGCAGGTTGTTTTATTCCTTAGATACTCTTTTTGATTACATAAGATAAAGAATAGCAATATATATTTCAAAAGGCTGATAAAAATATCAAATAAAAGATGTAATGTTTCTAGGCAAGTGCGTGGCTTATGGTAGTAGATTAATTAATGCAATTATCTTTAACATTACTATTTATTCAAAACTGTGTGAGAATCCTTGAAAACACTACCATCCTAATCTTTAAATATGGCAAATATAAAATAATTTGTCTTGAATATTGTATATAGTGTTTAGTTAAACATGAATTAAATGAACACACAAATACATTATAGACAATATATTAAGCCATAAAAAATGCCAGTCAACATAAGAATCTATATGTAGCATTTGCACACTGGAATTATGTTTCTTCAAATATGTTTATGAGTTAGTAGAGTTACTTTATCAAAAATGGGTTTAAAAAACATGAGATTATGTCATATGATTTAATATCAATGTTTGCATTTCAATAGTGACATGGTTAAGCTAAAATATCTTAGCTTATGAATACAAATGACAGAACATCTAGTATTAAACATTCCCATTTGTTGTCAAGATATTGTATTATTATCATTTTCAAAACCTCCGATAATTTATTTCCCAGCTATTTCATGTTTCTTTGTTCTTCACCTCTGATTTATGATTACAGTAAACTATGCTTATCTTTCTATCTTTGATACTATAGTACATAATAATTTGAAAATAATATTTTTCACAGATTCACTTGTATAGAGACAAGGTTCAATAGGGCTCATTTATATAAAATGCACATTTGCTTCTGTTGATTAATAACCAAGTGTAGACTATATTTTTCATCATACCACTTTCATTTGCATTTGTAACTGAGATTTCATAAGATAGTCAATAAATACAATTTACTTAAAATAATACTTCAAAGCAGATTCTTAGATGTGAGTATAATAGTTCATATTATATTTCTTCTGTCTAGATAAGTAGTCTTATCTCTCGTCTTAAATTTAAAAAAAAAAAAAACCATATTGACATGCACAGGAAAATTATTCCAAATACATTCATCATCTAAAATGTTTTAAAACCTAATTGTAAGATATTTGAAGATCTCAGATGCAGTTTTCTTAGTCAATTTTTCACTTACATTAACTTTTAAAATGGGAATTTGATAGGTTTCTTAAAGCATACTGCTGCTTTGCTGATGTCAAGAAGTTCTAAATCTTCTACTCTTTGAGAAAAATAATGTTAAACACAATTTTTATTCAACCAACTTCTTTAAAATTGTGCTCTGCAAGAAAGAGCTCCAGAAATATTACATACAATTTCTCTTTCTTTTTAATTCACATATGTAGATAACTTTCAATTTTATTATATGTTAAATTTTTAAAAAACATTTTCAAATGTGAGAACTTGACACATTAAAAATAGAATCAATGTGATAAATAAAACTACCTGCTTTATCTCACATTCCATAATGAAAACTTTTGGTTTCATGTATTAAGCACTGTGACAAATTCTGCCAGACAGAGTATGTAAAGAGAAAAGAGGAGTTGAAGGAGCAAGTTAGTTTTTCATCTTAGTGTGTCTTCTCATGCACATTACATTTACTACATATGAGGATTAGTCTTCTGCTTCATAAACTGGGAATTATAATGATTGTCTCTACTCATTCATAGGGATACCATAAAGATGCATTAATGCATACCAAAACGTTTTGTAAGTCGAGAGTTAACGTAAATACAAGATGTTATTGTTTCTAAGGTATTGCTCAGAAAAGAAATAGTACAAAGTGGATTCTACTATAAACCTAATTATATTGGTGATTTCTAATGGCTTAATATGATGACATTTTAAAAAATCTATTTGATATCAGTGTTTTCTATCACCAGGATCTTAATGACCAAGAAAGGAGAGGTTTATTAATCCAAACTTGTTGATCTTTCTGTTTTCAATGACCTACGAATAAGCAGAATTTTATCCTGCATCCTATTATGTTCTAAGCCCTTTGGGTCTAATGTTATAATTGTGTTTGTAAACCAGCTGGTCACAATGATTAAAATGATGTTGAAATGAAGTCTGGCCTTAGGAACATTTTCACACTAATTCCGGCTGTCAAAGCACAATCTTTGGTACCAAGCAGGACATGCCCCTGTTCCTATGGTGAATAATTATAAACCATATTAGAATAGCATAGAAAATAATATAATTTTAGAATATAAATTGAAATATGATAGTAAATAGACTACTTAATAGCAAATTAACCATTTATATTAGAAGTAAAATAGGTGCTAAAGATATTTTATTACTTAATTTATTTAAAATATATTCATTGATAATTTATAATAGCTCAATGGACTATTAAATTAAGTGTCATGTAGGCATTCTCCTCTAATTTAATGAAGAAACCGAATATCATATTGACAATGAGACAAAACATCAGATAATGGTACTTTTAATATATATAGGAGCAAATAGGAGAAACTTCTACATAAAGAGATAAAAGTCAAAAAAGTCATCTCAGAAAAAAAATTACTTGACTTTTAAAAATAAGGAGCAATTAACACAATGAAGGGAAAGGTCAGAGGGAAAATATACTAGAAGGAACAAGGGTCTGAAACAGTTGGCATATTTAAAGAAATGTTACTTCATATGTTTAATTTTTATAATCATTTCATCCCGTTCTGTTAAATTAAAGTAAATTAGACTTAGTGCTTCTAGACATAATATACATAAGGCCACCATTCATACTTTCAAAACAGGTAAACATTCTTTATTTTATAATTTGTCTGAGCTCACAGAAAGTGTATTTTGTTGAGAGTAGTCAAAACAAAAAGTATGTAATCACATAATGAGTTAAAGTGGTTACTTTTATGTCAACTCAATCTATTTTTTTCTTTTAGTGGTAAATACACGGTCCTTTTAAATTCCCCTACTGTTTCATACAAAACAAAATTATACTAAATAAAGGAAATTATTTTAGTGGTATAGTTTACAGTCATCAATCTTTTTCTTCTGTATTATTTCATATGTATGTTTTTCCTTTTTGCTTTTATTTGTTTTGCACCTTGAGATTTTATTAGCAGGTTATTTTTAGAATATTATGTGCTGTTGAATGATGTCATGTATTATCTTTACTTTTTTTTTTTCTTTGTTTTTGAGAAGGAGTCTTGCTCTGTCACCCAGGCTGGAGTGCAGTGGTGCGATCTCGACTCACTGCAAGCTCCGCCTCCTGGGTTCACGCCATTCTCCTACATCAGCCTCCCGAGTAGCTGGGACTACGGGTGCCCACCACCACTCCCGGCTAATTTTTTTTTTTTTTTTTTTTTGGTATTTTTAGTAGACACGGGGTTTCACCATGTTAGCCAGGATGGTCTCAATCTCCCAACTTTGGGATCCACCCTCCTCAGCCTCCCAAAGTTCTGGGATTACAGGCATGAGCACCGTGCCGGGCCTTATGTTTACTTTTTTTTTTTTAACTTGAGAAGAATTTTTTTCTTTCTAAAGTTCAGAAACAATTAGATTCAATAATAACTCATTTCAGTTTGTGTGTATCAACACAGACAAGAATTTAGGATTTTATGGCTCTTTGAAATATACCTTTCTGGTAACAGACTTTTAGAGAACATTCTATTTAGTGACCATAGAGGCATTTGTCAGCTCTTTGTTACTTCCATATAATACATTGAATTTTTATTTGAATATAATAAATAAAGAGATGGACTTGCATTTATTGTTTTTATTCATCAAAAATGGAATTCATTTTGTTCTTAAAGTATCTATAGACATTTTGGAGACATGAAGGATTTAGAAATTTGGAAGCTTTGAAGTAGATAGCTATAGTAAAGTTCCCACTATCAATCATTTTGTCATAAATTATCCCAATCGAAGGTTAGAGGAGAGAATATACAAGCCAGAGTTTGTGGCAGAAAATTTAAGTTTGTGGTTATAGACATAGTTATAAGATATTTATATCAGAATCCTTTTGCTTTACCACAATTTTATTTAGGCAAATCTTACTGAATTACATTTTACATATATTACAATAGGTAATTTAAAAATTGTATGGGTTCATTGATGTCACAGAGATGATGAATAAGGCAGCTCCAAAATTTGTTTCCTACACTGAAGCAACTTTCTACATGGCATAAAATGACCAAATCAATTTTTGGAACTATAGAAAGTAATCAGATACTTATAGGAAACAGGGTAGTACCTATTAACAATGAGGTTACTAAACGTTAATAAGAAAGCATTGATATGCATATGCACTAAACAACACAGCCCAAAATATATTACGCAAATATTGACAGAATTGAAGGGAGAAATAGGCAGGTATATAATAGTAGTTAAAAATGGTAACACATATCTTTCATTAATGAATAGAACATCTAGGTGGAAAATAAATAAAGCAAAATCGAGAGCTTGAAAACTATTGTAAATAAACTAGACCTAACAATAACATATAAAACACTTTAGCCAACAACAGAAGAATACACATTTTTAAAGTGCATATGGAATTACAGCTGTGTAGGCCAGATATTAAGTTACAATAAAAGTTGTCAATAAATTTAAAAATTGATATTATACTAAGTATAATCTCAGACCACAATGGAAGAAATCTGGAAGTTAAAAACAAAAAGAAAACAGGAAAATGCACAAATGTTGTGTAAACCACACACTACTAAATAATCAATGGGTAAAAACATTTATAAAAATAAGTAGAAAATACACAAAGACAAAAAACATAGCATACCAAAACTTATGGGATGCAATGAAACCAATGTTCAATGAGAAATTTAGAGCTGTCAATGCCTACATTAGAAAAAAAATCTAAAATCAATAACATAATTTTACATTTTGTAGAACTAGACAATGTATAGCAAACTAAAATCATTGCTGAGAAATAATAAGGATCAAAGAAGAGAGAAAAGAAATAGATTATTTTTAAAAAATAAGTTTGGGAGAATTAATACAACTAGGAGTTGTTCTTTAAAAAGATTAATAAAATTGGCAAAGCTTTAGCTAAATATTAAGAAAATAGAAAAAAGATAGAAATAACTAAAAGCAGACATGAAAGTGGAGATACTACTTCCAAGCTTACAAAAAGGATTACAAAAGTACTATAAACAATTATATGTCAACAAATTAAATAACTAAGATCAATTTGATAAATTTAGAAACACAATTGTTACCTATCAGAATCAAGAAAAAATTAAAAAAACTCAACACCTTAAAAAAGTAAAGGAGTTGAATCTGCAATTGTACACATCCGAACAAACGAAATGTCCAGGGACAGATGGCTTCACTTTAAATGCTACCAAATATTTAAAGATAAATTAACAATACCTCTCAAAATCTTCAAAAGTTCTATAAAAATGGACCACTTTCCAACTCATTTTATGATGTCAGCATTACCCTGATTCCAAAGCCAGAAAACTAAATCACAAGATAAAATAATTACAGACCAATATCCCTTATGAATATAAATTTTTAAAATCTCAATAAAACATGAAAAAATAAACCTAACAGAATATCTTTTAAAAGTATAGAGCATGACAAAAGTAGAATTTAGCCCAGGAATGCATGGGCAGTTCAATATAAGAAAATAATCACTGAGATGCATCCCATCAGTAAAAAAATATTAAAAAACACACATGAAAATCTAAATAAGCAGAATAGGCACCTGTCAATATTCAACCCTCTTCCATGATAAAAACACTTAGAAAACTAGAAATAGAAGAGAACTTCAACATAATGAAGGGCTTTTACTAAAAAGCGGAGCTAACATCATGCTCAATGGTCAAGGGCTGATAGCTTCTTCCTAAATATAGGAAAAAGACAAAAATAATCCCTTACAACTTTGCTAATCAGCCTTGTATTGGAAGTTGTAACCAGAACCATTTATTAAAAAAAAAAAAGCTATCCAAACTGCAAAAGGAAATGTAAAACTATATTCACAGGTGACTTGCTCTTATATATAGGATATCCCACAGAATCCACAAAGAAAGATGTCAGAGCTGATAAAACAAATTCATCAGTGTTGCAAAGCATGATATTAACATGCAAAAAGTGGTTGCATTTGAACGTGTCCACAAAGAATATAATTGAAAAGGAAATTCAGCGAACATTTCTATTTACAAAAGCATTCAAAAGTTTAAAACAACTAGCATTAAATGTCGCCAAGATTTGTAAGACTTAAAATTAAATGAACAAACAAAAAACCTGGCCAGGGGTGGTGGGTCACGCCTGTAATCCCAGCACTTTGGGAGATTGAGGCGGGTGGATCACCTGAGGTCAGGAATTCGAGACCAGCCTGGCCAACATGGTAAAACCCCATCTCTACTAAAAATACAAAATTAGCCTGGTGTGGTAGAATGCACTTGTAGTCCCAGCTACTCAGGAGGCGGAGGCAGGAGAATCTCTTGAATCTGGGAAGCAGAGGTTGCATTGAACAAAGATCATGGCACTGCACCAGAACAAGAATCCTTTTCAAAAAAGAAAACCTATTAACTTGTCATTTAGCATTAGGTATATCTCCTAAAGCTATCCCTCACCAGCATGGCACATGTATACATATGTAACTAACCTGCACATTGTGCACATGTACCCTAAAACTTAAAGTATAATAATAATAAAATTTAAAAAAAAACTATAAGACATTGCTAGAATAAATTAACAAACAGAACAAATGGAATGTATCCCAATTTTATGGATTAGAAGTTGTAATATTGTTATGATAGCAAGAAATCCAGAGCAACCAACAAATTTAACATAATTCCTACCAACATTCAAATACTAATTTTTTTGCAGAAATAGAAAAGCCGACTTTCAAATTTATATGGAATTATAATGGGCAAAAGCAGTGTTGGAAAATAAAAGGCAACATTAGAGATCTCACTTTTCCCAGTTTCAGAACTTACTACAAATGCTCTGAAAACAACATTATGAGGCTGACATAAGGATAGGCATAAAAACTAATGGGAGAGAATTCAAAATTCAAAAATAAACCTATATGTCCATAGCCAATTGACTTCTTTTTAAAGAGTCCCAAGAAAACTTAATAGGGGAGAATATTCTGTTCAATGAATAATGTTTAGATAACTGAATTTTCACATATAGAAGAATAAAGATTTAACCATATTTCACACAATATACAAAAATCAATGCAAAATGTATCAATGACCTAAATATAAGAGATGAAAGTATAAAACCATTGGAAGAAAATATATGACATACATGGATAAATTTTCATGACCTAGATTTAGGCAACTAGATTTTAGATATGACACCAGAAGCATGAGAAACAACAACAAAAAATGGATAAAATAAAACATTTACAAACAATATATGTGATAAGGTTAGATTTTCAGAATATAAACAGAGTTAGTACAAATTAACAACAAAAAGTACTCCAAACAACTCAAATAATGGGAGGAGAAATTAGCTATTTCTCCAAAGAATATATCAATTTCCCAAAAACACATGAAAAATGCTCCATCAATGTCATTTGTCAACAGGAAAACTCACATCAAAGCCACAATGAAATACAACTGTTCATTAACTAGAATGTCTAGAATTTTTTCCAAAATAGAAAATAACAAATGGTGAGAGTGTGCAAAAATTGTAAGCCTCACCTATCGCTGGTGGGAATGTAAAATGAAGCAGCTACAGCAGAAAAAAGTTAAGTCTAAGAAGATAAACATAGCATTAGCATTTGTCTCAGCAAATTCACACATAGATAAATACATGAAAGAACAAAAAATAGGCCAGGTCCAGTGGCTCACACCAGTAATTCCAGCTTTGGGAGGCCAAGGCGGGAGGCTCTCATGGGCACAGGAGTTCAAGACCAGACTGGGCAATATGGCAGGACTCCATCTCTATAAAATAAAATAAAAGTTAGCCAGGCTTGGTGGTACTCATCTGTAGTCCCAGCTACTCAGGAGGCTGAGGTGGGAGAATCACATAAGCTTGGGAAATTGAGGCTGCAATGAGCCATGAACATGACACTACACTCCAGCCTAGGTAACAGACCAAGACCCAGTCTCAAAAAAATTATATATATATGTATATACACATAATGTTTATATATATATATGTATATATAAACATTAAACCAAAAAGTATACTTGTAGGTGAATGTTCATCGCAGCATTAGTTACCATAGTCAGAAGATAGAAACAACTTAAGTGTCCATCAAAAGCTGAATGGTTAAGTGAATTTTTATGTATATACAATAAAACATGAAGAAGTCATAAAAAGAATGAAGTTTTAATACATGCTACATAATGAATGAACCTTGAATAAAACAGTCTCTATTCACAAATAACATAATCCTATAGAGAAATCTCAAATGATTCACACCAAAATTGCTAGAGCTAATAAATGAATGAAGCAGAGTTGCAGGATGCAACACCAAACACCAAAATCATTTATGCTTTTAAACACCAGCAGTAAACAATCTGGAAAGGAACTCAGAAAGCAATTCCATTTACAACAGTATCTAAACATCTAAAATTACTAAATTTAAATTTAACAAAGCAGGTGAAAGACTTGTGCGTTGAAAGCAACAAAATATTGCCAAAAGAAATTAAAGAAAACCTAAATAAACAAAAAGACAACTCATGTTCATGGATTTAATGACTCATTGTTAAGATGGCAATGATATACCAAGCCACCTTGAGATAGAAATTGTTGCATAATTAGCAACAGATGATGGTTACACAGCATTACGAATGTATAAAACGGTACTAAATATTCACTTTAAAATGGGTAATGATATGTATTAATATGTAAATTTCAACTCAGTTTAAAAGAAGATGAAATAAAAAATTTGCATTGGATCATTCAGTTACATATCTCCTAAAATTTATGAAGTTTAAGAGTGTTGCAGAAGCACAAAATTAACTAAAGCACTGATATATAGAATGCATAACTCATGGTAAAATGTAAGGTATTCTGACATAGCCCCTCTTCATTTTTAACATTTTCAGGGCTATGTGTGATGCTTGATAACCCTTGTTTGATCTTTTCTTTCTTATAAATGCTTTTCTCTAAGTGAAAGCTTTTAGAGCATTAAAAATGTATGCTCTATTTATAATTAATATTTTGTTGATACAGATGAAAAGAGTTACATATCATCTTACATAGTATTTATGAATTGTACAATTTTATGTCTGATAATCACATACTGAACAATATTGGGTAAAAATTTTGGATTTCAATGTATCATATTAATTTCACAAATGCAGAGATTTATTAGAGGAAGATAAATGTTTATATCTGAACTAGTAATGAGTGATGAGATGCTATGAACTTCTGGGAAAAAATATACTTGAATACAGTTATTCCATAAGGCACAGTCACCTACAGGTAACTGTTTTGGTTGTTTGTTTGTTTGTTTGTTTCTAATGGTTTGCTTCTGTTCTTACATTGATGGTTGATAGCAAATTGGTAGCCACTATGTTCTGTGTCCCCCCCAAATTTATATGTTGAAACCTAGTTACCAAAGTGATGGTATTAGAAGATGAGGCCTTTGGGAGGTCATTCAATTATGAAGGCTCATTAGCAGCCTTATGAAAGATGCCTCAGAGAGTAACCTTACCTCTCCCACCATGTGAAAACACAAGGAAAAGAGATCATCTACAAATCACAAAGCGAGTCCTCATCAGGTATTAAATCTGCCAGTGACTTCATCTTGGAATTTCTAGCCTTGAGAATTGTGAGAAATACTTTTCTGTTGCTTATAATTCTCTTCATTTGTGGTATTTTATTATAGTAGCCTAAATGAACTCTGTTAAGAAAAAGCTAGAAAGACATAATAATAATATGGTTTCAATGATACAAAGACTATAAAATTATGCTCCCCTACTCCAGTTTGATATAAGATATAAACTGGTCCGATCATGACAACAGAAGAGAAATTATTAATAAAAATGTTCAAAAAAACTTGGTCCAGATTTTTCATTGCCTCAGTTAATCTTGAGATGCCAAACTTTTGACTACCTTTTCAGTAAATTACCATAAAAATGTACTTATCTATCTATCTATCTATCATCTATCATCTTTCTATCACCTATCTAACTTTGATAATAATATTAGGTGATTAATAAAAATGCAGATACATTAAATAGGAAAATAGATCAGTAGAATATTTCTGATTTTGTATAAATCTTTTTGGAGAGTACATTTTGAAAAAATGTTAAGAAAATATATTTTTTGCATTTAAGAGAATTTGGCAAAATACATAAAATGTGCTTCTTGGATGTTTATGAGAATTACTTTGGTAAGTTATTTTACTAATAAATTACTTAGAAAATGATAATAAAATTGAAATTCAGATTTTATTTTATCTAAAAAATATAAAACTATAAGAAATATTTATATTTTATGAATTTAAACAAAATTGAGAATTAAATTATTTTTCTCCTTATATTAAAGTCTTATGCAATGTCTTAGGAATAAATGTTAGGAGACATTAAATAACTGTTGCAATATCTTTTTTATTGCTGTATACTTAACAAATTTTTCCATTAAGAAAGCAGCATTTATGAATTCCAACACATGTACATAAAATACAAATGTTCCAAAGGAATTGATTGGTTTCAGATGAATGAACATTTCACCCATCTAGTGAGTAGTTTTTATGTTGTCTGAATTTTTCTCTAAGGGCTTAAAAGATAATGCTATTGAACAAACTAAATTATATTCCCCCATCTCAACATCATTAGAATAATGTATTTGACAACAATATAGTTCATATAGCACAAGAAATAACAAATATGATGAAACATACAGACATCACATGCAAACACACACACACTTATAGACAGATGCACATATTTTCCTTGTACCATCACAGCATTTTTAGTGGATATATATTTTTTTCTGCTGCTCAAGATTGAACCATGCACCCCACTCCTAATTTTTCTGTCTCAGTTCCTTTAATTATCATTCTCTGCCCTCACTATTTAATTGCTCCATTTTCACTGACTTCCCTCCTTTGCCTACAACATATTCTAAAACCTAATAAACTAATGACATATTGAAACAGGCAGAAAAACAGAACATGCAACTTCTGACATTTCATTACCCACTAAGGTCCACAAATATGATGTCTGTTTCTTCATTTCTCACACAATCTTAGACCCATCAAAACCTAGGTACACATTTTTTTTATATGTGGCTCTGTGATTTGGGGATAAACACAAAAGCATGCATGCAATAGAAAGGTTCTAGAGTAAACTTACTCCACCTACACTGTATCCATCAACTTGCCCACATAGTCATAGTGACAGAGAGATTTGAGTTTTTTGACTATTGGCAGAGGTCATAGAAAGAGAAAGGTATATTTTCTAAAATGTAAAAAACTCAGGAGATACTCTGCTGATGAGGATGCTGGTATCAATCCTTTTCTAACTGTCTATGCAGAAGAAAATTTGTTTTTTTCAATATGTCCCAAAATATCACTTTTTAAAAATACAATAAAGACAATAATATAAAAATTAAAAAATGCATGTCAAATAAAAACTATTGTTTTATTATTGTCAACAGATATAAAATTATTGTTAGATTGTTTTCAATATGCATATAAGTTGTTATCCTCAATTTCAGTACTTATGTCTCAAACTATGACCTAACATTTATCAGATAAGCCTGGGTCCAAAGCCACATCTCTTTATCATTATAACTATTTTCGCTCAAAAATGACTTTACCTTGTAATGCCTAAAGATTAAAAAAAATAATGTGTGGTTTCCATTAGTTGGAATATGCAATATTCTGTTTTCAATAATGGATTGAAGAGGTAGACAAAAGACCAAGAACGAATATAAATGAACAAAACTACAAACCATCTAAACCTAATCAACAACTATAGAACATTTTACATGAGAATATGTATTCTCTCCATGATAGATCATACCATAATTGGATCCTAAAACAATCTAAATAAATATAATGGAATTAAGAAGATACAAATTATGTTTTCTGACCCCAACTAAATAAAATTAATTGAGGATTTGGAAAATTGACAAATATGTAGAAATTAAACATATTTCTAAAATATATTCAATTAAGACATCTAAAAAGAGGCTGGGCAGGGTAGCTCATGCCTATAATCTCAGCACTTTGAGAGGCCTAGGTGGGTGGGCCACTTGACATCAAGAGTTTGAGACCAGTCTGACCAACATGGTGAAATCCCGTTTCTATTAAAAATACAAAAATTAGCCAGGCATGCTGGTGGGTGCCTGTAATCCCAGATACTCAGGAAGCTAAGGTGAGAGAATCACTTGAACCTGGGAGGTGGAGGTTGCAGGGAGCCAAGATAGTGCTACTGAACTCCAGCCTGGATGACAGTGCAAGACTCTGTCCAAAAAAAAAAAAAAAGAAAGAAAAAGAAAAAAGAAATCTAAAAAGAAATTAGCAAATACATTTAGATGAGGAAAATTGAAAATAAAAATCAAAAAACCTTATGAGACTCACCTAAACCAATACTTTGATGAAAAAGGTATTTAATCTTGAAAAAGTAGAAAAACCTGTAGGACTCAAATGTTCAAACTCCAAAATTTACTATGGGGACTATGGTAGTTAAGACAATGTAATACTGGCATAATAATAGACATAAAGATCAATGAAATAGAATTAAAACTTTGGAAATAAACTGTTACACTTATGGTCAAATGGTTTTTGACAAAGGTACCAACAAATTTCAATGAAGTAAAGAATATGTGATATGGTTTCAGTGTGCCCCCACCCAAATCTTATCTTGAATGGTAAATCCCACAATTCCTATGTGTTGTGGGAGGAACCTGGTAGGATGTGATTGAATTATGGGGGAAGTTCTTTCCTGCACTGTTCTTGTGATAGTGAATGAGTCTCATGAGATCTGATGGTTTTAAAAGCAGGCGTTTCCCTGCACAAGCTCCCTCTTTGCCTGTCACCATCCATATAAGATGGGATTTGCTCCTCCTTGACGTCTGCCATGATTGTGAGGTCTCCCTAGCCATGTAGTGCTGTAAGTTCAATAAACCTCTTTCTTTTCTAGATTGCCCAGTCTCAGGTATGTCTTTATCAGCAGCATGAAAACACACTAATACAATAGGCTATCTGCAAATTGTACTGAGACAACTGTTTATCCAGAAACTGAAAAATAAAGTTGGATCCCTACCTCACACCATATAAAAAAATACCTAAAAATGAATAGAAAACCTAAATGTAAGAGTTAAAACTATAACTTTCTTAAAAGCAGCAGAATAAATCCTTGTAATTTTGAATTAGGTTACAACAAAACTACAACCTACAAAATAAATAAAATAAATTTGACTTTCTCCTAATTAAAAATTTTCTGCTTCAAAAAACTTTATCAAGAAAATAAAAAGTGACTGTTAGAGTGGGAAAAATGTTTGCAAAACGTACATATTATAAGAAACTGCTATTTTACAATTCAACAACAAAAAGAAAAGTAGGCCTATTTATTTAATTATTTATTTAACATTTTATTTTCTCTTGCTTATTTTATTGTAAGAATACATGTATCATTCAAAATACATGTTACTTAACTATGTCCATTGTTGGTAAGGCTTCTTGTCAACAATAGGCTATTAATAGTTCAGTTTTTGGATAGCCAAAAGTTACACACCTAAATTATTAACTATGCAGTGTGGTGGGGGAGATACACTTAATCCCCCCATTTTGTTCAAGAGTCAACTATAATTTAAATTTACATAACCACATGTGGCAAGTGGCTGCCATACTGGATAGAGCAGCTCTAGTGTGAAAGTTCTTTTAAGGCAGTGTATATGTCTTAATTCATCTTAACATTTTGAGTACCCAGAAAGTTACTGATGCAGCACAGGTACTCCTTAACACTTGTTGCAGTGCCTGAGTGAAGACAGCACTAAATGGCAGGATGGTGAGAATTCTTGGCCCTGCTGCAGAAGGGGCAGGAAATCTAAGTGATGTCTGTTCAGAATGCTATAACAAAATACTTTAGACTGAGTAATTTATAAACAACAGAAATTTGTTGGTCAGAGTTCTGAAGGGTGGGAAATCTAAGATCAAGAAGCCAGCAGATTTAGTGTCTGGTGAGGGCTCACATTCTGTTTCCAAGATGGTACCTTTTTGATACATTCTCACATGGCAGAAGGGGCAAACACACACTTTCAGGCGTCTTTTATATGAGCGCTAATCTTATTCATGAGGACAGTCTCCCTAATCTAATCAACTCCCAAAGGCTATACCTTAATATTATCATCTGATGATTAGGTTTCAATGTATTACTTTTCAGGGCAAAGATTATAGAACTCTGTGGCAGAGAAGGCCACCATGTTGTGCCTTCCCTTCAATGTACTGATGGAAATGTGCAAATCTTAGGGTTAGGTGATTGAGATTCAAGATACCCACCTTCTATGTCACTGTGTGACCTCAGGCAAACCACATAGGCACATAGCCTATGGGCTTCTGTTTCCTCATCTGGAAATGGGTGACCTCTAAATGCAGCATCTAAGCATCTAACTCAGGGGATTTTTAATAAGAATAAATTGAGGCCAAGAATAGGAAAACCAAAGTGTGAATTATGAAGTAGTCTGTATGTATATGGCTTTTTATTCATCTTACAGATTGGTCCTGTTGGCAGATAAATATTAGAAATTAGTTATCAAACATCACATCATCTAGACAGCCCTGGCTCTAGAAATGTTGACATCTACTTGTTTCACTCCATGATGGAAAAGAAGAAAAAATAAATCCTAAATTACTAATTTAGACTTCCCCCTATTCCTCTCATTAACAGCTCAAAACCCCTACCATACAGCAGCCTTAGTGATGAACATGTATGGTAGAACCTTCAAGATGTAGCTAATTCCCCCCCAAGTGCAACCAGCTGTGAGAACAAATTCAACTCCAGTAACCCTGCAAAGGAGCATAGATTTTCATATGTTAGAGACACAATGTTCATCTCGTTCAGAGGAATCCAAACCAAGTAATAGTGGTTTCTGGGGCTAAGGATATTAAGCATAATAGATTATCTGATAGTTTACTGATGATAAAGGTGAGATATTTGTCATTGTTTTGCTAGGAGACTTTATCAAAGGGAGGGAGAAATAGTGAAAGGTCACTGGTTCTATTGGTGAGATTATTTTCTTTACATAGCTGGAGTGTCAAAAGAAATGATCCCATAAAGATCACAACAAAACAGAACACACTTAAGCACTTCAAGATGAGCCCCAAGAAGCCATCATAGTGGACCCATTGGCTTCATCTTAATTTATCATTTGGCCCTCATAGACTAGAGTTGACTGGGTTCTCCATCTAGTCAAGGTGCAGCGGGTTTTAATACAGCAAACTACATGGTGGGCATTGGGGATGATTACTTTTTTGGAAATTAATTGTTATAATAACAATAATGCTATCAATTTTTAGCACCTACTGCATCGCTTAAACTGTGCATTCTATTTATCTCAGTTAACAATCCACAGAGTTAACATTATTACTATTATTTTGCAAATGAAGCTATTTGGGTTTAAGCAAATTAAACCATTATAGCTGGCTTCAGAGATATTTTTGTATTTAGTGTAAATATTGTTATCAGAAGCAGGTGCTCATAGAAGTATGTTTCTTGATTCCTCAAAAAATGCACAGACATGAAACTTAATAGGCAATGCCTATTTCGTATTTTGATCAGCATCTTTGCCCACGTTGTATACAACTTCTTACTTGGAAAGCTACAAAATCTCAAGAAACTCTTCTTCTGTTCAAGCTAGGTTTCTTTAATGTTGCCTTCACCACCTTTGTTAGAAGTCACAGATGCCTCAAAGAAGCTAGGATTACCCATCTTTGATAACGCAATGTCTCCAGTCTTACTTTTCCTTTCTCCTCCTTGTTCTGAGCATGCCACTCTCACCTGTTTAACTCACTCAAATCTTCCTTGCATTTGAATTCTATCTGTCTAGAACCTTGGGGGGACTGTCTGTTTTACCTTCCTCGAGAAACATAGTGTTTTAGAGGTGCACATTTCCTTAGAAAAAAAAATTAGGCTCTTTCACATACTCTTCTCAGAGCCCAGAGCAAGCCTAGAATCTCTAGTTCCAATGACATTTTCTGTTACTGAGAGATACCTCATGTTTTTATAAAATAACTGTGATTTAATACACACAAATGTTGAAATATTAATTAAACTTTAAAAGCGGTTGCAGCCAACATTTACTAAATATTTTCTATATAACAGATGGTATACTAAGCCTTTACCACAGTAACACATGAAATCCTTTAAAATTATCATGATATAGGGATTGTGATCTTAGTCCATTTGGTCTGCTAAACAAAATGCCTTACACTTGGTGGCTTATAATCAAGAGGAATTTTTCTCTCACAGTTCTGGAGGCTGGGAATTCCAAGATGAAGGTGTTGGCAGGTTCATAGGTGGTAGAAGGGATGAACAAGCTTTCTTGGGTCTCCTTCATTAGGGCACTACTCTCATTCATGAGGGCTCCTCCTTTAAGAACTAATTATCTCCACAAAGATCCAGTTACTTAATACCGTCACTTTGGAGGTTAAGATTTCAACATATACATTTTGGGGAAACACAAACGTTCAGACCATAGCATGATTATTTTCATTTAAAAGGTGAGAAAACTGAGCTATCAAGAAATTACAAAATTAGTCCTGGACCACAGAAAGGCAAATAACACACTAAAATTTATCTCCAAATACATATTCTTATGTAACCTAGAGTGGTAGCCTGTTAAGCGGTATATGAATTTTGAAGCCAGATCCTTAATAGAGACCCATCCCTACATTTTCTGTATGTCAAACTTTGCACCCTAAGCAAGTCATGCAACGTCTTTGTACACTGAATATGTGCATGATCTCTGTCACTGGAGCCCACCTACCTGAGCTGGGATCTCTGTTTCACCACTTCCACTCATCAGCTGTGAAAATTTGGCAATCCAGTAATTATTCTGTGCCTCAGTTTTCTTACTTACAAAGCAAGGATAATAACCCCTAATTTAAAGATAGATTTAAATACACATTTCTCCAAAGAAGATATATAAGTAGACAATAATACGTGAAAAGATGTACAACATCATGAGTCATTAGGAAACTGCAAATTAAAGTCAGCATGACATATACTTTATATCCATTAAAATGGCTATAAAAAGGGGAGGATAAAATTTGCTGGCAACGGTGAGGAGAATTTGAAAGCATCATATATTGCTAATGGGAATGTGAAATGATGCAACCAGTTTGAAAAACATGTTTTGAGTTCTTTAAAATGTTAAAAATAGAGTTACCATATGACCCAGCAATTTTACAGATATTCTTAAGGGAATTGAAAATATATGTCCACACATAAACTTAAATGCCTATGTTCACAGCAACATTATTCCTAACAGGCAAAAAATAGAAACAACTCAAACGTTCATTAATTGATGAATGGATAAAATAAAATATTGTGTATTCATATAAAAGAATGCTATTCAGCTGTAAAAATGGGAAGTATTGATATATGTTACTACATAGATGATCTTTGCAAATATTATTCTACATGACAGAGGCCAGCACAAAAGGCCTCATATTAATTCCATATGTATGAAATTTCCAGAGTAAGCACATCCATAAAGACAGAGAGTACATTACTGGTTTCCAGATGTTAGGAGGAGAAGAAAATTGGGAAGAGGTGGTAATGGGTATGCATTTATTTTAGAGGGGCATAACAAAAATATTCTAGAATTAGATAGTGCTTATGGTTGCACATCTTTGTGAATATACTAATAAGCACTAAATTATATGCTTTAAAAGGGTCAGATTTATAGTATCTGAATTATACCACAATTAGAAATGAGCAAAAGGAAAATAATCATGTGGACTCAAACTAACACTAGAGCAAAAATAGCAATTTAAACAATGAAAATAAAAGGTAAATTAAGATACACAATTATTTTCAATATACCTTGTTTAGATTACCATCAAAACAAAGAAACTTTATAAAGGACATTTTTGGGGCAATTACAGAAATTTTAATATAGCTACTATGTAGGTGATACAGAATTATTGTAAATGTATTTCAACATGAAATGATATTGTAGTTATATAAGAAAATATCTTTGTTTTTCAGAGATTTATAGTGAAACATTTAGAGATAAAATGTTATGATATCTTGGATTTGCTTTAAAATACTCCAGTGAAAAGAAAAAACTTAAAATACCAATGTACAAAAACATAAATAATTGTTAAACCTAGGTGATGTATATAAATATATAATGGTTCATTTTGATGGTTTATATATGATGGTTCATATTTTTGGTCCTCTCTGCTTTTATGTTTGAAGATGCTCATAACAAAATGCTTTTGAAAACCTTATGAAATTTTAGAATGTTAAGATGTTAAGATCTTAAATTTTATTGTATAATATTTTCTATAATTGACAATATGTTTGCTGCTTTAAGTTTCTATGGCATCTGTTTCTATCTCATTGGTGAGCAATTATTAGAAACAAAAAAGAAAAACAGTAAGTACAAAGTACAATCAATAACTCTGATCTTAAATTTCCTCACTCATAATAAACATATATACAATGACTCTTTGAGGGACATAACTTTTAAAATAGAGATCCAGTCTTAGACCACTGATAATAGTAGCTTTTCCTCCATTCTTCTTTGTTTTATATTGGTTTACATGTCAGTCTTAGGATTTTTATTATTATTTCATGAGGATCTCACTTTTAAATGCACAGTGGACTAAGACATAACACTTCAGTTCTGCACCTGAGTTTTTGCAAATCTACATTTGTTCCTGAGAATAATATTCTGAAAGTACAAATACTGTTTAATGGCTAAAATCAGTTATTACTTACTGCGTTACCCATATTCTTTTTCCACTTTTTAGCCAGGACTCAAAAATATGCCTAAATTCCTGTCACTAGCTTTAAAGCAAGGTTATAAAAGTTACGTTAAACTTCCCACTCATATTAAGAAATGCCCTTTATTAAAATACATTATTTTTGTTTTTTAATAAAATATCAAGGTTCTGATTGCTTGGGAGACGTCTTTGTTATAAAAATAGATGCTCAGATACTAGTGTAAAATTTTATGCACAATATTCTCCTCAGGAATGTCAAGCAATCAAAAGAAATGATTACTTCTCTTAAGTGCTACATAAAGTTCGTAACCCTTTTCTTTTCCTTACCTTTCTCCTGAACTACAGTTTCTATCTGTTATTATCTTTTCTTCAAACAACATCAAATAAACCTTTTCCATATCACCATAGTACCTCAATTTCGCATTCTTGAAACAGAAATCGAACTGAGAAAGTTTCTCTTTGCTCTTTCCTATCTGTAGCATTTCTACGTAAAACATTTGCTCTCCACTGTGTTAAAGGTACTCCTATGAGTCTTAATAGTCTACCTGAATACAGTTTTGTGTAAGTTTAATATGGCTTAAAAAATGTGAAGCATTTATCTGAGCAGAAAATAAAATAAAATAAAATAGAAAAGAAAAAAATGCCAGTTACTGACACTTTTGGAAAACATAAAAATTTTGGATTGTCAAATATATTAAGCTGTTTATTAATTTAATTTAGTATATAGTATTGACTTTAACATAATGTTATTAATAACACTGAGAACATTACTAATAGTGAGGTTGTATCATTATTATTATGAGAAAATAGAGGCAATAAAATAATCCATTCCTCTTAAATTCAAAAAAAGCAAAAGTCTCAACCTTTGAAAAATTGTACTTATATATACTTTTTAACTTTGAAAAAAAATACTGGGAATTTACTTTTACTTTTGAAAAAAATAGTTCACAAAATGAGCAAAGTGGTCTGAATTAGATAGAGAAATAAATACATAACGTTAAATTAAGAGAGTCTATATTTGAATTTGATATTTAATTAGGATATAGTACTTAAGAGTAATAAATTAAAGAGGTCCTCTATAGCAAAAGACTCATTATAAGAAAAACACCCTACATAGCTGTAGGTGCTTAAAATATAAAATCGTATTCCTATGTAACATAAAAATCAGATTCAGGCCAAATAAGCATGGAGGTTCTTCTGTGGCAGAGACTGCAGCAGGTTCAAGATGGCAAGAAACTCATTGACTCTACTTCTATCAAGTGATGTGTTCTCTCTCTCCTCCCGTTCAATCTGAGGGGGCTATGTAACTGCTTTGAGCACAAAAATATGGCTGAATGGATGCTGTGCCAGTTTCCAGGCCCTGGACTTAAGAGCCTGACAAGTTTCACTTCCGGCATCTTGAAAGACTTGCTCTTGGGACTTACAATTCCTGTGTGAGAGGGCAGGCTACCTGCTAGAAAGAACATGAGACGAACACAGAAACTTCATGAAAAGAGAGCTGGACCCAGCTTTCCAGGCCAGTCATATTAGTAGTCATCCTCCATACCAGTCCAGCCACCTGTAGCACATCACATTCTAAACACAGTCAAAATCATGTAGAGTAGAATTGGCCAGCAGAGCTGCTCTTCTCAGTGAACTACAAAATTATAATGTTTAACAAAATATTTGCTTGTTTAATCTGTTAAGTTGGGGGATGTGGTTCATTATATAGGAAAAAAATCAGAGCAGTGACCATACCCATTCAAACTTGCTGTTCAGTTGTTCTCTTCAGGGAGTTTCTATACAACTGCCCACATGATTGGCACCACACCAACCATCACATTCAGATTTTTCTAACTAAAAAGGGTGAAAGACAAAGGACAGGACGCATCCCTTTCCTCAATGTCATGATGCAAAATTTCACAATATTACTTAGCTCCCACCTGTGGAAATATGATAAAATATGTTTATATTTCTGCGGTTTGGGCTTTCTGGACAAACTTTCAGAAACTTGGGCCTTGGACTAAAATGACAAGTCTTAGATGTTAATTTACCACTAAAATAATTTTTAAATTCAGAGATTAATTTCATTCCATATGTGTGTTTATATTTAGAAGAATTTGAGACCAAGGATCATGGAGACATATCAAATTTGTAAAACTGGAAATATGAGCCTATTTTCCATCTAGAGATATTTATTTACATATTAAAGTGTTAGAATAAAGGTCCTTCCCATTAAGTTTCAAGGTAACTCTCAGAAAGGGAGAGGCAATAGCTGCCTTTTTTTCCCTACAAATTCCCCAAATTTATTTTTTTCTGTATTTCTAGCCTAAAATGTAGACTTCTTGTGTTTATGTACAATCATTTTGTACTCAGGGATGAGAACTGAACACGAGGAATCCAAACGGCTATTTGCTGGCAAGTGAATAATAGTCTCCTATACTTCAGAAACATTTTAACATTCTTAAACTCTATTCACTAAAAATTCAAAAGCAAATAAATATTTTCAATACTCTAACCTTGAGTACAGTATAAATCATTAAATTTTCAGGCTCCCTTCAATTTCATTATTTGCGTATGTACACATGAAGTGAATTCAGATAAATGTTAAAATTTTATTGTGATGAACAATTATAACTTTTCTATTATAAAAAGGAAAAAAGCTATTAAAATATCTCAGTCTGAAAAAATTATCTTCAGCAAAATTATAAAAATATATTTTTGGATCTGGCCTGGTGCAGTGGCTCACACCTGTAATTTCAGCACTTTGGGAGGCCAAGGAGGGCAGATCACTACAGGTCAGGAGTTTGAAAACGGCCTGTCCAACATTGTGAAACCCCTTCTCTACTAAAAATACAAAAATTAGCTGGGTGTAGCGGTGAATGCCTGTAGTCACAGCTACTCAGGAGGCTGAGGCAAGAGAATCACTTGAACCCGGGAGGCAGAGGTTTCATTGAGCTGCTATCATGCCACTACACTCCAGCCTGGGAAACAAAGTGAGATTCCAACTAAAAATAAAAAAGATTAAAAAAAATAAAAATAAAAATATATACACACATATATTTATATATATATATAATCTTTCTATAAAATTGAAAGAACAAAGAAAATCACTTATAAGAATGCTGTAAGTACCATTTTCACTCTTATATCACTTTCATTAAATATCACAAGTCAAGTAATTAACATCAAAAGAAATATTGTATTATCCAAGATTATGTATGTCATAATATATATGACAAAATAATATACTATATAAAATAGTATAATACAATAATAGATCCTATAATATACTATATTATTTTGTTATATATTATTATATTATGTTATATAAAATATAATATACTATATATCATATTATTATATATTATATTAATATATATTTTATATATTCTCAGATAATACACTATTTCTTTTGATGTAAATTCTTTCAATTGTGGTGTTTAATGAAAGTGAAATGAGTGAGAATGGTATGTACAACATTCTTACAGTGATTTTCTTTGTTCTTCCAATTTTATAGAAAAGATTGATAATTACAAAATGAATTAAATATTAAAATCATTAATAAAAGTAGATAACAGTATTAAAAATTACATTTTATTTTATTTTACATAAACTCCAAATCAATTAATTTTTTGAACAACATACATTTTAATTCAAGGGATGTGAAAAATACCAGGTCTCATTATAGGATAATTTAGCTAAAAAAGATATAAGAAAATAAAATTCACAGTTTTTCATGGAGAATATTCATCAACATAATAGACATTTGAAGTTAATATTGTATTATCAGTCATGTATTTATATGCTTCTATGAATATTATTCTTACATATAGCTTATGATATCAATGTAAAAATTTCTCTAATAGCAACTATTTTGAGCCTTTTTTTTCTGTCATGATTACTTTTGTCATGAGTTTACAAATCGGTACATACTTACTTAGTGTCATACTCATTTCAAATGTAATTTTTACTTCAATAAAATTTCTGTTAGTGCATTTGATTTCCAATGCACTTAAAGTAATATTCTGCCACTGTTTCATCAAAGCAATTGAATCAATATTTCTAGGTCATACTGTCCTAAGAAAATTCAACTAGCAATATTAAATTATAATGAAAAGAATTATTAAAAATTGTTATATATTTATTCCTTCATTATGTCATCTGGTTTTAGAAACTTATCCTTATTTATAACTAAGGTATAATAGCAAAGAGATTATATATATTTTGTATAGTCATAATTTTTAGACTTTAAGAAAGCCTAGACACTCATATAAAAATAAACAGTGTTATTCAATCTCAGAAATGAAATTTTAATAACTGAAAGGAAATGGACCCATAAAGAAGGTGATGAGACATGTTTTTTGTGATTTATTTCAGTCCTTCCTGAAATACATTTCTATGTCACTAGAAAAATATTTGCAAAAAAAAAATGAGTATTTTTCTTTTATCGAAATAAAATGTTCTTTCAAAAAAGGACCTCTTTCATCATTCGTATAGGTTTTATTGCAATTCTAATTTACCTAAATGATACACACACATAAATTATCACTGCATACATTCACTTTTTGTAAAGAATTTTTTTTTCTCTAAAATGTAGATGGTGGACCTGAAGAGAAGATACACAGACACATTTTATCATTTACAGTGCTTTCACTTGCAAGAGTCAGAAATCCATCTAAATCCAGCTTAAATGATTGAAAAAGCTAGCATAAGTGGATTATTTGTGGGTGCAAGTTAATCTATTATTTTTTCAACAATGTCATCAAAAATAAGATTTATCTCTGCTTGTTGAAACTGCTCTGAAGATTTCAGCATGATGCTAACATGACCTCTGTGACCACACACCTTGAGATTCAAATGGGAGAAAGCTTCTCTTCCTCTTTCATCCACCACATATTGTGAGTTCAATACATTTGAAACATGTTAAGTTGCATCTCCTTTTATGGGCAAATAACTGTAGAATATATATGGCAGAAGAGAAAGATGGCAATATGTGTTAAAATACTTGATTTATGCCAGTTATAGCCCCCCTTGGAAGAATGCAAAGACTCAGTCTCATCTAAAAGTCTGGAGTATTCCACTAAGGAAAGGATGAAATAAATTCTGGGTAGAAAACTGCAGTGGCTAAACAAAGATGTGCTCTGTCTATCAGTGCTAATATTTTCAGTTAAAAAAAAAAAAAAAGTAGAAACTGACCAGATGAAAGCGTAATTATGAAACTAACTCATGTTGAATCTAAAGGTCTTTTTTCAACAAATTGTGTTGAAACAACTAGAAGTCCATATGGAAAAAAGTGAACTTGAACCTCTAATTAACAATATGTACAAAAATTTATCTGATATGAGTAGACTTAAAAACAAAGATGATAGGACATCCAGTAAAAAAACATGGGCCATATCTTCACTGCCTGTGAATGTTACATAGAACATATTAGACAATGATCACAATGAAAAAGCTAGATAAATTAGACTTCTGATATCAACAATTTCTCTTCAATAGGTACTATTAAGGAAATAAATAGGAAATTCACAGATCAGAAGAAAAATATTATCAAACAAAATGTACAAAAGACTTATATTCAGAAACAACAAGAAATTTTTTTTTTTTTTTTGAGACAGAGTCTCACTCTTTCGCCAAGCTGGACTGCAGTGGCATGACCTCTGCTTACTGCAACCTCCGCCTCCCGGGTTCAAGTGATTATCCTGCCTCAGACTCCCGAGTAGCTGGGACTACAGGCGTGCACCACCATGCCCAGCTAATTTTTGTATTTTTAGTAGAGACGGGATTTCACCGTGTTGGCCAGGATGGTCTCGATCTCTCGTCCTCGTGATCTGCCTGCCTCGACCACCCAAAGTGCTGGGATTACAGGCGTGAGCCACTGCGCCTGGCCCAGAAACAACAAGAAACATTTATAACTCAACCAGCAAAGAACAAAAACTGTTAGAAAAGAAGAAACTGAAAAATGTTTTAGAAAGCATTTTACATGAAAAATGTATTCAACAGCATTGGCAATAAAGGAGATGATCAATTTAAAGTGGATTACTACTACAAACTTGAATATCCAGAATTAAAATTATGCCATATGATGGTAAGAATGTAAAATAACTGAAACACAAATACATTACGGCTGAGGATGTACTAATAAAACAGTACAACATTGAAGGAGGTTGACTAGTTTCTTACAATATAAAATATACTCTGTGGACACAATAATTTTGTTTTTAGGTATCTAATGAGGAGAAATGACAAAGAAGGTACTTGAGGAGATTTGCATATGAATATGAATATGTATGTATACATATGTGTATACATACATACATATATAGCTATTGACTGTTACAGCTATTATTATATCAGCCGTATTTGTAACAGTCAAAAGCTGGCACCAAATCAAATGCCCTTCAACATGAAAATGAATAAAGAAATGGTTGTGTATTATAAAATAAAATACTATTCATCCATCAAAAAATAATGATACATGTAACCACATGGATAAATCTCATGGATAGTAGATTGAGGAAAATAAGCCAGAGACAAAAGAATACATACAGAATTATTATTGAAATAAGGTTATAGGACAAGCAAAGCTAATCTATGTAATAAAGAAATCAGAATAGAGTCCTGCTTTTGCCTCTCTAAAGGAAATGAAATAAGATGTAGCTTTAGAGGTATTAAAATGTTCCCTACTTTTATAGATAAATCTATACATAGATTTAGATTACATAGACCTATAATTTTTTCAAAATTTATTAATTGATGAGTGAGATTTTGCAATTTACTAAATGAAAATTTTACTGAAAAGAAGTAATTCAAATAACTATTGAACTGTAATTAGCAAACAATTCTGAAATGACTTTCTTTGTATTCTAAGCTTGAGCTAATACATAAATCTATAATGAATAATCAGAGCTAGTTTTCTTTATAGTAGAGAATAAAATTACAACTATAAAACAGGGAGTGCTAGAACATACACTGTGGTATTTAATTGGAATTTGATATATAAACTTATATTACTGTATATAGAATATATATTATAAATACACACGAACATGTATGTATTTACATGTATATGTGTGTGTATATATATATATAATGAAATTATATGTAAAAATAATCTTTGCACTGTGAAGGCAAAGGAGCAATGTCACAGCAGAGCACCTTGAAGAGAAGGCTGATTCAAGGACTGAGGTATGAAAAAATTCAAGATAAACTGGGAATTTCTTGTAACACCAGAAAGAATATACTGTCTCAGGCATAAGGCAAACATTAAAAGGACACAAGAGACAACTTCAAGAGATTCTCACTGGCCATATCAGGAAGAATTTAGTTGTCAAAATGAATAATGGATTATAAACTCTGGATAAAATTAAAATCCCTAAATGTGTATGATATAAATGAAAATATAAATAAGTAAATAAAGACTGATAATATTAAATAAATGTGTGGAATATAGAAAATATCAATAGAGGTTGAAACTACTCAGGTAATTTTGATAAGTAAAAGATAATTTGGACTCAGATATCTTCTGGAGATTATCTATTATAAAAAGACAAGTATACATTTATGGTGCAGATAACTGGTAGGCACCACTTTAACCATGTGATCACCAAAACTGGGACAAACCTTTATAGTGTACTTCCTGATAAAGTGCACCTAGAAGAGCACAAAATCAGAATTGTGTTCTTTGTTACAAAAAATATCTAACATGAATCTAATCAGTAGGAAAGGAAAGCAAACTCAAATTTTTGGGCCTGCAACAAAATAATAGTTTGCACTCTTCAAATATATCAGGTTCAAAAAGCCAAAGCAAAGTTGAGAAATGTTTATAGATTTTTTTGGAGAATAAAATGACAACACAATATTTACTTCTGGATTATATTATCACATGAAAAAAATAGCTATAAAGGAGATTATTAAGGCCATTGGTTCTATTTTAATGTGGACTATAAATTAGATGATAATATTGTATCAATATGATTATTAGCAAATCCACCATAAACTATTTAGGAGTAAACATGTAAAATGTCTCCAAATTACTGACTTACCTGTCTGTTTATCTATCATCTGTCTTCTAGAAAATAAAGCAAAGGAGACAACTTGTTTTTAAAATAATGCAAATCTGGATAAGGTGTATCTACAAATTTATTGAAATATTCTTGAAACTTCTCTACATTTGAAATTATATCAGTATTATAAGCTACAAAAACAAACAAAATGAGTAGTTTTATTAAATTTCATCTAGTCTCTCTATTTAAAAAAAAAATGATACTGAGTATAATACATGAAAACTCATGGCAGGTAGTTAAAAGTGGTGCCAAGAGAGAAACTGGTACCGTATTTGTCCCTGCAATGTTCCATCATCAACACTTACCACAATTCTATGCCTTATTAATACATTTGGTTGTTTTATAAGAAGATGATTCTATATAGGTAGGGACTAGACAGTGAGTTGAGCAGAGAAATAGAGTGGGGTGAGCAAGAAAGAGATGGGCAACCTATTTATGTTGGGGGGAGTTAAGACTCTTACCAATACACTTAACTCAAAATTGGGATTTGTTAGACATTATGTAAAGGTTTTTGTTCGAATTATTTAATTAAATATTGTTTTGCCTTTATTTCATTACCTTTATTTTCACTTCCAGAGCTTGTCCATTAGCTATCACTAAGTAATGTATTCCTTCCTATGCACACATCAGAATGTTTTACTTACAATTTAAATTGTTTTGGTAATTCGTACACTGTTGATTGCATTATATTCAATGTCTTTAAGGGGCTCCTAGTGTCAAAGTAATAATATCAGTAAGTTGAATTGCAGAATCCAAGTCTCTGCTTTATATTTGAGAGTATTTTTATAAATTTTCTTCATTGTACTGAAATGGTACATTAAAGAAAATCAAGTTATTTTTAGACCATTTATTTTGTATTTTGGAAAGCATAAATGTGATGATTACTTCTGTAATATGGTGATGTAGGTGTCCTACAAAATATGGAACCACAAAATATCACACAATAGCTAAACTTTTTAATGCGTTCACTTCTTCTATTCCTTGCAACAGCAGTTACCTTGAATTATCTGCTGTACAACTTAGTATCACAGTCACCACTTTATACACTCTTCTCAGCGTTGAAGATCTTTACAATAAACCGCATTTCTCAGGATCACCTTTCCCAAACCACACTGTGTTAGATTCTGCTGACAAGAGAAAATTTGGAAGGTAAGAAAAAGAGGAATCATTTTTTTCTTCAAAAAAACAGTTATAGGTAGATATGTAGACACAAGGTAAGTTCTTTCGAATCAACTGCTTTGGAGCTGCCAGAAGCTATGGGTGGCTGAAACTGCACCCATTGAGTCTGTGGAGATAGTCTGCAGATGTCATGTGGCTTCCCCTGTAAATAACCACTTTCTACCAGTTGTTTCCTTGACCTTCACTATCTTTCCAACAATTATGTTAGCTTCTAATCTCCTGAAATAAAACACTTTGTATTTAAAAGAACAAGAGTTTTTTTCCGTGTTCCTTACACAATCCTGAATTGCATGAGTGGTATAATAGAGTTAGCTAAGTGTTGGGTCTCAGCGGGCATCAACCTATCAGATCTTCTCTTCACTAAGGTTGAATCTTGGTCTGGTTACACCCCTAGTCAAGTCTATTTTTAAATTAACGGCATAAACACTGGATTCAGGATAGCAATAATCTCTGCCTCATAAATCTGTTGAGTGAAGGAAATGTCTCTCTGTGTGCATGTATGGAATATTATATATTTCCAATTTACACCCAGAAAAAATAATCGTAATTAAATGTTATAGTTGGTTATTTTATTGCAATTAATTTACAAAAGGTTTTCTCTAATTAGCATATGCAATTCCCTTTAACCACAGCTAGATTGTGTTTTCACTTTTATTGTCTCTTCACCTCCTTATAGTCACAGCTATCTCTGATTATATATGCTACTGTCAACTTTCAATTGCACATACTTATTTATAACTTTTTATATGTGCTCATTTACTTATCTCTGAAAGCCTATTTTCTTCTTCCTGTTTACCCAATACTATTTTTTTCTGAAAGCCTAACTTCAAGTAATTCACATATTTGAGCAAAATATCAAAAAACTATTAATTCATTTTAACTGCTCCATAAATGTATTTTTCAGAATAAACTCTAGTGACCATGTCTCTTATTTTTATGTATTTCCAGTAAGTTTTCATGACATCTGTTCCACTTGAACTTTTGAATGTAAGGTAGATTAGTTTTGTTCATAAAAATGCAGTTTGTTTTGTGTCTGTGTTAATCTCGCAAATAAATAAGTCATTTTATAATAAAGCAAAAAAATTAAAGCAAAAAGAAAAACAAACATAAAACACGAAAGTCAAAACAAAACAGAAATGACCAATAAAGCTTTGTTTTATTTTTAAAATTATTATTCAGTACTTACCACATGTATATGCAGATAGCAGGTGTTCAATATATGATTTTTAATCAAGTTGTAAAAGAGCAAATATAATTATGTTTCAAAATATTTTATTTTTTATTGCTCAAACTCTGTTTCTGTAAAGGTGGGATGCATGTGTGTGTGTGTGTGTGTGTGTGTGTGAAAGCAGTAAATTCCAAAATTTGGTTCCAGGGATTGGTTTGGAGTGTTCACAGTTCCTGATAGGCCAAATTAGTAATATCAAAAGATGATATGGGACACTTAGAAAAGTGAATGTGCTAAAATATTTCAAATTTCCAAATAATATTTCCTACAACTCTTGTTCTTTGTCAAATTGGGTAGGAGAGTAATGATACTCTATCAGAGGACAGACTCAAATTTCAGAAGACTAATAATCTTACAAAATTCATATAAAAGTCCCTCTGAGGAGTCAAGTTTATTGGTGATAGGATCTGATTTACATGGCTTTGAGGGATTCATCCATCCATCAGATCCCTTAATGTGGTATATGCTTCCTCATTCATCATTTAGATTACTAAAAAAGGGAAATGACTAGAGGAAGAAGAAGTTTCATAGGTATATGATGTGCTATCACATCAAATTGGCCATGAAAAAGACATACATAGAGTGTTTTGAGATTGTAAATAGTGATGGTCTTTGTCTTTGTGATTGTGGCATTTGTGTGACAGATGATGTAGCTTTTCACCAGCCTATTATTAGAAGAGGATTTCCAATGCAGATACACTGAGGTTTAATTTGAGATAACTGTGCTTCCACTCTCTAATATAATTGATGATACAAAAAGTTTGCTAATTTTAGAATCTGACCCTTTAGGCATAAGAAAATAATGGAAAAAAATAACTGTGTTTGTCTAATATACACAATCAGATCCATATTTTAGGAAAATTCATTCTTTAATATGAATTTTACCTTAGTGATACCTACTTGTCATTTCAGCCAATGTTATCTATGGTTTCACAGACCATGAGCTGCCAAACAAAGCATCCATCATCTTTTCTTACAGAGAGAGAGCCCTAATTTTCTATTAGGAAAATACCCCCTAGAATGAAAGACTGCATGGCCAACCTTCTTTACACAAGACTATGTGACAAAGTTATGATTTTACTAATTGTAAGCAAAACATTTTTAAGACACTGGGAAGGCTAAAGGGAGGTGAATCATCAGAATGGCCTCCCTTTACTCTTCTCTCTTACCTTCTTCTTCAGTCATGTAAATCAGATATGATGGCTGAGTAACCACCTAGGTTTATATTATGAAGTGATATTAAGGATTAAAGTCATTAACTGCATATTTCAATGTATTTTTAATATTTTATTTAGAAATTAATCACTTTGGGTATATGTTTGTATAAATGGTGTGTGCATGTGTGCAAGTGTCTATATGTATTTGAAAGACACTTCTTTCTAAATATGTGTATAATTTAAATTGTTTTTTCTTGCATATAATCAAAAGTCTAAAATAATAGTGGATTGAAGAAAATAGACATTTTTTTCTCTTATGTAGAAATGTCCCAAGGTTTTCAGGCCTGTGTGAGGGTTCCAGGGTATCTTTTGTCACCCAAGTTTCAATAATTTGCTCCATCAGTTTTATAAGTAACTATTGGAACACTGCTGTCTGGAAGATTTTAGAAAGATAATGGACAAAATATGAAAGGCTTGAATTGTTCTAAATGAGAAAATACTGTTTATTATTATAAAATGATCTTTATTATTAAAGATCGGTATAGTTGTCAATTTTATCCATATGGGAGATGGTATAAAACCTTTAGAACAGTGCAGGGCAAATAAAAAACACTATGTCAGAATAAGTAAGGAATGTATCTAAGAAACTGTTTCTCTGAGTATCAATAATCATCATGAATCCAGAGACTATTTTTCACTTAGGTTTTCCAAGTAATTTTGGCACAACTAATTAAATTAATAATAAAGGTCAGACAGACTGACATTCTGTATAATCATAATATTAGGCAACAGAATTGCAATTCAAAATGTAAAAGTAAGTATAAGAAAACAATTTCAACAAAAGAAAATTGACAGGGTTAAATAACCTCTTCATTCAAAGTCGCTGATACTTTGACTCATACCAGAAAAGCCATTTAAAAGAAATATCTTTTTTTAAAATTTTACTTTAAGGATTATAAATCATTCTACTATAAAGACACACACACGTATATTTATTGTAGCACAATTTACGATAGCAAAAACTTGGAGCCATCCCAAGTGCCCATCAAAATAGACTGGAAATATATTTTAAACCATAATACCACACAAACCTCAGCCTTTCAAGGAGTTCACAGCTATAGGCATTTTCTGGAAAAAAAAGAAAAAAAAAAGAAAGAGGAAAAGAGGAAAGAAGGAAAGAAAGAAAGGAAGAAAGAAGAGAAAGAAAGAAAGAAAGGGAGGAAAGAAGAAAGAAAGGGGGAAAGAAAGAAAAGGAAGGAAGAAAGAAAGAAAGAAAGAAGAAAGAAAGAAACAAAGAAGAGGGAGGGAGGGAGGGAAGGAAGGAAGGAAAGAAGGAGGGGAAAGAAAGAATAGAAAGAAAGAAAAAGAGAGAAAGAAAGAAAGAGAGAGAAAGAGAAAGAAAGAAAGAAAAGAAAAATTCCTGTGTTCAATCGTCTATTAGCTTCTTTTCTACCACAAGCTTAATATTCAAAGATGTGAGCAATGAAAACAATGTAAACTTATTTGAAATAATTTACTTGCATTTATAATGTCTTTGGTAAAGCTCAATTGCTATTCATATTTATAAAAAATTAAATTTTTGTGTTATTCCTAAAGATGTTAATTTTTCCAAAGTGAAAACACTACATGCTTTTCCTCAATGCATTGCCATCTATCATTAGTTTTTGTTTATAGGCTGTTAGTCAGTTTCAGTCCATGTGACAGTGCTCATATCCAAACCAATTGTAATTAATAGTTTGCTAAGATTTTTGAAACATGGCATCTAGTGATTTATTAAAGCCAACTTATATTACATCAAATGAATTAACGTTAGTCACTAATTATATCAAAATAAGCAATCTATTTTTTTCTGACATTACTTATTTCCCATCCTTTTCCCTACACTGAATTTTATTATATAGTGCAGTATTTCTATCTTTTTCTTTTCCAAGTCTTTTAGCTTTCTAAATAGGTAGTTGTCAAAAATCACTTTGTTTGCTCATTGACACATTTTTGCCACTTCTTTCTTGTTAACAAAATCCAAATTTTGTTTAGGTGTCTAACCACCACTGGCTTCAGGAGATGTGGAACGCAGCTCCAAATTAAGGGCGGAATTACAATTGTTCTAGTTCAATCACAGTAGTTCAGTTCTCCTTGGCAGTGAATGCAATAATGTGAAGATATTTTTAGTTTACATATGATGCCTGGTATTGCAGTAGTTCTCTTTGACCATGAGAAAGGTTATCTAGAAAGATAGAAAGCTAATGCCAAGAAGGGCAACTTGAAAGTACAGAAACTGCAACTTTAAAAAGAAGGTGAAGACATATATTAATCAAAATGAAACTTTCTGTTTTCCAGAATTTTGTTATTGCTCACACTAATTTCATCTGGACTTTTGTTATTGAAGTGATCTCATTTTAAATATGATACAATGAAATGTGATGTTTTTATAATCATCCTGTGGCCACAAAGATATTATTTTAGCACATAAAAACTCCTTGGTCTCAAATTTTATAAAAAGAAAAACAGTAACTTGTATTTAATAAATAGTGACCTATTTTTAAATATTCATAGATGATTGTATCATATTTGCAATATAGAGACCTAATTAAAGACTATAAACTTTTATTTAAATAAGAATAGAAATCATTCTAATAAGGAAAGCTGACGTATTGCTTACTAATGTTTAATATGCAAATATAAACAAGCTATTCAATTGGGTAGTCATTAAAAATGTGTTTATTTAAATTTCTTTTTAAAGTGATTGATAAAAATAAAATTAAAAATTAAGTTTCTCAGCCACGTTAGACACATTTCAAGTGTTCAGTGGCCAAATGTGGCTAGTATCCTTCATGTTACACAACACAGACAGAACATTTCCGTTAATGTAAAAATTCTATTGAACTACACTGATCTAAAGGGTCAGCAAATTATGACTTATAGATTGCTGACTTTATAAATAAAATTTTAGTGAACACATGTCTGCCCACTCATTTATGTATTGTCTTATGGATGTTTTCACAATACATTGGCAGAACCAAGTAGTTGCAGCAGAGACCCTATGGTATGCAAAGCCTAAAATATTAATAACTGGAATAGTTAAAATATTTACTGACCCATGATCTAAGCCACTGTCTAAACAGAAGAAACATAGATTAAATGTAATAATTATATGTAAACATTTTCTTAGAGAAAAGAGTGAAGCAAAATGATTTTTACTGTCCCAAAAGGACTAACAGATATAATGTTGATTTCAATCATGACATGTTTTTTTCTTCACCAATCTTCATAGTATTCAGGATAAAAATTAAAACTTCAGTGATCTTTAGAAGCTTATAAAATAAAAAAGATGAACTTAAAAGTATGAAAACATTACCTCAGGTTTCTATATGACTTTGGCATACTTCACAAACTCATTTGTTATGAATTTGTAGTTTTCATTTCTTCTAAGGGGATTCCTCTCATTATTTGTTCAAGAAATCATTTTTCATATTGTCAATCTTTAGCAATAATGCCAATCTAAAGGTAATCACTTCTTGCATCTGCTAAGTTTCTGTATATGTAGAATGTAAATTGACTTAGATATATAGCTTTATCATTGGGAGAAAACCACAAATCTCTCCTGTATCCAGAATAATCAGAAATGTTGCATAATCAGAAATGCTGATTAGAAGTAAAATTGACATACTCACAAATGAAGTATTTTAGAAATTCCTAAAATTACAAGAAATGTGATTTTTCAATCTCATGATTCTGACATCAAGTTTTGCTTAGAAGTTAATTTCAAGATCTGTTTAGTCACCAGTACATGCATGCAGAGTGGAACTGGAAAGAGCTGAATGTGATAGATGTATGAGAAGCATTATCATTTGCTTATTGCCACTTTAGATAACAGCGTGTACTGATTAAGAGCTTAGAGGTTTTTCAGACTTCCTTGTTTTGATTTTTCATTCCTACTGTTGTTACATACTAGCTGGGTAAACTAGAGCAATATATAATTTAGGGAAAATGATAGAATATTGTAGAAAACATAGAAAAATTGCAGTACTCAACTAAGAAAGATGTATATTTCTCAGTAACATAAAATTATAGAATTGAGCAGTATTAAGCAGCCCTTATGGAAGGGCTTTTCCACAATACCAAGATCTTCTTGTTTTTTCATCCACGTATATATTGTACTACCCTTTGTAGTTAAACTGGATTTGATTAAGTCTGCATTCAACCTACAGTAAGGTTACATACAATCAAGGATCAGTAAACAATTTTCTTTGAGTAAATGACTCAGAAGTTGAGCACATTACTCATAATTACATTTTATTGATTAGAACCTAGTTAAATGGGCATAAAGCTATCTTCAAAGAAGGATTTGGGTTTTAATGTATACTTAAACAGATGTCCAGTTTGGAAAAATTTTATTGGGGAACTATTGTTTCAACATCGTGAATAATGTTACAATGAACATGGAGTGTGGATATCTCTTTGATATACCGATGTTATTTCCTTTGAATATATATCCAGAAATGGGATTGCTGGATCATAAGGTAGTTCTATTTTTTAATATTTTGAGGAATCTCCATACTATTTTCTATAGTGGCTGTATAAATTTGCACTGCCAACTGTTCTTCAGATTTCTCATCTTTACATTATATATATTCATCAATTTGTTGTGACAAGTAAACATGTCAACAGATGCAAAGACCTTAGAAAAGCACCTGATACACACTAAGACCTGATTAACTGCTTATAATATTTCTATTTATGTAATTTATTTTTTCTGTGAAAGGCTTCAGTACATAGAGTTGATAAATTTACTACTAATAATAGCTTTATTTGTTGTAATTGTGTCTATAAATTTTTATGAGGGTGAAAAAAGATCAATGAGGAAAAAATAATCTCGATTGATTAATTGATTGCTTTTTAACCACTCAATTGAGGTATATTAAACTATAAAATGATGTAAATATTTAATGTGTAAATCACCGTGAGTTTGGGATATACATACACTGGTGAAAACATCATCACCATCAAGGCCGTAAACATATTCATCACATGCTAAAGTTTTTTCTTACCCCTTGTTATTACTATTACTGTTTTTGTTGTTGTTTTGCTTTGCTAAGAGCACTTAACACAAGAACTGATACATTAGCAAATATTAAGTACACAATACAGTATTGTTAGCTATGAGCACTATGCCGGGTAGTAGATCTCCAGAACTTATTTATGCTGCATAACTGAAACTTTGTATCCCTTAACCATTACTACCCCACCTCCCCACCCCTGCATCCTTGTGCCCATCCTTTGGCAACAACCGTTCTATTATGTGCTATGAGTTTGACTATTTTTGATTCTACATATAATTGAGATATTACAGTGCTGGTCTTTCTGTTACTGGCTCAGTTAATTAAACATAATGCTTTCTAGGTCTATCCATGTCATTGCAAATGGCAGGATTTTCTTTAAGGCTGAATGGAATTCCACTGTACGCATATACCACAATATTTTTATTTATTCATCTATTGATAGACTTCTAGATTGTTTCCATATCTTGACTATTGTGAATAATGTTGCCGTGAACAGGGGAGTGTAGATAGCTCTTTTATTTATCGATTTTATTTCCTTTGAATGTATACCCAGAAGTGAGATTGCTGGATCATAAGGTAGTTCTATTGATTTTTTGTGGAACCTCCATACTATTTTCCATAGCAATAACACAGGATCCTTTTGGTAACACTGCACCAGCTAGAAATCTCCATGGCCAGCAGCACCTCTGCCCAGGCTTTGCTTGGCTCTGGGCATGCTCCACCACTTCTGAGTAAGTTCATCTAACTGCCGTTTAAGATAAGTGACTGCTCTTACTGCTTCCGTTGACAGGATGTGTTATTGTGGGAAAATGGCAGTCAGATCTCTCTCAGAGGTCTATCTAAGGGTCCCCAGTAAAAGGTAGCCATCGTCCAAGGCTCCGTTTGCATGACCATTTGGAGTTTGTTAATCTCCAGGTGAGAAAAATCAAATTTTACGAGGAGGTTGTATTAGGATTCTATAAAGGGAACTAATAGGATATATATACATATAGTGGAGTTGATTAAAGAGTATTGACTCACAGGATCACAAGGCAAGGTCCCACAATAGGCCATCTACAAGCTGAGGAGCAAGGAAGCCTGTCCAAGTCCCAAAGCTGAAGAACTTGGAGTCTGATGTTTGAGGGCAGGAAGCATCCAGCAGAGGAGAAAGATGAAAGCCAGAAGTCTAAATCAGTCTAGTCTTTCCACATTCTTCTGCCTGTTTTTATTCTGGCCACACTGACAGCTGATTATATTGTGCCCACCCCGACTGAGGGTGGGTCTGCCTTTCCGAGTCCACTGACTCAAATGTTAATCTCCTTTGGCAACACCCTTACAGGCACACCCAGGAACAATAGTTTGCATCCTTCAATCCAATCAAGTTAACACTCAATATTAACCCTCACAGAGCTTAAATATTCATGCACCAAATATGTATATTATACAAAGAGGAGCTAAAAGGGAAAAATCTAGTGCCAAAGATAAGAGAAATAAGAAGTAAACAGACTAATCATTCTGAAAACAATATTGTGGCCAGAGTTGTTTCACTCTGGGGAAAGAAACTAAATCTCGTATGGGGCCAGTTAAACTAGAAGAGAGAATACTGTTTAGGTGAGTAAAAAAAAATCCCTGTGGGAGTTCAGGATTAAGGGTTCCTTGACAAAGATACCTTATGGTGAGGAATGAAATGAAGGTGAGAACCACAAGCATAAGCAGGAATAAAGAAGATATCTATGGGAAGTTCATTATTGACACTTATCTTTTGTGATCTTTAGCCTGAGGTCTCCAATTTCTTCAGAAGAGCTTTGGGTGCTCTTCTGAGGTAATTCTGTCAGTTCCCCAGGCCTTTGCTAGAGTACAATGAATCCAAGAGCCTATTCCAGTGACCTTCACTGCCAAAGGGGTAGAAAGAAGTACAACGTGCCTGGGTGCCTTGGCTCATGCCTGTAATTCCAACACTTTGGAAGGCCGAGACAGGTGGATCAGTCAAGAGTTTGAGACCAGCCTGGCCAATACGGTGAAACTCCGTCTCTGCTGAAAATACAAAAGTTAGCTGGGCGTGGTGGTGCATGCCTCTAATTGCCACTACTCAGGAGGCTGAGGAACAAGAATCATTTGAACCTGGGAGACAGAGGTTACAGTAAGCCAAGATCATGCCACTGCACTCCAGCCTGGGCGACCGAGTGAGACTGTCTCAAAAAAAAAAAAAAAAAAAAAAAAAGAAGTTCGATGTAAGATCCCTCCCACACCAGGTCTAAAGTGGGAGAAAGAGAAGGAAGAGCCTTTACCTGCACTAAGTCCCCTGGGTTGAATAGAGGTGGTGGTGGCCTAGTTCATGGGTTTGGGTCTCCTACAGTTGCTTCAGTTTGTGTTGGAAATGGGCCAAAGTAAATACATGTTTAATCATATCAGAAGTTTCTTGGTCTAGCAAGAAATCACTGATAAGAAAAGGCCATCCATGTATCATTTTGAAGGCACCTAAACCCAGGTTCAAAGGGGTGTTTCTAACAAGTCGTAGGGTTATGGGGAGAAGAGTAATCCAGGAGAGAGAAGTCTCTTGAGACTGTTTTCTGAGGTGCCTTTTGATAATATCACTTGTCTTTTCTACCTTTCCCAAGGATTGTGGTCTCCAAATGCAATGAACATGGTATTGTATGCCTAGTGTCCCTGAGACCCTCTGGGTGACAGCCATCTTGAACAAGGGGCCATTATCACTCTGGAGGTATTTAGAAAGTCCAAAGCAAGGAATGATCTCATTAATTAGTACTTTTATCACCTCAGAGGTTTTCTTTGTCTAACATGAAAATGCTTCTACCCAGTTATTGAAGGTATCTACTCATATCAGGAGACACTGGATGCTGCTTTTCTTTGGCTTTACGGGTAAATTTATCTGCCAGTGGGTAAATTTATCTGCCAGTCTTCCCCCAAGTAGCCTCCTGTTCTTTGGGAGTCTGCAGGGAAGAGCCATTGATTGAGGGGATTATTTTTAAGGCAAGTCTCACAAGCATTAATGACCTATTTGACTATTGGTAGCAGATTTTTACCTGAGAACAACCACTGGGGCGATTGATAGGTTCTATCCTTATCTAGGTGGAAGGCTTGGAGAAGGATATTAAGAACTTTCCATTGGCTGGAAGCTGTTAGGTGAAGTTTGCCATCTTCTTATTGTAGCGATCCTGAGGACTGAAAGGTGTATCCCTGAGAGGTGGCCCATTCTACTTATGCAGGAGAATATTGAGGTTTTATTTCTCTTATGGAGCCCTCCCAGATCAGAGGGGTCTCTAGTAGATAAGAAATCTGGGACCTTCTTACTGCCAATTTACCTGCTTAGTCAGCCAACTTTTTACCCTCGGTTATTTCATCCATCCCCTTTTAGTGGCCTTTACAAGGTATTACTGCCACTTCCCATGAAAGAAGAACTGAGGATAATAATCTTAATTTCCTAATGGTATTTAAGGGGAGAACCATTAGCTGTGAGGAAGTTCCTCTCTTTCTAGATTGTGGCATGAGCCTGAAGGACTAGGAAAACATACTTAGAATCAGTATAAATGTCAACTGCTTTCCGTTTGCTTAATTCAAACACCCTCATAAGGGCTATTATCTCAGCTAGTTGAGCACTTGTGCCCAAGGAGAGAGGCACACTCTCAATAATATCATTCATATTCTTGTATACCCTACTTTATGGATCCCTTGTTCTACAAAATAACTTCTGTCCATAAAGAGAGTCCAGTCTGTGTTCTATAAGTAGTTTCTTTGAAGTCCTCTCTGGCTCCATAGGTTTGCACTACTATCTGTATGCAGTCATGTTTAAGCTCCCCAACTTCCTCTGGGAGAATGGTGGCTGGGATTAGAGGGTCAGGTTCTTTTTTTTTTTTTTTTTTTTTTTTTCTGATATGGAGTCTCACTGTATCGCCCAGGCTGGAGTGCAGAGGCGCGATCTCGATCTCGGCTCACTGCAAGCTCCACCTCCCGGGTTCACGCCATTCTACTGCCCCAGACCCCCGAGTAGCTGGGACTACAGGTGCCCACTGCCATGCCCGGCTAATTTTGTTTTTGTATTTTTAGTAGAGACAGGGTTTCACCATTTTAGCCTGGATGGTCCTGATCTCCTGACCTCGTGATCTGCCCACCTTTGCCTCCCAAAGTGCTGAGATTACAGGCGTGAGCCACTGCACCCAGCCGGAAGGGTCAGGTTCTTAACTGGACTGCAGATCTAATAGCAGAGCTCAATATTAGAGGCAGCAGTTGTCCATTATCCAGAGACTCCCCTTAGAAGACACCAGTCCTGCCACATTATGTGGGGTATAAATGGTTAAGTTATCCCCCTTGGTTAACTTAGTAGCCTCTGGCACCAGCAAAGATACTGCTGTAACTGCCTGTAGACAGGCTGGCCATCTTTTAGCTACCATATCAAGCTCCTTGCTTAGGTAGCCTGCAGGCTGCTTGGCTGAACCTCAAGTCATTCCCTTCCTTTCTGATACATAAAGTTTGAATGTCTTACCTATGAGAAGACAAAGGGCGGTGCCTCAAGCAAGACTTGTTTCAATTGGTCAAATGCCCTTTTAGCCTCTGGTTTCCAAATTAAGAAGTGAGTCTTAGTTGACTGAGTTTCCTCTATTAGGTTATATAAGGGACAAGCTATCTTACCATGCCCAGGTATCCATAATCTGAGAATCCTGTAATACCCAAGAATCCCCTCATTTATTTGAGGGTTTGTGGGAGGGGAAAGTAGGAGATGGCCCAATAGGGTTTGGCTGTGTCCCCACTCAAATCTCAACTTTTATTGAATGTCCCAGGATTCCCATGTGTTTTGGGAGGGACCTAGAGGTAGGTATTTGTATCATGGGGGCCAGTCTTTCCTGTGCTATTCTTGTGATAGTGAATAAGTCTCACTAGAATTGACGGGTTTATGAGGGGTTTCCGCTTTTGCTTCCTCCTCATTATGTTCTCTTGCTGCCACCATATAAAACATGCCTTTTGCCTCCCACTATGATTCTGAGGCCTCTGCAGCCATGTGGAAGTGTAAGTCTAATTAAAAAACTTGTTCATCCCAGTCTTGGGTTTGTCTTTATCAGCAGCTTGACAACAGACTAATACAGTAAATTGGTGCCAGTAAAGTAGGGCATTGCTGAAAAGATACCTGAACAAGTAGAAGTGAATTTGGAACTGGGTAATAGGGAGAGGTTGAAACAGTTTGCAGGGCTCAGAAGAAGACAGGAAAATATAAGAAAGTTTGGAACTTCCTAGAGATTTGTTGAATGGCTTTGATCAAAATGCTGATAGCAATATGGACAATAAGGTCAAGACTGAGGTGGTCTCAGATGGAGATGAGGAGCTTCTTGGGAACTGGAGTAAAGGTGGCTCTTTTGTTTTAGCAAAGAGACTGGTGACATTTTGCCCCTGCCCTAGAGATTTGTGGAACTTTGAACTTGAAAAAGATGAGTAAGGTTATTTGGCAGAAGATATTTCTAAATAAAAAAGCATTTAAGAGGTAACTTGGGTACTGTTAAAGGCATTCAGTTTTACAAGGGAAGCAGAGTATAAAAGTTTGGAAAAATTGCAGCATGACTATGCAATAGAAAAGAAAAACCCATTTTCTGGGGAGAAATTCAAGCCAGCTGCAGAAATTTGCATAAGTAGCAAGGAGCCTAATGTTAATCCCCACGACCATGGGGAAAACGTCTCCAGGCCATGTCAGAGACCTTCACAGCAGCCCCTCCCATCACAGTCCTGGAGGGCCAGAAGGAAAAAGTTGTTTGCTGGGCCAGGCCAAGGGTCCATGTGTTGTGTGCAGCCTAGGGACTTGGTGCCCTTATCCCAGCTGCTCCAGGTGTTGCTGAAAGGGGCCAAGGTACAGCTCAGGCCGTGGCTTCAGAGAGTGGAAGCCCCAAGCCTTGGCAGCTTCCACATGGTGTTGAGCCTGTGGGTACACAGAAGTCAAGAACTGAGGTTTGGGAATCTCCATGTAGATTTCAGAAGATGTATGAAAATACCTGGATGCCCAGGCAAAAGTTTTCTGCAGGGGCAGGGCCCTCATGGAGAACCTCTGCTGCGGCAGCGAAGAAGGGAAGTTTGGGATCGGAGCCCCCACACAAAGTCCGTACTGGGGCATTGCCTAGTAGGGCTGTGAGAAAAGGGCCTCAATCCTCCAGACCCCAGAATCGTAGATCCACCAGTAGCTTGCACCGTGCACCTGGAAAAGCCACAGACACTCAACATCAGCTATAAAAGCAGCTGGGAGGGAGGCCGTACCCTGCAAAGCCGCAGGGGAAATGCTGCTCAAGACCATGGGAACACACCTCTTGCATCAGCATGACCTGGATATGAGACCTGGAGTCAAAGGAGATAATTTTGGAGTTTAAAATTTGACTGCCCCACTGGATTTAAGACTTGCATGGGCCCCGTAATCCCTCTGTTTTGGCCAATTTCTCCCATTTGGAATGGGAAGTAACTAGCTCGCTTTTGATTTTACAGGCTCATAGGTAGAAGAGACTTGCCTTGTCTCAGATTAGACTTTGGACTGTGGACTTTTGGGTTAATGCGGAAATGAGTTAAGACTTTGGAGGACTGTTGGGAAGGCATGATTGGTTTTGAAATGTGAGGACATGAGATTTGGATAAGCCAGGGCAGAATGATATGGTTTGGCTATGTCCTCACTCAAATCTCAACTTGAATTGTATCTCCCAGAACTTCCATGTATTGTTGGAGGGACCCATGGGGAGGAAATTGAATTATGTGGGCCGGCCTCTGCTGTGATAGTAAATCTCATGATAGTAAATCTCATGAGACTTGATGGTTTTATCAGGGGTTTCTGCTTTTACTTTCTCCTCATTTTTTTATCTTGCCACCACCATGTAAGAAGTGCCTTTCATCTCCCACCATGAGTCAGAGGCTCCCCAGCCATGTGGAACAGTAAGTCCAATTAAACCTCCTTTTCTTCCCAGATACAGATATGTCTTTATTGGCAGCATGAAAATGGACTAATAGATGGCCTTAATATTTTCTTTGCCTAGTGCCCTGGTCCCCTCTGACAAGACTAGATCTAGGTACTTCACTGAAGTCTGATGGAGCTGAGTCTTAGATTTTGAGATGTTATATCCTGTGTTAGCCAGAAAATTAAGAGCCTCTTGAGAGTTTTCCTCAACTGGGGAACAAAGGATAATTATGTCTACATATTGTAAAACTTTAATCTGAGGATAAAGGAACTCAGAGGGATCTTTTGTGGGTGGCTTTTTTTTTTTTTTTTTTTTTTTTTTTTGAGATGAGGGCTCATGGTGTCGTCCAGGCTAGAGTGCAGTGACATGATTTTTGGCTCATTGCTACCTCTGCCTCCTGGGTTCAAGCAATTCTTGTGCCTCAGCTTCCTGAGTAGCTGGGACTACAGGCACACAGCACCATGCCCAGCTAATTTTTGTATTATTAGTAGACACTGGGTTTCACTATGTTGACCAGGCTGGTCTCAAACTCCTGACCTCAAGACTTCCACCCATCTCAGCCTTGCAAAGTGCTGGAATTACAAGGGTCAGCCACTGCACCAGCCTCAAAGAGATCTTTTGACAAATGCCAGCTCAAATAGGTGGGAGTTATCTCAGAATCCCTGAGGTAAAACCATCTAGGTTAGCTGGGTGGTCTGAGTGGAGGGATCCTTGAATGCAAACAAATATTTGGAGTCTGCAAGTAGTAGTATGCAGAAAAAAAGGGCATTCTTTTGGTTGAGGACTATAAATCATTTAGTTCCCTTAGGTATTTGAGTTAGCTAGATACACGGGTTGGGAACCACCAGATGAATTGGAATCATAGCCTCACTAATGAGGTGGAGATCCTGGACCAGTTTCCATTCCATGTTGAGCTTCTGTATCCCCAATATTAGGGTATTACAAGGGCTGTTGTAGGGTTTGAGGAGGCCCTGCATCCTCAAGTTATCAATGACAGCTTCCAGTACTTTCCTAGCTTCCGGTTTTAGGAGATATTATCTCTGGTTAGGGAAAGTGGGATCCTTAAGGTAGATCCGAATTGGTATGGTGGCCGAGGCTCAGTCAGTTTTTCATTGACTTACCCAAACTTCTGGATTAATATCGGTCTCAACCATGAGGAGACAGAGAGTCTGTCCAGGAGCCATAAGAATAGTGATTCCCATATGAGCTAAAATGTCCCTTCTTAGCAGAGAAGTTGGGCTTTCAGGCATGATTAAAACAGGATGAGTAAGCAAGAGGTCTCCCCAACTATGACTAAGGGATTGGTAAAAATGTTGGGCTAAAGGCTTTCCTGACACATCTATCACTGTCATACTAGGGGGAGTGGGGAAGTCTGGATTGAAGACGAAAACAGAAATAGCTGTTCTGGTATCCAGGAGGAAGTCTACTTTCCTCCCTCTGACCTCCAGAATCACCTGGGCCTCCTGGAGGGTAATGGAAGTCTGAGCCATTATTGCTGGGGAGAGGAGCCCCAAGAGCCCTGGGTCCTGCTGGACCACCTGGGATACTGCTCCTTGACTCAGTGACCTGCATCTCCAGGGACAGTTGCCCTCCTGTGGTCCCCTCCACAGAGTGGACTGGATTGAAGTGACTTCCTCTTGCTGCTTGGGCTGTCCTTATTGTGCCCTGGCTTGCTATATTTGTAGCAGTTAACAGGTGCATCTCAAAAGTTCTGGGGTCTGCGACGTGGCCATCAAAGCCTGTGTCTTTTTCTTGTGTCTCCCCTCTCTCTCTCAAGCCTCCTCCAAATCCTTATCATAGAAGACTGAGGTGACCACTTTCAGGACTTCTACAAAGTACTATCTTGTCCCATGGCCTGTTTCTGCAGCTTCCTCCTGGTATCAGGGGATGCCTGAGTAATAAACATATCCTTTAAGATTAGTTGTCCCTCAACTGAATCAAGATATACAGAGTTGTGCTTTACTAAGGTCCTTCTTAATCTTTCCACGAAGGCAGTGGGATTCTCATCTAATCCCTGGTCTATCATGGATGGTTTGGAGTAATTGAGAGGCTTAGTTTTAGTCCTTTGTAAGCCCTTGAACACGCACATCTGAAAGTGTTTCCTATTTTATTCTCCCATTTCATCGAGATCCCATTTATGGTCCTCCAATGGTATTGCTATTCTTCCGGTTGGATATGGCTCATCTCCTTTCCTGGCACTATATGAAATCCAAATCTTAACCCCAAAACTATCTGCCATGAGCAGGACAGCCTACTTCTCAGCAGCAGGGTTTGATTCAAAAGTAACATAACATCCTTCCAGAAGAGTTCAAATACTTGAATTAAATTCTGGAAAGTCTCTATATGCAAGTGAGGGTCATCTGAAAACTTGCCAAGACCCCCCTTAATTTGCCTTAAGTCTTGTATAGACAAGGGGACCTGGACTTTAATGGGGACATATTAACTAGACATCTCTTGTATCGGCAGGAGTGAGACTGAGCCCTGCCTAAAATGAGGATTTCTAGGATGGGGCAAGTTTGAGAGAGAACCTGGATAGGGAGGACAAGGTGGACCAGGAGGTGCAGGACTGGAGGGAGCTGGATCCCCATCAGAGGTAGCTGATTCCCCCACTAGAGATAGCTGACTCCCCCACTGGAGATATCTTTGGGGTTTGCTTTCCTAGTCCCATGGGATTGCCTATGTAGCCTTTCCTGAGATGGTCCCTAGGAGGGCTGAATCAATCCTACAACATAGGCAAAGTTCTTGATTACTCTGCAAGTCAAAGAAAGCCTGCACATATGGGTACCTCGGACCATTTGCCCTCATGCCATCGTTTACAGAAAACATCCAGCTGCAGGATAGTATTGAATTTAATTCTTCATTCCTGAGGCCAAGCTTGTTATTCTTGCAAATCATAATTTGGCCAAACCATTGTGCCAAGTAGTATGAGACATTTTTCTCTAGAGTCTGTAGGTCAAAAGAGTCCCAGTGATTCAGGATAAACTCAAGAGGAGTGCAGGCTGAAGAAGGTTTGCTATTCATCTGAAAAAGGGGAAAAGATTCCCTTAATTCCTTTCTCTCTTCCAACAAAAACCCAAGCTGACATATATGAGGAAGAGAAACAAAAAAGCCCTCCTCTTCTTTCTTTCCTCCTTTTCTTCCCTGAGTCTTGCAGGACATTAACCATATCAGCAGTAATAGTCATGCTCACTTGTGCTATGCCCTGGCCTTCCACTGTCAACTGCTTCTGGGTCCATCAGATCTAGTTTTCTTTCTTTTTAGGGCTTCAACCCAAAGCTTGGAATGAAATTTGGGCCAAAAGGTACCTCAGGAGAGTGTGTAATAAACACATTAGCCCCAAGTGCCACCCATGAGTGTGAGTGTGACCTCCACCTTTGAAGTGGAGATGCCTAGTTGGTAGGCACACCTACCAACTAGTAATAGTCACACCTACCTACACTGTGACCTAGCCTCTTGCTCTCAGTAATCTCTGAGTTCCCTAGACATCATCTATGCCATAGATTCAAGCAAGTTCTTCACCCATGAAGTGGGAAGGTATAGTCAGCAGGTTTATTAGTCTGTTCTCATGCTGTTAATAAAGACATACCCAAGACTGCATAATCAGTTAAGGAAAGAGGTTTAATGTATTTACAGTTCATCATGGCTGAGGTGGCCTCAGGAAACTTACAAAAATGGTGGAAGGAGAAACAAACATGCCCTTCTTCACATAGTGGCATCAAGGAGAAGTGCAGAACAAAAGTAGAAAAGCTCTTATAAAACCATCAAATATTGTGAGAATTAACACACTATCATGAGAACAGAATGGGGGAAAATGCCCCAGTGATTTAATTATCTCCCACTGGGTCCCTCCCACAACATGTGGAGATTATGGGAACTACAATTCAAGATGAGATTTGGGTGTGCACATAACAAAACCATATCAGCAGTGATAGTCATGCTCACCTGCACTATGTCCTGACCTTCCACTGTCAACTGCCTCTGGGTCCCTCAGATCTAGTTTTCTTTCTCTTTAGGGCTTCAACCTAAAGCTTGGAATCAAATTTGGGACAAAAAGATAACTCAGGACAGTGTATGGACCCATTAAATTAGTCCCAGGTGATCCTCACCAAATTGCAGCCAACAACTGATGGGGTGGCTCCTCTGCTGCTTCTCTATCATAAGCAGAATACTAAAGTAAAGCTGTGAAACCAGATCCTCCTCAAACAGGCGAAAGAAAGAGAGTCTTCAGAATTGCAAACCTGGCATAATAAGATGCCTCCCAATAGGAAAAAAATCAATCTCTCCAATAGAAAAGCTCCCTGTATTCACAGGGCTATGTTTACTCCTGACATGCTGGGAAAAAAACAACTTAAATACAGGGGAGGGGAAGGTCCCTGAATAGCCTCTTGCCCTATGCTAATGGATTCCTTCAACAGAGGAAAGAAAAATCTCAAGTGTCACATCCTCTTTGCTTGAAAGAATAGAGAGAAACCTCATTGTTCTAAATTACACTCCTGATGACTGAGCAAAGTGCTCATTCTACCCAGTAATATTATCTCTGTGGTTTGCAACAACACTTTTAACATTGTATATAAAGAAAAGATAAGAGCCATGACAGCTCTGAAAGAAAGCAAGAAAATGCAATGGGAAAGACTGAAGGTCTTGGCCAACGCCTGTACAGACTGTTGGGGATTGTGGCTGGTCCAGGAGCATTTCGGTAATGCCAAGGTGTAGCCTCAGCCAGATACCTTCAGTTGCCCTAGGACCTTATTCTGATCCCATGTGACGGCTTCACCTCACAAATGGAGGCTGCATTGAAACAAAGCCAACATTCCCAATACCCAGGGTGATGGGGGTGTGGGGTTAACACTGTCCTCCCCAGCAAGCCTGTCATCTCCAGCCATGCCATTAGCTTTTAACTAGCTGACAAAAGTCTGATGCTTCATCTGTTTACAGAATGAAAAAAAAATGAGGAAAAGAAGCCTTGAAAATGAAAGTGAACGAGGTTCACACTTACTCACCCTTTCGTTGAACCCAGAAATGACATGAGAATCTTTCGGTGCTGCTTCCCCAACTGAAATCTCCACAGCTAGTGACGCCTTTCTCTGGGCTTTGCTTGGCTCTGGGCTTGCTGCTGGGCTTTTGTGACTTGCTCGCCCTGGCAGAATGCGCTTAGCTCACACTACCAGCCCGGATCCCAAGCATGCACATGGACTCCATACTCAGCCTGCAGCTGAGCCAGGTGTGCAGCAAGTGGTTTTCACTTTGGGTTGCAGGCATCTAGACAAAGGGACCACAGTGATGCTGGAAAACTCAGAGATGACAGTGACCATGGAGCCCCAAGAGAAATTATGGCTCTCACCCAGTTAGTCCTGAGGTTTGAGCCCCAAAGAAATGTTACAGCTCTCTTCTGTTTTTTCTGCCCACAGTGTGGTGAATGGTGGGGTGTGTTAAAGCTCCTTCATGTTACCGCTCATTCATTCCCACCACCTTCAGGTTGGCAAAAAGGAGTGTGTCATAGATCGTTCGGTCCTGTCACCCATTGCTTAGCCAGGCGGAGGGAGAGTTACCATGTTACAGCTCTTTTTGCACCTGCTGTTCACCAGGTTCCAGGGTCTTGTCCTACAACCAAGAAGAATGAGGTTATGTGGACACCAGAATGTGAGCAAGACAGGGAAGAATTTTATTGACCAACAAAAAAGCTTTTGATAAGCAGAGACCCAAAGTAGGTAGCCCTCAGTGTGAGAGGGGGCCCGAAAGTGGAGAGCACAAAACATGGCTGAATCTGGAGCTTTTATGAGCTCAAAATGGGGGAGTGTGTGCAGATTGGTCTGTGGGCTGGCCTGGAATGTGAGAAATGTGCTCCCCCATCCAAACCCAAAGAATGGACTCAGAGGCATGGAGAACAGTGAAAGTGAGACTTTTAATAGCAATCTTACAGTATTGGGTGTCTGGTAAGCAGGGGCACACAGGACAGCTATAACAGGTAATTTACCTCCTATCATACAAGTCCCTCCATAAGTACCTCACTGGTCAAGTAATATGGTGTTACAATCTTCCCAGACATCACTTAAGTTTCATTATCCCCCTTATAAGGTTATACTCTGGTACCCTTCCCCAGTTTGTAACATCCACAGGCTGGCGGCCAGTGCTTAGATCTATCATGCCTTGAAAATGGACCATTTGAAATATTTTCTCACAAATCCCCTCCTCTTTTCTGTATATTTACTTTGGTCTCATTTTCATCTAAACCCTTCTGGTCCTCAAATCACTCTAGAAGTCATTTACTTTCTTCTTCATAGGATAGTGGGTTTAATTTGGTTTCTAATAGTAGCACGTTATTTTACTGGTAAGTCATGGGCATTTGTTTATTAATAGCTGTTTCAATTAATCTCTGTGCTAGTCCTTTCACACAAGGGATAATACAGCATCCCACTGCTGTTAAGACTCCTGCCATAATTATGAGAGATGTAAGAATTGAAACTACCATGTCTTTCCATTTTCCAAACCAACCTTCTAGCCATCCTGTAAATGGGTCATCAATTCCAGCATTTTCTTACAGTTTGTTGGCTAGAGTTTTCAGTCCTTATAAAGTTTTTGTGATGGTCCTTTCAGGGGCAGTATTGTTGGGTGAAAGTACAACATTTCCCATCAAGCACAACACATATGCCCCCCTTTTCTAATAGTATCATGTTTAGTGCAAGCCTGTTTTCCCAGGCCTTTCAGCTGGTGGCATCTAACTGGCTAGCCATCCTGTTGAAGGTGTCCTGAGTATAATTGATGAATCTCTGTTGATTACAATAGGTTTAGTTAATATAATTCACATTCTTATTAATAGTTGACCACCAGAAGAGTGCTGACTCAAACCCAGCAGCTATTCAGTTTTGAGCCTTAAATTCATTAAGTACCCCACTAGGGACTCCTATAGAATTTGTTAAATATCCGGTTTCAGTGGCCATGTATATTTTGGGCTATCTTATGGAATGCCAGGGTAAAGGGATGGCCAGTTGGACTAAAGCACAGGTTGCAGTCCAGATGGACAGTAACAGGTTATGGAGGTTCCTTTTCCCACAGTACCACCAGACATCAGGCTGGGGTATATGGAGAGCCAAGTAATTGCCATTGCCTGACTCACCAGTGACATTTAGGATGTGGGTACAAGTTGAGAGTTCTCTCATGGGCTTATTGAACTCTGCCCCCGGCCTAGAGGCAAGAGGAGTGGTTCACATTCCCTACAGAGAATGAGAGGATTGCTCTGGGATCCAACCTCCACAATGCAGGAAAGAGCAATGACAGACTCTTATAAGTCTCATCATGCATCCTTGTCTTGGTACAGAGCCAACATGCAAAGCACCCCTTCAGGATCAGTATTTCATCCCAGGGGAAATGAAACCACCTGTACCTGAGGTTATACCACAGCACATGTATAGCAGTTATTCTCGTTGAGGGTCTGTACTGAAAATTGGACCCATTTGACCCAGGCATTCACATACCCATACCCTGTCTCAATTTCTAAGATTTGCCTTAAATCCTCTACCTCAATTAGTTTTACCCTTTTAGGGTCATTATTTGGTGGACTAAAGTGTCTGTTAGGATCTGGGGTTGGAGTAGTCCCAGTCAAATGGGAGGTTGAGTTCTTGATTAGAGAACAAATTGCCATAGGGGATCTATCCTCTGTGATGTCTACCCCTAACCCATATACCCAAGATGTGACTTTTGGTTCTTGGTCTAGAATGGCTGGATTGTCAATGGAATTGAGTATAGGATTCCATTCCAAATTCTGGCAGTTATTTGGCAGGGAGTCCTTGGACAGATGTAGTTTATTCTTCAAGGGTCTCCAGCTTGGAGTTACCCACTCCATGTTTACTGTCCAACCCTGAAATTGGGTAGTCCACCAAACATCATCCCAGTTGAGAGAGGGCGATGCCCTACTGTAACCTGTATCTGGTTCACAGCAAAGATATTTATCTGCTTGTGAGAACTGTCTCTGTTTTTCTCAATTCCTGTAAGGTAAAACCTGGCAGGCATCAAATTTAATAGTCTGAGGTGCTACCATCTTGGTCACATTAATAACCAACCTGATTGGTTAGAGAGGAGCCCCCTGCCAGTTTCCATTTTGACCTTTTCCTCTTTGTATTGTAGTCTATCCCAGCCATATTAACTTCCAGAAATGGGGCAAGCCCATGCTTTCTTTTTATAATTTTTTTAGAATTAACTTTAAGGGTTCCTCAGGTTACCCATGCAATTGCCACTGGTATTTTACCCTCTTTTCCAGGGTCTTTTTTTTTTTTTTTTCACCAGTTCCTTGACTCGAGTATAGTGAGTCCACCCCCATTCAGCTGTTCACATGGCTGTCTCAGTGGTCAGGAGCACTTGATAGGAAACTTCCCAGTTTGGGTGGAGCTTGTCTTCTTTCCAAGTCTCAATCAGCACCAAGTTCCAGGCTGGAAGTGGTGAACCATGAACTCAAGAGGCAGATTTTGAGTCAGAAGTCCTTTTAACCTAAGGGAAGACAGGGTGGAGGATATGATCAGTATATAATTTCTTAAGAATTGGTCCTTGGTTTTTGTTGGGAGAAAAGCTGAGGCAAGACTTGCTAGTCTGACATAATATAAAAAGAGTCTTGGTACATATCTGGGGTCCAAGGTCTAAAACCGCTCATGGCCTTTGGAACACCAAGCTCTGTGCTTAAGGGTGGAAGGCTGCCCTGCCACACTACAATCTAAGTCCAGGACATAAAACCCCTCATGGCCTCTGGAATGTGTCCAGACTTGCTGGCTCCTTGCTTCTTGCTCTCCCAGGATCATAAATTGATTGTATCTTGAGTTAGAAGGACATGTTCAATATTATCTCAAATAGCAGAACATGTTCCATATGCTTTAAAGAAAATGCTAAACTGACATAGCTATAAATTAAACACTTGATGCACTGCTTCCTTTCGACCCCCACGTCCTCACCGCCTGCTTCTTTCTTTGATCACCCATAAATAGTGTGGGCTAACAGAGCTCAGGGCCTTTGCAGCCTCCATACTAGCGTCAGCCCCCTGGACCCAACCTATGTACTCTTAACTTGTCTTGTCTCATTCCTTTGACTCCGCTGGACTTTGTAGCCCCCATGGCCTGGTGTTGGGTCTGATCAACCCAATAGGTTTTCATAGTAGAAAGATCTGTAACCTTGTCTGAATATGGGAGTCCATATAATAACTCATAAAGGAACAATCCCAAGTCTTTTCTTGGGGCTGTCCTAATCCTAAGAAGTGTTATTGGTAGACATTTGGTCCAAGGCATTTTAGTTTCTAATATTAGTTTGGTGATATGCTTTTTGAGAGTTTGATTCATTCTTTCTACCTTTCCAGAGGAAGGGGGATGACAAAGGGTATGATAATCCCATCTAATTTGTAAATCTTCCATAATTCCCCTTAACACCGTTGAGGTAAAGTGGTTCTCTTTATCTGAATCAAAATTTTCCTCCAGGCCAAATCTAGGTATAATTGGTCCTAATATTATTTTGACCACATTCCCAGCAGTGGCTGTTGGAAGATGAAAGGCTTCCAACCAGCCAGAAAGGTGTCCTACAATCACCAGTAAATATGTTAGTCCTCCTACTGTGGGCATTTCTGTGAAATCTACTTGAATGTTTTAAAATTGTCGTAGCCCTGGAGGTCCTCCTCCCATGACCTGTTTTCTAATCACTTTTATTTATCCATTGACAAGTTACACAACTTCCACATACTTTTTTAGTGAGAGTATAAATCCCTATACACCCATAATTCCTAAGTATTGCATCACACAGAGCCTGGGGTCCCCAATGATTCCCTTTTGTAATATGGACATTAATTCTCTCATCAGGGATTTACTTATCATTTCTCTCCCATCAGGAAGTACCCATTTCCCATCTTCCATCTTCAGTTTGAGTTATCCCTCTTCTGTCTAATTCTTCCTTCTTCTCTCTGGTAAACTGGGGCCTTAATACTACCTTAGGGATGTCTGGGATCAGGATAAATAGTCTAATTTCTTTCTCCAGGGAGGCTCACTTAGCAGCTTCATCTGCAAGCTTGTTTCCTACAGCTTCTATAATGTTCCCTTTCTGATGATCATTTATATGACCTATGGCTACCTCTGCTGGAAGCAGGAGACTTTCTAAAACCTGTTTGAGTCTAAAACCCCCTTGTATCAATTATTTTTCCCTGCTATGTATTAGGCCGTGCTCCATCCAGCTTTTTCCAAAAGTGTGTACCACCCCATAGGAATATTTAGAATGAGTATATATAGTGCCTTCTTGGCCTTCAAGGAGCTTTAGGGCATGATAAAGAGCATATAATTCACAGGTTTAGGCTGACCAGCCATTAAGTAATCTACCTTTCTCACATAAGGAATATTTATTTCCATCAATGACAGCATAACCATTATGTCTCTTTGCCGTCTATCACTCGGGATGACCCATCCACAAACAGCCTTATCTAATCATGTAGTGGAGCTTCCCTAAGGTCTGGTCTAACTTTGGTTTGGTATTCTGTGATATCTAAGCAGTTATGGTCTGATGTCTCTTTGTTCTTCTCTCTTTTCCATGGGAAACTGGCTGGATTCAGGCAAGTATTTGTTGTTACGACCAAATCATCCTTTTCTAGCAACAGGGCTTCATATTTTAGAAGCCAAGAGTTCATTAACCATCTCCCAGCTTTTTGATTTAATATATTCCTGACCTGGTGTGGGGTGCTTACTATTAAGACCCCACCAAAGGTTAGCTTTCAACTCTCTTCTACCAGCACGGCTGTAGCAGCTACTACTTGCACATATTTGAGCCATCCCTAGGAGACAGGATCAAGAAACTTGGAGAAAAAAGCAACAGGTTGCCTCTTGCCTCCCCAGGTTTGAATGAGCACCCCAAGGGACACACCCTGATCTACTGTTACAAACAGGCGGAATGGTTTCTCTAAAGATGGGAGGGCCAGTACTGGGGCTGTAATGAGGGCATGCTTTAGCTCTTTCATATCCTGAATTTCCTCTGGGGAATATTGCAAAAGATCAGGTTGCTTTTCCAACAACTTGAGGTACAGAATCTTTGTCTTTTGAGCATATGAGTCAATCCACAACCTATAGTAGCCAGTTAAACCTAAAACTTTTTGGAGTTCTCTCTTTGTCTTAGGCAAAGGCAGACCCACTAATTCCTGATATCCTCTCTGGGTTTATTCTCCACTTCCCTTCACTAATCAGGTGTCCTAAATGTTTAACTTCTTTTTCTACAAATTGCAATTTGTTCTTAGAGACTTGCAATCCCCTTTCTCCTAGGAAATTAAGCAAGCTTATAGTGGTTTCTGATAACTCAGCCCTCCTCTCTCCCCAGAAATTAAAAAATCATCCACATATTGTAACAACTGGGTTCCACTGGAAGTTTGTAATTCCTCCAGGACTTTTTCTAAGATTTGACCTAATAAGTTTGGGGCTTCCATTAAACCTTGTGGCAGCACAGTCCAACAGTACTATTGTTTTCTCCTAGTTATAGAATTTTTCCATTCAAAGGAAAGAAGACCCTATTCCTAAAGTTTAGGGCATTACCCAGAATGCATCTTTTTGATCCACTACACTGAACCATTTATGTTCATAGGATACCTTACAAAGGAGAGTGTAGGGGTTAGTCACCACAGGGGGATGAGTCTGGACAATCTGATTTATAGCCTTTAGATCTTTCAGCAATCTGTATGACCTATCAGGCTTTTTGACTGGGAGAATTGGAGTATTGTATGGTGACATGCAGTGTTCTAAGAGTCCATCTTTAACCAATCTATTACCGGTTGGAGACCTTTACTCCCTTCAATAGAAATTGGATATTGTTTTCTGCAAACTACTTCTCCTGGCTGTTTTAGTTTAATCTGTAAGGATGTGATTTTTAACCCTCCCCTATTGCCTTTCTTAACCCACACAATGGGATTAATTTTATTCTCTTCTTTTTTCAGTCAGGAAGCCCATCATTACTTTTATGTGTCCCTCCTCTATCCCCAATTCTAAACCCAATCTCACAATCAGGTCTTGACCCAGGAGGTTAGTTTCTACTTCAGGAACATATAAGAGTGACCCCTCAATTTGTTCTGGTCCCAACTTAATTAACATTTTCTTGAATATTGGAACACAAAATCCCTCCCCTTTTAGCGCCGATACTGTCAACTTTTCCTTAGAGAGTTCTGTATCCCTTGGTTGGTGAATTAGGGAGCAGCAAGCCACCCCAGTATCAACCAAAACTGTCACTTCTTCTCCCTCAGGTCCCACCTTCAAATTTATCAAGGGTTCCTAGTGGGATCTACTCAGGAGGAACCCCTGGCCCCCCTAGTCTTTATTAATGGTCATGAGGGGAATCACCTTTTCTTCTTTCTTCCATTCAGGACATTCTCTCTTAAAATGCCCTGACTTTCCACAATTGTAATATGCACTCATAATCTTAGGAGCTTTTCCCTGCATTTCCCTTCTTTCTCTTTGTCAAAATCTATCATTCCCTTATCTTTTTTGAGGGGGATCTTGATTTAACCTTTTTCTGACTACCTCATCCACAGTGCAAACCATGATTTTCGCTTTCTGTTTCTGACTCTCTTCTCTCTTTACAAAGACCATCTGAGCTTCCCTCAGTAATTTCTCAATTGTTTTATCATTCCATCCATCAATCTTTTGTAATTATTTTGTAATGTCAGGCCAGCTCTTAGTTACAAAGCTAACCTTAAAATGACCTTTCCCTATGGGGTCCTCCAGATCTAATTTGGAGTATTTTCTCATCTGATCTCTGAACTTCTACAGGAATTCAGCAGAAGTTTCCTCTTTTTCTTGTTGAACTTCAAATGCCTTTGAGACATTCTGTGTCCAAAGAGTTGACTATTTTATCCTTTTACTTATTAGGTCCCTGAGGTCCTGCATTTGGGCCCGGTCTCTGGGATCATTATTACCCCATTCGGGATCAACATTTGGAAATTTTTGTTTGACTGGCAAGACTTTTCACCCAGGAGGGTTTTGACTCTCCCAGATGGTCACGGCTGCTTTTCTAATTAATCCTCTTTCTTCTGTGAACAAGATATTCACGAAAGACAACATTTTAACTCAGGTGTAAAATCTGTGTCCTAGGAATTGGTCCAGCTGGTTTGCTAAACCAAGGGGATCTTCTAGGAGTGGTTTCATTTCCTTCTTGAAATTCCTGACATCAGTACTTGTAAGAAGAACATTTACAAAGCCAATCTCTCCTGGTCCCATGGGAGCTTCCCTGAGAGGAAACATGCCATGGTCTCCAGGTCTTTCTTCCTCTAACCCCCCTGTTGTTCCTTGATCTTCTTGTCCCCTATTTTGTGTGACATAGGCAGGAGGCAAGCATGATAGGGGGTCCCAAAGCTTTTCACTGTGTGAGGGCTCTTTACTAAGCTTTTTAAATTCCTCTTTGAGGGGGAGCACGGAAGCTAATTCCTTGATCCAGCAGAGAGTGTAACCTATCTCTTTTTGTGAGGATAGGGTTTTATCATTCACACAGAGAATTAAAGCTTGGCACATCCAATCCTCATCTGAGCCAAACTTAGGCCAAAAGACAGAAGGCTTACAAATGGGGTCTTTGGGACAGATAACACAACAATACTTTATCATCTTTTGTTTTCCCTTGTCTCTGGTTTGAGGGTTGTCCCTCCAAACCTGCAACATTCTCCCCAAATGACTACCTGGGGGAATGTCAAAGGGAGTCTCTTGGGCTCCTTCTTTCCTTTGGCCGCTAGGCCTAGAATTTCTGTTTCCCATTTGTGATCAGTGTTTGTGTCTAAGCTTTTCCTTGTGTACTCAACCCCCTCTATTGAAGGTTTCTTGCACACCCTGAGAATTGCTCTGTGAGTCTGAACTTTTCCCTGTGTACTCAACCCTCTCCCCGCCACAGGAGGTTTCTTGCACATCCTGAGAATCCCTTTATCCATCTCTGGCTATTTGCCTCATGGTAGAATGGAACCACAGATTGGGATTTCACACTTGCTTTATATATTTGATACATCTCAGTCACACACACTCAACCTCCAAAAATGCCCAACCAACAAGGCAGTACGTATAGTCCAATTTTCCTAACTTGGCTTGTGCACAAGGCTGCCTGGTTGCCACTGTGCCTGTTTTTCTTTCTGTGTCACCTCCACTGCCTCCTGAATAACAGCCTTGGTGTTGTCTACGGCCTCTGTGGGGAGCCGGGATGCCTAGACAGAGTGGGCTACCTAAATCAAGTGGGATGCATCTCCCTTCTCGGCCAGAGTCCTACTTGATGCAGGTAAAGAGATCCTGGACAGACCCCCAGATTTGTGAGAAACATGCTCACCCATCCAAACCCAAAGAATGGACTCAGAGGCATAAAGAACAGTGAAAGTGAGACTTTAAATAGCTGTTTTGCATGATTGTGTGTCTGGTAGGCAGGCACACACGGGGCAGCTACAGCATGTAATTTTTCTCCTAGCATGTTAGTCCTCTGCCCAGTTCCTTATTGGTCGACTACTATGAGGTTATAATCTTCCTGGATGTTCCCTAAGTTTCATTATCCCCCTTATAAGGTTATACCCCAGTTCCCTTCCTCCCTTAAATTTCAATTTCCCAGTAACAAAGCTTTCTCCCCTTTTATAAGCTGACCCCTCTTCTGCATTCTGTTTGCTTATCTTGACTTTCTAGGAGCATGAGCTGTGCAGTTTGTTACATCCACGGTCTGGCTGCCAGTGCTTAGATTTATCAAGACTTGAAAATAGACCATTTAAAATATTTTCTCACAAGGAAAAAGCACCATTTGATTGGCTAAAAGGCTTCAAGGAGGTTCTAACTCTGGTCAGGGACTCTACCCAGAACTGGCAGCTCAGTTTTCAGGCTTTAAGCTGTTATTGACTTGAAAGTCGGGTATCACTGGGGACCTGTCCCTGTCTGTCTAGAAGTTGATCTGCCTCCTACTGCTATCAGTGACTGTACCAATTTACATTGCTATCAGCATTGTACTGTTTCCTTTTCTCTATGAGAGAACAGTTCCTTTGTTTCTACAACCTTGCCAGAGCATGTGACAGTTTTTTGTTGTTGTCATTTCAATTGGTGTGGGGTGATGTCTTCTCTTGATTTGCATTTTCTTTTTTTACCTTTTGATTTGCTGTTTCTTGATAATTACTTATGTTAACCAACTCTTCATATACCTGTGGGCAATTTATATGTGTTCTTTGGAGAAGTGTTTATTCAGATTCAGATCCTTTGGCATTTTTTATAGTCAGTTTTTTTGTGGATTTTTCTTTTATTTAATTGTATGAGTTCCTTGTATATCTGGGATATTAACCCCTTATCAGATATATGTTTTGCAAATATATTCTCTCATTTTATAGGGTGCCTCTTGGTTCTGTTGATTGTTTCCTTTGCTATGTGGGAGCTTCTTATTTTGTTGCACTCCTACTTATTTTTGCTTTTTTGTCTGTCCATCTGGGGACATATCCAGAAAAGTATTGTCCAGATCAATGTAAAGGAGCTTTTTCCCAGTTTTCTTCTAGGAGTTTAACTGGTTTTAGGTCTTATGCTTAAGTCTTTAATCCACTTCGAGTTGATTTTTATATATGGTTTTAGATAAGGGTCTAATTTTATTTTTCTGCATATGGATATTCAGCTTTCTCAATACCATTTATTGAATAAACTATCTTTTCCTCATTATGTTTCTTGGTATCTTTGTAGAAAATTAAGAAGTTTGTAGGTATGAGTTTATATTTTAGCCCTCAACTCTATTTCATTGGTCTATGTATCTACTTTTTTTTCGCCAGAATCATACTGTTTCAAATACTGTAAGCTTACAACATAATTTGAAATCAGAAAGTATGATGCCTCCAGCTTTGTTCTTCTTGTTTAATATTGCTCTTACTATTCAGGATCTTCTGTGGTTGTATATAAAAGTTAAGGTTTTTTTTTCTATTTCTCTATATGTCATTGGCATTGTAATAAATATGAATAGGTTTACATTAAATCTGTAAATCAGGTTGTGTAGTATAGACATTTTAACAATATAAATTCTTCCAAGTTATGAACAAGTGATATCTTTCCATTTATTTATGTCTACTTTATTTCCTCAAGGTATTATAATTTTCAGTGTAAAGCTCTTTCACCTCTTTGATTAAATGTATGCCTGAACATTTTGTTTTATTATTTTCTTTTTTGAATAGTTTTTTGTGAGTGTATAGAAACCTATTTTTCATGTTGATTTTGTAACCAGCAACTTTCCTGAATTTGTTTATTAGTTCTACAACTTTTGATGGAGTCTTTAGGGTTTTCTATATGTAATTGGACCATGTAATTGGCAAAAAGATATAATTTGAATTTTTTCTTTCTGATTCAGATGAACCCTGTCTCTTTTATTTGCCTATTGTCTATGGTTAAGGCTTCCAATACAATGTTGAATAAATGTTGTAAGGGTGGACATCTTTATCTTGTTCCTGATCTTAGAGTAAAAGCTTTCAGCTTTTGACAGTTTAGTATCATATTAGTGACAGGCTTGTTATATGTGGCCTTTATTATGCTGAAGTGCATTCTTTCTATACCTAATTAGTTGAGAGTTTTTTATTACAAATAAATGTTAAGTTATGTTTGATGGTTTTTCACATTTATTCAGAGGATCATGTGATTTTTATTCTTCATTCTTTTAATGTGGTGTATTACAATAATTGATTTGTATATGTTGAAGCATCCAAGAATCATAGAGACAAATTCCATTTCATCATGGTTTATGATCCTTTTAATGTGCTGTTGTTTTCAGTTAGCAACTATTCTTTGAGAATTTTTGCATCTATGTTAATCAGGTATATAGGCATTTAATAGGTTCTTGTCATATATCTGTTTTACTTTGGTATCAGGGTAATGCTGGCCACGGAGAATGAGATGGAAAATGTTATATTCTCATCAGTTTTTCTGAAAAGTTTGAAAATGTTTGTTGTTAAGTCTTTAAGTGTTTGTTAGAAATCAGTGGTGAAGCCATTATGTCCTAGGCTTTTCTTTGTTGATAGCTTGTATGTTTCCAGAAATTTATCTTTTACTTCTCAGTTTTCCAATTTGGTGGCACGTAATTGTTCGTACTAGTCTCTAGAACCCTTTGTATTTCTATAGTTTCAGTTGTAATGTCTCTTATTTAAATTACAATATAATAATTGGGGCTTTTAAAAATATTCTAGCTAAAGTTTGACAATTTTGTTTATACTTCGAAAAACAACTAAGTTTCATTGATCTTGTTTACTGTTTTTCTAGTTTCTATTTCATTTATTTCTGTTCTAATCTTTGGTGTTTCATTTCTTATGCTAACTCAGTTTTATATCCCTGGCCTATTTCCTTGAAGTCTAAAGTTAGGTCATTTATTTGAGATATTATTATTTTCTTAATACAGGTGTTTGCTATAGGCTTTCTTTCTAGAACTGTTTTTGCTATATCACGTAAGTTTTGGTATATTGTGTTTCTATCTTCATGTGTTTCAAGATTTTTAAAAATGTTTCATTTGATTTCTTTTTGATCTATTAAGTGCTCAGAATTGAGTGACTTGATTTCCATGTATTCATGATTTTTCCAGTTTTCCTCTTATTTTGGATTTTTAGTTTTACATCATTGTGGTCAGAAAAGATACTTGATATCATTTCACTCTTTTTACATTTGTTATAATGTGCATTGTGTCCCAATATCTATTCTGGAAAATGTTCCATCTGTGCTTGTGGAGATTGTGTATCTTGTAGCAGTTGGGTGAAAAGTTATGTATATGTCTTGCAGGTATATGTGATCTGTAGTGTAGTTCAAGTCTGATTTTTTCTTTTTTATTTCCTGCCAGATGATCAATCCTTGTTTAAAGTGAAATACTGAAGCCTGCTACAATTATTGTTCTGTTGTCTATTTATTTTTCTATTTTGTTAATATCTGCTTTACACATTCAGGTGCTCTAGTGTTGGGTGCATATGTATTTACGTTGCCATATTCTCTAAAAAGTCTCTTCTATCATGGTATTGTATTTCTTTGTCTCTTTTAATAGTTTTTGCCTATTTTGTCTGAAACTAGTATAGCCATCCAAGCTTTTTGTGTTTACTGTTTGCATGGAATACCTTTTTCTATCCCTTTTCTTTATATTTGCTGGTGTACTGAAAGATAAAGCTGTCTCTTTTAAGTAGCATATAGTTAAATCGTGTTTTTATCATCCATTCAATCATTTAATGTGTTTTAATGGAAATTTAATTCTTCATTTAAAGTAATTATTGACAGGTAACGACTTTTGCTATTTTGTTAACTTTCCCCCCACTTTATTTGCAGTTACTTTGATCGTTTTGCCCTCTTGTTGTTTTCCTTTGGGATGGGAATTTTTTTTTTTTTGTAGTAATATGGCTTGATTCATTTCTCTTTATTTTTTGTATATTTACTACTCTTTTTTAAATTTGCCATGACCATGATGCTTACATAAAGTATTTCATCATTATACTAGTGTGTTTCAGGCTGATGCCAACTTCTCTTCAATCACATACACTATTCTAAAATTGTATTTCTTTTCTTCCATGTTTTTTGTTATTGGCATTATAATATATATCTTTTTATATAGTGTATCTATTAACAAATTATTGTAGCTACAGTTATTTTAGAAAATGTTGTCTTTACTCAGTTTACTAGATTTAAAAGTGATTTATACACCACCATTGTAGCACTAGAATATTATAAATTTCATTATATACTTTACCACTGAATTTTGTACCTTTGTACATTTTAATGATACTGATTTTTATTCTTTCTTTCAACTTGAAGTATTCCATTTAGTATTTCTTGTAAGGCAGGTCTAGTGGTAAGAAACTCACTCTTTTGCTTTTTTTTTAGAAAAGCCTTATTTCTCCTTTATTTCTAAAGGATGGTTTTGCTGTGTATAGTATCCTTAATTGGCTGTTTGTTTATTTGTTTGCTTCTCCTCAACACTTTGAATACTATTACACTCTCTCCTGGCTTGCAAGGTTTCTGTTAAGAAAGTGACAGATAGTCTTAGGAGGGCTTCCTTGTTTGTGACAAGTTATTTTTCATCTGCTGTTTTTGAAATTTTCTCTTTTTTTTTATTTTAACTCTTTTAACAATTTGATTATAATTTGTTTCCACAAATACTTTTTTTAGGATGAAGTCATTTTGTGTTCTTTGGGCTCCATGGATCTGGATGTTAATTTCCCCTTCCAGGTTTGGGAAGTTTTCTGCCATCTATTTGTTTAAATACTGTTTCTGTTTCTTATGATGTCTGTCTTTCTTTTGGGATTCCTATATTGCATATATTGCTTTGCTAAATGGTGTCCCATAATCCTATAGGCTTTCTTCATTCATTTTTATTCTTTTTTCATTTTCTTTTTCTTTGACTTGAATTTCAAATAATCTGTTTGAGTTTGTTGATTCTTTCTTCTACTTGATGTAGTCTGCTGTTGAAGCTTTCCATTAATTTTTTTTTTTAGTTCAGATACTATATTCTTCACCACTAGAATTTCTATTTAGTTATTTTTATGCCTCTTATCTCTTTGCTGAACTTTTCATTTTATTTCTGTGTTACTTTCCTAATTTTGTTTACGTGTCTATGTGTTATCTTGTAGCTCACTGAGTTTTATTTTAGATGATTATTTTGAATTCTTGTTCAGGCAACTTGATCTCAATTAATTATCCATGGGGTCTTCCCCCACCCCCCCACTTTGGTGATATAATATTTCTTAGATTCCTCATATTCCTTGAAGCCTTAAATTACTGTCTTTGTATTTGAAGATGTGGTCACCTTTCAGTTTTTACTTACTGTCTTTGGGAGAGAAAGACCTTTCATCTGTGAGCCTAGCTAGATTTTCTAGGGGTCTCTCACACCTTTTCTATGAATACACCACTTCACTCCTCTAGTTTCCTCTTCGGAACCAAATGTTAGGATATTGTGCCTTCTCTTGATGTTGCAAAACCAGGCCTGATGCTGACAGAATCCTGTATATTTTCCTTAGATCAGTGCTCTGAATTTGTGAAGGTTGTGCATCTTCTCATAAACCATTAGAGCAAAGCTGGTTGCAAAGACCTGCACCTGCAACTGAGATCTGTGTGCTCTCTGCAGGGGTTCATTTGAGTGGTACATGAGAATCCATGGGGTGCCATACACAGAAGGGTGTGTGGAGTTCTGAGGGTACCGATTGGCTGATAGGGGGATCCACATGCAGGCAACCCTGTGAGTTTTATGAATGAGCCTCTTGGTGAAGTGTTTGAGATGTTAGGAACACCTGCAGTTGGATGTTGAGAACCATGTGCAAGTTTCTGGGTACTTCTGCCCCTTTATCCTGCTCCAAGCTGCCCCAGACAATTTAGCCATGAAAATCCCCTCAATATTCTGAGCAGGACAAGATAGTAGTGTTCTTCCTGGACAGTATTCTGCAAGGCTAGGGAAGCTGAGAGCTAACTTCACTCTCACTTTTGCCTAAGAGGAAATCATAAGCTGAAACAGCCTCTCTTGTCACTGAGCTGTGTTGTCAGGGGGCACAGGTAATTTAAAATTGTTGTTTTTACTCTATTCAATGCAACTCCTCTCAAACTTTTGTTCCACTGCAGTGCTGGAAAATTAGTTAGATTCTGAGGCTTCCACAAAGATATTCTTGTCCATGAGTGGTTGAAAAATCTGTGTTTCTATGGGGAGATGAAAGCTGGAACCACCCCTTCCATCATCCTGTTGATGTTGTGTTTCAAAATAATCAATTTTAATGACTTAAAGTGATATATATGATTTGAGGAAGGTTATAGATTATATAGCTTGATAGTTTTGTGGTCTAATTGGTCCAATTGGTGGTCTAATGCAACACATCAATGCCCAAAGTCCAAAAAACTGACAATGCTGAATGCTGACAAGGATGTGGAGCTGCAAAAGTATCATTTATTGCTGACTGAAATGCAAAATGCTATAGCTACTTTGGAATATGTTTTGGTTGTTTCTTACAAAGTCAAACATAGTCTTATCATAAAATCCAGCAAAGGTGCCACTGGGTATTTATCCAATTATTTTAAAAACTTATCACAAAAACCTGTATGCAAGGTGTATCAGTACTCTTAACAGTGTTCATATATCAATGTCCAACATTTCTACTTTTAGTAATATTTGGAAAAAAAAAGCAGAGATGTACATAAGATTTAAATAGAAAAAAAATTGTTCCTTCTGTTAATCTGACAATAAACCATAGAAACTGTTATATAAATAAGGTGTTTGTTAAATATATAGTTGCATATTCACAGAAGGGAATTCTTTTTGGAATGCATTCAATCATATGAACTATTATCAATATTTAATATTAAATTTTAAAAAGCAGTATGTGAAACAATAAGACCCATCTTGACTACTTTTAATACCCAACTACTAAAATAATGAAAATGACAAAAGAATATTTGGATAAATATATTGAAACTTTAGCAGTACTCATATCAGAGTTGTATGTTTACTGGTGGCCTTTTCCTTTTGAAATTATCTTTTATGTTGTAACATTTTTTAAATAATTAAAAATTAACATTATAAAAAAGATAATTATATACCAAATTCTATATTTCTCTAGACTTTTTGCTGGACTTTCATATTTCTTGGGATACACATTTAGAAATCATCACACAAACCAGTGAAGTAAAAGGATTAGGATTAATTTAAAATATGTTATAAATTGTTCTATAGCTTTAAAATGACATGGGATAAACCACATCATCTTTTAAAAGGGACTTCCAGATGTGGTAGGGGTATAGATTTGCTGACTTCGGAGGCCTTTTATATCCCTAATGTGCCTGCATCTGTGATGATAACAGTCCTTTATTAATAAGAGGTTTCCTTTTTCCTAATTGGAATTTTTTTGGCCTGCTGCTCAGGGTTTGTTTACAAAAGTTGACCAAAAAAATATAGTGTCACTTCTGTTTATTTCGTAAGTACCCTTGTAAATAATTGTATAAAATCCTATTATTCACATTTTTTAAGTAACAAATAGAGATTATCGGCCCTTGTGAACAGAGCTCATTATCTTTAATCTCTAGTAAAACATATTATAAAGGATTTTGTTTTATTTGCATTTCTCAAAATGAAATGTAACTTGGTATGTATATACTTATTCATAAACCTCTGCTTTTCTGGTTTTCCTCATAAGGATTGTCTGAACAATTAATAGGCATAGTAATGTGTCATATATGGGATATGTCTCTCAGATTTTCATATTGTTCCCTGGGAATTTTCATGTCCTTATTTAACATATTCCTTGTTTCTGTTATTATGCAAGAAATCATGCCTGATTAAGTTCAGACAGTTTGCAAGGCAGGGGGTTTGTGTAATTGCCATCACGCTCTGCAGGTTTTTACTTAATTGTTATCTCTTTTGAAACTAGATTAAAAGATTTTTTTACAGTGTACTGCTCACCTGTTTGTTCATTACATTAATTTAAATTGTCTTCCTTTTTATTTGTTAAAAACCTACCACCAGGAGAATTTGGTGAGGTCATTATACTTTTTACTATCCTACCTTCCTAAAAGCATTATATCTCATTGTCATGTGGCATCATGCATTCAGTACACTCCCTAACTTTACTCAGATATCAAGGATAATAAAAGGCTCTGAAAAGCCCATCTTCCCTTGGGATAACTATGTCTATGCCTTTAAACCATGAGGATGAACATTAAAGCATTTAAAGTATAAATATCTATAAAAGATATTCTTGATATGAAATGGGGAATTCTTTTTGACTCAAGATGCTGCAAATCAGAGTGACATAAGTTCAATCACTCTTTCCTCTTCAAAATATGCAATAATAAGGAATTTCTCTTGTGACCTAGGATCTAAGCTTCTACTTTCTATAGATGCGTCAATAAATACCATATTTGTTTAACTGTGCTCCTGTTTGCCTGTAATTTGTGTAGTTGAAAGTTTGGGAATAAAAATATGACATGGTAACTTAACATAAAGTATTTTATTTAACATAACTATTTAATATAATTTATCAGAGCATTTTATTGTATAACATTTTAACAATTCATTGAAAAGAATAAGCCAAAGCAATAAGTTAACTAATATGCAAATACCTAAATTACTAATAAATGCTCGTACTATATTGAAAACTAACTCTGTCTGCTTTAAAATACATGATTTTATATTTGTGGCAAACTCCTCTGTAATAACGTTGTACTTTAGCTCAGAATTGGGCCTGATAGCAAGACATACTGTGTGGTGGGCCACAAAAATAGCTTTGGACATAGATAAATATATCAGCATAACCTGAAAAAAACAAGAGAAAGAAATTCAAATCAAACATCTACAAAATATGAAATTGTTTTATTATTTTAATTAAGATTTCCATATTTTCATTGTAAGCAGCCTTTAGTAATTTAAGGAATAATCCTATCACCTTCTTATCCTTTGTGAATTGCTGTGTGTAATTAGTATGAAGCCTCATGTAATGTCATATGTAGATTTAAATCCATAGTATACTTGTGATTATCATTTAAAAAAAAAATCTTAGAGTCTCTTATAATAAAGCCCTTCCACAGGACTTTTGAGCCCTGCACATCAAAACTAATACATTTTTCAATTTCTTGTCGGTATAATACAACATTTAAAAATTTATTCCAGAAAATAATTTGTGACTAATATTACAGTTATAAGTTTGCTTATTTATAAACTATATAAATAATTGAAAAAATTAAATAAATAAATATAAGGGAAACACAAACAAGAAATTATGACCTATTTTTATGAGAATAGTATAATATTAAAAATGTGTCATACAGTTTTAGCATGAGTAATGTGTTCTGAAATACATGTTTGATAGCTGAATATTTATTATTGACATGAGAGAAAAGATGATTATATCTTCCCCAAAGTAGCCATAAATCTAGCATACTGAAAATCTTCATAAGTTTTATGTGTGCAAAACTAAAGGTAATTAAAACCAGGTAGTGTAATAGAAATGTAATTCAGAAATATATTTGTAAAGATGTTATAAGAGCCAAGCCAAATAAGGAATTTTGAGAAATTCCAGTGCTAGAAAGAGCTGGAAAATTCTAAAACCCTTAATGCTTAGGGACCAAGGGAGGTTCATCAAGGCACAAGAACCTGGGCTGCTCAGTGGGAACTCAGATTTTGAAAAAGATGCAGCCATTGTCAGAGATTCTGCCAACAGCAGAAATAGTGAGAGAAATACCCTAGGTTTCTCTTTTCTCCTGTCACCAATCTCTTTTCAGTACTTTCCATCATGCAAACTTATAGAAAATGAGTTGCCAAGAGAATCTGCAAAATGTGATTTGCAAAAGTGTGGGAAAGCTATTAAAGAACAGAAAAGCAAATGACTTGACTGTCAGACTCTAGCTATAATATTTGCTAATCCATGTGTATTCTAACTTTTCTATACATATTTCACAGAACTAAGCTTTGTGCTTTCACCTAACATGAAGCAATTATTCTTTGCACAAAAGAATATCCTCTCTCTTTATCCATTATTGGGAAGATATAACTAGAAACAAAATCTTCAAACCCAGAAAATCTCTCCACAAAGGAAGAAGAGAAGGAAAACAATTTTGTTATTGCATAAGCATTGTACCCAAATGGGATGCAACTGACAGGTAATCCACCAGAAGATTGCAAAGACGGAAACAAAAATTTACCCTTTGAGACAGCTAAGCAGATACATGTACTCAAGATAGCAACAGCTAGTCATCACCTAAGAGGATTTGGTAGTGCCAAAATATAATTCATCCTAAATTCACTTGGTAATTTGTGTGACCATCTGTGTTGGCTAATTGACTTTATCTAAAGAAAAAAAGCCAAACTTCTTATGTCTTCGTAACAGCACGTAGTTTTGAAATTTGAAGCAAGGTATCCACTGAAGTCAGTCTCCTACCTTCCCACAGAAACTTGGAGGTAGGGACACTGTCTTACTTGATGTTTATATTTCAAAATGATGGTTCCCAAATTCTTAAGAGAAACAATATTGCATCTTAAAGCGAGTGTATTAGTCCATTTTCATGCTGCTGATAAAGACAAACCCAATAATGGGCCATATGCAAAAGAAAGAGGTTTATTGGACTTACAGTTCCACATGGCTGGGAAGCCTCACAATCATAGCAGAAGGTGAAAGGCATGTCTCGCATGGTGGCAGACAGAGAAGAGGGCTTGTGCAAGGAAATTCCCCTTTTTAAAATCATCATCTTGTGAGACTTATTCACTACCATGAGAACAGTGTGGGTAAAACCACCCCCATGATTCAGTTATCTCCCACTGGGATGCCCCCCACAATGAATGGGAATTATGGGAGTACAACTGGAGATGAGATTTGGGTGGGGACACCATATCAATCCACCCATGGCCCCTACCAAATTTCATGTACTCACATTTCAAAACCAATCATGCCTTTTCAACAGTCCTTTAAAGTCCTAACTCATTTCAGCATTAACTCAAAATTCCATAGACGAAAGTCTCATCTGAGACAAGGCCCTTCTGCCTCTGAGCCTCAAAAGCAAGTTCATTATTTCCTAGATACAATGGGGGTACAGGCATTGGGTAAATACAGCCGTTCCAAATGGGAGAAATTGGCTAAAACAAAGAGGCTACAGGCCCTGTGCAAGTCTGAAATCTAGCAGGGCAGTAACATCTTAAAGCTCCAAAATGATCTCCTTTGACTCCATGTATCACATCCAGGTCACACTGATGCAAGAGGTGGGTTCCCATGATCTTGGGCAGCTCTGCCTCTGTGGCTCTGCAGGGTACAGCCTCCCTCCTGGCTGCTTTCACAGGGTCCTGTTGAGTGTCTGTGGTTTTTCCAGGCACAGGATGCAAGCTATTGGTGGATCTACAGTTCTATGGTTTGGAGGATGGTAGCCTTCTTTTCAGAACTCCACTAGGCAATGTCCCATGAGGAACTCTGTGTAGGGGCTCTGGCCCCATATTTCCCTCCTACAGTGCCCTAGCAGAGATTCTCCATGACAGCCCTGCCCCTGCAGGAAACTTCTGCCTGGACATTCAGTCATTTCCATACATCCTCTAAAATCAGGGTGGAGGTTCCCAAACCTCAATTCTTGACTTCTGTGCACCCACAGGCCCAACACCATGTGGAAGCCGCCAAGGCTTGGGGCTTCCACCCTCTGAAGCCATGGCCCGAGCTGTACCTTGGCCCCTTTTAGTCACACCTGGAGCAGCTGGGATGCAAGGCACCAAGACCCTGGACTGCAAACAGCACAGGGACCCTGGGCCTGGCCCATAAAACAATTTTTTTCCTCCTCCACCTCTGGGCTTGTGATGGGAGGAGCTGCTGTGAAGACCTCTGACATGCCCTGGAGACATTTTCTCCATTGTCTTGGTGATTAACATTCAACTCCTCATTACTTACGCAAATTTCTGTTCCAGATTGAATTTCTCCACAGAAAATGGAATTCTCTTTTCTATTGCATTATCAGGCTGCAAATTTTCCAAACTTTTATGCTCTGCTTCCTTTATAAAACTGAATGCCTTTAACAACACCAAAGTCACCTTTTGAATGCTTTGCTGCTTAAAAATTTTTTTCAGCCAGGTACCCTAAATCATGTCTCTCAAATTCATAGTTTCACAAATTTCTAGGGCAGGGTTAAAATGCCTCCAGTCTCTTTGCTAAAACATAGCAAGAGTCACCTTTGCTCCAGTTCCCAACGAGTTCCTCATCTTCATCTGAGACCACCTCAGCCTGGACCTTACTGTTCATATCATTATCAACATTTTTTTCAAAGCCATTGAACAAGTCTTTAGGAAGTTCCAAACTTTCCAACATTTTTCTGTCTTCTTCAGAGACCTACAAACTCTTTTCAACCTCTGCCTGTTACCCAGTGCTGAAGTCACTTCCACATATTTGGTTATCTTTTCAGCAACGCCCCACTCCTGGTGACAATTTAGTGTACTAGTCTGTTTTCATGCTGCTGATAAAACATATCTGAGACTGGGCAATTTACAAAAGAAAGAGGTTTATTAGAACTACAGTTCCACATGAGTGAGGGAGCCTCACATTGATGGCAGAAAGCAAAAGGCACTTCTCATATGGCGACAGACGAGAGAAGAGAGCTTGTACACTGAAACTCTCCCTCTTAAAACCATCAGATCTCATGAAACTTATTCCCTATTACAAGAAAAGTATGGGAGAAACTGCCCCCATGTGTCAATTACCTCCCAGTGGGTCACATGGGAATTATGTGAGTGCAATTCAATATGAGATTTGGGTGGAGACACAGAGCCAAACCATATCAGCTATCAAGATACTTATTAAGCTTTAAATAAGATTTGCATTCACTTTAAAGTCACAGAAAATAAATTTACAGTTACATATGTTCTTAAGCACATTATTAGAAAAAAACGGGAGAAACCACTTCCTTTATTTTTGATGGGAGAATATAGTGTTATATTCATCAGCAATTGGTTTTACATCCCAAAATAAGGGGAGACACACTGCCTCATCAGTCACTATAGCCTTCTTAAAGTTCACTTTCTTCATCCATTCCCTTTTCTCAGGTCTGTGTGTAGCTGCTCATTTTCTCATCATCCAGTGAACAAAAAATCATAAAGTTAAGCTCTAAGAACATTATTCACCCAAAATACTAGAGGCAAGAAAAAGAAAAAAATGCATGGGATGTGCAGCCATACACATAAAACATGCATTACTGTCACTTTCTTTTTCAGCCATAGGTCAAGAATCTAATTTTTATTTGCCAATATTAATTTAAGATATTATTGCTTATAACCCTAGTTCTGTTTGAGTTTCTTATTTTTATTTCTTACTGAGAAATTGTGTTCTCAAGAAATGTCATGTTACATTCACTACTTTTGTTTAGCAAATTAAGCAGGAACATAAAAGCCTCAAGTCCCTCTTTAAAATCATTCCTAAAATGAAACTTCATTCAAAACAACCAAACTGCATATACTTAAGTTGTATGCTGCAGTGAACTCTTTTATGATATATTATGTATTATTTTAATAACAATAATGTTGTCATTTGATCTTTGTAAAACTTAGTTCATTTGAGAATGGCAACATACCATAAAAGGTCTCAGATGCTTCCACCGGAATCTAAGTTTACAGAAATAAGTGTTTTATCAGGTATCTCATTAGAATAGGAAAAATGCTTATTTCTATGAAGATTGTAATTATGAACCCAAGTTTGAGATCTATAAACAGCATTCAGTATCTTTACTTCATGAAGTCATCAAGTTCTGACCCAATGCTTCATTATGACACTTTATTTCTGTGCCTTATACAAGCTTAAAAAGCAAGCCTAAGATGTCATCACCATGACTCATATTCTTCTCCAGCTGCTGATCAGACTGTTCCCGTTTTCATCCAAGTCTCTCTAAATAGTCTGCATTTCCATATTTTATCTTCCTCAACATTTCATTCACCAATATTCACAGATATATGAAATCTGTCCTTTCTGCTAAGATCACCAAAACTCGACTTTTTGCTAAATTCGTTTGCCATTTTCTAGGTGTAACTGCTACATTTGACAACATTGATAACTTTCTCTAACATTTTTATTTTCCTTTGGCACCAACAACACTGTACTAGGTTTACCTATCAAGCATTTAAGAATGAAGAAGTAACCTCAAAAGTATGTATTTATCTGGGACAAGGCAGAAAGCTTTAACCCTGTTTCCTATCCACTCCTCTCTGCCCCAAATGGTTACCTCTTCTCCATAAATGCCAAGATGATGTTGGATATTGGTAAACATGTAGAATCTAAAGTCAGGCAGCATAGACTGTAATCATGGCTCTGCTAATTACTAGTATGTGTATAAGAAAGTATCTATATTTCAGTTCCCTTATCTGTGACATGGCCAGATACGGGGATAAAATAGAGATAATTCAGAAAATTTTAGCACAAAATTATTCCTGTCTCATCAAGTTATTGGTGAATTCATTGATATGATATGTGAAAAGAAACTAAAATAGCACTTTATATATATTAATTGTAAGCATTTCAGGGTTTCTAAATGCCGTGCAGACATGGCTTTAACAAGTGAAAGGCTTTTAGAAAAGATAAATGGTTCATCTTGTAAATGACGGTGGCAAATGAATATTTTTCATCCTGAACAAAAGTCTGAGGTATAAATGGCAATTTTGATAACTACAATATACAATATAAATATATTTGAAACCTGAGCAACAAGGTAAAAAACACGCAATGCAGGTACTGGAATACACTGATGACCAAAGAGGCCAATCTAAAATTAAGTACCATATGTGCTATTTTACTCTCATTTTTTTCCCTTAAGTAGTGAATCCTTTGTTCCCTTCCCTAAGCCAGCAGTCCTTATGATTTAATGATTCTTATCAGACAACTATTGCATTTTTACAGTTTAATATTCACTGGGTACCACCACTTTCCCATCACCAACTTCGATGAAAACTTTAAAGGTAATATTGATATAATACCACACTAACAAAACGAACTGAATGATGGCATAATGAGACAAAATGAAATGAGAAAATCAAGTAGATAGAGGAGACCAAAATTTCTGTACCAAAATGTGAAAAAAAAAAAATCACACACATACACACAAACACACACACACACACAGACATATACACACACACCATTCACTGTAAATCCAAGTCTCTGATTCCGTGATTTATCATCTCTGAATGACAACATAAAGCTCCCCACATCTGCCAATGGGAACTCTTTTTATTGACCTGGCAAACCCCCAGGTCTCCAGTTTGAGAAACATTGCTCCAGGGTACATTGACTACAGTGTAGCTATTAACACTTGATTATGGGTTTTAGGAATTGTATTTGGAGGCTTCAATACATTATTGATCACACTGCTTTATTTGTTCATATTTTGAAATATGAATTTGCTTGGGATTCTAGACAGGGACATTTTAAATGCTTGCATCTTTGGCACTCCATCCCTGTTCTCATATAGATTTTCTGTTTAGTATTTTTATGAGTTGACTTACTATACAATTAGTGAAGCCAGTCCCTTTGCTCAAAGATAATATGGGCTTATAGGAATCTTTTATCATGTAATGCAAACACTCAACATTTTATGTACTTACCATTTGTTTAATTTTAGTTCCACGAGACTTTATGGTCTCTATGTAGAAAATTCTTAATTTCTGTCTATTAATGAATATAAAAAAATGAAAAACAAACAATTCTAATTTACTAGTAATAAAAATTAATTCCTTTAAAAATTCATAACATTGGGTCCAACTTCTTGTTTCTGTCAGTCTTTTTTATTTGTACTAATGATGATATAGGGAAGAAGCACAGATATATATATTCTCTAATAGTATAAATCTAACAGTAAAAAGTAAACAGTACAATTAGGACCAGCTTAATTTTATGAAATAATGAATAGATACCTCAGCCTTGATTACATGCAAATGGCATTTTGGTAGTGTAGTGTTTTTAAAACATCCAATTTTTCATCTATTGGTTTGTTTGCATCTTAAAATTGTTTATATAAATCTATTCACAGCCAACTCCTTAAACATAATCATATATTTTTTTCTTATTGCTGAGCACATATCTGCTGAGAACAAAATTACACCTGAGTGATTTTCTTGACATTGGTTTAGAGATACAATTCTTCTATCAATTTTCACAGAAATCCTAGAGGGGTGTGCTCCATAATACCTCTCTTGTTTGGGGATTGAATATTCCTTTTTACTATAATCCAGCCTACTGACTGAATAAAATATCCTTTTGCAGGATGTTCACCAACAAACCTCTTATTTGTAAAATAATTCTAAGAATTTAATTTATATTAATCTGTGCAGAGATGACCTGCAAGATATGGTTAAATGACATGTACTAATCTAGAATATTGCTTATTTTCCATTTTTGCCTTATACGCAGTTTTGGAGAGATAGTTTTTTAATTAAATAAGCAAAACTCTTATTTATCATCAATTGCCACATTTTTCTCTTTCTGGATTATTTAGGCTTCTTATATCCATTTTGAAATATTTTATAATATACTTCATAAAAAGAATGCATTTTACTATAGATAAACCTTGCCAGAAATACAGCTTTCGCAACCCAAAAGTAATTGAAAGATGACACTCAATCACATATCTGCTTCCCTATTTATTTCATGTCCTATTTTGTTTCCTTGTATGCTTTCCAATTTCTTACTAACAGGAGAACTGAAGTAAAGTAAAAAGTATATTTTTAAAAATGTTTCGTTTAAATAATCTATGGATAGCTAAAGCAGATGATTTTGTTCTTTCATTGTTCATTGCGTTACTCATTTTAAAATTGGCTGTTAAGAGCTTGCTTAGTCCATGGCACAGGATTGACATATATGAAAATGCAATATCAAGTATTAACATTATTTCTAAGGATATTCAAATTTTGGAAAATCTAACAATGTAACACTTGTTACAGTTGTCTATAGTGAAAATTAAAGTGGGAAAGGGAAAGGAAATGATTTGACCTTCTTTCAATGTAGTGAAATATAAAAATACTCTTGGTATTCATTGGTGTCCTTACACCAACCTATTCTCTGGCATAACCAGCCACCACTGATCGCTTAGAATAGTCTAACTTAAGAAATGTTATTTTGCGTCCAACTTGCTAACAGCAAAATTATTTTGGGGCCATTTTAACTGATTTTTATTTCTTCTCTTTGCATAAAGGATGTTTAGTAAGCATGTCTCGCTTGTGAATGATGTCTGTTAAAATCAAATTTAAGGGTAAATTTAATTAGGTCCACAGATGGTGAAACATAATTGATGATAATATGTCAATATAAACTGGAAGTAACTTTTTTCTACAACTGTGTCAACACTAGAAACCAAATAACAGCATTATCAAACACTATATTTAAGTGCTGTAAAGAGTGAGGTAGTTAATTTCTAATTTTACTTGAGATGTCCTAGACTTGAGAAACTCTTTGGTTTATATAAGCAGTTTTTTTCTTCAATAGTGTTGGTATTTTGTTTTATATCTTCTACAGGAATAAAAGAAGAAAGGTGATTTTTCATAGTTTTTACAAGCTATTATTCATGTAAAAACGATATGGGGTGCTAGCTACCACCACCTGGGCAAGGGAGAAGAAAAAGAGTACGTAACCTTTCATTTGGATGATGAAATAACTTTGATTTTGTGATTCTGTGTGCCAGTGGTCACCCCTCATTTGTATATGACAAGATGTATGTAAGTATGAAACAAGTACTATTGGATGAAAAATGACCAGGCAAAATGTTTAAGGAATGAAATATCAAAATAGTTTTTAAAGTTTTGGATGCAGTGGACTTATACATTTCCTATAAATGAGGACATGGAGCTTTATACTTAGAAATGCAGTTAATCAGATTAGGAAACCATAGCAAGGTACAAAGTACAAAAATAAGGAGAACATCAAGCCTTTCCAAGAAAAATACAACATATCTGCAGTAGAATAAATTAGTAATTTATTGTCACATTTACTTTTAAGCACATTAAGCTATCTTGATTAGCTACTAAAACATCTTAAATAACCTTTCTAATATAAAATAATTTCTACTTTACTGCTCAAGATTTGTTATTCTATGGTCAATTACAATGAACAAAATAATGTTAACAATAACAACAACAAAGTAATTGCTACCATTTTTGCCTCTATTATACACAAGACACACTGCTTGTAGCTTTCTACATACTGTTCTATTTAAGCATACAAAAATATTAAGTCAAGTTTATGGATACATTTCAAGTAAAAATGTGTGACGCTCAAAGTACTAAATTAGTAACATTTTTCAAGAAACATAAGGGGAAAGAAACTGATTCAAATTCATGTCTGTCTGATCAACACTAGTGCTTTTTAAAAAAGCTATGTTTCTATTAATTTAGTAGAAAATTAATGGGTTGGTTGGGTTTGTCTACTAAATATAATTGCCCAAAGCAGTGGCCATAGACTTAGCTTTTTTTTCTTTTAAAATATTCCTTTTTTTTTTCCTATGTGACATAAGGTACATAATGCATCACATCTCATCTTTATCTAGTGTATACACACACACACATCCACACACCATACACAGAAATATGTACCAACCATGTCCTCATATATTCTTTTAATAAATATGGAAGACCAAAGCAAAGTTGAACTTTTGGACTACTAGAAGGAAAAAATTGATTAGGCATATAATTCTGACTTTGTCTTCCTTGAAATTATATTACACAGGTTACCAATGTCCTAAGGGAGGTTTTTCTTTAATTCAATGCCATGGTTATCCTTGCCAAGGTGGAATGCATCAAAATTTGAGAAATAAAGATGTTGAACATCTGTGTCTAATTACCATTTCAAAAATAATTCATAATCCATATGAATATCACGGCTAAACTTCAGTTACTCAAATTTTGGTCCCTTTATCTTCCCTTTTCCCAAACTTCTAATATAATCATTTTCTTGTATTTATGTAGACCATGCTCCCTCTTTCTCGCAATTTCTCTAAAGGAAACATCAAAATGTTTGCGTATTTTATTCATCCACCTCAATCCATTTACATAGTCTAGTCTGAGTCTTTTGTAATACCACAATCTTCATAAAATTAGCAGAAAAATATTGATATATGTGTATTCCACATCAGTTTATATAAATGCACCTGTACAAAATAAATCAAACCAAACAATGTAAATTCACAGTTTGTTGCTGAAATTATTTTTATTTTACATTACTATTTAATGTTATTTTCCCTGAATTTAAAATGGATATGTGTTTATAAATATGTTGTATGTGCTTATATTTGCTTCTATACATATATGTGTGTATCCTTTGTATTTATTACCTTGCATCAATCTCTATACACCAACCTATAAAGTTTGCCAAGTCACATTTTCAAAAAAGATAAGCAGGTTGATATACCAACACTGTCATCAGTTTTTTAATAGATTTCTCAAAATGGCTTATAACAATTAAATGTGTTTGAAGAATAGAGGTAACTGCTTCTAAGCAATCTAAAAAAATGTATCTAAATTATTGTCACTGGGATTTTTTTGCGGGGGTGGTTTCTACAGAGATTTGTGTTAGGTTCACATAGGGCAATGGCAAGTAGGAGTAGAAATTTTTCATAATGATGTCCATAGTTTATTCCAAGTTAATAGGCATTATGAGATTAAAAAAATTATTGAGTAAACCAAATTGTAAATGGAAAGTGGGAAAATATCACATAAGTAAAACCAGTAGTATCTATAAAACATTAAGATAATTTAAATAGTAAAATAAAGGTTTGTTGAGAATGTCGATGCAATTGTTCCTTATCTGTTTTGCTTTAAATTCACCATTTTTATGCTCACTAACATCATTCTTCCAGTCTAGAATCATATTTGGTACTTTTTAATATACCTTCTCATACATATCTTCTCAGAATCATAGCTGATGCTAGTCATAGATCAGCATTACTAAGAAGATAACAATAATATTAAAAGAGAGTCAACAAAATAATAAAAGGTATATATGACAAACACACAACCAGCATCATATTGAATGGGGAAAAGTTGAAAACTTTCTCCCTAAGAATAGAAACAAGACAAGGCTGCCCACTTTCATCACTTCCATTCAACACAGTACTAGAAGTCCTACCCAGAGAAATTAGGAAAGAGAAATAAATAAAGGTCTTCCAAATTGGAAAAGAGAAAGTCAAAAAATGTCTTCTTGCTGATGATGTGATTATTTACCTAGAAAACCCTAAAAACTCCTCCAAAAGACTCGCAGATTTGATAAATGAATTCAGTAAACTCTCAGGCTACAAAATCAATTTACACAAATCAGGAGCACTGCTATACACCAACAGTAACCAAGCTGAGAACCAAATCAATAATTCAATTCCTTTAACAATAGCTGCAAAAAATAAAAATAAAAAATACCTAGGAATGTAACTTAACAAAGGGGATAAAATATCTCTAACAAGGAGAACTACAAAATGCTGCCTGAAAGAGATCACAGATGACACAAGTGGAAACATATCCCATTCTCATGGATTGGAAGAATGAATATCATGAAAATGACTATACTGCCCAAAGCAATTTATAGATTAATTATAATTCTTATTAAACTATCAACATCATATTTCAGAGAATGAGAAAAAACAATCTTAAAATTCATATGGAACTGAAAAAGAGCCTAAGGAGCCAAAACAATCCTAAGCAAATAGAGCAAATCTGGAGGCATCATGTTACCTAACTTCACATTATACTGCAAGGCTATAGTAACCAAGATAGAAATGTGCTGGAGCAGTAGGTACATAGACCAATGGACTAGAATAGAGAACCTAGAAATAAAGCCAAATATATCCAACAGATTTTTGTCAAAGCATACAAAAACATAAATTGGGGAATAGACAACCTATTTAATAAATGGTGCTGGGAAAACTGGATAGCTACATGTAAAAGAGTGAAACTGGATCCTTATCTCTCACCATTGAAAAAAAATCAACTCAAGATGAATTAAAGACTTAAATCTAAGACTTGAAACCATAAAAATTCTAGAAAGAAACCTAAGAAAATCTCTCCTGGACATTAACCTAGGCACAGAAATTTCTGACTAAAACCCTAAAAGTAAATGCAAAAAAAACAAAAATAAATAAACGGGACCTAATTAAACTAAAAAGCTTCTGCCCAGCACAATAAATAGTCAACACAGGAAAAGAAAATACAGAATGGGCGAAAAAATATTTGAATACTATACATCTGACAAAGGACAAATAACCAGAGTAGACCGGAAGCTCAAACAAATCAGCAAGACAAAAAAAAATTAATTAAAAAAACACAAATAATCACATCAAAAAGTGGGCAAATTACATGAATAGACACTTTTCTTACTTTTCTTTTCTTTCTTTTTTTCTTTGAGATGGAGTTTCGCTCTTGTTCCTCTTGTTGCACAGGCTGGAGTGCAATGGCGTGATCTCAGCTCACTGCAACCTCTGCCTCCTGGGTTCAAGCGATTCCCTTATCTCAGTCTCCCAAGTAGCTGGGATTACAGGCACGCACCACCACACCTGGCTAATTTTTGTATTTTTAGTAGAGACGGTATTTCTCCAGGTTGGCCAGGCTAGTCTCAAACTCCTGACCTCAGGTGATCCGCCCACCTCGGCATCCCAGAGTGCTGGGATTACAGGCGTGAGCTACTGCGCCCGGCCTTTTCAAAAGAAGATATACAAATAGCCAATAAACATGAAACAATGTTCAAAACCCCTGATGGTCAAGCAAATGCAAATAAAAACCACAGTGTGATACCACCTAACCCCAGCCAAAATGGTCATTATGAGAAATTAAAAAAAAAAAAAGATGTGGCTGTGGACATGGTGAAAAGGGAATTCTTATGCATTGCTGGTGGGAATGTAAATTACTTCAACCTCAGTGGAAAACAGTAGGGAGATTTCCAAAGAGCGAAAAGCAGATCTACCATTCAATCCATCAATTCCACTACTGGGTATTGACCCAAAGGAAAAGAATTCATTACCTAAAAAAGACACCTGCAGTCATTTTGTTATTGCAGCACAATTCACAATTGCAAAGATGTGGAACCAACCTAAGTGCCCATCGATCAGTGAGTGGATACAGAAAATGTTGTACATATACATCGTGGAATAATACTCAGCCATAAAAAAAGAAAATGAAATAATTTTTGCAGCAACTTGGATGAAACTGGAGGCCATTATTTTAAGTGAATTAACTCAGGAATGAAAACCCAAATAACATATATTCACATTTAAAAGTGGGAAGTAAGCTATGAGTACACAAAGACATCCAGCCTGTTATCATGGACATTGGAGACCCAGAAGGAGGAGGATGGGAGGGAAATGAAGGATTTAAAATGAATAATATACGCTAGTGGAGTGATGGGTTTACTGAAATCTCAGATTTCACTAACAGGCAATTCACCCATGTAACCAAAAACCAGCTGCACCCCATGAACTACTGAAATAATAAAAACTATGAAAGGAAAAATGAGACAAATAAAGAGAGTCAAACTTTCGGTAATCTTTGTGGTTTTGAATGGTTTTTGTTTTTGAAGGGGTGGCCTTCGATGTTTATTATTCAACCAGTTAAAAGTAGAGTCCAAAATTTTTTAACCATAATTAATTACAGATATTTTAACTAAAATTTATCTCCTCTCTCTTTCCTTATCACCAACATTTAACCTGTGGATAGTAATAATGTCCTTATTTCAAAAAGTGCCTGAAGTACTATCATTCCTGTAATTTCTAATTCCAAAATTCTAATCTAAATAACATTTCTTGATACTTAGATTATCACCTCTCATCACTAAATCATTTGTCATCCTCCACCATAAACATTATCAGCCTGGCTTTCATGGGCTTCATTATTTGCCAACTACATGGGTATCTACTGTTTTCTATCTCACAGACACCATTATCTCCTCTCATGCCTCTGTTCCATGCTTATCTTTCCAAATTTGTGTTTTAAAGTCTTCATTCAGCTAATATTTTTTGAAACCCTTCTATGTGCCACTTATTGTTTAAGGACATATGTTCAAAGACTAACAAGGCCTGGTTATCCCTAACATCAAATGCTAGTACAAGGTACAGATAGGATAGGATAACAAAACAGCATGAGGAATACTGTAGAATCACATTGGAGTCACGTTACCCAGCCTGGGAGTATTATTGATAAATTGATGTAGAGAATATGATTTCCAAGCCGACAGCTGAAGGGTAAGGAGGCAGTAGTGTGAATATGAGAATAGAGAAATCATCTGCATAACAAGAAGGAACCCTCAGTGAGTATTAGAAGTACAGATGACTGAATGTGTTAATGTTAATTTTATTCATTCATTCATCTATTCATTCATTCATTAGACTAGTATTGAATGCTGACTAATTACTATGTTCTTAGGAATAGAATTTAAGCATAAAACTTTCCTCTAAGCATGAAAGTGAATTAGAGATTTAGTATAAAGCCCTATCAGAAATACCTGAAGGTACCCAATTTTATAGCTATTTGTAATTTTTACATCACATTTCATTTCGATTTTTTGGAAATGTTTTCAGTATGTAACTTTTAATTTTATATCTCATTAACTTCACGCCTTCAACACTGACATACTGGAGACTGTTGTATGTTTACCTTCTGCATTTGTATTTGGCCACATTTGTTTTCTAGTCTGTAGTCTACACACATTTATTGGAGTTTGCAATAAGCTTCTTTTCTCTCATTGTACCAATAGATACTAGTGAGTAAGCAGCCTATTGAAGATGAGTAAGAACATTTGTTTACCTATTTTTTTTTACACTTTCTATTTACTATTTGACTTAATAATTTACTACAATAGTTTGCTTAATGTTTTTTAAATCTTATTATTTCTATTCATTTGGGATAAACTGCAGATATCATTAAAGAACGATTTTCACTTCTACATGCTATTCCCCTACATAAACCTAACACAAATATCTGTAAACTTCCAAAATATTTTCAGCCTCAATAATTTAGACAGGAAATTTTACATCTTACAGAACTTTTAACTCTATATTGACGTCTGCCTAGTCCCTAGTTCAGCTAGATCCAAGTTCTTGTCCCATGGCCAAGAAGAATAAGGCACACAGACACCAGAAAGTGAGTAGAGTAGGATTTATTAAGCAGAAGGAAGGTGCTCGGCAAACAGAGGGGTCTTGAAAGCAGGTTGCCAGAAATAGTGCTGAGTTCTTGGTCTTTTATTTGACAAGAGAAAGGAAGGCTTCCGTGGGTTCTGCCCAGAATGGGATGGTAAACTTCCCTCCTAAGGGTCTTGCACCTGCAAATGTCTGGGGTTGGCCAGAGTGACTCCATCTTGATTATTTTCCATGAGTACCTAAGTGAAACCCACAGGGGAACTAAAGCCACAATATAATGTCTTATTAATGACATTATAATGAGCTGGGTCAAGTTCAGGACATTTAGGTGATTTCTTGCACCCACACCTAAGTTGGGACAGTCCCTTCTGAGCAACATCCTGGCATAAGGGAAGTTCTTAACCAAGTTTTTTCCTGTTAGCTGCAGAGGAGATGTAGGTGCTGTCCCGCGGGTATTCCTGTGAACATTGCTCTCCTCCCAAGACCATCCCTCTCTATATATTTAACAAGTCTCTAACTGCCTCCTCTCCCGTCTGTTCTTCAAATGCATTCAACTCTTGTAAGCCACTTTGAAAAATGTATTTAAAAACTGATGATGCTGTAGCTGTATCAACTTGCTTCTTTTTAAAACAAAATAAAATAAAATTTGATTTGGAAAACTATAGAGTTGGTTTATAGAGACCAATGCAAGATAAAGATAGAAAATAAACAATATATGCAAATATAAACACACAAACATATGCATATTCAAGTATATTTATAAACACATATACATTAATTTCATGAAAAAACCCAAAAGATAATGTAACATTAAGAATTTCAGCAACAGAGTGTAAATTTACATAGTTCATGCAGCCTTCAGAAATTTGTTTTTTCTAAAAAGACCATTTTTTGCACCTTACCATGCTTTCTCCTCTTTTTCTTGACATTATACATCAACAATCCTAACTTTAAGTGTTTTCCTTTGTCTGTAAATATTCAATGAAATTTATTACCTTCTTTCAGTACTAAAACTTATGTTATGAATCCTTAAATTAGGAAAAAGGTATATCCACTTTAACATTAACTCTAAAAATAAATTATTTTTTAAAAATCTTATAATTGCAACTCTTCTTTAGTGACAGAAATGGTGTACTGAGAGTTTCTGCATATATCTGTAAGCTCCAAATAGGCAAAACACTTATTTATTATTTTATTTTGATTATTATTATTAGTGCTCATTTCTGCACTTTTTCATATAGAATATTTTATATTGAACCGTGAAGGCTTTTGCATAAGTGATTTCCTGAAAATTATATATACATATATGTAGGCCTTCCTAAAATTTTAATGGCATTCTTGTATTTACAAGTAAAATGTTTTATATATGTAAAAAGCATTATTCTTGACACTTTAAAGAAAAATTACTTGCTTTGCAATTTGAAAGCAAAAAGCATACATAATAGACACAAATATAGAAAGTGAAGAAAAGGAGTTTCTGAAATTCAGATAACTTTCTTCAAAAGAATATATTCTATCCTGAAAATGATTCTTCTAAAGTTTTTTAAAAAATGAGAATATCTATGTGGGTTGTTAAACTAAATGTTATGAAAAATTCTGACTTTGCGTTTACTAAGACTTATTCAACCTCCTTATAAAAATCAGAAGACAACTTCAATTGTTAAAAAAAAATTCTTCTTTAAATCTACAAAGAAATAATATATTTAATCATGCATGTTCTCTCAGAATTACTTCTTAATAACAAAAAATAAAACAGAAAAATTTGCCATACAAATGTAGAAGACCTACTTAAATAGGAAAACCAATTTTATAAATAGCATATATTAGAGCCCTTGGGATTAGCTTATTATTACAGATATGTGTTATAGAAGTATCTATAACATGACAATAAATTACTTTTCAATGTCAAAAATACCAAAACTTTTTCAAAACCTATTATTTTCAACTTTGTTTAGATTTAGTGATATTTTTGTTGAAAGAGTTATAATTTATTTTCTATATTCTTGCTTAATTAAAGGGACATAACAATCCATGGGCATGCTTTCGCATTCATAATCACATATTAATTGTAATGCTGTTTTTTCTTCATTTTTTCTGTGAAGACTTTTTTCTAGGAACCTCTGATTTTTATTTCTACATTAAGCCAATTGATTTCTGAGCTTGCATAACAACTGTAATATTAGGTTCTTATTCTATTGCACTCTGGGTTTACTTCTAACATTTTTTTTAAAAGAAACAATTCTTTGAAATATAAATTGCTTATGGTAGAAGCATTTTAACTGTAAAAATTTATGGATTTTGACGAACATGTTTAAAAACTATCACACTCATTATATTGAACATTTCCATCACCCAAAAAGCTCCTGGAAGCCAATTTTCCATTTCTCCTTTCAGAAAAAAATACCGATTTGATTTATATCACATTAGATTAGTTACCTATTTTTTTAAATCCTATAAATCAAATTGTAGTTGTATATTTATATACTATTTCAGGGATTAATTCATATCAATGTTATATCAGTAGTTGTTTTTTCAAATTTGAATGTCTTTGTAATATTCCATTTTCTGTGTATAATAAAATGTGTTCATTTACTCTATTGTTTATAGATATTTAGATTGTTTTAAATTTGTAGCTGTTAATAGTAAAGCTACTGACATGGTTTGGCAGTGCCCCCACCCAAATCTCATCTTGAATTCCCACATGTTGTGAGAGGTACCTGGTGGGCAGTGATTGAATCATGGGGGCAGGTCTTTCCCATGCTATTCTCATGATAGTGAATAAGTTTCATGAGATCTGATGATTTTAAAATGGGGAGTTTTCCTGCACAAGCTCTATTCTCATGTCTGCCACCATGAGAAGGTGGCTTTCACCTTCTGCCATGATTGTGAGCCCTCCCCAGACACATGGAACTGTAAGTCCAATAGACGTCTTGCTTTTGTAAATTGCCCAGTCTTGGGTACATCATTATCACCAGCCTGAAAATGGACTAATACAGCTACTATGATCTATCTTGTACTTTTTTGCTAGCATATGTTTTTATTTATCTTGATTAAATATTAGTGGAATTGCTAAAGCATATGGCATGTATTTCTATATATTTACAATAAACTATCAAACACCTTTCCAAATTGTGCAATTTTATGTTTATCCCAGCAATGTATGAATGCTCCAGTTGTTTCACCTTCCCACCAAGACTTGCTATTATCCATTTTTTTAGTTTTAGCCATTATGGTGGGTGGGTAGAGGTATCTTATTCTGATTTTAACATACATTTGTGTTGGCTTTATGATAAAATACTGGCCAATTTTTCATAAGCATATTGTGTATATATATATCTACTTGTATTAGAAGGCTGGATACAAATGCTTGGTCATGTTTATTTATGGTAAATTATTCCAGTGTGATTTGAATTTTCATTATCCTTTAAAGTGGAGGTTTTTGAGGAACAACAGTTCTAATTTTAAGGAAGTCTAATTCATCTGTTTTTATCCTTCTTTGACAGTGATTTTAATGTGTTTCTGCATGCATAAGTATTTGTGTATATGTATACATGTATATATGTATGTACATATACACAAATACATAAATACACATGTGTATATGTGTATATATATACACATACATATATATTTTTATATGTGTGTGTGTGCTTGTGTGTATGTTATGCTTTACTGGTTTAGTCTCCATTCACTAAGCACTTGTTTAATTTGAAAGGTGTTTTTCTTATCACACAGTAAATTGGCCTCAGCATTTCAAACAATATATAAGAACCCACCTCAACTTATTCTTCTGTAAAGTGAGAATGATGAGAATCTTTATTTTACATGAATTTTGGCATTATGAATTTTTATAAATTGTTTCAAAATGACCTGGTACATCATAAGCACTGAATAAACGTTAATTATTATTTTTTCCAAACTAGCCAAAAATTCTTATATTATTCTTATATTGGAATTTTTTAGCACAAGTGTTTATTATAGTTAGCTGACAGACTAGTAACATTGACCATAAAAAAAGTCAACTAATAGACCAATGTGAATCACTTCTTATAACAAATCTAACGAAGCACGGGTAATATATACGTGCTGAAAACTGTAAGATATTAAT